>NC_000002.12:119364618-119989618 GCF_000001405.40 Homo sapiens | reverse complement strand
TCTTTTATCAATGTTTTATAGTTTTTATTGTACAGATATTTCACCTCATTGGTTAAATTTATTCCTATGTATTTTATTCTTTTTGATGCTATTGTAAATGGGATTGTTTTCTTGATTCCCTTTTCAGGTAATCATTATTGCTGTGAAGAAACAAAACTGATTTTTATATGTTGATTTTGTATCCTGCAACTTTACTGGATTTATTAGTTCTAATAGGTTTTTTGTGGAGTGTTTAGGGTTTTTACATATAAGAACATGTTACCTGCAAACAGGATAATTTCACTTCTTCCTTTTCTATTTGGATACCTTTTATTTCCTTTTCTTGTGAGATTGTTCTTGCTAGTTCTTCTAGTACTCTGTTGAACAGAACTGGTGAGAGTGGGCCTCCCTGCCCTGTACCAGACTAATGGGAAAATTTTCAGTTTTCTCTCATTTATTTTGATGTTTCCTGTGGGCTTTCATTAATGGCCTTTTGTATTAAGGAAATTTCCTTCTATACCTATTTTGTTGGGAGTTCTTATCATAAATGGATGTTGAGCTTTTATCTTTATTATGTTAATGTGTATCACAGTGATTGATTTGCATATGTTAAACCAATTTTGCATCCCAGGGATAAATCCCACTTGGTCATGGTATATAATCTTTTTGATGTGTTTTGAAATTCAGTTTGCTAGTATTTTATTAAATAATTTTCCATCTGTTTATCAGATGTATTAACCTGTGGTTTTATTATCATGTCTTTGTCTGAATTTGGTATCATGGTGATGCTGGCCTAATAAAATGAGTTTGGAGGTATCCTCTCTACTTCTATTTTTTAAGAGTGTAAGAAGTGTTGGTATTAATTCCTCTTTGAATGTTTGGTAGAATTCAGCCATGAAACTATCTGGTCCTGGGCTTTTTTTGTTAGCAATTGCTACTTCAATTTCCTTATTTGTTAGAGTTCTGTTCAGGCTTTCTATATCTTCTAGATTAAGTCCTGGTAGGTTGTATGTTTCTGGGACTTTATCTATGTCTTCTAGGTTATCCAGTTTGATGGCATATAATTAATTGTTCATAATAGTTTATGATCCTTTTTGTTTCTGAGGAATCCATTGCATATCTTCTATTTATTTGAGACAAGATCTTGCTCTGTTGCCCAGGCTGGAGTGTAGTAGTACTGTCATAGGTCACTGCAGCCTCAACCTCCTGGACTTAAGTGATCCTCTCACTTCAGCCTCCCAAGTAGCTGCGACTATAGGCACACGCCACCACACCCAGCTAATTAAAAAAAAATTTTTTTTTTTTTGTAGAGACCAGGTTTCCCTGTATTACCCTGGCTTGTCTCCAACACCTGACCACAAGTGATCCTCCCAACTTGGGCTCCCAAAGTGCTGGAATTACAGGCATGGGCCACCGCATCCAGCTGATATAGATTTCCGCAGAACTTTAAATATGGCATCTCATTGCCTCGTGGCTTCTGTTGTTTCCAGTAGAAATCTGTTGCTAATCTTATTAAAGATTCCTTCTACCTGATGAGTCTCTTCTCTTTCTGCTTTCAAAATTCTTTGTCTTTGGGTTTTGATAATTTAACATATCTGTGTGTTGAAGAGAGTTTATCCTGCTTTGTGTTGAGTTTTCTGGTTTTTGTTATATTTTTGAGACAGGGTTCCACTCTGTTGCCTAAGCTAGTGCAGTGGTGCCATCAAAAAGCCAGGATGTTCTGAGACCAGCTTGGGAAACAAAGCAAGACCCTGCTCTACAAAAAAATAAATAAATTAGCCAGGTGCAATGGCATGGCTACTCTGGAGCCTGGGGGGCTCATATGGGAAGACTGCTTGAAAACAAGAATTCAAGGCTGCAATGAGCTGTTGTTACCCCACTGCACTCCAGTCTGGGTGACAGAGACATCATGTCTAAAAAAAAAAAAAGAAAAAAGAAAAAAAAAAAAGAAAATGTACAAAAGGATACTAACTATATCAATTTTAACTGCAAAAATTTTAAAACTGTCTGCATATTTTTCAACAGAGAAATTGCTACATACATTGTAGAAGACCACATATCTGATGGGATCAGAACTAGTACTTGATTAAATGAAAAACCATTTAAAGAAGGAAAAAAACTACATGCATTTGGTTTTAGCTTAAAAAACATAAATGTATATTCATTTGTGATTCTTTTCATGTAGGGCCAAGGCTTTTGTCAATAGGTTTAAGCCTCCTTGTAATCCCTTAGTCTTTCTTGCAAGCAAAACAAAAACAAAAACAACCTTAAGTGTGTCACCTATATTTTTGTTAGTCTCTCATAGTTGTCTTGGTCATATCTGTTTTCAATAAATTAAAGACATTGATCCTTAGGCTGGGTGTGGTGGTTCATGCCTGTAATTCCAGCACTTTGGGAAGCCAAGGTGGCTGGGTAGGTGGGTGGGTCACTTGAGCCCAGGAGTTCAAGACCAGCCTGGGCAACATGGTGAAATCCTGTCTCTAAAACAAAAAACAAACAAACAAACAAAAAATTAGCTGGGTGTGGTGGCACACACCTGTGGTCCCAGCTACTAGGGAGCTTGAGGTGTGAGGATCACTTGAGCCTGGGGTACAGACATTGCAGTGAGCTGAGATCACATCACTGATTCCAGCCTGGGTAATAGAGCAAGACCTTATCTCGAAATAATAATAATAATAATAATAATAAATGAAGAAAAATAAAAAAATAAAAATCCTTAAAATTTTAATCACTCACTTTTAAAGGCTTTCACAAAAGCCCAACCTTCTTTTCACACTCTCATTTCATTGGCTTATGAAATATAGAATTAAATGACATAATAAAGATAAATCTGTATGCATATGAAAGCACATAAGCACAACTGATTTTAGCAAGCTTACAGCTTAACTTGTGGAACTGGAAGAGCTCTAGCGTAATTGAGAGCAGTCAACAAGGCCAGGGAGATCAAAAGTAGAAAGCAGAGTATCAGTCTTCTGAGTTGGTTATTTGGATGGTGGTTAAGAAAGCTTCAGTCACAAATGGAATGTGACTAGGAACTAGAGTAAAGCCCTTGCAGGTAGACACCAAAGTCATCAAGAAGATTGGTATGTTTGTTTATACAAGCATTAAAAATGTCCTCATATCCCTCCCGTCAGCCCCCAAAACAAAAAGCACAGTGGGTTTTTGCAACATATATGACTGACAAATGACTAGTTTCCTTAATTTCCAACATCTCACATGATTAAAATGTCAAATAACCAATATAAAAATAAGGAAAGGCAATCAATGTGGAATGTAATGTAAAAAATAGAAGGGATCAATAAAGATACTTAACCTTACAGAAGAAATGAATGTCAAAATATTTCTTCTCTGAGATAAGCAGGTAAATTAAGTTTCATGAAATTCTAATAAGAATGTGGAGAAACAGACATTCTCATATGCTTTGGTAGAAGAGTATAAACGGGTATAATTGTGTCTGAGAACAATTAGACAATATTAGTACATAAAAATGCAGGTGCCCTATGACCTAGCAACCCTACTGCTCAAAATTTACCCTACGCATACACTTGCAACAATTAACAAAAACATTTGTATGATTTTCATTGCAGCTTTGTTTGCACAGCAGAAACGGAAACCATCTAAGTGTCCATTAAGAAATTAGAGTATAACCATATGATAGAGTACTAGGCAGTGGTGAAAAAGAATAAGATAGATCTGAACATGCTGATATACGTATCCCAACATCTGTATATATCCCAAGACGAAAAAGCAAGCTGCAGAAGAACATACTGTACAACCTTGTTGGCTTTAACAAAACGTGTATGTACACGTACACACAAATGTAAGTACACATTTTTACCCCAGAAGAAAATACCAGAAATTGAATAGAGGTTGCCGCTGGTTTGAGAGGGCTTTTCTTAGGGTGGAGCATGAGGAAGAGGATGTTAAAAATCATTTTGATCTTCATTACAGTGTTTGAATTTTTATTATGTACATAAGAACAAAGGCATGGCATAATCAAAAATCACCTTTCTGCTTTATTTATTACCTGTTCTCTAGGTACTTCTTTTCTTTCAGAGGAAAAACAGCATATCTAACTGCACTTAGGCAAGCTGACTTCAGGGATAGAAGGAGAGGTCCTTTATTTTGCTTGACAAGGTCTTACCTTAGGATTACCAGAATAGAGGGTTGGTACTGGGAGAGGACAGGAGCCAAGCAATGGCCACAATTAAACAGAATCTTCTCTTCACTGTTTTTTTTTTTTTTTTTTGAGATGGAGTTTCACTTTGTCACCAGGCTGGGGTGCAGTGGCGCAATCAATCTCGGCTCACTGCAACCTCCACCTCCCAGGTTCAAGTGATCCTCCTGCCTCAGCCTCCTAAGTAGCTGGGACTACAGGCGTGCGCCACCACCCTCAGCTAATTTTTGTATTTTTAGTAGAGACGGGGTTTCTCCATGTTGGCCAGGATGATCTCGATCTCCTGACCTTGTGATCTGCCCGCCTCAGCCTCCCAAAATGCTGGGATTACAGGCGTGAGCCACCGCGCCCGGCCTCTTCAGACACTATTTAATCTTCTAAATCCCTTTTAGTTCCTCACCTACTCCCTTTCCTCAAATACAGCCACTATGTGAGTCAATAACTCCAGAAATAAATTTTACACTTGTCATTCTCTCCATTCCTGATAACCAGTTACTAAATATAACCACTGTTAGAAAAGCCCATGAAAAACTCCCATAAAATAATCTTCAAAACTTCTGTACTTTAGATTACTAAAGCACATCTTTATTTTGCAATTGAACATTAAGAGTCATAGCTAGAGTTGTTTGTCATGTTTGTACCTGAACAACTGTTTCTCAAAATGAAATATGGCCAACAAAATATGTGTAACAGCATTTCACATAATATAAATTGCTCTTAAGACTAAAACAGTATTAATGCAAACCAGCATTTTTATCTTGTTTGCTGTAGTTGTAATTTTTTTGTACATGAATGGCAGAAATTCTAATTTTTTCACTAAAATTAAGACAAACACACAAGGCCTTTCAAGCATACAGTAAGCTGCAGTGACAAATGCAGAGTGATTTCAAATTATGCAGTGTTGACCAAATTCAAGCTTATACACATTTTAAATAAACCCTTAGCTTCTTTGCCTCAATTATGAGATCATATGGAAAGAGATATTTTTGTGATATAGGGGGAAAGGTAATCTAAAAAACTAAGGGACCAATTCTGTTTTGCCACTAGTTTAATAGAATCAAACATGAAATGAATAATTGTATCTTAATTATGACATAAGCTAGACTTTTAACTAAGTGACTTTTCCCCTTCATATTTACAAATAGCACCTGTTACAAGAAAAAAAAAATCCCAAATTAAAACACCCTCCACATAGAAATAATTATTTTTAAAACTACTACTTAAAAATATCAATAATGCAGATATAGTAAATTATCGGTTCTAAAATTAAGCCTACACTGTAGAGAATAAGGAGTAGCTTTTCTTATTTGAAAAGATTACAACATAGATTACAACTGTAATGTCCTGATGCTGGAGAACACTGGGTTGAACAATTTTTATTTTTTTAAGCAGATAGAGTCTACTGGCAGAAAATAAAAACAGTTTAATGTAAACTGTTTCAGTCTCTTAAATCGTGCCCCTCAACATGTATATAAAGTGTCGGGACTTTTATTCCCTTAAACTTACTTGTGCAGCATCTACTTCACCCTAGGTACTACACTGAAAACAAATGGATTTCTAAGTATTCATGTGATGCACAAAAAAATCCAAAGCAGAAATGATAATAAACCAAGCTTAGATGAAACTAGCTGTGAGAACTCAGAGTCCAGTAACACAGTCAACTGGTTATCCTTTATTGTGCTACATAAATTACAGAAAACCTGCAAAGCTAAGATCACACAAGTTGCTCTTAAACATCAAATAAGCTGTGAAGAGATCATTATATTTAAACCTGGGTCCAATCTAATGACCTCCAACACTAATTAAAATTTTCCCACGTTTACAACACTTCTAGGATAATTTTATTTTAAAATGTATAAATTAAGTTGGTGGTCAGCATGAAATAAAGTGCAACTATTTAAAATTCAAAAAATCAAATTTAGCATTGAAATTTGACCTAATCTTGCCAACTCATTAAAAGATGGGAAAAGACAGGTGCCAGAGAATCCCAGACTTGGGTTAAAATTTTCTTACCCAGGAAGGCAAATAACTTGAACACTACAATTCAGGAGTAGAAACTAAAAAGCTTCTTTGAATATATGTTAAAATGAGCTCAACTGTGATGACAGTGGGGAAGTACCCAACTGCCAATTTGTGGAGAAAGCATGAACCAGCACCTGTTTGGGTCTAAGGGTGTGAGCGGGGCTATCTCCCCCTTGACGGATTCCTGGTAATAATTGTACTTAGCGATGTGGCATTTAAGCTTATCACAAGTAATATTTGCTAAATTTTGGAAACTCCCAGGGTTGAGAGAGCCTGACACCAATCCTTTCAACAGTTATAGCAAAGTTCATGAAAGAAGAGATCACTTTGTACTTGAGTACTTAACAAAGAGTTAAATTAGTGATTTTTAAAAAGTTGGAGACGTGGAAAGAGAAATAAAAATAATGAAGTCCTCACTGAGTCAAGTTTCATGAGTGATGAATAATAAATACCACCTTTTAAAGCAGCTGTTGCACGTATTAATCATACCTACAAAGGTGGTTTAAGATGTAGTTCTTGTTCAGCTGAATTAATATAAACTCGTAAGCATATAAGACATCACTGCTACAATTCAGAGTTGGGCCAAGTTGTCTCAACTGTCCAAGACATTGGGAATAAAAAGGCAAAAAGCATTTACTGGGTCAGGGGCCTCTGCACATACTCACTGTAATGAATCTTAGGCACAGTTTTCTGGCTTCACAAAAGTCACACCCTCACAACAATGTCCTCATTTGACAAAGCCTGGCAACGTTCTCTATGGTAAACACATGCAGCAACACATTTATTACCTTCACACACAAACACCCTTCCACACTCCAAAAGTCTAGAATTCAATTATTTTATACTTACAAACAGTATGTGCAAATTTTCTGAAAAGTTTCTATTCTAGAGGCAAAGCAAAATGAAAAAGAATGTACATTATATCTGAAAATGCTTCAATGATTGCTCTTGTTTATAATGAAAATGTTTTTCTTCTAAAATTACATTTTGTACAATGAAGTGTAATACTCTTCCCTTTCTTTTCAATCCCGTGTAGACTTTAAAACAAATAGAGTATCCTTAGAATCAAGCCATAATTCTAATGACATTTGAAAGATACATTCATTTTCTTTACAGCATGAAAGACACACAAATAACATTTTATCTCCTTTAAACAATGAAATTAAAGAAGTTAACAGTTTCAACCTTCTGTCCATAGAAAAATATTTTCTATATCCTTTACACAACAAAGGTAGGAAACTCTACAGTGTTTAAATGAAACTTTTATGAGCTTAACAAGGCTTTCAAACATTTTCATTCTTGCACTGAAAAGTTTAAAAGGTTTCAGGAAGTTAAACCTTTGAACTTTCCCCTAAAATGGTAATCTTTAACTAGCAATATTGCTACTACCTTTTGCTTAGTAAAATTTTTTTAAACTGGTTTACTTATGTATATGCACTGAACCAATGCTGATGGATTGCACCCTAGCAGATATTACTTCTGGTTGCCCATTTAGCTTGGATTACTAAAATAAAAATTATGATTATAACTTCAGAAATCAATAGCATACTACAGTAGAAAAACATACAAATAAATAGCAGCAAATTTATATGCAAACAGAAATAACTATGTGGTGTCTACTCACAACAAATTCATCAGGACTATAAAAAAATATCTAACTTCTGGCAGAAACAGAGATTGCTGTTTGTTTTTTATAACATTGTAAGACACACTGTAGTAATTGCTGAGTATCAATGAAGTCTATATAATGGTTGCAGACACGGTAAGTTGAACAAAAAACATACAAATTAGGGATTAATTTACTGGGTTCTTAATAAAATTGCTGAAATTATTATCAATTAGCCCTCAAAAATGTTTTAGGATTATGTAATTTCCATTTTATCTACATAATTCTCTAAGAGTTTTATAAAATGGTTGCTACAACTTGTATTGTGATCACACTGAGACACCAATAAATCTCTGCCAAGAGATCAGTAAGTCTGATATTTGATAAAATTAATCCAGTAGGTTTTAATAACATAGTTATTTCACTTGGAGGAAGCACCACAAAAAGAATGATTCCAGCAATTGTAGTCAGATAGGTGAAGCAAATGGGGGAAGTAAGCAATGTTAATACAAAGTATTAACTGTGGCAGCTCACATAATGCACCAGCTTTCATCAAAGCAGGCTGTTGCATAATTTATCTATGTCCTATTACATTGAGATTTTTATTCCAACAAATATTTAATATACTTTATTTACTATAAGTGACTGAAATGCAAATTCATCTGAACTATAAAGTAACTACCACAAAATAAAAGAGCCTGTAAACATATCCCACATTATTGTGGTATAAACAATTTTTATGAATTCAAAATTACTTTGGCAACCTTACCATCAGAGTATTTTAAATGTTCAAAATACAGATATTAAATAGCACATTGTTATAAACTAATGTTTCCTTCTCTCTTCCTGATATTATAAAACAAGTAATGCTTTATTTACTTATCTTACATGTTCACATTATGAACACAAATTATTTCATTATAAATGGACATATATTCTAAATCTTAGTTCTATGTTTTGAGTGCTTTTAAAAAATTAGTCTTCTAACTGCAGTCTATAATGTTTTCATACTGCATGTGTTATCAGTCTAAATACTTTACAAAAGCTTATGTTCTGTCAGGCAGGCATGACTAGCAAACTGAGTGGGGGTCCTAATTAGAATCACTTCTTAAGCCTGCTTATTTTCTAACTTAAGTGACATCCTTTAAGGTTGTCATAGTTATTAAGTGAAAACATTGGCTGAGTATGCTTCTCTACTGGAAATAGACAAAAATTCACAAGAATTTATGATATTCACATAGGTTATAATTTATTGAAGTTCCAGTATAATATAGGAATACTAGATAGATAATTAGAAAGCAGATCATATAAGACCAGACTGCTAAATCAATAACCATTGCTGAACCCTATTTCCTAATGCCGATAAAAATGGGCTAAGTGAAGACTGGATAACATTTTTCAAGTTCCTTTCAGCTCTCAAGCTGCAGTACTTCTAGTGGAGATAGAAGACAGGAGACTTTTCCTTAAATACTCTAGACCTGATCAGACCCTGCCAGCAGATGATAACCCAGAAGTTAAAATAATCATTTTCCTCTGTGGGCATTAGCCTTTGTGAAATATACATATAAATAAACACACAAAAGTAGCTCTATGTGTGTGTACACATATTTGAAACCTTCCAGCAATTGTCTTAATGTCTTAACATACCTTTGCACAACTGAAGTCAGATTTCATGTAATAAATGTTCCCTTTACTCTTGATTAAAATCATCAACCACTCCCCTCTCACCTCTTTCTCCTAGCAGACTGTAGAAAGGAAATCATTTCTTAGGCTGTTTACTCTGCCTCTATTTTGAATGGATGCATTGGTTTAACAAATACTATCAATTTTCTGGTGAATGTAAAGTCTATTCCAAATACTCCTCATCATATTTACATGGTGCTGACACAAATCAGATGCTCAATAAAACACCTGAAATGAACAGGAAAAAACAATCCTAACTCAGAAAGGGAAGGTTTTCACAAACACTTCTTAGCATTTACAAAATCCACTTGATTAACCACTATTGATTTCCACTTGTCAGAATAAAAGTCAGCATTGCTTTCTTAAGGGTGTCAAGGTGGGAGGTAGGGGTGGCTGGAAGAGTGGGAGCGTAGCTTAGATACAAGACATTTGGCATTTTATCACACAATGTTACACTGATATGGACGGAGTCTAGAACTACATGGTGTATGAAAGCTAGGATTATTTCTAGAAACCTATTTAGATTGATATACAGGTTAAAAAGTTCTTAGATGTAATGGATAAAGTCTTATCTATTAGCATATTCATTTTAAGAAGTTGTAAAGGATAATTTAAATTTAAATAAGATCCCAATAAATATGGTTTTCAAAAAGGATCTTTTCTGCACATAAAAATGACGACAGTGGGTAGTTCCCAGATGAAAAATTCATATATGAGAAATTTAAATGTAATTCTAAACTTCTAATGATTGGCATTTAAAGACAGGCATTGATGATTTAAAAAGGCAGCAGTGCTCATTGCCAAGAAATTATTAAACTCACAAGTATAAACAAGGCCCTAAATTAAAGAACATGCCAACCATGACTTTTGTCTCTTTACATCTATACAATGATATCTTTTGGTCTATGGTTGTCATATTCTGTCCATACAGATAGAACAGACAAATTTTATTTTTAAATTCAGGTGAAAAACTGCCAAAACAGTCATTTAATGTGTAGACCCCGACATAATTTTACTTTCTCAGTTTTTAATTTATCATGTCATATAGCAGCCTAAATTATATTTGTCTGTTTATAGAACAGAATGACCAAATAAGATTATAAGTTACTTCACTATCTTATACTGTTTTGACTGTGAAGTCAGGAAATAGATTAAGAGAATTTCTCTTTGACATAAGTTTATGTTTACTTCTCTCTTTAAATAAACTTAAATATTTTAATATGATAATTTATTTGGTATCTTGGCTATTAATGTTTAGGAGCTTGATTTCCTGAAATTTATTATTATGAGTTTTGAATGTCTGAAATGACATCGTTTAGATTATACCAAAGATTTAAAATGTGTACTCTTCCCCTCATACTAAATGGCTTTCCAAAATATCTGCCATTTGACTCTAAACTTTATCAAGATCTTACAGAAATATTCAGAAACTGCTAGGAAATGAATCTTTTAAAACCCCAATCCACATAAAATAATTGTGTAAAATAACATTTGTATAGGTGAGCAAATTTTCACTTTTATCAAACTGGGCAATGTTAAGGTTCTATCTCTCTGTAGACTTAAAAACAAAAAAACCTGAAGAGGAAAATACGGGAATTCCCACATCCTTAATGGGAATCAGATCCTCCATTAGGCTGGACAGTCAAAAGTCTCCTTATTAACATGCTTATAACTTAATAAGTATATATAAAATGGAATAATTTAATTGTACACAAAAAAACAAGAAAATTCTCAATTTAGTTATTGAGTTATTACACTTAGAAATAAGTCAATAATGTTTCATTCTTCGTTTGAAGAATCCCAATCAATATATCAGTGTGAACAAAGCTTGATATTAACTGAAATGAGTGCTAAAGAATAATATTTTAGTTATGGACATGAATAAATCACAATTATTTGCTCTAACTTTAGCTTAGATTATCAATATGTTTAACATTAATCTGCATGTTAGATGTCTTCCTAAAGTTAGGGATGAAATAAATATGAAATTTGAAGCATAAAAGCATCTTTTAAAGTTGAGCTGCTAAACCGTAACCCCTCAGTCCCTCAAGTAAAGGAATGTGCAGATTTTGAACAATTCCATAGCAGCAGTGTGCACTCAGTAGAACACAAATTATCTTTGCTTCTTATAGCAAATCACGAGTACTGAGTAAGAAACAGAATTTCCTTACCCTTCTTTGACTGTATAACACTCAATATAGCTGTTTTTTAAAATGTGAACTTATTCAAAATGCATAAAAATATACGAATGTACAATATACATATATACCTCCTAGTGGGGTCAAATGAGTGCCTTTTCGTTAGACATACAAGGACGTCTCAAGGCACTTAAGGGGTTAAGACACAATGCATGCATTCCTTTACATCAAGTATGTGAAATCACATGATTTGGAATAAGCCAACCTTATGATAAATATAAGTTACATTATTAAATCCAAGAGAATTTGTAGATTCATATTTATATTTTCTATAAGATGCTGGTAAATGGACAATGTGCAGCATTTCCTGGGAACAGCAAATTCCATCTTTCTTCTTCTGAGCAGCAGGCAGGTCTCTACAGGGGGTGTGCAGGGAAAAATGTGCTGCATCCATAGGCAGTGTATTGGCTAATATTAAGAACGATATTGCTAAAATTTTAAAAATAAAATCTGGTAATCAGTATAGTAAGTACGCAAACCACTGCAAAAGACCAGAGCTGACTCCTGATGTTTACTTCTTTTTGCTTTCATGATACAGGTGTATAACAGAGATGATGAGAATTTTGAGCCTTGTTTGTGGCAATTCTACCAAAAGGGGATTGCATGGCACCACCACAAAATTTCATAAATTACCCTGAACATACTCAGTTATTTACTATTTGTTCGGAGCAAAGCATGAAACAGTCTTCAAATACATGAGTTATAGATTTTGAAAGAGTGACATTTTTTAAAACATAAAGTGCAACAGTGCTGAAGTTTTCAAAGTTTTTTTGAGTTCTTCATTTTTTTTTTGTAAAATGCCATTTCCTGCGAGCAGCATTATGGCACAGTGAACATAAGGGAAAGCAGTTTTCCAACACATATCCCAGATCTTTTTGCTTTCTTATTTATTTGTTGATGTTGTTAAGGGTTTAACAAAGCCTTCTTCATAAACTTTCAAAATAGCTTCACATACAAATCTGTATTGACTCTGAAAAATAAAATATAAAAAACAGAACTGATCAGAAAAGTCAGAAAACCGTCCCCTCTCCCCCCAAAAAAGACAAACATCTCACTTGGCTTGCTTACTTAAAAAATGCAAAACAAAACTGCATAAAGATACCATTTTTCACTAACAGTCTAGACTGGTTAAAAAATACAGTTTGGCAATATATTTTGTTGGCAAAACTCACTTATATGTTGCTGGTAGGGATGTTAAAATACTGCAGCCTCTATAAAGGGGAATTTGGCAGCATATAAGAAAATTAACCTAATTTACCTCTTCACCCAGCAATCCCACTTCTAAGAATCTATCCAAAAAATAAACCAGAAAAAGAAACTGAAAACACATATTCACAAACAAGGCTATTCATTGCCTAATTATTTATAACAGAAAAGGTGGAAACAATTTAATTGCCATCAACAGGGACCAGGTGACTACTGTACATTCTCAAAATGGAATACTAGCTAGTCGGGAAGAAAAGGGATAAAAGTCTACAAACTACTAGAGAATGATTCCAGGTTATTTTATTAAGTAAAAAAAGCAAGGTAGGTAAAGTACGTATAATATATTATATTACCTTTATAAAAGAAAGGGAAGAAAATACAGTATCTATCTTGATGTATGTTAAGAAAAAAAAAGCAATGGAAGAATAAATTATTTTAAAAATAGTTTCTTGGCCGGGTGCGGTGGCTCACGCCTGTAATCCCAGCACTTTGGGAGGCCAAGGTGGGTGGATCACGAGGTCAGGAGATCGAGACCATCCTGGCTAACACGGTGAAACCCCGTCTCTACTAAAAATACAAAAAAAATTAGCCGGGCGTGGTAGTGGGTGCCTGTAGTCCCAGCTACTCAGGAGGCTGAGGCAGGAGAATGGCGTGAACCTGGGAGGCGGAGCTTGCAGTGAGCCGAGATCGCGCCACTGTGCTCCAGCCTGGGCAACAGAACGAGACTCCGTCTCAAAAAAAAAAAAAATAAATAAATAAATAAAAATAAAATAAAATAAATAAAAATAGTTTCTTATAAAGGGATGGAGGGAAATGGGAGCAGGAGAGGGACAGAGACTAGACTAGACTTCATTAAATATACCTTCCTTTTTAGATTTATACTTTGGAATAATGTAAATATAGCATATAATTATAAAAATCTTAAAATCCCTAAGCATTGACAATATCATAAAACTAATCAATGTGTGTATCTAGTTGATGACAACCATATAGAGGAGAGCTATTTGAAGGGACATTTTTTTTTAGACGGAGTCTCACTCTGTCACCCAGGCTAGAGTTCAATGGCGCAATCTTGACTTACTGCAACCTCCTCCTCCCGGGTTCAAGAGAGTCTCCTGCCTCAGCCTCCGGAGTAGCTGGGATTACAGGCACCTGCCATCATGCCCGGCTAATTTTTGTACTTTCGCAGAGACAGGCTTTCACCATGTTGGCCAGACTGGTCTTGAACTCCTGACCTCAGGTGATCCCCACCTGCAATGGCCTCCTAAAGTGCTGAGATTACAGGCGTGAGCCACCGCACCCATCCCTGAAGGGACTTTAAAACAGTAATTTGGCTGGCCATGGTGGCTCATGCCTGTAATACCAGCACTCTCGTAGGCCAAGGTGGGAGCATCACTTGTGGCCAGGAATTCAAGACCAGCATGGGCAACACAGCAAGACCCTGTGTCTACAAAAAAAGAAAAAAAAATTGGGTGGGTGCTGTGGTGTGTGCCTGTAGTCCTAAGATACTTGGGAGGTGGAGATGGGAGGAACATTTGAGCCAAGGAGGTTGAGGCTGCGATGAGTGGTGATCACACTACTGCAAACCAGCCTGGCAACAGAGCAAGACTCTGTCTCAAAAATACTGCAAATAAACAAACAAACAAACAAACACCTCAGTAATTTGACTGCATACTGTGGGAGAATATACTCAAAGGGCAAAAAGAGCTGTGAAAAAAAGGAAAACTCTTTTCATTAGCCATACTGTTTATAGTGGTAGTGTTGTTATTCTGAAACAGTTGTGTAATGTGGAGTATTTGTGATATTCTAAGTCTTTCATTGCTAATATTGTAAAGAACCAGTATTCTTGTTAAAGATGTAAAAGAGGCTAAGTAAAAACACTGTGGTCCTGAATTTGTATTGGAAGCATAAGCATTAACCTATGATAAATGTATTTTACTGGTTGTGCCATTTATCATTTTGAGAGACAAAAATTAACCCAAGCAAATAAAAGTCCTTAGTGCTCAGAGGTTGGTGCCTAAAATAGTTTCTCAATAAAAAGAACCGGGCTTCTTGGAGAAACTACTGATTCTAAATCAGGGGCACAAGATGTACAAGCTGGGCCTGGATATATTTTCTGATAGCAACAAAGCTATCAAAGTTACCAGGGTCTTGACAAAAGGACTCAGAAGCCAAGGTGAACAGGCTCCCACTGGCCAAAAATAGGACAATCTGGATATCACTAAGAAAAATAACTACAGGCTAGGCACGGTGGATCACTCCTGTAATCCCAGCACTTTGGGAGGTCGAGGCGGGTGGATCACCTGAGGTCAGAAGTTCAAGATCAGCCTGACCAACATGGAGAAACCCCATCTCTACTAAAAACAAAATGAGCCAGGCCTGGTGGCGGGCGCCTGCAATCCCAGCTACTTGGGAGGCCGAGGCAGGAGAATTGCTTGAACCTGGGAGGCGGAGGTTGCAGTGAGCCAAGATTGCGCCATTGCACTCCAGCCTGGGCAACAAGAGCGAAACTCCATCTCAAAACAAAACAAAACAAAACAAAACAACAACAAAAACTACAATGGGCTAAAACACATCAACTATGTTTAAATCCTTGATTTCAAAATAATACCCAAATAAATTTAAGTCATCACCCTTGGAGGAAGCTAGTAAATGATTCATTATATTGAAAGCTTATAGATAAAGGGAAAGAATCAAATGTTTTTCTTGCCTTTCCTACACATGCTATACCACTTGCTAACCAAATAGTAGATATGAAGTTTCTCTTTAAAGAAGTAGTCCAGCTAATAAAGACAGAATGATAGAATTAGAATATCATTATTTTGCAAATCCAATGAATTAATGAATGCAGGGATTGATTACTCAAGGGTGCTAACTTCACAAAAAAAAGACAATCAGACATTATGTGCGTTTGAAGAAAGAATATATGACCTAAGATGCTCAAGCCATACATGTACCACTTTTAGGAAACACAGAGAACACCACCTTGAGGATGTAAATTGGCAAAATTCACGCCGTCAGAAATATGTTGCAAACAACCTGATTCGTTTATCAAGTAAATTACCAAAAAAAAAAAAAAAAAAAAAAAAAAACAAGAAATGAAGGAGGAAGCTTTCAATTAAAAGAGATTTAAGAGACATATAAACCAATCAAAATGTGTAGACTATATCTGAATTCTGATTTTAAACAAATTATAAAAACAAAACCAAAAGCCCATGTGTGCTATGATCCAGGAATTCCTCTTCTAGGTATATACCTGAAAGAAATGAAAGCAAGGTCTCAAAGAGATCTTTATACACCCATATTCTTAGCAGCATTATTCACAATAGGCAAAAGGCAAAAGCAACCCTGTCCACTGATAGATAAATGAATAAAGAAAATGTGGTATGTTCACCCTTAGAAAGGAAGGAAATTCTGACTTACGCTACAACTTGGATGAATCTTGAGGTCATTAATCTAAGTGAAATAAGCCAGTCAGAAAAAGACAAATACATGAATTTACTTACGTAAAGTATCTAGAGTAGTCAAACTCATAGGAACAGAAAGTAGAATGGTGGTTACCAAGGGCTCAGGAGAGGAGAAAATGGGGAGTTTTTTTTAATGGATATAGAGTTTTGGTTTTGCAAGAAATTGCAAATTGGTTGCAAAAAAATGTAAGTATACTTAACACTGCTAAACTGTATACTTAAAAATGGTTGAGCTGGTAAATTTTATGTTATGTGTATTTTGCCATAATTAAAATCTTTTTAAAAATCCTATTATGTAAGAATATAGATATAAGACCTCAAGAAAATGCTAGCAAATCAAATCAGGCAACATATAAAAAGCATTACATACTATGTCCAAGTGAGATTTATCTCAGGAATGCAAGGTCAATTTAACATCTAAAAATCAATGTCATATACCACCTTAATAGAATAAAAGACCAAAAACCACATGATATCTCAGATGCAGGAAAAGCACTTAACAAAACTGAACACACTTTCAGGATGAAAACACTCAATGAACAAGTAACAAAGGGATCTTCTTCTACTTGATAAAGGGCATTTATAAACAATCCATGGCTAATATGATAATTAGTGAAAATCTAAAAACTGTCCCTCTAAGATTAGGAAGAAGACAAGTGTTCTGGTCTCATCACTTCTATTCAACATTGTACTGGAGGTTCTATCCAGGATACTTATACAAGAAAGACAAAGAAAAAGGAAAGAGGCATCTAGATTGGAAAGAAGTAACATATCTATTTGCAAATGACATGATGACATGATCTTGTCAAAAGAAAATCCTAAGAAATTCACTCTCTCACACACAAAACTATTGGTTAATAAAGGAAACAATTCCATTTACAATAGCACCAAAACATACTAAAATACTGAGGAATAAATTTAAATAAACGCAAGACTTGCATGCTGAAAACTACAATTAAAATTAAAGAATACCTAAATAAACAGAAAGACCATCCTGTGTTCATGCTTTGCAAGATGTGATATCACTATTATGACAATACTTCCCAATTTGATCTAGAGATTCAACCCAATCCCTATGAACATTCTGGTTGCTGGTTTTTTTTTTATTTTTTCAGAAAGAATAAACTTATTCAAAATTCATATGAAAATGCAAGGGGCATAGAATAGCTAAATCAAGCTGGAAAATGAAAAAGAGTTACGGATTTACATTTCCTGATTTTAAATTTTACAACAAAGCTACAGTAATGATGACAGTGTAGTACTAGCATAGGAACAGAGATACAAATCAATGGAATAGAATTGGAAGTCTAGAAATAAACTCTTATATTTGTGCTCAACTGATTTTTGACAAGAGCCCTGAGACAATTCAATGGGAAAGAACAGTCATTTTAACAAATGGTGCTGGGACAAGTGGGTAACCACATGCAAAAGAGTTAAGTTGGAACCCTACCTCAAACCACACACAATAATTAGCTCAAAATGGATCAATGCTAAATGCAAGAGCTAAAACTATAAAACTTGTAGACTCATTTATGGGTTAGGTAATAATTTCTCATCTATGATACCAAAAGCATAAGTGATAAAGGAAAAACAGATAAACTAGACTTCACCAAATTCAAAACTTCTGTGCATCAACTACTATAATCAAGAAAACAGAAAGAGAAAATGGAAGCAAATATTTGCAAACCACAGATCTGATCAGAAACTTTTATCCAGAAAACATAAAAAAAATACTTACAACTCGCCAATAAAATGGCGGCCAAATTCAAAAACAGGCAAAAGATTTGAACAGTTCTCCAAAAAATATATACAAATAAATAGCTAATTATCACATGTAAAGATGCTTAACATCATTAGTGATATGGTATAGCTGTGTGTCCTCACCCAAATCTCATGTCAAATAGTAATTCCCAGTGTTGGAGGAGAGGCCTTGTGGGAGGTGACTGAATAATGGGGGCAGACCTCCCCCTTTCTGTTCTCGTGATAGAGTTCTCTACAAGACATAGTTGTCTGAAAGTATGCAGCACCTCCTGCTTCTTTCTCTGTCTCTCTCCCGCCGGCCATGTGAAGACCTGCTTGCTTCCCCTTTGCCTTCCACCATGATTGTAAGTTTCCTGAGGCCTCCCAGCCATGCTTCCTGTACAGCCTGGGGAACTGTGAGTCAATTAAGCCTCTTTTCTTTATAAATTACCCAGTCTCAAGTGTTTATTTGTAGCAGTGTGAAAACAGACTAATACAATTAGTTATCAGGGAAATGCACAACAAATTCACAGTGAGATACTACTTCATACCCAGCAGGATGGCTAAAATAAAAAAAGACAGTAACACGTGTTGATGATGATGTGAAGAAAACAAAAGCCACATACACTGCTAGAGGAACTGCAAAATGGTACAGAAATTTTGGAAACAACTGGCCGTTCCTCAAAAGGTTAAACAGAATGAAAACATGACCTGGCAATTCCACTCCTGGGTATACCCAAGATAAATGAAAACGTATGTTCACATAAAAATTCATGGCAGCATTACTCATAATAACCAAAAAGTGGATACAAACCAAATAAATGTCCATCAACAGATTAACGGATGAACAAAATGTGGTAAAAATATACACAATGAAATATTATTGAACAAGAAAAAGGAATAAAGTAATAATACATACTGCAGTACAGATAAACCTTTAAATATGCTACTTAAAAGAAGCCAGTTAGAAAAGACCAAAGTGTATGATCTCATTCATATAAAAGGTCCAGAATAGGCAACTCTACAGAGAAAGAAAGTAGATTGGTGATTGCCTAGATTGGAGGTTGGGGGTTGGGGGAGGTTAGAGAGGGTATGAGGGGAAATGGGAATAATTGTTAATGAGCTTGGGGTTTTTTGGGGTGGGGTGGTGGCAGGGAATGAAGATGTTTTAAAAATTATATAGCCGGGCCTGGTGGCTCATGCCTGTAATCCCAGCACTTTGAGAGGCCAAGGCGGGTGGATCACCTGAGGTCAGGAGTTCAAGACCAGCCTAGTCAACATGGAGAGACCCTGTGTCTACTAAAAATACAAAAATTAGCTGGGCGTGGTTGCGGGTGCCTGTAATCCCAGCTACTCGGGAGGCTGAGGCAGGAGAATCGCTTGAACCCGGAAGGCGGAGGTTGCGGCGAGCTGAGATCATGCCATTGCACTCCAGCCTGGGCAACAGGAGCGAAACTCTGTCTCAAAAAAATAAAAAATAAAATAAAAATAAAAGTTATATAGTAGCAATAGTTGCAAGCCTCTGTAATACACAAAACCCACTGAATTGTATACTTTAAGCGGCTGAATTTTATGGTATGTGAATTGTATTTTAATAAAGCTGTTATAAAATTTAAAAAGACGGTTTTTAGTAAACAACTAGAAATTTAAATACTGCCAATTTGATAATATTAACAAATTGATGGCCGGGTGTGGTGGCTCACGCCTGTAATCCCAGCACTTTGGAAGGCCAAGGCGGGTGGATCACCAAGTCAGGAGATCTAGACCATCCTGGCTAACATGGTGAAACCCCGTCTCTACTAAAAATACAAAAAATTAGCAGGGCATGGTGGCGGGTGCCTGTAGTCCCAGCTACTCAGGAGGCTGAGGCAGCAGAATGGTGTGATCCCGGGAGGCGGAGCTTGCAGTGAGCTGAGATCGCGCCACTGCACTCCAGCCTGGGCGACAAAGCGAGACTCCGTCTCAAAAAAAAAAAAAAAAAAAAAAAAGAAATTGATTACATTTCTTGATAATTGTACTGCGGTTTTATTTAAAAGGAAAATCAATCCTTATCTTTTAGAGATACACACTAAAATATGAACAAAATGATATGATATCTAGGATTTGCTTCAAATACAGGGAAAGTGAACAGCTATCCAGATGAAACAATATGGCAAATGTGGGATCTGAGTATAAACATGATATTCATTATATTGTCTATGTTTGAAATTTTCTGTAATTAAAAACCAAGCTGAGCATGGTGACTCATGCCTGTAATCCCAACACTTTGGGAGGCTGAGGTGGCAGGACAGCTTGAACCCAGGAGTTCAAGACCAGCCTAAGCAACATAGTGAGATCCCCTCTCTACAAAAAATAAAAAAAATTAGCCCAATGTGGTGGCTCATGCCTGTAGTCCCAGCTGAGGTGGGAGGATTGCTTAAGCTTGGGAGGCTGAGGCTGCAGTGAGTTATGATCACACCATTGCATACCAGCCTGGGCAACAGAGTGAGACTCTTGTCTCACAAAACAAAAACAAAAAAATTATAGGCACTTACTGGATCACATAGGTCAATTTCCTTCAAGTAACCTATTCCACCAACAATGCTATTATTTCACAGTGTCTTAATCAGTGCAAAAGATAATTTTAACACTAAAATTCCATGATTCTTCTTTTGGCTCCTGAAGCATAATTAATACTCAGTGTAGAATGCACTAAAAAGTAACTTAATTTCTGTAATTTTTGTTGTTGCAACGTAAGTTCTTTTTTTTTGAGACTGAGTCGCACTCTGTCACCCAGGCTGGAGTACAGTGGCGCAATCTCGGCTCACTGCAAGCTCCGCCTCCCGGGTTCACGCCATTCTCCTGCCTCAGCCTCCTGAGTAGCTGGGACTACAGGTGCCCACCACCATGCCCGGCTATTTTTTTTGCATTTTTAGTAGAGACGGGGTTTCACTGTGTTAGCCAGGATGGTCTCGATCTCCTGACCTCGTGATCCGCCCGCCTCGGCCTCCCAAAGTGCTGGGATTACAGGCGTGAGCTACCTACCGCGCCCGGCCGCTGCAATGCAAGTTTTTATGTAAAAAGAAAAACAATTTCACCACAGCTATTTCACAGAAAGCAGGTCTATCAAGACTCTCCAGTTCAGGGATACTATCATTCTCAGCATTCAGCTTGACTAAATAATACAAAGCAAGTTCCTCTGTGCCTGTTTAAGCACTCAAGATTTAATATGCCAGGCAACTTGCATGTTAGCAAAACTTTTTCTGTAAAAGGCCAGATATTAAATATATTTTAGAAATAGCAGTCCATATGGTACTGTTGCAACTTCTAAACTCTGCAGCTATAATATCAAAGCAGGCATAGATAAATGAGCATGGCTGTGTTCCACTAAAATTTTATTTACAAAAACAAGTGGCAGGCCAGATTTGACTAGTGGGCAGTAGTTTGCTTACCCCTGTGCTAGAGGTTATTTGACCATGGCAAGGAATTGAAAAGATAAAAAAGGATAAAAATATGATTTAGAATATGCATTGGCAACAAAAATCATCATGTTAAGAATATACACTTGTATATAAAGTACAGTACTCACAGGTGTTTGGATCATCATGGCTCGCTGATCTCTCATTGTTCTTACAATATCTAGTGGATAAACTGGCTGATTGCATTCAATGAGACACATGGCTGTTTCCATAGTAATAAGAACCCCAGTTCTTCCGATTCCAGCACTAAAAAAGACAAATATAGGCAAGATCTTACCGATACTATTCTGTTAAACTACTTGTGGCTTTTGTGCATAAAACTGAATTATAACACAGAAGAACAATATCATTTTAATATTTTAATTATAAAAGTAGTAAGCCAAATACAGAATATTTTGAAAACAGAAAAAAAATGCACTGACTCAATTACTTGTTCTGTATCTTCCATCTACCACGTTAGTTGGAAAAATACTATTTTAAAGGAGTTAAATTTAAGTTTTTAAAATCTGAACAAGGAATAGAAGCTTACTGGAGCAACTCCTTAAAATGCAAAATGATAGAATGACAATAATAAACCATCAACGAATGCACAAAAGACAACAATATTTTAAACTCAAATATATCTTTTTTTTTTTTGAGACGGAATCTCGCTCACGCCCAGGCTGGAGTGCAGTGGTGCGATCTCGGCTCACTGCAACCTCTACTTCCTGGGCTCAAGCGATTCTCCTGCCTCAGCCTCTCGAGTAGCTGGGATTACAGACGTGCACCACCACACCTGGCTAATTTTTTTTGTATTTTTAGTAGACACAGGGTTTCACCATGTTTGTCAGGCTGGTCTCGAACTCCTGACCTCAGGTGATCTGCCCGCCTCAGCCTCCCAGAATGCTGGGATTCCAGGCATGGGCCACCGCTCCCGGTCTGATTTTAAATTAAACTTTACCACTGGGATAGCCAAGAACAACTTTTTAACTTCTAATCTGTGAACACGAATGCAGTAGTTATCAGGGACTTGGGATATAAAATGGTGTTTCACCATTCTTGCTACTTTACCTCTCAAATTTTGGTCTATAATCTGTTTTGAAGATTTGAAACTCTACTCTTAAAGTGTGTTGGAAAGTCTAAGTATAAAGAGATACCTCAAGATATCCTCTGAATAAATCACTTAACAAAGGTGGCCGTAATAGGGAGGAACAACTGTCTCCTAATCTCTGGATCAGTAGCAGTAAAGACTGAAGTCACTGTATTTGGCCCTTTGAGGGCAGAAGGGGACTTGGGTCTCAAAGAAAGAAAGAGTAGCCTGCTGTTTACTTAAAGCTTTTAGAAGTAGCAAAGCCTTTGGTAGGGTCACTTCAAGAGAGGTAGGAGTACTCAATGAATGTCCTAAGAGGAGCCACAGGCAAGGAAGAAGGAAGGGAATCTAAATATTAGGCTGTAACCTAATGCCTAAGCTGTTGTCTGAATGTGTCCCATAAAATTCCTATGTTAAAACTTAATCACCAATGTGATAATATTAGGAGGTGGAACCGGTGAGGCGCGGTGGCTCACACCTGTAATCCCAACACTTTGTGAGGCCGAAGTAGGTGGATCCCTTGAGCCCAGGAGTTCGAGACCAGCCTGGGCAACGTGGCAAAAACCCATCTTTACAAAAAAATACAAAAATTAGCCAGGCTTGGTGGTACACCTGTACCTCTAGCTACTCCGGGGGCTGAGGCAGGAGGATCACTTGAGCCTGGGAGGCAGAGGTTACAGTGAGCTGTGATCATGCCATTGCACTCCAGCCTGTGTGACAGTATGAGACTCCGACTGAAAAAAAAGAAAAGGTGGGACCTTTTGGAGGTGATTAAGTCATGAGGGCTGATGGGATTAAAGCGCTTATATAAAAGGACTTCAGAGAGTGGGTTCACCCCTTCTGTCCCTTCTAGCATGTGGGGAAACAGTATTCATCCCGTCCAGAGAATGACACAACAAAGTGCCATAATGGAAGCAGAGAGCAGTCCTCATTAGACCCTCATGAGAACCTGTGTGTACCCTGATCTTGAACTTCCCAGCATCCAGAAGTATAAGAAATACATTTCTGTTCCTTTTAAATTACCCAGTCTCGAATATTTTGTTACATAGCACAAATGGACTAAGACAGCCCACAGTACTGTACTTCATCAAATCTATTGTAAATTGTTAAGACCAATTTCAGAGGTGTTAAAATATGAAAAGGAGGAGCATCTAAGAATCAGTGCAATCAGTATTATTTTTATATCTTATGATAAAGTTACTGCCAATCATATGTTAGAACATATCCTTTGCCTCCTACCTTCAGAGCATAGCTTTGAGTTCTAATTATTACAGTGACAATAACACCATAAGGACAAAATATGTACTCTCTTTTAAAAATGACGTATCTGTTCAGCTATACACTCATAAAAGACGGAAAACAGAGTACCTGCAATGGACAACAACGGGTTCTTCCTTGCCAGCCCTCTTGTTTCGTACATGACAAACAAAATCTAGAAAGTCACTCGAATCATCAGGGACTCCATGGTCAGGCCAGGCTATGTACTGGATCTGAGTGAGTGGACGACTTTCATTTTTCTAAGAACAAATGAAAAATTATGCACCTTGACTTATGTATTATTGAAATTGTCCCTACAAACCTCATAAAATTCATCAGGAAAGAAGGGAGGGGGAGATAGAAAACTAAACACAGCTTGCAGCACACTTAGCATTGATCACTAGGTCAGCTGCTCTCTGACCCGCGTCCTCATAGTTGGTTGGTGCCTGTTGCCTCAGAATCCCACAGACCCATTACAAGATTATAGTTCCCCTTAACTGCTCTACAGATAACAACTTGGGACATTATGAAATGTTAGATTTCCCCTTTGAGACATTCTTTTGGGTCCTGCATACTGATGAAACTACTGACTCAGTTGGTCTAAAGGACCCTGAGGTAAGCTAACTCACCAAAGAATGCACCTCCTGATGATTTCATCCACCTTATCCCAACCAATCAACGATCTTAACTTCCCAGCCCCTTGCTCTCCACCATCCCCTTAAAAACCCCATCCCAGATCTCATCTCCTTGGGGAGATGATTTGAGGGTCTCCTCCCATCTCCTTGCTCGGTACCCTGCGATCATTAAACTCTTTATCTGCTGCATCCCTGCTGTCTCAGTGTATTCGTCTGTTATTGCACAGCAGGAATATGAACCTGTTGGTACTATGACATTATCTTTAAAATATATTCATGTCATTGGAATTTTAGAAGGAAAGCAAAACCAACCACTCCTCTTCTCCACCAAAAGTTATGTATAAACTCATTAAAATGCAAAATTTCAACAAAAAGGAAAGAAACTATTTTACAGAAATAGTTGTATCCATTTAAGTATGGCTAATTACATTACTACTCTTTTTATAACTCAATTTCTATATGTGTAAAGTATTTTAAAGATGATAATCAAGTACATAGGTAGAAACAAATTAAGACCCAGAGAAATGCTTAAAAAAAACTAATGAATTCTTGGGTGAGCAAAAATGGTAAAGTAAAAAACATTTTTTGTGAACAAAGCTGACCTAATCCTCACACAATGCAGATGAAATTATGGAAATCAGAAAAATAAAATCTCAAGATAAATGTATATTAAAAATTGGAGTTAATAAAAACACAAAGTCAAATCAGTGGGATTAATTCTTTTTGGAGAGCCAAGGTTGGTATAACGGAGACAGTAAGAGTATTGCGTTTAGATACATCTTGGTTCAAATCTTGACTCTGCCAGTTACAGCATTCAGTGTTTCAGAAAATAATTTCCTTCAACTGAAAAATGAAATAACATCTATACTTTAAAGGATCAGTCTTATGCTAAAAAGACTCCATGAGAGGACCTGTAAATCACCCCATCAGCTACTTGGCACCATATACTCAATAAATGGTTGCTATAGTCATTCAACACTATAATTATAACTATGGTTATTGCCATTTACACTGAAGAGAGCTTCCTGAAGAGTAAAAGTAAAAGGTATTCAAGACTTGAGGTAGTATCTGCTATCATTAATCCATCCATGTATGTATGTATTTATGGGAGCGAACTCATTTTCCCAATTATGTTTGGCTCAAACTTTAGAAACTAACTCATGTCTTAGTTCTAATGTACTCAGGGTGTGTAAAGAAAAGCCACTATGGTATATAAAACTGTCATGGATAATCTACAGGTGGAGTATAATAGAGACTATGCTAAAGATAGACATTATTTTATATAAACATACGTAGCCTATCTTTCATTATCTATTTGAGAAAATGAAGAAATATCATATTGGCTTGACCTGTTACATTAGACCATGAGCTACACAGTATATGTCCCCAAACCCTAAATTCATTCTGATGGACTCTAGCCCATAAAATTTTGAAATTTTAAAATTCTTGTCATTTTAGCTTTATTCAATGCCAGATTCCTTTTCTATAAATCAGCACAACTTCTGGCTTCTTCCCTTTTCGTCAGTAAGACTCTGTCTCTCTGGTTTCCTTTAATCATGCTCTTGGGGTTGGAGGGGAGTTCTCATTTCCAAAGGCTTGACCATTGATGGGATAGTCCTGGGCACTCATAGCTTGGGCTATTTGCTCTTCTCTAGCAGTTATTCTTTTAGTCCCTTTCAAAACCAAAGATGGTGGCAGGGGGATAGCTAGCTGCAGGCAGAGAAAGTAGGGTGCACTGTCTCTAGCAGCCTGACAGAACTGGCAGCATGACGCTCTCTACATACATCTTCCAATTGGGATACTGAGCCATCATTTATTAATCAGTTTCATTTGAAGCCAAGAGGACTGACTCAGGCAAAATTAAGAGCTGGCAATTAGAAATCTACACCCCATCTGCTGTCAGAAGGTCCTGGTTACAACCTTTTCCTTCTTAATAGGTAGGGGACTGTGAAGTTGCTCTCCTCTACTCTTTTAAAAAAGGAAAATAATTTAATAGCTTTCAATTGTTTTTTCCATTTCCACAGACACACCCAAATACTGTACTGATACTACTTGGAGTAAAAGTTTTTTTTATAATGAAACATATCTAAACAGTTGTTCTGAATAAGCAAAGTAGTAACAGTAGTATTATTTACCAGACTACTTTTTCACTGACCATTCATATTTAGTCATAGAAACTAAAGAAAAACATTAATTTTATAATAGAATAGGATAATACTCTTAATAAAATTCCAAAGTACCCCATTAAAGCAGATAAATAATTCAATAATTCTTATAGTATTTCCTAGCAACCAATACTCAAACTAAAAACATTTTCAGCTTTCAGTCTTTACCCTGAACACAACAGTTCTAATGAACAGATATCCTGCCTTCTTACCTCTTGGTTAAATAGGGTCATCTTCCTGAAGATATAGGCAGTGTTTCCTTCTTCAGAGTGGCAGGTAACTTGGTAGCATCCATAAGATGAACTGCCTGTGGGTTCTGGCCAATATTGGTGACATTTAACCTGATATTGATATAAATAAATAATAAATAAAATTATATACATATGGATTCATGTTCTCCAATTTTTAAAAATGTTTTTTTAATAAATTTCAAACATATAAAAGTTACAAGAAAAATTTAATAAATTTCATCTCGATCTGCTGACTAGTGTTTTTTTTTTTTGCGATGGAGTTTTGCTCTTGTTGCCCAGGCTAGAGTGCAATAGCACGATCTTGGCTCACTGCAACCTCTGCCTCCTGGGTTCAAGCGATTCTCCTGCCTCAGCCTCCCAAGTAGCTGGGATTACAGGCATGTGCCACCAAGCCTGGCTAATTTTGTATTTTTAGTAGAGACGGGGTTTCACCATATTGGTCAGGCTGGTCTCGAACTCCTGACCTCAGGTGATCCACCTGCCTCCGTCTCCCAAAGTGCTGGGATTACAGGTGTGAGCCACTGCGCCCAGCCGACATTTTTTCTTTGTCACTTTTTTCCCTTTTTAATAGTAAGTAATCTGGCTATATTTTGAGGCAGCAAAAATCCTCATTAAATCTTAAGATTTTTTAAAACAGCTGTAATGACAAGTAATTCATGTACCATACCGTTCACTCGTTTAATGTATACAATAGTTTTCAGTATATTCACAGAACTGTGCAACCATCACCACAATCCCTTTTAGAACATTCCCATTACACCCAAAATAAACCCTATACCAATTAGTAGTCATTGTTCATTCTTCCTCATCCGTTCCCCCATCCTTACCCCAGATCTAGACCACCACTGATCTACTTCATGTCTCTACAGAGTTGCCTATCCTGGACATTTCATATAAATGCAATCATACACTATGTGGTCTTTTTGACCTCTTTCACTATGCTAAGTGTTTTCCAGGTTTACCCATGCTGTAGTATGTATCACTACTTCGTTCCTTTTTATTGCCAAATAATATCCAACCATAAGACTATACCACATTTTATTTGTATATTTGAGTTGTTTCTACATTTTGGCCATTATAAATAATGCTGTTATGAATGCTCATGTACAAATTTTTGTGTGGACAGACCTTTTCAACTCTTTTGGATTTAGGAATGGAAGTACTAAGTTATACCAACTCGACGTTTAACTCTTTGAGGAACTACAAGACTGTTTTCCAAAATGGCTGGATGGTTTTACAAACCCACAATAGGAGGGTTCTGTTTTTTCCATATCATCCCTAGAACTTGTTTTTATACGTCCTTTTTATTTTGGCCATCCTCTAGGATATAAAGTCTCATTAAGGTTTTGATCTGCATCTCCCTGATAATGATGTTGAGCACCTTTTCGTGTGCTTCTTAGCCATTTGTATATCTTCTTTGGAGAACTGTCTATTCAGATCCATTGCCCATTTTTAAATTGCATTATTTATTTTACTGTAGAGTTCTGTATATACGTTAGACACAAGACCCTTAACAAATGTATATTAATCCCTTTAAATAACAATGACAGTAATGGCTAACACTTATGTCACATTTATTTATGTGTTAGTCACAGTTTTATGCACTTAAACATGATGATTTAAAACAAGAAACCACAAGAAAAGAAGATTAAAGGTTACAAAGGCTTAAATAAATATGAATATTTTGACTACATATGTGCAGTATAATTTGAAAAAAGTCCAAGCAATGTGTAAGATTCAACTATGACTTACTCTGCCACGTTCAACTTGTGTGGTCAACATTACAACCATAGAGGAGCCTTGTTCCCAAGTCATCTGCCAAAAATCTGTACAAGTGTGTGGTAATGGCCCTTGACAAGCAATGTACTGATTTATAATGCTGGAAGAAGGAATTTCCATCTAAAAAGAAAAGGGCATGAAAATAAAATGTTTTGCATTACTTTTTACAGTAATCAGGAATAGGAAAATCATCCACTAACTGTTATAGTGAATACAACTAACCTCAATAAACTGCCGTCAGTAAAACAAATCTTTATTAACAATTTCTTATTTTATCTGTAGAAGAAATTTCATGGCAATGTTCAACAGTTACATGTATTTATCTTTTAATTAGTGGAAATAAGAATTTAAATATTTTCCTGGGCTCAAGCAATCCTCCTGCTTTGGCCTCCCAAAGTGCTGAGATTACAGGTGTGAGCCACACCCGGCCGATTATGATTTTTAAAAGCAGCTTAACACAGAATTTTGTTTCAGAGGCAGAGACTTGGTAAAGAAATAAAAAATACTTATCTGTAAATAGTTTATTGGTAAAATTTGTGAGGAACAAAAATTCTGCCATTGGTTTTAGCTTGAATTTTTACATATAAAGTAACTTTAGAGGGTATCAGAATATTTTAAATTCATAATTTTCAGAAAGAGGTAAGATAGTATTTGGGAAAGTTGAGTCATCAGTCATTATCCTACTACATTTTGAGATTAAATTTTTTTTAAAAAGGTGATATATGCACATGACAATTCAAAGAATAACAAAGAGTGAATAAAGAAAGTCTCTTCTCCCATTTCAGCTTCTAGTTTGCAGCCAGGAAGGTAATCTTTTTCTGTTTGTCATATAGCCTTCTCAGGGATATTCTATATACAACATATAAACATATATGCAACTTCCCACTTTTCTGTAAAACTGTTGCTTAAAAATGGTAGTATACTATATATATAATGTTGTTCTGCTTGTCTTTTTTACTTCATCTTCAAGATGATGTTTGATGAGTAAATAAAATTTCATTCTTTTAAATGGCTCTACTGTATAAATATACAAGAAAATATTTAATGCAGATTTAAGGCCCTCATGTTTTTTATTTCTGTAAACTTGCCCCAACCTGTGCTCATTTGACAGCAAAATCTGACCTGAACTGACCTAAGACTATTTGCACTCTTTATTAGTCTTACTTAGGGAGAATATCTATAGTTTGCTGTTAACTATTCAGATATATTGATTATGGAGCACTTGTCCCATAGCCTGCCAGCGATGCTACTTATTATAGTATATGTACTAAATACCCTTTCAAAATTCCAAAAATTCGGAATCCCAAAGCATATTTTTCTACACCCTCCCACTCACTGCCCCTTTATGTGGAGAATGAGGTCTTCCTAATGTTGCCTAGGCAGGTCTCAAACTCCTGGGCTGAAGCTATCCTCCAGCTTATGCCTCTCTTTAGTGCTGGGATTACAGGAATGCGCTACTGCGCCTGGCCCCATAGTATATTTAACCTAAGGTTTCACATAAAGGATGTGGACCTACATGTAGTATTACCAAACTTTTGCTCTTTCAATCTCAGGTGAAATAGTAATTCCTTGAAGTTTTCATTTGCACTTTTCTTTTTGTAAACTGCACGTATTTTTCATTTAACTCTGATATTATTTTTCTAAGTGTTAAAATAGTATTGTGGTTTTGCTACCAAAAAAAAAAAGGCCTTATCAGAGATATATTCCTAAGTAGCTAATCCTCCATCAAGGATTCTCTATTTGCAAATTTGACTACTTGCTAAAATTTATTCATAACCCTCAAAACAGCTGCAGGGATTTCTTGGTCATCTAGTAGACATACTTAGAGCAGTGAAAAATTTGAGTCATCTGAAGACATGCACATTTCCAGGTGAGATCAAACAAACCAACTCATTTTGTTTTAGCTCTCATACTGTAAACAAGTGGCCTTTTTGCATTCTATGTAGTGCCTTACTTTTTACCTTTTGGGTTTTTTTACTGGTGATTTTGCTGTTTAAAACTGACCCCCAAGTGTAGTTTTAAAGTGCTGACTAGTGTTTCTAAGTGCAAGAAGGATGTGATATACCTCATGGAGAAAATATGTGTGTTAGATAAGCTTCCTTGAGGCATGAGTTATAGTGCTGTTGACTATGAGTTAAATGTTAATGAATCAGCACTATATATTAAATAAAGTGTCTTTAAACAGAAACAACAGTATGTATTGATCAGCTAATTAAAATGTTGTGACTTTTGGCCTGGGGGAACCTAACCCTGTATTTTCCCTAGAAGCAATGATTAAATAGTCTCTAATTTAGCATGTACAAAGACTTTCTAGAGCATGACAACATCGAATGGTGAGAATTAACTCAACTGACATATACAGTGATATATTTGGGCTTAAAAATAATTTGGAGGTTAGTATTTAGCTAAGATTGGCCACTAGTTGATAGCTCTTGAAACTGCGTAAGAGGTATGGGGGGACTCTTTTATACTATTCTCTCTACTTTTGTATAAATTTAAAAATGACTATTAAAAATGTCATTTGCATAATTTCCTTTTCTATGAATTGTCTTTGCATGTCCTTCATCCATTATTTTCATTGTTCTTTTTTTTTTTTTTAGACGGGTCTTGTTCTGTCACCCAGTGACAGTCATGTGATCATGGCTCACTGCAGCCTCAACCTCTCAGGCTCAAGCAATTCTCCCACCTCAGTCTCCTGAGTAGCTGGGACAACAGGCATGCACCACCATGACTGCTAATTTTTATATTTTTATATTTTTATTTTTATTCGAGAAATGGGGTCTCAATATGTTGCCGAGGCTTACTTTTCTTATTCATTTATGAAGCTCTTTGTATATTAAATAAGCTTTTTCTAGTATTTAAAAAATTCCATTTGTCATTTGATTTTAGTAGTTTTTAAGCATACCAAAAATAACAAATTTTACCTTGTCAAATTCATCTCTTTAAGCTTAGACATGTATCTAAGCTTAAAAAACCTCCCCTTGAGATTTTAAACAATTTTCACATATTTCCTTCAAATAATTTCATAATTCCACTTTAAAAATTACATTTTGATATATTTGAAATACATGTTGGCATCAAGAGTGAGTAGAGGTAAAGTATTTATAGATGAACGATATGATATAAAGATCTGCTTCAAAAGAACCTGGTAAAGGTGAAACCAAGTTTGTCATCAGTTGACAAGTGCTGAAACTGAGTGATGTGTACATGAAGGTTGATTTTACGGTTTGCTTTAATTTTGTACATTTGAAATTTTCTAATTACAGAGTTAAGAAAAAAATAGTAATTTTTTTTTCCAGGTAAGAAAAAAAAATGCCTCTTTACAATGACGTATTCTAGACTAGTGGTCCCCAACCTTTTTGGCACCAGGGACTGGTTTCTTGGAAGACAATTTTTCCATGGAGTGGGGTTGGGAGGGTGGGAGGTGGGGATGGTTACAGGATGAAACTGTTCCACCACAGATCATCAGGCATTAGATTTTCATAATGAGCATGCAACCTAGACAATTACTGGTCCATGGCCCAGGGGTTGGGGGCTCCTGTTCTAGACAGTTGACCCAACCACCCATTCACTGGATAGTCTATCTCCAATGATCTAAAAGGCCACCTCTACCATAAACAAAATTCTAGTATCTAAGTCTATTTATGAACTGGACTATTCCATTCCACTGCTCTACCTGTATTAATACACAAGTACCAAAATATTTTCTTTAATATTACTTCAATAATATTTTTCATAGCTGAAAGTTTTAATATTCTATCCAGGTCAGGATTTTAACAAAAAGAACCTCAAAGTTCATAGTGGCTCGTATTTTTCCAAATGGCAAAGGCATAATAAGAATAAACTTACATTTATATAGTTCGCATTGATGTAGTCTTCATTACCTTTTAAAATGACCCGTGTGGCATCATCTAAAAAAATTTAAAAGAAATAATGTTTTAGTAAAGTTATGTTTAAAAGATTAAATTTAACAGAGACAATAAGATACTTACAAGGCGAAATATCTCTGTATCTATTTTTGGAAATATTCTGAGGTAATTTGGCACAGGACATTGTCATTCCAGGTTTTTTCCGATACAGTTGCTAAAAAAAAAAAAAAAAGGTACAATTCCAACAAAAGCCATAAACAATTTCTCTTTTGTTTACCAGACTTGTTTCTACACTAACAGGAAACAGGTTTCTTTGCCTTTGAATAGGTCATCTATACAATGATATACCATAGTCTAGTAGAGTACTGAACCAGATTTGCAAAGCTGAATTCTTCAGTTTCTAACATAAATTATGTGTCATATTTTGAAAAGTGGTAAAACTAGTGAAACCAATTCTGCTTACAGCAGGAGCACCTGAAGTTGTGAGTAGCAAATCTGCAGAAAACATTTAACTTTCATTTAGTTTGGAGGTGTTTACAGTCTATGAACTAAGAACTTTTGAACAAAAACAGACATATCCTAAATGTTTTATAGTTAAACACTTACCTATAACATATATGTCAGAACAACAAATATTAATGATGGTCATTTCTAAAAACACATTAAAAACTATCCAGGGAGCCTAGCATGGCTGTGCATGCCTGTAATTCCAGCTACTTGAGAGGCTGAGGCTGGAGGATTGTTTGGACATAGGAATTTGAGATCAGCCTAGGCAACATAGTGAGAGGCCGCTTCTCAAAAAAAAAAAAAAAAAAAAAAATTCAGGTTTATTAATTTAAACAAATTAGGTTGATATAGTCTGAATAAAACATTTCAAAATCCACTGGGTGATCGTGGGTCAAAATGCACATTATAAGCACTGAAGAAGCATTCTAGTTCATTGGATATAATGATCTGTCTGAAAGTTTTGGTTTTTCCAGTTTTCAAGATTGCACCAATGAAAAATAAACAAAGATTAAATGACAAGGTATAAACTTCAAAAATAAAAGTTATTTTCCTTTAGCTCAGGATTTTATTTATTTATTTATTTATTTATTTATTTATTTATTTATTATTTTTTTGAGATGGAGTCTCACTCTGTCGCCCAGGCTGGAGTGCAGTGGCGCGATCTCAGCTCACTGCAAGCTCTGCCTCCCAGGTTCACGCCATTCTCCTGCCTCAGCCTCCTGAGTAGCTGGGACTACAGGCACCTGCCACCACACCCGGCTAATTTTTTGTATTTTTAGTAGAGACGGGGTTTCACCGTGTTGGCCAGGATTGTCTTGATCTCCTGACCTTGTGATCCGCCCGCCTCGGCCTCCCAAAGTGCTGGGATTACAGGCGTGAGCCACCACACCTGGCCAAGCTCAGGATTTTAAAGTATATAATAGCCTATCTTCATCTGCCACCTTTCAAAAAAACAGCTATTTAACTATAGAAAAAAATTTAGTTTGATGACATATGTATAAAATTTCCTTATCCCTCTTTTTAAAACATATTCTATTTATATAACCATAGCTAGTATTTTGGGAGCAATTTTTAAAACTTGGCATTTTAGAACTCTTTATGTCAAACATTTCTCAGAATATCATTTTAGTTTAGAAATTATAATGCACAGATTAGGCACTTAAGAAACTATGAAACTAGTTAGCAAATATCAGCAAAATGCTTTTAATATATAATGATATTACTTACATCAAACTGTGTCAGGACTGTTCCAGTGATAAGCCCCTCAGCTAGCTGGATCATTGACTCCCGCAGGGAATGGTCATCCTGATGCACACTATCTAGTGGGGCTTTCTCAGGAATATACTGGAAATCTGGCTCATTTTCTAGCTTTTCTTCCACTACATCATATACAGCTAAAAAAAAAAAATCAAACAAACCCCAAAACGTGGAAATCTTAATGAATTCACACGATAGGAATTTACCAGATACACTGTATAATGTTTTGTTCAAAAAATAATTCATTTGTGAAGAATTACACCAGATCTGAGTCTGGTGTCACTATGGGGGGACAGAAACTAGTTGTGGAGTTGAGGGGCTTTGCTGTACCTTTGGAGGGAAGAAGTGTTCTTGGCTACATTGCTGAAAATGTCTATAACTTGAAGAGACAGTAAGAAAGAAGAGCTGCTGAGAAGCAGCTGTGAATACACCCGCTCTTAATTTGTAGGGGACCTAGGGCAAGAGTACAAATAGAGACCTATATACCATATGTTTAACTATGAGAAGTTACAAAAAACTTGAACACAGTGCTAAACAAAATATGCTTCATCCTCTTTCTGTGATGTATCTACAAAACAACCTGGGAGGCCAGACTATAAATGAGAATTCTAGGCCAGAATTCATGGTCATGGTAATGTGAGGAGATTCAGACCCTAGATCCTAGGCCTGTATTCTACCGTTACCCACTCTCAGTCCCATTTTTTAACATAGGGGCTTATAAACATACATGTGAAGATCCCAGCCCACATGCAAGATATATCTATACCTGTCCCTCCACAAACTGTAGCCTCTTAGCCACCTTCTGGGCTAGGATACACACACCATGTGAACCCACCTTGAGAGAACGGATGTGTGGAAAATACCCATGAAGATCTGGAGAGGCTCAGGGTTATCTGGACCCAGAACTGAGGTTTGAAAAAAAGTGGTATAGAAAGGGAAGGGAGGTTACAGCTTGGCATGTCCTTTTGGTCCTATAAAATTATGACTCCACTGGGAGAAGAAAGAGAGCCAAAGCAGGGCCTTCTAAAACATGGAGCCAAGGTAGGGGCCTCTTTACCCTTGCCTAAGAGATCTGGTTCCTCCTTGAATATCTATACATTTTTTTAGAAAAATAAATTTCTGAAATGAAGAATGAAAAGACAAAAAGGTATGACAACATTTTGCCTAAGAAGAAATAAGAATTAAAGGAGAAAAGATCAGAAAAACAAAAATATATTCTTGGCAAACACAGTTTTAAATTTTAATTATATGAAACTTTAAGAATGGAAAAGACAGACCCACACTGAAAACAGATGCAGGTTCTGCTCCGTATTTTGACTATGAAACAATTTAGAAAGATATTTTGCAAGAAGTAGACCCTGGTGGGTTCCTCTCATACTATAAAGCAAAAGGATGAGATCTGGAATTGTAAAAAGGCTGGGTCTTTGCCATCATATGGATTTTTGTTCATATTCTGGCTCTGTGGCGTCATGAATCTGTGAGCAGGTAACTGAATGTCTTGGTGTCAAAGTATCTTCAGCTCTAGAATGGGGATAATTCATCAATCTCATTGGATGTCTATGAGGATTAAATGAAAATATACAAAAGAGCCTAGGTGCACAGAAAGTTTTTAATAACTATTAGCTAATATTATTGAGTTCTTTAGGATCTATTATCAAGAGAAAATATAATACAATAAATACAGAAAAAAATGTTATTCCTGGTTTAAAATTTAAGTAGCTGTATGTGACAGAAAACACCTAATGACTCACCTAAGTATCAAGTCTAAATGAACAAGTTCCTTGAAAAGTCAAAATAGAATGTTCTGTTGAAGTCCTTTTAATCTTCCTAGAAAGCCAATTCTAGACCATTAATGGAAAAGAACACAAAGTGGAGAAGATAAAATGAAAACGCCTATTTGTGAACAAGAGGTACAAAGAGGATTTTTTATTTTTTGTTTACAAAAAAGAAATATCCTTGCAAAATTTTGCAGGGTTGGGTGTGGTGGTGACAAGTAGAATTCGAATGATATTTCACTTTCCTATGGTACATATTCAAGTGGTAATATGGCATTAACAATAATTATTCTGTGGCTAAAATAATGATTAATAGTAAATTGTATAGAACAAAACCAGAAGAATATGTCTAATCCTGGGATATTAGACATATAAAACTTTTTTCTTAGAGCAGACTGATAAAGTGTTGAGGGAACTCTAAACAATGCCATATGAACACTGGCTGAAGACTCTAGGACTCTTAAACTGGAGAAAGGGAGGTGGGTTTCTGGTAAAATTAGCTATTGTCAAAAAACTGAAGGAAAGGGGGTTAAACTTATAATGCATAGCACAGAGTGACAGACTTAGGAGCAGGACTGAAGAAAGATGGACTTTTAGTTCAATTTATAGTTTGAGCTATCCAAAGATGGAATGACCTGTTTCAGGAGCCACAAAGTGCTCTATCTATATTGGTAGAATGTTCTTGAGGTTGTTGTGGAGGAAATTCGTGCAATTAGCCAAAGAGCTAGAGCTTACGGCATTCAAGTTTTCTCCAAACCTGGAATTCTATGACTATGAATTAACAAGTCAGCTGTCCAGATTGGGAGATGACATGATTAGGCAAGTAGACATCATATACTGAAAACAAAGGCAGTATTTTAAAAACACTTTAACTATAGCTTGTTATGGCATTTTCTAAAAGTGGAACAGAGTTCAAATTTACTCATTCATTCAACTAGTATTTATTGAGTACTAGTACTACAACTATTACCATTTAGGGGAAATGGGAGACCATTTTAGCTATGGTAGTCAGGAGAGAAAGCCCTTCTGAAGATGATATCTGAGCAGAGACCTGAATGAAGTATAGGTATAAGTCATAACAAAATCAAAAAGAGTATGTCAGCACAGGGAACAGCAAGGATAAAAACCCTAATAAGTCGATTAGATTGGAAGATCTGAGTAACTGCAAGAAAGCTAGTGTAGAATAGAGGAAAGTAAGCAAGGCTGAGTGGGAGCAAGGGGTGGGGGGGCAAAGAACTTGAATTCTGCTCCACGTGTCAATGAAAGCCACTGTGCTTTGAGCAGGAAACTTAGGTGACTTATGTTTTATGTCAGAAATCTGGCTGCTGTGCTCAGTAATGAACAGTAATAAATTACTATAAATTATCTGGTACTACATAGAGTACTCACCATTAGGTCGAACTAGAAGCATGAGTTCCCCAGAATGTCTCTCACAACTAGCTTTAATAAACAGCACAACCTGATCATGAGTGTGTTCTGCAATGTCCCGACCATTGATCAGTACAACTTGGTCCCCTTCATTCAGTCTAGGGACACAGAGGTCAGCCTGTAATATAATATAGATAAGGTTTCAGATTGGCATGCAACTTTCTGAAAGTAGAGCACAGGAATTTATTTTAATAGACCCAATAGCAGGAGAACTAAACTACATATAGAAAAGCATCTTTCATTTATTATCTATTTAAAAAATGTAGAAATCTAGCTTTGCCAGAGAGAGTATTTTTGTTCCTTCTTCATGCAACAATTTCTTTCCTGATGACCTATTATGTGCCTAGACCTACAAATAAGACTGATGATTTCCAAGTACATACACACAAGTAGCTTTAGCTTTACACTGTCTAGATACATACAAACTTCAGTTACCATGATTTAATTAAATAACAGCAGTCCCCCAACAATACAATTCAAACTTTAGTTACCACAGTGCATTTACCGTGAATAACTGTAAAAAGTACACAAAAATCACTACATAAATAATAGACACACATCATCATCAGTGGCCAGTCACATCAGTTCTTCCAAAGTCTGATGGTCATCTGTTTTCAGTTCAAGTGCAGACAGGAAAGCATGTAGTTGGGCTGCCTCCTAGTCTCCCAGTGATAAACCCATATTAAAATGAATAACCTAAATCTAAAGAGGAAATTGATCACAAAAGATGAAAGTGCAGCAAAGTGAATAATGCTGGAGGTGAAGTTTGAATGGACCATAAATAGAGTCAGAGAAGCAATAGATGACCATGGGAATGTTAACACTGTTGTTGGAGAGACTCTAGATATGCAGCCAAAGGAACTTTTGGAGATATTTCACAACATCAAAAGTTCAGAGGACAAAGTACTGAAAGTGTGTCAAGTAGACAGTATTATGACAATTTGCCAAGGCAAGAAATGAAGCTCATTTGGTATTCTAAGCTGTACCACGGGGAGGAGGCAAGCACCGTTTAAACTACTCATAATGAGTTTTCACAAGAAAATAAAACATTTAAATTCTCAGTGTTTCTAATGTTTTGAATTACAGGATACAAAATCCTATATTAGCTTTACTATTTTTTTCATTTCCTTTTACCTTTATAAGAGACAGTAAAGGAAATTCTTAATGTTTTGACAATAAATTTAAAGGTCATGGGAACAACCATAATTTTTCCTATTAATCATCAAGATCCTGCACAATTTCATCTTGCATGGTCATTTTTATAGTCTTGCACTATAGCACAAAGTGAGAAGACAAACAGCGATTAAGGTAAAAGAGACAAAAGAAATAGAAATATGGACATGTTCTGGGAACATAGCAATGAAAACATATGAGAGTGAATTTTGAGGAATGATAGGCCAGGTTGAGAAGGAAATGATGGGGTTGGATCTTACAAAAAAGGGAACTGCTTGTGGTAAAGGCATGAAGAAATAAAAGCACAACTACTGAAATTCTTTATCAACACAAAGTCAATAAAATCCAATAAGGCACTGTCATTAGTGGAAAAAACACTGGTCTAGAAGTTACTCTGCTGCTTCTGAAATGAATGATTAATTAGACATCTGAAGTTCTGAAAAGACATCTGAAAATGAAAAGTTCTGATTATTTCTTAGAGTTGTTGTGAAGATGAGATAATTCAACCCAAAGCTTTAAAATCTGGAACGTTCAAATTTAGAGTTATGCTCATTCTCTCAAGTTGCTTTTTTGTCTACTTATGTAGTGAAGTAGATGACAGACATTCATATATTCCCTCTGTGCACTAGCAGTATGATGCTTTTGTATACCAATTAGTTCCAAGTTTTTGTAAATGTCTTTGAGATACCTGAAGTATAGTGAATTGGGAGCCAATGGTACTGGGGAAAATGTAATAATGGGCTATAGCAGACAGAGCTTTTCCTCACATTATTTTGTGCATAGTGTAGTTGGCAGAAAAAAAGAGGTGGTCTATGTGTTAAAGAGGATAGCTATGAATCTCTTACTGTATCCATTATCACTAAAGGGAACTCTCTTATAGTTAATATGCCTTTTGTCAGATATGTTACAATTTTTCATTTCCATTTCATTCTGATCTGACAAGTCTAAATAAACTGTTTGTGTGTATATATACACACATACAGAGCAAGACCCTGTCTTGCTCAAATATATGTTTGAGGGTCTTGCTCTGTGTGTGTGTGTGTGTGTATTTCAGACAGGGTCTTGCTATATATTTGAGACAGGGTCTTGCTCTGTTGCTTAGGCTGGAGTGTAGTGGTGTGATCATAGCTCACTACAGCCTCGATCTCCTGGGCTCAAGTGATCCTCCCACTTCAGCCACTGGAGTAGCTGGCATCACAGGCGTGTGCCACCATATCTGGTGAATTTAAAAATTTTTTTTGTAGAAACAAAGCTTCACTATGTTGCCCAGGGTAGTCTTCAACTCCTGAGCTCAAACAATCCTCCCATCTTAGCCTCCCAAAGTGCTAAGATTATAGGCATGAGCATCACACCCGGCCAATAAACTACGTTAAAATGAGTTTTGTTGCAGCAACGGCTTTTGGCTAAGATTATCAAACAGAAAGAGAATCATAACTTTAATTGGGAGTTGTTTTATCCATTTCAGAAGATGTCCAATATAAAAAATGACAATAAAATATTTGAATCCCATAAACATGTACAACTATTATGTATTCATACAAAAACAGAAACCTTTTCCTTTTCCCCCGATTGCCTAAACTGTGGTTTCCAATTAGAAGGTTGTGGTGATCTCTAAATTAACAAAATAATACAAAAATAATAAATTCCTATTGTTTTAATTTTTTCCCCCAATAGAATGACTATGTTTTAATTTGCTCTAAATTCCAGCCAATATTTATGGAACATAGTTCTACATGGCAGAAGGGAAAAATTACCAACAATATGTACAGATTAAAAAGAGAACTTAACAGTCTTAGAATTCTGTTTGGAAATGAATATATCTATAGAATATTCTCTGAATCCTTGACTTAATTGAAAACTATCCATATTCATTGCTCAGAAAAATGAATACTTTTTTTATGCGTGTGAGTCATTGACTATTACAACTGTCATGTAAATAAAGAAATGTGTATTATCTTTTCTAATTATAAGAGCAATATATGCTCATTGTCATGATCCAGACAATTAAAAAAATACAGAATACCTGTAATTCCATTACCCACTGTTAACTTTTTTAGCACGTTTCCAGAATTTTTCTATGTATCTAATATTTTAATAAACTGGTTCAAACATATATGTGAAATTATATATTTTTCCATAATGCCATCGTATGGATATATTTCCATATTTATATAGTTACATTACCATCTCAATAGACACAAAGCAACATATAACTTGTTTCCCCAACTTTAACGATGAGCATTTTGATTATTTTTCATTTTAAACTGTTAGAAACCATACTGTAATTAATATCCTTGTATTTCTTTGTTCCCTAGTCCACATTTGATTATTTTTCCACTTTAAACTGTTATAAACCATATAATTAATATCCCTGTGTAAGTACTCTTTGTTCCCTAGTCAAACTATTTCATTAGGAGAAATTCCTAAATGTGAAACTGTCAGGCCAAAAGATATACAACTGCTTTTTTTTTAAGTCTTAAATTTTTGTTTTTAGCAAAGTTATAAATCACACCATTAAAAGATTTGACTAGGTTTATAAGACTGTTAAGAAACTATTTGTGTTCCTCCCTACCACCTCCCCATCTCTAGAGGCAACTTTTTTCAACACTTTAGATATATCTTTCTGTATTTACCTCTGCATCTCTAACATCTCTCTATTGTTATTCTTTTCTGTTTTAGATATTATCTATTAACTTTGTACATGATAGATAATTCATCAATCCTTCATCCCTTCATCTGCAGTCCCAATCATATTCATATTTCCCATCAAATATATATAAAATAAATAATTTTGGATTATCTCTACCATCTTTGTCCCCATCTTTTACATACATATTAATAGTATGTCCCCAGGAGTCATTTTATACATAATATCCCCGGTCTTGTCCCCCAGTCACAACGGACTTTTTTCAAATAAGGAAATAGGATCCACGCTGGGTCTATTAAGGGTTTACATCCCAGGAGTTTATAATTTAGACTGAGAGGTCCCTGTGGGCTACTGAGCTGGTAATATACAAACCTGGAAGTTATTAGTAGTCACATCCTACTACATGGATTGAGGATCACAATAGCAGTAGGTAGTTACACAATTTCTATTTAGTGGAGACTTAGGAGTCACAATCTGATGTGTGTGTGTGTGTGTGTGTGTGTGTGTGGTAGTGGTGTTACAAAACTCTGCTTGAAGCTGCTACTAAGTACACTGTTTTTACTTAGACTGGAGTGTTTATCTGGAGTGGCTTGAGAGGTAGGCTGATTCAATGTACAAATTCATTCACACTGAGAGGAATCAAACAATCACATAAAAAGAAACAGATGAAAAGCAGAAAAGTCGATGATTTTAAAAGTTTCCTGTAGAGGTGTGATTGCATTCATGCTCTTTAGTTTTGTGTGACACCTCAATAGCTATCTGATGTATTTATATTTAAATAAACTATTCTGTGTTTATGCTCATGCCAGGGGTATTCCATGAGTACCCTGTTATTTTCGCAAAAAACAAGGTCCTTAAAAACCAGAACCAAAACCACATAACATGATATCCTTGATCAATCTCAATTGTGATTTTCAAACCAACTTTGAGGTTGCTGCAAAGCACCAAAAAAAGCATAGCTGGCCTCCCTCTCTCAGGCTGCTGGTTCATACCTTTCCTAGAACAGAGAGACAGTTAAATGATAAAAGGTGCTTGAAGATCATTTAGGTAAGAAAAAGGAAAGTAAACAGAGTAGACAACATAAATAGGAATTTGAAAGCAATACTTGTTATATAAAACAGTAATAAAGATGATGTACCTACAATTAGTTAAGAATTGTCCTATGATGAACAGAAAGTTCATGATTGTGGAAGCTGAACAATGAGTAATAGGAGATTCATCATAATGGATATATAAGTTTTCTCTACTTTTGTTTAGAATGTTCATAATAAAAAGTTTTAAAAATTATCCTTGTAGTATCATTTCCATTTAAAGTAAAATTTTAAAGGAGTGCATAGGCAAGTATAATGTACTTAAATTACTCTAATAAAAAATAAACAAGCAAACAAAAACCCCCACGAAACTATACCTCTGTCTATATTTTGTTTTTTAAGGGGGTTATTTTGATAGAATCTGTTAATGCTTTAGAAGCAATGAAAGTCATAAATAGCTTCTTTATAAAAACAGGGATTTTAAATACTTACAGAGAACAAGTCAAAACTAACTTCCCAGCAACTTAAAGAGATTCAGCCAACATTTGACACTTGATAAATAAAAGAAATGATGAAATTCCTTGTTTTATTTAAACTAGTAAGAATTATAAAATAAGTACATATTCTTGAAAACAGGATTTATTTGAAACATTTAGATAACTCACAGGTGTTCCTGGTGCTACTCGAGACACAATCACAGGCATCTTCTGATCATATCCTCCCTTAAAAAGAGAATAAGTAAAATGTTAGTCAAATATTACCAAAATAAGAACATCTTAATTTAAAAACTGAGTATAAAATAAATTCCAGATTACCTTTACATTGAATCCAAACCTCCCATTTTCATCAGGTTTCATTCTGATTAGGACAAGATTATCATGTGGAATACCACCATTAGGCTTAAAAAGACAAAATTAAATAACTTGTAATTTTCTTCACTTAAAATCTATTCTTCAGATATATAGGAAGCATATTTTTTGTATGCTTATATTATGCATAGTTTGTAAAAAATCATAATTCTAATAAAAATTTTAGTTCAGAAGAGTAAATTCTTTGACTAATAACTTGCAGTTAGCCCAACCAGATATATCCTCTCATGCATTCTTACGAGCATATGCTAGACTATTAAGTGACAGGAGGAACAGGGGCCATGTCTGTCTTTATTAATTGCTATATCCGTAGAATCTGGCTCATAGCAAGCCAGGTTCATATGTATGAGTATACAGAGGGTGCTCATAAGTGTTACATGAATTCAAATGATACTTCCACTGCTTGATATATGTGATTTTAAAAAACAGCTTTATTGAGATATAATTCACATATCATTCACCTATTTAAAGTGTATATTTCCATAATTTTTACTCTTGTCACAGAGGTGTACAAACATCACTATTATCTAATTTTAGAATATTTTCATCAATTCCAAAAGAAATCTTGTATCCATTAGCAGTCGTTCCCCATTTTCCCACCTGCCATCCTCCAAAGCCTAGTCAACCACAAATCTACTTACTGTCTCTTGACAGATCTGACTGTTTTGGATATTTCACATATATGAAATCCTACAACACATGGCTATTTGTCCTGGGCTTCTTTCATTCAGTATGTTCTTTATTGTTATTTTTATTTTTAATTTTTATTATTATTATACTTTAAGTTTTAGGGTACATGTGCACAACATGCAGGTTTGTTCAGTATGTTCTATGCCTGCTCTTTGAAGGAAAAAATCTGACTAGTTCTTATCAGAGATGATCTCTTATAGGAATCTTCCCTTAACCCCACAGCTTATTTAATTATATACTCTATGTACTCCATGATCACTTCTAATTATAGAACTTATATTGAGATACATCATGGCACAATTCAGGACCAAAGAATATGATGAAAAAGAGAAGGTACTGTAATACAACTTACAACTAAAAACTGCCAAAGTACAAAAGAAATTTCATTTAGGATTTTAAAAATTCAAATAAAAATGAGAATATCTGAAGAAGCTACTTACAGTGGGTTTTTCAGGAGAAGATGGAATATCAAATGTTTCATTAATATGACTTTCTAGATCTTGTTGCGAATGTGAATAATGAATTTGGTTCCAACTGTTTTTCTTTGACTGTTTGGGTGGTAAAGCTGGAGGCTTCCCATCTCCAGGGGTCTCTTGTGATCTAGACAAGAAAACAAATTTGGAAGTTGTTTCATAACTTTTTTAAAAGTTAGGGTCAAGCAACCCACATATTTACAATGTCTGGTAGGAGACAGGCTCTAAATACCATATTTATTTGGAAGTGCCACTTTTTAATGAAAATTTTCCTAACTTTGAAGTAATAAATCTAATTTCCTACTTTATCAAATTTATAAACAATTATATAATAAAATATATTATCAAGGTATTCCTGTGAAGATACCTATTAATCTATTATAACAAAGTAAACATCTTTCCAAAAAAATTTTTTTAAGGTTGTCAGAGGAGTCACGGGTAGCCAGGAATAAGGTAGGCAAGAAAATCCAGAACTGATAATTGGGTAGTTCCACAGATAAAGTAACTATTCCAGCCTAAATAGCTTAAGAGATTGGCCTAATCTATTTAGAAATAAAATACGATTCATGGAAGTAATGAATTCAATGATGCAGTGAGGATTGGAAATCTGAGTAAGAGTGCTGAGATCATCACCAGAGCCAAAACTGGTTGAGATATTGTCAGAACATATGATTTAAGGTGAGAAAACAAAATCCAATTAACATTAGAGAGCATAAGCCTCAATTTGTGGCAACAGGAATTGATAAAAAGAGCTAGATATGATAAAGGTAACTTCAGGTCAGAAACTCTAGCTTTTAACAAGCATAAAATGTATAAAAACATTACTTGTGAGCATTCCACAAAGGCCAAAAGTAGAAACTTGTGGTTCAACTTGTGTCTTAAGAAGTATGCATCCACAGAAGTCGTGGATTTGGGAGAAGTAAAAGATTAAATAGGTAAGCGGAAAATTGTTCTTGATAAGAACACTGACCACTATTGGCGTTATTATCTGATAAAAGAATTACTGTCTTATTGCCTAAGGACAGGTATAAGAGAGATGACAGCTACTGTGTCAAGCCACATGGCTGCTGATGTGGCACTGAAGCACACATTTTATACCTAGTATCTGCTCTTCTGTTGACTAACGGGACACCTAACATCCAAGCTATAAGGTCTGGAGATAAGGAAAATGTATTAGATGATATTATCATTAAAAAAAAAGTTCTTCTTCCCCCCACTGACATTAGGCCTGGCCATGTGACTTGCTTTGGCCAATGACATGTGGGTAGAAGTGGAATGTGTAACTTTTGAAAGGAAGCTTTAAGAAACAGTTTATGGGCTGGGCACAGTGGCTCATGCCTGTAATCCCAGCACTTTGGGAGGCCGGGGTGGGCGGATCACGAGGTCAGGAGATTGAGACCATCCTATCCTGGCTAACATGGTGAAACCCTGTCTCTACTAAAAATACAAAAAAATTAGCTAGGCATGGTGGCAGGCGCCTGTAGTCCCAGCTACTCGGGGGGGCTGAGGCAGGAGAATGGCGTGAACCTGGGAGGCGGAGCTTGCAGTGAGCCAAGATCGCGCCACTGCACTCCAACTTGGGCGACAGAGCAAGACTCCATCTCAAAAAAAAAAAAAAAAAAAAAAAGAAAAAAATGAAACAGCTTATGATTTCATTATGCTTCTTTTTTCCCTTGCCCATGAGACTAGCCATGTCCCAAACAGGGAATGCTACCAGTCTGGGACCCAGAATGAAGATAAGGTAGAGCACAGCCACAGATGACACATAATGTACATACAATGTAAGAAAGAAAGAACTTTTGTTATGTCTCTTTAAGTTAGGCTCATTTGTGATCAAGCATAACAAGATAACTGATACAGAGATTTACTGCCAGAGTGACCCTTGGATACATCTGTTCTCCCTTGTAGAGGAGGTGTAAGCTTATTGAGAGGTTGGCTGCTAGACACCTAGTAAATAAGTGTTGTGAAACTGAAAGAAAGTATGATCAGTGCCAAGGAAGTCAGCTGGGATTAATAATGAATGATGTGATTGTATGGTCTTAAAGAGAAGTTTCTCCTAGGAGAGATTAGAGTCTTTCTGAAATTTTATAACATGGTATAAAATATAACTGCAAAAGAAGCAAGTGAACAGCAATGCCCACTTAGCCTAGATGTCTGCATAGAAATACTTCAGGGCACAAATGCTCTAAATTCTGCCAAGTCTACAAAGACTGCATCAGAGCATACATCCCTCTTTTTCAGCCAAAGCTTCATTGAGGTCTGCCTTAATGGCCAGGGCTTCCAGCTCCCAAATGTGGTAGTTCTTATGTTACTTTCAACTGCCAAGAATACAAGCTTCTAAGGGCCCATAGATTCAAGTATTGCTTGTCTAGGGAAATGTTTCCATGGATTAGAATAGAGATATGTAACTCAACCACGGCCTACTACATAGGATTAGAGCACACAGAGATGGACATCCCTTAGCAGAACTTAAGAGATGCAACATTTTTAAAAGGCAGTTGATAAGAATCTCTAAAACTTTACAAATACCAGAAGTAATTGGACTCGACATATATAACAGGTCTCACCCCTTACTTGGACCTAAGTGTAACCACTTAGGCAATATAATTAGAAACTCTTTCTGCTTTGCATACAGTTGTCATAACCAGGAAACATTTAAAAGCTAAATTTAAAAGCTGAGAAAAAAAATTTAAAACTAAAAGCCTGTGGGAAAGGGAGTAAGGTGGAGAACATATGAAAATGGAGTCAGGGAAACCTTCCTTATTCTTGGTCCAGCTATCAGTTTAAATACAGCACCAAAATATACAGGAGAAACTCAAGCCTGATCAGCAGTGGTATATCTAAGTGAGCCAAACCTGTATGGGCCTATCGGTGGCAATACTCAGTTATGCCTAACAGTGGCATACTCAGTATGGGCCTAACAGTGGCAATACTCAGTTACATGAGAGGGACAGCACTGATTCTATGGTACATTTTGCTAAAACTGTTGAATCTCTACTTCTGGGGTTACAAGAAACACCTCCAGAGGTGGTTTTTATTGCGCAATTATGATTAGACATTATTGTCCTAAAAGAGCAGTTATAAATTCATGGATTATGGGCCAATTTTGGCCAACATACATTTGGACCATTCATTGTTTTTATAAAAATAATTGAGTTAAACAATTACATTTTTAAAATTGCATACAAATCTAGATTTTCAAGATGAAAAATCTGGAAGCTCCGGAAAGAATGGGCCTGCAGTACCAGTTGTCAAACACTGTATAAAGCCAAGTGGCAGCTGCTGTCTTTAGATGCAGCATGAGCTCTATAATCTACACAAATCTCCATCCCGTGCTACTTGCAAGACTACAGGTATTTGAGAATAACCTCTTTTAACCTCTTTTTAAACAATCAAATCAAGCAGGAAGATACAGATAGGAAAAGAGCCCAAGTATAAATGCTGAGGTTGGGATTTAAGCCAAATTATAAGGAAAAGGTGAGGAGAATGAAGTATAGATTAAGATGAAGACGAAAGGACAGTAAAACTTTGGATTTCAGGACAGAGCTACCTGCCTTCTCACTGTCTTATGTAACTTTCTTATTAAAGTAACTTTTCAGAGAGTGGCAGACAGGCTCTCCATATGCCTGACTGCTGCAGAGGGTTAGGTTAGTCTAGGGAGCTCTTATAATTTAATTATGTACTCTCACAGTAATCCCTGTAACTGTTTCCCTTTTCTATACTTCTAATTTCAATAACCAAACTGTATACATACACAACCAAACTCTATACACACACACACACACACACACACACTCTGAAGTCTATAAAAGTAATCAAGGATGTCAACACAGACTCCTGAAATTCAAATATTGGGCAAAGGTTATCAATTACATTTTTTAAAAGACATACTCCAAGAATATTAATTCAATTTACTTTAATGAATAACTTTCTTCTTCATTTCTATTGTACAGCTATCATATATATTTATTACTTAAACAGTTATCTAGGAAGATGATTTTCATAGGTAAACCTTGCATTATAATTAGAAATGATACATTAAAAATAATGTCATGAAACAGTCCAATTCTTAAAAACAATACTATTTCTAAGTGCACACACACAAAAATCTGCCAAGTATAAGAGAATGAAGAGACATGATGCAATTTGGAGAATAACCAGGCAGCATAGTGAAACACAGCCCTGTCAGAAATTACAGCTGGTACCCTCAAGAAAGAGACCTTTAATTTTCAAAGAAGGCCAGCATTTACTGGCTTTAAGGAAGGGAGCTGGAAAAGATCTGAGTTAGGGAAAGTGAGAAAAAAATGCAATCCTGAAGGGATTATTTTATTACTTTTAAAAAAGAAAAATGAACAACCCTTGAAAATCATGAATTTTTTTTAAAAAACGGTAAAGGCACAATTGTACATAGAAATCTGTCACAGAAGCATAAAATTTATTCCAATAGACTAGAAAACAAAAACTATATTCTTGTTAGACACTAATACAAATGTGCCAGAAATTGATGGCTCTTTAAAAAACTCTTATTTTCCAGCCTGGCCAACATAGCAAGACACCATCTCTACAAAAAATTTTTTTAAAAAAATAAACTGGGGATGGTGGTGTATACCTGTAGTCCCAGCTACTCAGGATGCTGAAATGGGAAGATCATTCAAGAACAGTAGTTTGAGGCTGTGGTGAGCTATAATTGCGCCACTATGCCCCAGCCTGGGAGACAAAGAGACCCTGTCTCTTAAAGAAAAAAACAAACCCTTATTTTCTAAGATGTAGATCAAGAGAACATGTCTTATTTAACTATAACCACTACTGTTATTCTAGTCTTCAATTACGCATTTAACCCAACTTATACTCTACTTATATTACATTAGATACAGATAAAATTCTGATTCAAAATTCAGGCTTCTTAACACTTTGGCTACTTTATTCTGATAATGACAGTGTTTCAAAGTAAATGTCACTTCAGGTTGATTACCAATTAACGCACAAGGCACTTTAAAAAGCTCGTGTAAACTATCAGGGATATGAGTAATATCTAAGAATAGAACTGACAATGTCATGTGATTTTAACAGTAGGAATCTATTCCAGAATAAGCCTCCCAGCAACCTGAGATTCTTGGTTTCAACCAAACTCAAGGTGTCTGCCCTTAGCTCCCAAGTGCAAGTGACAGAGCCTTTAGCCAGAGATGAATGGTAGGTAAGCATACTGCAGCTACAGTGTCCGGGGACCTGTAATTAGTCTTGAAGCCATGAATACAACAGCATCTAATATGTTACATTCTCTAAGTCCCCATGGCTTGATATCTCCTTCTATTCAAACCTTCGATTTTTTTACTTCCTTGTCCTAGAATAGCCTAGTATTTGAAGAGTTCACAATATATTGCTAGACTTGATCAAGACTGGAATAGGAATTGGGGACAACTGAGTTGTAGATGGAAATCATCAGTGCCAGTAGCTGAGAGGGGTGGAGGAAAGGCAAAGCTTTGAAGACCAAGCAAAAGGAACTGAAGAGGTATAGACAAAGCTGCGGAGATTCATTAGATAAGACTAGAATGGAATAGTCCAGGAAAGAATGGCTCGGGGAACTGGATTTAACACTTGAGGATGGCCAGGCACGGTGGCTCACACCTGTAATCCTCCCAAACAACTTGGGAGGCTGAGGCAGGTGGATCACTAGAGCCCAGGAGTTCAAGACCAGCTTGGGCAACATGATGCAACCCTGTTTCCACAAGAAATACAAAAATTAGCTGGGCATGGTGTCATGCTCCTGCAGTCTCAGCTACTTGGGAGGCTGAGGTGGGAGGATTACTTGAGCCCAGGAGGTCTAGGCTGCAGTGAGCGGTGATTACACCACTGCACTCCAGCCTAGGCAACAGAGCAAGACCCTGTCCCTAAATAAACAAACAAACAAAAAGCCACTTCTGGATTATGAAGTCTGTCTAGAATATCTTGTGATTAGGAATGTAAGAATAAAGTTGAGAATCTGGAGAATTCTTCACTGTCTTCAACCAGATGCTCACACTTCAAATATCCAGACAAACTGTTGATAATATATTAAAAGTTGTTGGAATATATCCCAAGAGCTTAACTGAAAAAAGCTATATAATTATTATATGCTTATAGCAACTCTTTGAGGTAGATATTATTATCACCCTGTTTTTTAACAGTGAGGAAACAGGCTTACGGAGATAAAATAACTCACCAAAGGTCACCTAATTAGAAGTAGTGGAACCACGTTTTAAACCTAGTCTGAATCCAGAGCTTGTGCTCGTAAACACTATGATATATAGTTGCATCTAAAACAAAGTAACTGCAAAAAGGAGGAAAGTTGTTTTAAATCAGAGGTTTCCAAACTTTTTGTGGCAGTGGAATCTTTTTCTAAAAAAAAAAAAGTTTCTCAGAAGCCAATTTATAAAACAGATAAATGCTAATAAGCATCCCCCACCCCTGTCAGTATCTGAGGCCTCAACAGAACTCCCAGAACTTATCAGAATATATCCAGAATATGACTATTTTAAATCCCTTTTTTTGGTTATAAATGGTAATACTGCTATATTTTAAATTCTAACACAAATCACTTATATTTTAATGAACAGAAAGCAAGATTAGTAAATATCAGGGCTTATATACATCCATATTTAACTTTAATTGATAACATTTCTAACTCAATTGTTTTAACATATTTAAAACCAATAATTTGCCTAAAATGTACTAAAGGAGGGGGCACCAGGGCTCAAAACACATACTGTACACAGTTTACCCACATAAAAAATTTACCCACATTAGCCAGGCATGGTGGCTCATGCCTGTAATCCCAGCACTTTGGGAGGCCGAGGTGGGTGGATCACAAGGTCAGGAGATCGAGACTATCCTGGCTAACACGGTGAAACCTGGTCTCTACTAAAAACACAAAAAATTAGCCGGGTGTGGTGACGGGCGCCTGTAGTCCCAGCTACTCGGGAGGCTAAGGCAGGAGAATGGCGTGAACCCGGGAGGTAGAGCTTGCAGTGAGCCAAGATTGTGCCACTGCACTCCAGCCTGGGCGACAGAGTGAGACTTTGTCTCAAAAAAAAAAAAAAAAAAAAATTATCCCACATTTAAAAAAAAGTACTATTCGTGTTAACTTTCGGTTGTTAAGAGAAAGGAAAGATGGCAATATAATTCTAAAAGTGTTCCAAATGCCCAACATTCATATTGGGGCTTTTTACCAAAAATAACTTGCTTATCTTAAACTCTGACCTTTTTTTTTTTTTGGTTTTGGTTTTTAAAAGATGGTGTCTTGCTGTATTGTCCAGGCTGAGGTGCAGTGACTATCCACAGGCACCATCATGGAGCAATACATCCTCGAACTCCTGGGCTCTAGTGATCCTTCTGCCTCAGCCTCCTGAGTAAGCTGGGACAACAGGTGCACACCACCACACTTGGCAATCTGACATTTTGGAAAATGTTAAGTGGAGGGTAAATAATGAAAATGTTATATTCGAGTGTACTATGCTGGTAGCAGAGCAATATATTGTCACATAGTAGCAAAAGTTTGTTAGAAATGTCAATCAAGATGTGTGAAAAAATGTGCACAATTTATTTCAGTCCACTGAGCTTTAAATTTTCTTATAAATGCTTCAACAACAGCAGTGAAAAAAAGCTTATTTTGCAGTTAATGCAGCTCTCTGTTGCCGCCTTTAGAAATTTGTATGCTAATAAATTTAACCATCCAATTCACATGCTGTGTTGTAGACTGTGGTCTCCTTTACTTTATCCTTAGCCTATAAATGGTAACTTTATTCTAAACAGTATAAGCAACCTCCTGTACTCACTTAAATAAATAATTGGTAAGATGATTTTATCTGACAATTAAAAAAAGGTATATGTGAAAAACCTTAAAAAAAATCTATTTCATTACATGTTGAAATGTTCTGTGCTTAATCCAATACATCATTTAAATTCTTTTCACATTTGGACAACAGAAAAACTGAAATCTATGGATTCCAAGCTGCAAAGTATTTTATCTAAATTGCAAATCAAAAAACATCTATAACATCTTGTTGGGGATACAAAGTTCTCCTGGCTGATTCTCATGCTACAGAAAGCCCGAGTTTCTGTTCTGTAAATTGGGACAAGTGTTCTAAGTGTGGCTTTCTTATCTATAAAATGGATATTACATATCTTTCCTATTTCACTGAATTCTCCTGAATAGAACAGTGAGATAATTTATGTAAAAGTGACTGTAAGCAACTAAGTAAGTTATTATTATTAAGCTTATCTTTTCAGAACTCTCTCATTATTCTTAAGGTTAAAAACTGGTTGAATGTCAAATGCAGTAATATAGATTCAAAATGGAATACAAACACATAAACCTTATAAAATATATGTCCAAGGAGAAGGCTCCAAGCATTTTATATTCTTGTGCACAAGAGAGAAGAAGCAAAAACTCTTCACAGTTCCAAGCTACCCTGAACTCGCTTCTCCACTCAAGTCAGGAAAGTAGAATAAAGGTGTTTTGAGATGGCAAATGTATTAGTCCATTCTCATGCTGCTATGAAGAAATACCTGAGACTGGGTAGTTTATAAACAAAAGAGGTTTAATTGACTCACAGTTACACATGGCTGGGGAGGCCTCAGGAAATTTACAATCATGGTGGAAGGCACCTCTTCACAGGGCGGCAGGAGAGAAAATGAGTGCATGCAGGGGAAATGCCAGACACTTATAAAACCATCAGATCTTGTGAGACTCATTCATTATCACAAGAACAGCATGGGAGAAATGACCCCCATGATTCAACTACCTTTACCTGGTCCTGCCCTTGACACCTGGAGATTACAATTCAAGGTGAGATCTGGGTGAGGACACAGAGCCAAACCATATCAGCAAGTGATTTGGGGGTTTGTGAATCTATAAAATTTACATGTGAGGCCGGGCGCGGGGGCTCACGCCTGGAATCCCAGCACTTTGGGAGGCCGAGGTGGGCGAATCACGAGGTCAGGAGATCGAGACCATCCTGGCTAACACGGTGAAACCCCATCTCTACTAAAGATACACAAAATTAGCCGGGAGTGGTGGCTGGCGCCTGTAGTCTCAGCTACTCGGGAGGTTGAGGCAGGAGAATGGCGTGAACCCGGGAGGCAGAGCTTGCAGTGAGCCGAGATAGCGCCACTGCACTCCCGCCTGGGTGAAAGAGCGAGACTCCATCTCAAAAAAAAAAAATTTACATGTGGAAATATTCAATTGCGTTTATATGTCTTTCTTTGGAAAAGGCCCTTTAAAAATAGATAAAGATAATTTTGTTAGGCCTCAAGAATTATATTGGTTTTGGTTTGTAATAATTAGGCTTTTTGATTCCTGCATATGATTCATTTTTATGTCACAGAAGTATGTAATTTTAAAAATCAAATCAATATTTCAATCATGTCCTTAATTACTATACTTTTTAAAGTTTTCAAATTAGAACATATATAATTATTAAAAATCAACTGGAAAGTTTAGAATTATAACTTCTAAAGTAATAAAATATTAAATCTCCCATCAATCCTATTTCTTGCCAACTAATTCCCCACAGGTATCATTGTACAGTGTGTATCTGTCCTATTTCTCCATTTTTAATAATATATACACACAATCAAAATGTTTTACCAAGATATACATCACGCAGGCTGAACTCCTACTTGTTTTGATAGCTCAGCCAGTCTTCCTTGGTTTACCCTACCCAGGGACAAACATGACCCTACACCTGTACTCTCTTCCACCTACCACTCTTGGGCCCACTCTTTACCCCTGATCGCACTCACTATATCTTACACCAATTTCTCCTTCTCAAGAAATAAATCTTCTTACCTATCTACATAGGTAAATTAAAAAATCTTCTTACCTATCTACATATCTTGTAAGTATTTTAATTTTCTCAACACTTTTTACTCATACTTATGGTTCTTTTCCTTTAAAAATATTAAGGAAACTCTGCTTTAACTACCCTCCTCCTTGACCAGAGTGCTACATCATCTGCAGAAATATTTGAGTTTATATACTAAAAACTGAAGAACTGTCTAAGTCAACAAAATAACAACATAGTGACTGGGTCGGGGAGGGAGAGGCAACAAGAACTCTCAGGAACAAATGAGCATAATTGCAAACATACACATTTTGAAAAGTTGCATAATTAAAATCTTGTATCGAATATCCTAATTTCCCAGATTATTTTAAGTAAAGCAATTTGGGGCATTTGAAAATACAGAGGAAGCAAAATAAAAAAGCTCTTACGGTGATGATTCCAGAACAATGCTATTAGCTTGTGTTGATGACGGAGATCTCTGATTTACAAACACTTCGCTTGGGGAAGTATGAACCATATGGTCTACCAAATGACCAACTGAAGATGGTCGTAACCGGGTTCCTTCCTGCGTGAATGTAGAATTTCGACTAAATAAAGAGGGAGAAAAACTGAATAAAAATATGCTTCAATTCAAAATTTCCAAGTTTCTTAATATATGGTTACATCAGAAAGGGGGTATGTGTTTTTAAGTCAAGCCATGTTGACTAAGCAATCTCTGAAAAAGACAGTGTGATATAAACAGAGGGAACAGAGAATGGGAAGTCAGTGATCTGAGTTACAATCAACAATCTGCCAAGGATTCTACCCATAAAGTTACCTACTATCTCTAAGTGCCTTCATGTTTCTAGGTGTTAGTCACTATGATTTTGTCTTACTCAGCATTTATAAAATAAAGGGATTAGAATAAATCATTTAGAAATATATTCTAGTCTGAATTATTTTTTAATTGTTATAAATGTTTTTATTTATGGGACTTTCTTTGAAGCCTTAGAGTAGATACTGAATACTATATTGCCATCCTCTTGACAGTCACACAAAGTAGTGTTATTACAATTTTTAATTACAATATTTCAGTATTTATGTATGTGTCAGACATTTCTCTAAGCATTTCATTTAATCCTCATAACAGTACTATAAGAAAGACATTATTATAAATATAATTTTGTAGATGAGAAAAATGAGACAGAGATTAACTTGCCCAAGTTCAAGCATACAGTGATTCCAGGGCCCATGCTCTTAACCACCACCTTGTACTATCTCTTCAGAATTTTAAAAAATCTTTTTAGATTATACCTGAAATTGTTTCATTAACCAGAAAACTTAAACAGAGCTACTGTTAATTAGTTACTTGAGTACTTTGGCTTAACTTGCTATTATTTTCTATAACTTGCTATTATTGTTTAGTGTTGCTGGTACAAATGGAGAAATGGCTGTTTGTGCAAAAGGGAAGAGAAAAACAAGGTCTGAATTTTCTTCAGACAAGCTAATGAGGCTTTGAATATATGTAATCATTTATAAGAAAAAATGATAAAAGCAACCTGAAATTGGCAAGACAGAAATTACTAAGTCCATTTTTTTCTAGGAGTAACTTTAACACGTTAAGTATTAAAGCTCTGTGAACCAAACTGTTTATGTATAAACTGTTCTGATATGGTAGAACTTTATTCTTCAGCTGATAATAGCCTTCAATGCTCTAGCTGTTAGATTTTTTTTTTTTTTTTTTTGAGACAGGGTCTCACTCTGTGGTCCAGGCTGAAGTGCAGTGGTGTGATCTCAACTCTGCAACCTCTTCCTCCTGGGTTCTAGCAATCCCTGCCCCACCCCCCTGACAGGTGCACGCCACCATGCTCAGCTAATTTTTGTATGTTTTTGTAAAGATGGGGTTTCACTATGTTCACCAGGCTGGTCTTGAGCTCCTGACCTTAAGGAATCCACACACTTTGGCCTCCCAAAGTGCTGGGATTACAGGAATGAGCCACTGCACCCAGCCACGTTTAGAATTTTATACAAATTTATTAAACATTAATGTGTGTAAAACATTTATGAAAAAAGACATCTTCAAATATTATATTTCATACCAAAATTCAAGTATTTTATAAGTGAACCTTATGGGTTAACTAAGTATGTTAATATGGTGGCACACAATTGTTTACCATTATCTTAATTACATACAACATTTGTAATATTATCAAATTAAGATAATCAACATCTTTGGCTGGTACATTTGGCTAGTTTATGAACTTATAATCATTTATACCAAAACATACAACTTTTGTGAGCAATGTCAGACTGAAGTACATATACGGTAAGTGCTGAATCACACAGTGCTTTTTAGCTCAGGGAGAGCTAAGCTTATGGGGACTGGTGCTGGAAACCCCTTTTCCTAGGCCATAGAACGTGCTGAAGCCATGGTTGAGCTGGGGGTTTAAGAGAATCCCAATCACTTGCAAAGCATTTTCAAACAATATATGCTCCCCTAGAAATTCTGCTGGGAATCCACATGAAAAATGAGTATGTCAACAACAACCATACAAGATTTTAAGTCTAACAGATCTTCATTTATCAGGGACTCTTAACTGCGAAAGTTAACTGTTGAGGAGAGTGAGAGTGGAGGGTCCTTATTCAATGCGCTACTCTCATTCCGCAAGTCTATACCATGTTACTTCTGCAAAGAGCAGCAGGCAAAGAGAAAATAATGCTCTGGAGCAACAAAAATCATGTTTCACCAAAAGAATTCAATTTTTGCGTATCTTTGTCTTCAGGCATAAAAATATACAGCCAATAATTAGAAATTAGCAAAATTCACACCTGATGTTGGTCACAAAATTCACACTTACTGATTAGGAGTTCCCGGTGGAGATCGTGATGGAAGACTTTGTGTTTCTAACCTGTCATCAGATATTGAATTTCTGCTTACTACTTCCCAATCCATTAATTTCCGTGCCAAGGGCTTACTTGGGGATCTGCAGAAATAAATTAAATAATATGTTAAAAGTTTTATTTTTATACCCCAAACCATGAATCAAATCCTACAATTTGTTTTCAGAGATTATGTTCTAGATGAGCAACATAAAGAGTTTACTTGTAAAAAATTAATGCATTTAGAGGCTATTTACCAAATAACTTCCTAAGAATGTACATTGGCTTTATATGAAGAATAAAGGTAAGACAGGCTAGGAAGAGTAAGATAGACAATAAGAAGGATGAGAAAAACAGAAGAAACAAGAAAAGGAAGGACAAAGGTAAAAAGGGAAGGGTTTGCTACCAAATGTTTTCTCAGATGTTACTGACAAGACAGATACTACCTACTTCTATTCCAGAGTATCTGGAACACTAGCTTATCTTGGGATGTATTAAATAACTCCTCGCACATTATCTCCTGAATGCTTCTATAACTAAATCCCAATCCTCTGCCTCAATGAAGACAGAACAAAAATAATTATGCATATTACATTTTATCTACTTAAAAAATTGTTTACATATAGTAGGTTAGTGGATTTTTCCCTTTTTTCCAAAAACATTTTGGAGGGTTAATAATTCTGTCTATTGGTGGGGAGTAAAAGGATATGTTTTGTTACCAATCTATATATTATCAGCTATCCTAATGATAAAGATGAAAACTAAGTGATGTTTTAAAAAAAGATCTTGGATGCGCGAGGTGGCTCAGTGCTGCAATCCCAGCACTTTGGGAGGCCCAGGTGGGAGGATCACTGGAACTTAGGAATTCAAGACCAGCTTGGGCAACATAAGGAGACTCTGTCTCTACAAAAAATAAATTAGCTGGGTATGATGGCAAGTGCCTGTAGTCCAAGCTACTTGGGAGGCTGAAGTCAGAGGATCAACTTGAGTCCAGGAATTTGAGACTGCAGTGAGCTGTGATAGCACCACTGCATTCCAACCTGGGTGACAAGAGTAAAACCCTGTCTCAAAAAAAAAAAAAAAAAAAAAAAAAAGAAAGAAAGAAAGAAAGATCTTCATATTGATTCATTCAGATCAAAAGATACTGATCTATGCAGAGATCATAAACCCTTAGAATTTTAGGAATGTTAACAAATAAAGTATTTTTTATATGCAAATTCAGATAATAGACAAAATTAGCTGAAAATATATGTTATTTCTTTAAATGCCTGGCTTTATGAAGTGCAGAGTTAATGTGGAGGCGAATAATTTAAGCTACATATATAAAGTATATAATAAATCATCTTGTAAACAGTTTTATATTTCAGTAATTAACTGAAGCATATAAAAACTATATGTATTTTCCATTCCAGCACAATTTACAAAAAATGAAACATCCTGTTGTCTTCCTACAAAAATCAGATCATAAAAATTTAGGTAGAAATACCTATTTGAGTAAAATTTAAAAATGAAGACTATTTTTGGTTATAGTTAATAAGAATCATAGGCCTTTGTTGTGTGACTTTGGATTTATTTTCAGATTTTCTTATATTGATAAAGAATTGCAGGTAGTATTGGACTTGCTTTTTTAGCTCATTGGGATATTTTTCTCTCATCATGTACTATGTATACACTTCTGTATGGCTAAAAAAAAAAAAACAATTACCAAGGAAGGCACAAAGCAAATGCAATATTAACTCATCTGATTACATTAAAACTTAATAACATTAGAATTCTGATACATAATGATCTCATGAAGTTTGAAGTTTCACTGCCTGCTAGAATTTCCTTTCCAATATGTTAAACGTGTAAAAAGAAATGTCGGACTAACACGCACAATAACACTGACCAAAGAGAACTGAACAAATTGTTATTATGTGTACAGTAGGAAGCATTAAAATAATGATAAGGACTCTGAATTCTAGATGTGGCTTCCTATTAGACAGACCTCTTATGTTTCTGTATCTAAATGTATAAATTTATTAGCATAATATGACCCATAGGTCTCTCCCTACCTCCTGAATTTTATGATTTATGAATATCCAAATTTTCAGGGCAATATTTTAGCCTATTAATTTTACTAAACCACGAAAAATTTAAGTTACTTATGAATCTACACCACAGAAGTGTCCTGTCATTTCAGCAATTCATAGCTAAAACTTTTTTAGTTTGGCCTAATGACATTTCCTTAATCAAAAATCTTGTAGGCATTTTATAAGACATGGAATGTTATTAGTTTTAAAAAAGATACATTGACTCAGATTTCATTTTCCGTAAGTGAATTCAAAGTAATTTAGGTGTGAACATTTCCCATTATCACAGGTTTAAATTATAGGATTTTTTGATTTGAAGACAACTCATGACACCGTTTAGTTCAACTCCCTCATATTGCAGTGCAAATTTTCTTATCAGTCACAACAGAATGAAAATAAAGTATATTACCTCATGCATAAAACTTTGATTTTTAAAATAAAGATTAACATTTATGGCTCTATTAATGCTAATTCATAATGTAATAAACTATTATTTCCTCAAATATTAAACTACGAAATGTAAGCTGTATGAAAGTTCACTAACTGTAATCAATAGATCAACTACTTTCATTTTCTAAAAGCTGGAAAAAGTCATTTGAAGAAAAAAAATTCCAGCACACTCACCTAGTCTGAAGCGTCAGAACACTTTATTGCTGTTAATGGACTAAACATGGCTGGACACTTTGAACTTAAAACCAAACTTCATGTATTTTATTTTATTAACAGTTTTAACCTCAGGGACCCACCCACTCAAGCTTGCTGTCTATGTTTCCTGTTGAGTGTGGAAATTTCAGAGAAAAAAATACCACACAGCATCAGTGTGTTTGCGATGTGGTAAGCTTCTTTTCTGTCTAGGGCACCTTATTTTTCTGTTGTATGAGAACATTGTTTTTCTCTTTTCTTAGATATATTATATGACAACTGCAAAATGTGAAAGCAATTTGAAGAGGTGATAATCAGTATATGTGCTGCTGAGGCGAACACAAAGAGGTGATAATCAGAAAAAAGAAAAAACATTTAATGATTGCTAAAAAATTATTATATGAGAAGTTTAAGGAGGAGCCTTTTCTATCTACTCATATTGCCAACTAAAACCCAAAGAAAAAAAAAGAACTCTAGGTTATCTGGTACTTTAATAAAATAACTTAATAATTACTAAAACCATTAGAGAATTTTGGTAGACATATATCTGTTCATTACAATTAGATCCTAACATATTAGAAAAACAATCCCAGAAAAGCTTATCTTTCAGAGAAAGAGAGATCATTAAACAGCCCAGTACTATTACAACCTCATTGTAGCTGATACCTTATTATTTCAGAGGAACCACACAATTCCAGAAAAACAAAAGGAAGAGAGTTATCTGAGGCTTATAATATTGAAATTTTACCTCTACTATTCACGGAATCATGGCTATTTGTTTTATAAAATAACCTATTAAACAACTATACATTTTAATAATGAATACACAAAATGAACAACTAAGATGCAGGTATAACTCTGCTTATTTCTAAAATCTGATAGGATCAAAACATGAAAACATTAACACTTATAAAGAAACCATTTGTATGTGATATTAACTTAATACATAAATATGCCTACGATCTGGTACTCGTATGAGGATATGCTGCATACAACTAGTGACCACATCGCACGTTCTACACTGTTTATAAAAGTCAAGCAGAAAGAAGACACTTGTTAAGAAAGGAAAGTTTTAAGTATATTGCTACGCTGTTACAACACTAAGAATCAGAAAAATATTTTAAGAAATGTTATTCGTTTTTTAAAAAATACATGGACTCATTTCATTTTCCATAAGTGAATTCAAAGTAATTTAGGTGTGAAGATTTTCCATTATCACAGGTTTAAATTATAGGATTTTTTGATTAGAAGACAACTCATGACACCGTTTGGTCCAACCCCCTCATATTGCAGTGCAAATTTTCCTATCAGTCACAACAGAATGAAAATAAAGTATATTATCTCATGCATTTGATTTTTAAAATAAAGATTAACTTACCATTTATGGCTCTTCTATTAATGTTAATTCATAATGTAATAAACTATTATTTCCTCATATAGTAGACTACTAAATGTAAGCTGTATGTCACATATTACTGTGACATCCTTACAAAGTCTTAGCAACAACTCCTACTCTGGAGGCAGGGACGTGGCTCAGTAAAGGGAGGAATCCTAAAAGTTAAGTTTACAGTTTACAATCAAAGAATTTAACTGTTAAAAGATTTATTGCCATTATAAATGACTAGATTTTTGAACAGCAAAGAAAATGTGCACGATATGCTAGATGATAAAAACAAACAACAAATAGTTTAAAACAATTTGGAAACAAATATACACACATATATAAAAATGTCTCTATGAGTATATGCATAGAAAAATCCTGAATAATGAGTATCAAAATTTTTTTAAAAAGTTGTCTTGGGATGATAAATTTTCTTTATGCTCTTTGATACTGTTGGAGTTTTTAAACATAATGAGCTATCACTTATATTACTAGGGGAAAAAAGCAATTTCCACTTTTGGAAGGAGGAAGAAAAAAACCAAGAACACAAAACTCCCTTTACTCCAGAAACACAAAGAAGGAAGGTCTCTTAGATAAAGACTTAAGAACAAAATTTAAACAAAGTGAAATCAAAAGCAAACTTTCTAGTTCTCTTTATTAAAACTCAAGCCTCTAATAGCAGTAGATGCCAAACACATAACTAATTAAAAGACTTAGCCTCTCAAAGTAATTTTCACTGAAAACAAACTCTTGTCTCTAACACACCTGTATCCAGTTGGTCATCAGCTTCTGCTAGTTCTGCCTACAAAACGTTCCTTAAATTTGTTCCCTATTTTCCATTCCATTACCAATGTTTTTGTTCAGGCCTTTATTATTTTCACTTGGATTACTGCAATTACCTTATAGTTTCTGGGTACCGAGGCTTTCCTCGCTAATCCATTCTCTATCATTGCTCATAATACTATTTTCTAAAACATAGATCTTATCATGTCATTTCACTTGTTAAAAAGCAAATTGGCTAGGTCGGGAGTGGTGGCTCATGCCTGTAATGCCAGCACTTTGGGAGGCCAAGGTGGGGGGGATCACCTGAGGTCACGAGTTCGAGACTAGCCTGGCTGACATGGTAAACCCCATCTCTACTAAAAATACAAAAATATTAGCCAGGTGTGGTGGCATGCGTAATCCCAGCTACTAGGGAGGCTGAGGCAGGAGAATCACTTGAACCCAGAAGGCAGAGGTTGCAGTGAGCTGAAATTGCACCACTGCACTCCAGCCTGGATGACAGGGTAAGACTCCGTCTCAAAAAAAAAAAAAAAAAAGCAAATTGGCTATGACAGACCCTAAAGAAATAAAGACAATAAATGGTAAACAAAAACAAAAAATAAAACAACTTATCTCTTAACATTATAATTTAAATAAATATGGAAATGGCTTGATAACATGAAATAAGTCACTATATTTCTCAAAAATGTTTAAAAAAGTGGAGCAACCTCGAACAGAATATTATATTAATAACATAATATTTGATCAGCCTATTCAGAACTGCAATGCCTGGCACACTATTAATATAAAAAATGAATCAATAAACTAGACAAGCTAGTTTATCATTCCCTCAACATTATTTACTGTTAAAGAATTGTGATAATTCTGTAATCAAAAATTTGAAATATTTAGAAAAACTTTAGAAAAAATATTTAGAAAAACTTTTTAGTAAACTCAATCCATCTTTTTAAAAAAATTCAAACAATGAAACAGATTTGGCTTACCTTGCAAATACCCTGTCTTTATTTGCCTTTTCTTTGCCATACTGAACTGATTGGACTTCAGTTCTCCCACTGAAATATATAAATATGCACAACAATAAAGTCTTAAGAGAACTATAAGATAAAATGACAACACATAACATGATTATAGTGTAACTTCCTAAGAGACAAGACATTTCTAGCAGAGAAAAGGAAGCAGAGAATAAAAAGACTGGACAACATTCCAATTCTACCTGGATGAATGAAGCTTAGTTACATTTCTCCCATTAATGAAGAAAGATGTGTTCAACTCCCTCCATGTCCAGACACAGAACAGCTCCAGATTTTTGTTTAGAGGAAGGAACTAAGGCAGAAAAATGGTGGGGTTTTGGCACTAGGAGATTTGTTTTCAAGCTGATTTGTCTAGAGGGAAATTGTTGATAGAGAGAAACTGATCTTCTTCTGAAGTACACCAATGTGTTCAGATGAAGTTTGTTAATAAAAGTTCTCAGAGCATTTATTTGAGACATTCTCATTACTTAACTGTGAATTAACATAAATTTGCGGTATATCAAATGTAACCATATACAAATATAGCTATCTAATGCATATAAAAACAGCCAAATGCCAGTTTCCATAGTTAAGCAAGCAATTTTAAGACCATTTTCCATGGATAAATATCAGTAAATATGAACTGAATGGCACTTTTATGAGATTTTAACGGAAAAATGAGAAATACTACCATGACTTTTAAACTTCAAGTTGAATTTTCCTAAGAAAATATTTCCTCTAAGAGGGAGGTAATAAATTAAAGTTCATCACTGTTTTGTATTTCCACATTAGAATAATGATGTTAATCCTCTGGATACTTTGGAACAGAGATAAGGATATGTACATGAAGAGACTGGTGGAGAAAGTAATAGATCTGATAGTCCCAGTACCATCTGTCAGTCAAAAGAGTATTTCAACATTTTAAGTATGACAACAGTTCCAGTATTCTCCACCACTGCTTATTATGAAGGGAAAAAAAGTTTATTTAGTGCATACTCATTAGGGACAGGACTGTGTCCAGTTAACATTTTTACTTCATTTCCTACTTCATTCCTACTTCATTTACAAGATGTCTAACCACTTGGATGATTAAAAAGTGCTTTGGATAAGTTTTAAAGTTCTCCCATTCCTACTTCATTTACAAGATGTCTAACCACTTTGATGATTAAAAAGTGCTTTGGATATGTTTTAAAGTTCTTAAGGACTACAAACGCAAAGCTTAACTTTTTAAAACTATAAATATACACAATTATGTATATACAATTTAATGTGCGAGCTGTCATAGGCCCAGTCCTGTCCTGTGCCCTATGTTTTGCAGGGGCTATGATAAACAAATTCCATTTTCTAGATTATTTTGCCTTAGGTTCTGCTTTTAGAAGGTACTGGTGGAAGATCAGAAAGTGGAGAAAGGCAGAGCAGGAAACTGGCAGCTGCTGGCAGCTGCTTTAATAGTCATGGGGATAGGGTATAGTGAGAAAGAGCATCCTGTAGATGGTCCCATCCTTGATTAAAGCAGTACTTCTCTGCAAGATGCAGACTGATTTTTCTTCACTGGAAAATTAATGTATCAGTCAGAGTTCAGTCAGGGAAACAGAGCTCTAACAGTGTAGTAGCAGGTGTAGTTTGTGGACTCCAGCCCAGGGAGTCCTGAATGCATCTGAATTTTAGGCATTACCCCTTCTTCTTGTTTTTTTCTCCATAACCATGTTTCCACCCTTTTGTTTTCCCAGCATTTCCAACAACCATGTAACTAATTTCCTCAATTAAATTGCTTTTGTTTGAAATACCAAAAGGGCTTTCTGCTTCCCTGACTGAACTCTGACTGATACCTTAATTTTCCAGTGAAGAAGATTCAAATGGGATACTATTACTCAAAAGGCTGGAGTAACAAGTTAAATTTCATAATAAAGAAACAATTTTTTTTAAAATTAATGAAAGAAAGGCTTATATTTCATATTGTCCATAATACAGACATTAGGGATTTAGTATTATCATTACAACAAAATGAAAAACTGTTCCAGTTTCAGAACACTAAACTTTCACAGTAAGATACTTATCTTTTGAGCAATGAGAAAGTTCTCTCTCTTTCTCTCTCTCTTTATATATAGGCTTATTATAAGTTATTCAAGCAACATAGAAAAATATAAAAAGAACAAAAAAATTGTTTTTACCCACAGTCCTATCCATAAAGAAATCATCACCATTATGAGCAGGTAAAAATCATTCTGAAATTCATGTATATAAACATTAAAAAGGCTAGACATACAGGCACAATAATTTTATTACAATGAAACTATGGTATATATGCCACTTTTAACGAAAAAAATTAAACTGGTTTCCAGTGAAATAAAAGATAAAAAAGACTGCCATTCATATTAAAAAAAAGGAAAAAAGATGAAGAAAACCTTAAGAACTGCTGTGTTAATGTCTAAAATTGTTTCAAACTTTAAGGATTCAAATACTTCCTCCCACTAGTCCCTTGCTTTTTTTTTTTTTTTTTTTTGAGACGGAGTCTCACTCTGTCGCCCAGGCTGGAGTGCAGTGGCTCCATCTCGGCTCACTGCAAGCTCTGCCTCCTGGGTTCACGCCATTCTTCTGCCTCAGCCTCCCGAGTAACTGGGACTACAGGTGCCCACCACTACGCCCGGCTAATTTTTTGTATTTTTAGTAGAGACAGGGTTTCACCGCATTAGCCAAGATGGTCTCGATCTGCTGACCTCGTGATCCGCCCGCCTCGACCTCCCAAAGTGCTGGGATTACAGGCGTGAGCCACCGTGCCCAGCCTCATTTTTTTAAAGTTATATTACTTATTCTACTTTGGCAAAGTTTATACCATTTAAATTTTATTCTGCAGTTATAATTCTCACGGTTGTCAAGAATTGTTTCTATATAGAGAGGATTTAATCTTCACTCTCAGGGCTTTTTATATAAAAATAACTTTTTATACCTGATAAAAAGTTATTTTTTTATACCTGATAAAAAGTTATTTTTTTAATCAGGATTATTCTGATTTATCTCCTGGTTTGCTGAATTTTACTACTTAATAAATGTTTTCAGGAAGGTCCTGGAGATGTTATATTCTCTGAGTTTTTGCATATTGGATAATGTCTATATGTTGACTTTGGACTTGAATGGCAATGTGATCATGTTTAATATTTTTTGGTCATGTTTTTGTCTTTAGGACTTGGTTGACAAAGGATGGCCCACAAGTAACATAAGCCTGAAGATACAAGTTTTATTTGGAATACATACTGTTTGTTGTTGTTTAGAGACAGGGTCTTGCTCTGTCACCCAGGCTGAAGTGCAGTGGCCTGATCATAGTCCTGTAACTTTTAACTCCTGGCCTCAAGTGATCCTCCTCCCTGAGCCTCCTGAGTAGTTAGGACTACAGGTGTGTGCCAAAAGCCCAGCTAGTTTTTAAACTTTTGGTAGAGACAGGGGTCTGCCTATGTTGCCCAGGCTGGACTTGAACTCCTGGCCTCAAACAATCCTCCCACCTTGGTCTCCCACAACACTGAGATTACAGGCCCCCATGCCTGGCCTACATTATTTTAAAATATTTAATTCAAACTGATAAACCACTAGCAGACTAATCAAGGAAAAAAGAAGACACAAGTTACCAAGAATGAGAGAAGCAACATTATTACATATTCTAGAGAGATTAAAAAGAAATGGGGAATATTATAAACTCTGTGCCAATAAATTCAACAACCTAGATGAAATGGATAAATTTGCTGACAGACAGAAACTACCATATCTTGCTCAGGAAGAAAGACAAAACCTTAATTGCCTTATCTATTAAAGAATTTGAATGTTCAAAACCTTCCTATAAGTAAGACTTCTGCCCCAGATGAATTAATTTGCAAATTCTATGAAACATTTAAAAATGAGATAATATTATTACTATGCAGCCTCTTCCAGAAAATGGAACTTTCTCAACACATTCATGATTCCAATTTGACCCTGACACAATAAAATCTGAAAATGATATCGTACGAAAGAAAACTACAGAGATATATCCCTCATAAACACATATGCAAAAATCCTAAACAAAATTTAGCAAAGTGAATCAAACAATATATATAAAGGATATCATGGCTAAGTGGGGTTTATCCTAGGAATGTAGGGCTGGCTTAACACTTGAAATGCAATCAAAGTAATTCATCATACTAACATCAGATTTTAAAGTTTGAATATGATCATTTCTTATGTGTCAATTATACTTCAATAAAGCTGTTAAAATAATTGTTCAACTTTCTAAAATGTACATATCCCATTTAATAGTCCTTAATCCCAGTTTTGTCGAAAAACATGTAAAATTTGTCAATACTAGGCCAATCTTCCCCAAGGGCAGTAACAGCCTTCTGAATGGCAGGTGTTGCTCCCTTCCCGGCCGATCTTTTTTTTTTTTTTTTTTTTTTAAATCAGATTGTCCTTGAACTTGCTTTTATTAATATTTATGGTACAAATTTCCTTCTGTTTCAGTGATGATTTCCTCCCAAACAGGTTTCTTCAACTGTCTTTTGTATTTGAAGTCACCGTATGTAAATTTTATGTTTGCTTTGGTATGGTTTGGGTAACTTCCTTGACTTTCTTTTCTCATCTTGTCTGAGACTTGCTTGAATTATAGTTGAAGACTGGTTATTGGTCCTACTCATTTCTTTGTACCTAAATTAAATGGTGTGTGTTTATGTCACATTTGCAAGGACAAAGAGGAGAAAAAAGAATTTGAACAGAGGGTAAGAGTAGTCCTTGTATAACTACCCTGGTAACCAATCAGAAATTAAATTCATTGAAAGAATATCTTTAGGGTTTGTACTGTTCTCATTTCACATAAAGCCGTGGAGATTTCTTCTGTCCTTGCTGAGATTTATTAACAGTAGGTAAGGCTCTTTGCTTTTTCCTTGACTTTCATTATAGATCTGATACTCTCTCCTTCCATCTATTTGCTTTTAAATTTGCAAGTACTGTCATCTTACTTTACTCAAAATTGCTTTTAGGAAGGCAAAAAAAAAAAAAGGAGTTAAACGTGACAGCAAACTGCTTAGGAAATTACTGTGCCTTTTGTTTGGTTAAAAATATTCTAATTCTGTTTAATTGTTACTACTGAACTTTTGAGCCACTTTTACTAATTTTTCTGGGGTGGGAGTCATGTATTTCAAGTGACATATCCTGTACTAAGCTTCATACTGTTATTTTTACGGAGATTACAAATTAGGCAATTATACATGTTTAGGTTTACAATTTAAATCTTTTCTGGGAACATCTAAACATTTTTCTCATGAACATATAACATGAATTAATCTTAACACATAATGGTCAAGGGTTTTTCATTTTATTTTATTTTTATTTTTGAGATGGAGTCTTGCTCTGTCACCCAGGCTGGAGTGCAATGGCGAGATGTCGGCTCATGAAACCCCTGCCTCCTGGGTTCAAGCAATTCTCGTGCCTCAGCCTCCCAAGTAGCTGGGATTACAAGCGCCCACCACCACAGCCAGCTAATTTTTTGTTTTTTGTTTTTGGTAGAGACGGGGTTTCACCATGTTGGCCAGGCTGGTCTTGAACTCCTGACCTCTGGTGATCCGCCTGCCTCGGCCTCCCAAAGAGCTGGGATTACAGGTGTGAGCCATTGCGACTGGCCAAGGGTTTTATTTATCAAAGATGAAAAATCTTATTATGTGAAGCATAAACAAACAAGAATGAATAACATTTGTTTTACTAAAAGATAATGAATAACTTTCTACATGATTCTTACCAGGTTCCACTTAAAAACTAGCTTGCATGGGTCTTTTAAGAATTCCAAAGGTAAAACTAATCAGAGCTTCTTCAGATTTAGTTATTCCCCAAAGATTTGTTGCCGTCAGGAAAAAATAAAAGCTATCAAGAATAAAACAATTTTAGGAAATGGAACCTGGGGTTACTGTTCAATGACTAAATCTGATTTTGCCTCGTGACTGTTTTAAACACTTTACAATAAAGGGTTTGACAACCCAAAAATATGCTAAATTCTAAATTAAAAAACAATAATTATATAGTTTTAGGCATAAGATACCTTGGGTGTCTTAGAACAAAGAAAAGTTTTCAAGCAAATATCTAATAAAGACACAATAGAAATTATGTCATCTGTCTTTATTGTAAATAAGTAAATGTAGTTAATTTACTCCAGAAAATAATGACAGCAAATACAGAACACAGAACTGGTTTCTCAAGCCTGTAGCATATCACAAGAACCTATAGAACTTTTTAATGATACTGATATAGAGGCTGCAATCCATAGGGATTTTTGACTCAGTTAAGTTTGTGTAACAAAGGTTGTATGGTTCCATAAACTACATCTTTATTTTAAAGAAAGGAAACAAAATCCAACAATAAAGCCTTAACACAGAAGCAATACTTACCAGTACCGGAATTTTGAACCTAATGTAAAATAATGTGCAAAAAAATTCTTTTGAGGTGGAAGTGGTCTGTCCAAACGGAAGAATGTGTGATGTTCTACACATGCTTTCCACAAATTTTTACATGCTCTGTAATTCACCATATTAAATCCCAATAATGTTTCTCTAGATTCATGCTGTAATAAATGACAAAATGCAGAGAATACCAGGAAAATGTCAGGATCTAATGCTCCATTTAATTTACTTTTGACAGATAAATTATTCTAGCCTTGTAAACATGAACTTGTTAATGATATAGATAGAACCTATGGGATCTTTTATCTAGGATCTTTTTTGCTTATCCAATAAAAAGGCAATGAAGTATATGCAAAAGCCTGAAAAATCTGGACCTAACTCAGTCTTTTTTTTTTTTTTTTTTTTTGAGACACAGTCTCACTCTGTCATCCATGCTGGAGTGCAGTGGCACGATCTTGGCTCACTGCAACCTCCACCTCATGGGTTCAAGTGATTCTTGTGCCTCAGCCTCCCGAGCAGCAGGAATTAAAGGCATGCACCACCACACCCAGCTAACTTTTTCTATGTTTAGTAGAGACGGGGTTTCACCATGGTGGCCAGGCTGGTCTTGAACTCCTGACCTCAAGTGATCTACCTGCCTTGGCCTCACAAAGTGCTGGGATTATATCATGAGCCCCCGTGCTGGCCTTGTTCATTCATATTATAACTCTTAGGAACTTTAACCTTAGATCATAGTTAGAAATGAGTTCAAACTTTTAATATGTATCTGTTTTCAACATTAGCTATGACTCTGTTTCAAAATATAATTCTAGGCCATAAATTAAATGTTAAAATATATCATCACAACTTTTAACAATATTCCTAATTTAAAATATCTGTCTAGATTGTAAATAAAGAACATTCAGCAGCTCTGAACACTATTACATAATTCAAAATTTAAAATTAGCACTAAAATAATTTTCCATTTTCTTGAAAACTGGTACAAATTTCTAAATAAATAATTTCCTTAAAGTAAACCACATATAGCAACATTCACATCCCATAATTGCACAGCTCTGATTTTCACACAATAAATACAACCATGTAACCTTTACCCAGTTCCAGAAATGGATCATTACTACCACCACAGAAGTATCCTTTGTCTCCCCTTTCTACCAGATTACCTTCCCAAAGTTAATCACTCTTCTGCCTTTATCACCATAGAATAGTCATGCTTGTTTTTGAACTTTATTGTACATACATGGAATCAAACATATGTGTCTTTAGGTCTGGCTTTTGTTCAGCATTATGTTTCTGATATAAATTCAACGTTTATGAAGCAGTAATTCACTAATTTCCATAGTACTCTATTATAATGAATTTAACAGTTAACTTATCCACTTTACTGTTCACAGACATTTTATATTTCTAGTTTGGGGATATAAGAAGAATGCAGCCATGCATATTCCTGTATGTTCTCTGGTGTACACATATGCACATTTTTGTTGTTGGGTCATATGTTGTACACATATGCTCAGCTTTGGTAGATAATGCCCAACAGTTTTCCAAAATGGGTAGATCAATATACAATCCCTCCCACCAGTAGCATATGTGCCATATATTCACCAACCACTGGTTTATCAATCTCTTTCCCCTTACTATTCTGTTGTGTATGTAGAGGTAGCACATTTTGGTTATAATCTGAACCTCCTTTATAATTATTGAGGTTCAATGTTAATGGCCACGTGGATATCCTCATTTGTGAAGTGTCTGTTCAATTCACTGGCATATATTTCTATCAGGATGCATATACAACCAAGGATTCTGTGTGTATTATATAATGGTCTATACTATTTCACTCTCTTAGTGATATCTTTTGATGAACAGAGTTATTAATTTTAACATAGTCCAAATCATCAATCTTTTAAGGGTATGAAGGTTTCCTTCTATGTCCGGTTAAAGAAATTCTTGCCCATCAAAAGGTCATTAAGATATTTCCTGTGACTAATACACAAATAAATGCCCATGTATAAAGTATTAAACTATCATATTAGAAGGGAATATGCTTAAAACATCACTTCTTGATTGCCAGAAAATTGTCTTAATTATGGTTAATAGTTGTTTTGTTTGCACTAACATATATAGTTCATATGTTTTACCATATGCCACAAACATTACACAAAATAACAGAAAATGTCTCAGCTACTATGATGCACTGAAGCTTCTCACTGTCAGCATCTAAGATGCATACATATTCACCCATTTTGACACTTGGTATACTTTTCAAAAAGTCTATAAGTAATTTCCATATTCTATCAATTATATTTGAAATGTAACAAAAATTTTTCTTGCCCAATTTCTAAACAACACACAAAAAAATTTGTACTGAGAGATAAGTATATCGTATGAAGTTTGGGTATTTAAAAACAAAGATGTTTTAGAGAGAAAACATTAACAAGGCCACCTTTTGCAGAGTATGCCTGTATACTGTCTTTTTTTTCCTTTTTTCTTTTGTTTTTTTTGAGACAGAGTCCAGCTCTGTTGTCCGGGCTGGAGTACAGTGGTGCGATATTGGCTCACTGCAACCTCCACCTCCTGGTTCAAGAGATTCTTGTGCCTTAGCCTCCCAAGCAACGGGAAATACAGGTGTGTGCCACCACAACCATTTTTTTGTATTTTAGTAGAGATGGGGTTTTGCCATGTGGGCCAGGCTGGTCTTGAACTCCAGGCCTAAAGCAATCCACCCACCTCAGCCTCCCACAGTGCTGGGATTACAGGCGTGAGCCACCGCACCTGGCCTGTATACCATCTTTACTTTCTTTCTCCTATCAGACAGGTTGTAATGTGCCTATGCTGTAACAAAGTCTGAGGAAGGCATATCTCACCCAATAGCATGAAAATCTAATCATCATGCTTATGAACCACAAAAGGATCCCTGTATACTGTCTTTAATCAATTGTCAGTTAGCTATTGTTGCTGTTATCACTTATTGGTAAATACATTTTTAACTGGTACACTACTTCAGAAAATGAGAGTGAGGATTCAGTGATATGAAAATGACTGGTCTTTTACCAGGCACATAGTAAGTTCTCAATAAAGGCTGGATATTATAACTATTATTAATAACACTAGTATTATGATGGGATATTATTATAAGTCTAATTAGAAAAGTTGACTTCTACAGTGCCATCTATGATTACTTAAAGTAAAATATTTGTCCTCTAGTTTCCAGATAACAATATTATATTTTAATCACCTAAATTTTAAAACATGTAAAATAATTTCCATTAGCAGCATTAGTCATAATATCCCCAACCTGGAAATGGCAAAGCTGTCCACTAGCAGCAGAATGAATTAATAATTTATGGCATAGTCATTCAGAGGAATACCATACATAAATGGAACGAACTAATGTTATATGCAACAACATGGATGAATCTCACAAAAAATATTAAGGGAAAGAAGGCAGACAGTAAAGACAACAACTGTATAATTTCAATTTTTAAAGTTCAAATATAAGCAAACTAATCCATGGTCATACAAATGAGAGTAATGTTTACCTTCCAGGAGGCTTAATGACTGGAAGTGGGCATCAGCTCCAGCAGCAACATTTCAAGCATCTGGGGTGCTGGTAAAGTTCTACATATTAGAAGGCGGTACATATACTACATATCTTGGAGGTGCTGATATGGATATGTTCACTTCATCAAGTTGTGTACTTAAAATATGCACATTTTTGGTATTATGTTTTATTTCAATAAAAATTCTCTTGAAAAAAATCCCTCTGTATTTTATGAACATAAACGATAAACCATAGTTTATAATCACGTAGTAGACCAATACAACAGAGCTGATTCAAAGACTTTCTTTATTTTTCAAGAGGCAGTGGTGTCCTGCTCTGTTGCCCATGCTGGACTACAGTGGCACAATCAGCTCATTGCAGCCTTGAACTCCTGGGCTCAACCTATCCACCCACCTCAGCCTTCCAAGTAGCTGGGATAACAGGTAGAAGCCACCACTGTACCCAAAGGCTTTTTTTTTTTTTTTTTTTGAGACAGGGCCTCCCTATGTCATCCAGGCTGGAGTGCAATGGTGTGATGATAGCTCATTGCAGCCTTGAATTCCTGGGCTCCAGAGAGCCTCCCACCTCAGCCTCCTGAGTAGCTGGGACTAGAGGCACACATCATCACACCTGGCCAATTTTTTTTTTCCATTTTTTTTTTGTAGAGACAGTGTCTCACTATGTGGCCAAGGCTGGTCTGGAACTCCTGGCCTCAAGGGATCCTCCCACCTCAGCCTCTCAAAGTGCTGGGATTACAGGATTGAGCCACTGAGGACAGCCCCAAAGACATTTTTATGGTTTCAAATACATTTTACACACATACACACACAACCATCTTGAAATCTGCATGAATTTGCCAAGACTTCTCAGATTTCTAAGAAATAATGTACATCAAAGGATAAGGTTAGTTTGATTTAATGAAACAGACAAAATCATTAACAAGATGAAATTATTTCCAACACTGTACTTTCCATGACAACTCAATTTGTTATTTATAATATATAAAGCCATTACCACTCCAACAAAGGGAGGCAATGTGTTATAAGTTCATGAACTTGTAACACTCAGCTCCCCTAAAATAAAATGAACTTATATACGAAAGTAAGTACTATAGATTTAGTAGGGAAAAAGGGATATATGAAATGCTCATTTGCTGCCCTTCAAAAATGGACCCTGAGGTTTTCAATGAACATCATGTGTGAGAAATCAGTTTCTAAGCTCGAGAAACAGCAAGAGGAATATCTAGAAGAACTTTAAATTAGAACCACATACACACTGGAAAAACAAGTACATTTTGTTATAACAAGTGAATTCATTACCTCAGCGGGCAGTTATCCACAGTATTAATTGCACTTTCACTTGTACTAATAATAGAAAAGTTCTGTCATGAATGGGTATTTCTTAAAAGGCTTCATTTATGTCAATAATTATTAAATCCGTACTCACCAATTCTTTTCTAAGTTGAATAAAAAACTGTTTGCACTTAAAAGAAATTTTTACAATCTTCAACCTGGACAAAAGACAATAAATTATTCAAAGTATTGAATAATGATAAAAATATTAACAAATTATGAAAAAATGTTTTAAGTGTATATTTAGTAATATCTAAACATTTTATCATATATACATACACATAGTACATAAAGAATTGAAAGTTTTTCTTGCTTCATGGAAAAAATAATTAGTATTTGTGTTCAACTGAGGAAAATTTTGTATCTACAGAAATACTTAAAAACAGATGTCACAAATTAAAATTTCAAAAACTATCACTAACTTAGTTGTTTACTCTCTAAAACTATAAGCAAGCCTTGGAAAAATGTAAGATTTCATTACTTTATGCAACAACCCTAAAAACACTTTTAATTTTAAAAAGCATTAAATTTTAAAAATTTACCTTTGTACACCACCCTTCTTCTTAAACGCAACCCACATAATGCCATAAGCGTTCTCAAAGCCTTATTAGTACAATCAATATGAGCCAAGTCATTTTGTCTCATTGAAACCATAAAATAAGTAACACAGTAAACACAGTCTTTGTAAACTTTAAGACATAAGGGTAATAAGGCTAAAGAGATTTGATCTTTCTTACTGAGAAAAATGTCCTTCAGGATCCTGTCTCAGTCTTCTAAGTAAATATTTTCATGATAATTCTAAGTCTTAATCTTTATGGCTTATGGCCCTATCTATCCAAGAAGCTCTCAGCATTCTCAAAGAATAAACTTCTCACACTTTAATCACTTGAAGAGGCAAATGCATGAGTCAACTTTTCAAGCATGCATGTTTGGAATAGGGAAGAAGAGACATGTTTAGGTTTCTGATTTGAAAACTTTGTATTTTACTTTTGGATACTGAGCTTTCACTCGACATGGGAAAAATATTCTGTCATAGAGAGAGGGCATTATTTCCAGAAGCAAAAAAAAAAAAAAAAAAAAAAAAAAAATTGAGTAACTATTGACTGTATTTATGGAAAAAAGCCAGGTGCCTCAATTCAAAAAATCTTATGAAGACACACTGATATTTCAGAAGTTAAACAACAAAAAACACTGTTCATTTCTAAATGATCAAGAGAAAGGAAATCTAGGCCAGTTTCAAATCACTTTAATTTCAAAAATTCCCAGGAAGGTATCAATCAATGAATAAAAATCTTTTCACTGAATGCTCTCTGTGGCATAATATATATTTTGTATAACTTTTATTTTCTTATAAATGTATTGTGTGTGACTTGTATTTGCTACAAAGTTTTTTCAGAAAAATACCAATGTATAAATTAAAAATCTTTCAAACAGTATCTATTTTATATAGCAGTAATATAGCCATAACCGTTTTTTTGGCTTCTATATGCCTGGTTTATCTTTTTCAATGTTTCTGTCATTTTGTATAACATTTTAGGTATGTCTCTTGTAAACAGTATAAAGATTGATTTTTTTTTAACTGGAACAATTCCTTTCTGTAGTTAATAAATCATTAGACATACTACGCATTTTTCACTTGACATCAGAGGTTTTACAATGACTTTACATTTCAGTTTAAGGTTTGCCTTTGCCATCTTAAAATGTATCCTATTACAGACATGGTTTCGCTATGTTGCCCAGCCTGGCCTCAAACTCCTAGGCTCAAGTGATCCTCCTGCCTCAGCCTCCTGAGTAGCTGGGACTATAGGTGTGTGCCACTGCATCTGGCTCAGATTGATTTTTAAAAATCCAGTTTGAATAATCCAAAATATATGAAACAATAATAAGTACTTGAAAAGACACTCATTATCATTAGCCAGCAGGGGAATGCAAATAAAAACTACAATGAGATACTACTTTATACTCACTAGAATGGTTATAATAAAAATGCAGATAACAAGTGCTGGTGAGAATCTGGAGAAATTAAACCCACATGCAATGCTGGTGGGAACGTAAAATGATGCAGCCACGTTTGAAAACAGTTTAGCAAACCCAGGTATTCCACTCCTAGATATATACACTCATGAAAAATGAAAACATGTCCACACAAAAACTTGTACAAATGTTCAGAGCAACATAATTCTCACCAGCCAAAAAGGGGAAAAAACTGGTGAACTGGTTATCAAAATGTGGTATAACCATAAAATGGAAAATTATTCAGCAATAAAGGGGAAAGCAAAACTGATACATACTACAATGCGGATGAACCTCAAAAATGAATGAAAAAAATCAATCACAAAAGACCACACAGTACATGATCTCATTCAATATTAATAGAATATATAGAATAGGCATATCTATAGAGATATATGATAGTGATTAGTGATTGCCTAAGACTTCTGGCAAATAAAAAGCATAGAAAAGAACAGGAAATGGCTCCTAATAATTACAAGGTTATCTTTTAGGGGTAATATAAATGATTCAAAATTAGATTATGGTGATGCTGCCCCTGAAACTATACCACAAACCACTAAACTGTATACTTTAATAGGCAAATTTATGGTACATAGATTATATCAATAGTGATTTAAAAATTCAGTTTGATGTTTTCAATATGAATATCCAACATATTTACAGTTTCGATAATAATTAACATACTTGGATTTATCTCTACCATAATTTTTTTTGCTACTTGTCCAAAGTTTTCTGTTTCTACTGGAATGCCAATTATGTAATCATATAACTATTTTATACTGTTTTACTGATTAACTTTCACATGGTTTTGGAAAGCAGCTAGGCTCATCATTATACCACCAATGCATCTTTTCATTTTCCCTTTTAAGCATTTTATTATGTATAACTGACATGCAAAATGCACATATTTAAAGTATATACTTTGGTAAGTGTGACATACATGTGTACTTATCAAACCATCATCACAGTCAAGATAGTGAACATATCTATCACTTCCAAAAGATTCCTTCCGCCACACAGTGATCCTCCTCTAGAACTCCAACACAGCAACCCATCCCGCCTACGTAACCACTGACCAACTTTTTGTCCCTACAGATAGAATTTTCTAGAATTTATATAAATGGAAGCATACAGTATGTATTTTTCTTCATCTGTCTTGTCACTCCGCTTAATTATTTAGAGATTCATCTGCATTGTGTTTTTCACTAAATCTTTTCTCCACTTTGCTGAGGAGCATTCCATTCTATGGATATACCACAACATGGATGGAAATAGCCATCACTTCATGATGAATATTTAAGTTGTTTCTAGTTTTCGGCTATTACAAATAAAGTCACTTTGAACACATGTGTGCAAGTCTTTGTACAAACATTTGCTTTAATTTCTGGTGGTCAAATACCAGGTAGGAGTGAAACAGCTAGGTCATATGGTAGACATATTTCTAACTTTTTAAGAAACTACAGAACAGTTTTCTAGACTGGTTGGACCATTGTATATATTATAATAATACAGTCATTCTAGTCTCCTTAATGCTTACTACTTGCATGGTATACCTTTTTTATCTCTTTATTTTCAGCCAATCTATATATATATTCTTATCTACAAGGAAAGCCATTATACTTTTTTCTTCCCCATTTGTTTGCCTTTTATTCCTTTTTCCTTTTTCTTTTTTTAAAACACTAGTAAGGACCTGGTGTACAAAGCTGAAGAGAAGTAGTGAGATGAAGCATATATTTTCCTCATCTTATATAAAAAGCATTGAGACTTTCACCATTTTGTATAATATTAGCAGATTTTTTGTAGATGCCCTTAATCAAAATAGAAAGTGCCTTGTATTTATAGTTAGCTATGTCTTTATTTTTTTAAATCATGAATGGTCAATTTTGTCAAATTCTTTTTCTGCATCTATTGAAATGCTCAAATGGTTTTTCTATGTTATTATAACAGTATGGTTAATTATACTGACTGACTTTCAGATGTTAAAGCAACCTTATATTCTTAAAATAACCCCCATTTGAACATGATGAATTGTCATTTTTATATATTACTGGATAGAATTTGCTAAACTTTTATTAGGTATTTTTGCATCTATGTTCATGAGTAACTGCAGTTTTCTTTCCTTGTAAGGTCTTAAGTCTGGTTTTAACATCAAGGTAATAATCACATAAACCATGTTCCTTCTTTATTGTCTAAAAGAGCTTATGTAAAATTGGCCTCACTTCTACTTTAAATGTTCGATAGAATTCACAACAAGGGGCCTGGAGTTCTAATGTTCAAAAGGTTTCTAATTATAATTTCAACTTCTTTAATAGATACAGATCTATTCAAGTTTCTTTTCTTCTCAGGTCATTTTTTAATTTGTGTCTTTCAAGGAATTTGCACATTTAATCTACGTTGTGAAATTTATTAATGGTACTTGTATTAGTCCATTCTCACACTGCTAATAAAGACATGCCCGAGACTGGGTAATTTATTGGGGAAAGAGGTTTAATTGACTCACAGTTCAGCCTGGCTGGGGAGACCTCAGGAAATTTACAGTCACAGCAGAAGGCAAAGGGCAAGCAAGGTACTTTATTCACAAGGCAGCAGGAAGGAGAAGTGCAAGCAGGGGAAATGCCAGATGATTATAAAACCAACAGATATCATGAGACTCACTCATTATCATGAGAACACAATGGGGGAAACTGTCCCTATCATTCAACTACCTCCACCTGGTCCCACCCTTGACACATGGGGATTATGGAGACTACAAGTCAAGGTGAGATTAGTGGAGGAGGGGGCAGGACACAGAGCCAAACCATATCAATATTCAAACATTCAAATCTGCTCACAATATGATTTTATTATGCTTTTAATGTATGTAGGGTCTGTAATGCTATCCCCTTTCATTCTGGATATTGGTACAGCCAAACTTTAGAGATACTGAGGGCTTAGTTCCAGACTACTAAAGCGAATACTGTGATAAAGTGAGTCACACTATTTTTTGGTTTCTCAGTGGATATAAAAGTTATGGTTACACTATACTGTAGTCTATTAAGAGTTCGATATACTATAATGAAAACAAGTTGTATAATAAAAAATCAGAGTAATTTATAAAAAATTCTAATGATCATCTGAGCCCTCAGGAGTTGTAATCTTTTGTTGGTGGAGGGTCTTGCCACAATGTGGCAAGACCACATTGCCAAATGCTATTTGATAGCACTTACCTACACTAGAACTTCTTTCAAAACAGTCAATCCTCTTCACCCAGCTGCTGCTTTATCATGAAATAGTCTATATTCTTTGTTGTCATTTAAACAATGCTCACAGCATCTTCACCAATAGTAGATTCCATCTCAAAAAATCACTTTCTTTGCTCATCCATAAGAAGCAAATCCTCATCTATTCAAGTTTTATCATGAGATTGCAGCAATTCATCCCCTACCCCATCTTCAGACTCCACTTTTAATAATAGTTCTCTTGTTATTTCCACCCCACCTGTAGTTACTTCCTCCCCTGAAGTCTTAACCCCCTCAAAGTCATCTATGAGGGTTGGAATCAATTTCTTCAAAATTCCGGTTAACGTTGCTACTTTGACCTTCTACCATGAATCATGAATGTTCTCAATGGCATCTAGAATGGTAAATCCTTTCCAAAAGGTTTTCAACTTACTTTTCCCAGATCCATCAGAGAAATCATCCTCAATGGCCACTACAGCCTTACAAAATATGTTTCTTAAAAAAGATTTGAAAGTCAAAATTACTCCTTGATCTATCAGCTACAGAATTCATATTGTGACAGCAAGCATCAACTTCCTTGCCATCTCTAACAGAGCTCATGGGTGGCAAGGTGCATTCATTGTCAATGGGCAGTAATATTCAGAAAGGAATCTTTTTCTAAGCAGTAGGACTTAACAATGGACTTAAAATATTCAGTAAGCTATGCTGTAAACAGATGTGTGGTCATCCAGGCTTTGACGTTCCATTTCTAGAACACAGGTAAGGTAGATTTAGGACCTAGCATTTACAGAATGGTAAATGAGCACTGGCTTCAACTTTATTCCGCAACAAGAGAGTCAGTCAGTCCTTTGAAACATTGAAGCCAGGTATTAACTTCATCTATGATAGTCTTAGATGGCATCTTCTTCCAATAGAAGGCTGTTTCATCTACATTGAAAACCTGTTGTTTAGTGTAGCCATTCATCACTTAGCCAGACAGCTAGATATTCTGTATAACCTGCAGCTTCACTTTGAACTTTTATGTATGGAGATGACCTCTTTTCTTAAGCCTCATGAACCAACCTGCACTAGCTTCAAACTTTTCTTCTGCAGCTTTCTCACCTCTCTTCTCAGTCTTCACATAATTAAAGAGAGTTAGGGCCTTGTTCTGGATTAAGCTTAAGGGAATGCTGTGGCTGGTTTCATGTATCCACACCACTAAGATACTCTCCATATCAACAATAAGGCTGTTTCACTTTTGTATCATTTGGGTGTTCAATGGAGTAGTACTTTCAATTCCTTCAAAAATTTATCCTTTGCATTCACAATTTGGCTAATTGGTGCAAGAGGCCTAGCTGTTGGTCTATCTTGACTTTGACATGCCTTCCTCACTGAACTTAATCATTTCTAATTTTTGATCGAAAGTGACAGAAGTGCAACTCTTCCTTGCACTTGATCACTTATAGACCACTGAAGGGTTATTAATTGGTCTAATTTCTATATTGTTGTGTCTCAGTGAACAGGGAGTTCCAAGGAGAGGAAGAGAGACAGAAACGGCCAGTCAGTGGGGCAGAAAGAACAAACAATACAATATCTATCACTTAAGTTAGCTGTCTTATATGGGTGTGGTTTGTGGCATGCCAAAACAATTATAATACTAAGAGCAAAGATCACTGATACAATAACATACACAATAAAAAACTTTGAATTATTGTGAGAACTACCAAAATATGACACAAAGACACAATGTGAGCACATGCTGGCAGAAAAATGGCAACAACAGAGTTGTTTGATGCAGGGTTGCCACAAACCTTCAATTTGACCATTTGCATGTCTTTTTTCTGAGAAATGTCAATTTTAAAAAATGAATTATTGGGCTGGCTTTTGCTGTTCAGTTCCTTGTTATTCTGGATACCAGGCCCTTGTTGGATGTACAATTTGCAAATATTTTCTCCAGTTCTATAGGTTGTCTCTATACTCTGTCGATTGTTTCCTTTGCTATGTAAAAGCGTTTTAGTTTGATAGTCCCATTTGACTATTTTTCTTTCTGTTGCCTGTACTTTTAAAGACCTACCCATAAAATCTTTGCCTAGATCAGTATTCTGAAGCATTTCCTCTATGTTCATTTAGCAGTTTTATAGTTTCAGGTCTTACGTGTAACTCTCTAATCCATTTGGAGCTGATTTTTTATATACTGAGATAAGGGTCTGGTTCCATTCTTCTGCAATAGATACCCAGTTTTCTCAGTACCATTTATGGAAAAGGGTGTCTGTTCCCTACTCTATGTTCTAGGTGCCTTTGTCAAAATTCAGTTGGCTGTAAATACGTGGATTTATTTCTATGTTCTCTATTCTGTTCTGTTGGGTCTATGTGTCTATTTTAATACCAGTACCATGCTGTTGTGAATACTGTAGCTTCACAGGATAATTTGATGTCTTCCATCTTTGTCCTCTTGACTCAGTATTGTTTTGGCTATTCAGGATCTTTTAGGGTTCCATACAATATTTTTTTTTTTCTTAATAGAGAAAGGGTCTCACTCTGCCATCCAGGCTGAAGTGCAGTGGTATGATCATAGCCCACTGTAACCCTTAAAGTGCTGGGCTCAAGTGATCCTCCCACCTCAGCTTCCGGAGTAGCTAGGACTACAAATACATGCCATTATGCCCAGCTAATTTTTAAAAATATTTTTTATAGAGACGAGGTCTTGCTATGTTGTGTAGGCTGGTATTAAATGCCTGGCCTCAAGCAATCCTCTTGCCTTGGCCTCCAAAAACGCTAGGATTACAGGTGTGAGCCACTTGGCTCCCCACCCATATGAATTTTGAAACTGCTTTTTCTATGCCTGTGAAGAATGTCATTGATATTTTGACAGATGTTGCATTGAATCTGTAGAATGCTTTGGGTAGTGTGGTCATTTTCACAGTACTAATTTTTCTAATTCATGAGTATGAGATGTTTTTCTACTTTTTTTCTGTTCTCTTCAATTTTTTCCCATCAGTGTTTTGTAGTTTTTGTTGTAGAGATCTTTCACCTCCTTGGTTTATTCCTAAGTGTAACATTTGGTAGGTACTGTAAATGAGATTGCGTTCTTGATTTCTTTTCCAGCTATTATTGGTGTACAGAAACGTAACAGATGTTTGTACATTAATTTTGTTCCCTGCAACTTAACGGAATTCACTTAATAGTTCTAAGAGACTTTCAGTGGAGTCTTCAGGCTTTTCTTTATGATCAGGTTTTCTGCAAAGAGGAACAATTTGACTTCCTGTTTTCCTATATGGATGGCCTTTATTTCATTCTCTTTCCTGACTGCTCTGGCTAGGACTTCCAGTCCTATGTTGAATAAGAGTGGTCAGCGTGGGCATCCTTGTCTTCTTTTAGTTCTTAGAAGAAAAGCTTTCAGCTTTGACCTGTTCTGTATGATGTTAGCTGTGGAACTGTCACTTATGGCCTTGATTGTGTCAAGATATGTTTCTTCTACACCTAATTTGTTGAGAGTTTTTATCATGAAGGGATGTTGAATTTTATCAAATGCTTTTTATGTGTCTACTGAGATGACTGCATGGTTTTTGGTTTTCAATCTGTTGATGTAATAAAGTATTTCACTTACTGATATTTGTATGTTAAACTATCCTTGCATCCTGGAAATAAACTCCACTTGATCACGTGTAGATACGTGAAAAATGTTTCTTTTTCACGTATTATTGAATTTGCTTTGCTAGTATTCTGTTGAGGAATTTTGCATCTATATTCATTAGGAATACTGGCTGGTAGTTTTTTTCTGTCTTTTCTTTTTTTTCAGACAGGTCTCACACTGTCACTCAGGATGAACTCCTGAGCACAAGTGATCCTCCTGCCTCAGTCTCCCGAGTACCCAGGACTACAGGCATGTGCCACCACACCTAGATAATTTTTTCTTTTTTTGTTGTTAGTTGATTTTTATCACTTCAAAAAATACAAATTTCAATTTGTTGATCCTTTGTATTATTTTTACAGTCTCTACTTGATTTAGTTCTGCTCTGATCTTTATTGCTTTTTCTTCGACTAAATTTGGGGCTTGGTTTGTTCTGGCTTTTCTAGTTCCTTGAGATGCATCATTAAACTGTTTATTTGAGCTCTTTCTACTTTTCTGATGTAAGCATTTATTGCTATAAATAGCTCTCTTAGCAATGCTATTGCTGTATCTCACAGGTTCTAGTATGTTATGTTGCTGTTTTTGTTTCAATAATTTTTTTTATTTCTGCCTTAATTTCTTCATTGACCCAACAGTCTTTCAGGAGAGTGTTGTTTAATTTCCATGTATTTGTACAGTTTCCAAAGTTCCTTGTTATTGATTTCTAGTTTTATTCCATTGTGGTGTGAGAAAATACTGGATATAATTACTATTTAAAAATTTTTTTGAGACTTGTTTTGTGGCCTAACATATGGTCTTTTCTGAAGAGTGTTTCACGTGCTGAGGTGAAGAATGCATATTCTGCAGCTGTTGGATAAAATGTTGTTTAAATGTTTATTAGGTTCCTTTGGTCTACCGTGCAGATTAAGTCCAATGTTTGTTTTCTGTCTAGATGATCTGTCCAGTGGTGAATCTGGTGTGCTGAAGTCCCCAACTACTATTGTATTGGAGTCTGTTTCTCTATCTTTAACAATATTTACTTCATATATCTGGGTGCTCCAGTATTAGGTACATATTTACAATTGTTATATCCTTTCGCTGAATTGATCCCTTTATCATTTGATATTGACCTTGTCTCTTTTTATGGTTTTTTACAAAGTATATTTTGTCTAAAATAACTGCTTCTGTACGCTCTTGGTTTCCATTTACATGGGATTTTTCCTTCCCTTTACATTTAGTCTATTGTGCTTTTTACAGGTGAAGTTGAGTTTCTTGTAGGTAGCATAGAATTCGGTCTTCTTTTTTTACATCCATTCAGCCAGTGTCTAAGTTTTAACGGGAACTTAAACCATATACATTCAATGTTGTTAAGTAAAGATCTATTCTTGTTATTTTGCTAATTGTTTTCTGATTGTTTTGTACATCCTTTATTCCTTTCATCCTCTTATTGTTTCCCTTGATTATTTGTTTTTTTTTTTTTTGTAGTAATAACCTTTGACTCCTTTCTTTTTCTCATCTACTCTAGATATATCTTATCTGCTCTGTCAGGGAATTTTATACTTTTGTGTGTTTTCATGATAGTTCATAGCATCCTTTCACTTCCAGATGTAGGGACTCCCTTAAGCATTTCTTGTGAGATCCATCTAGTGGTGATGAATTCTCTCAGTTTTTGCCTATCTCAGAAAGACTTTATTTCTACTTCACTTCTGAAGGGTAGATTTGCTTGGGTGATGTATCCTCAGTCAGCATTTCTACTGGTTTATCTGCAGTTTGAATATACCACCATATTCGCTCCTGGCCTGTAAGGTTTTTGATTAGGAATCTGCCATTGGTCTGATGGAGATTCCCTTATGTGTGACTTGATCCTTTCCTCTTGCTCTTTTTAGACTTCTGTCTCTGATTTTTAAAAATTTGACTATGAAGTGCCTTGGAGGAGACCTTTTCGGGTTGAATGTCTGTGGGGTTCTTTGAGCTTCTGGTATCTTAACGTCTCTACGTCTTGCAAGAGTTGGGAAGCTTTCAGCTAGTATTTTCTTAAATAGGTTTTTTTTTTATGCCTTTGCCCAACTCTTCTGAAATTTTCAAAATTCAAATATTTGGCTGCTTTACAGTGTTCCATTTGTCATTCAGGCTTTTTTAGCCTTTTAAAAAATTACTAGGTTATTTCCAAAGACCTGTCTTCGGGTTCAGAAATTATTGTTACTGCTTAATCTAGTCTATTGTTGATGCTTTCTATTGTATTTTTTATTTCATTCACTGAACTCAGTTCCAAAATTTGTTGGCTTTTTTTTTTAAATATCTCTCAGTTGAATTTCTCATTCAGATTATGAATGGTTTTCTTGATATCTCTGTATTGTCAAGCTGTCATATATCATTGCATTTCTTTAATATCATTATTTTATTTTTCAGGCATTTATTTCTTCTGTCCTTATACGTTGATATCTGCACATCTGGTGTAACAGGTGCTTCTTCCAATTTTATGAATTGGCTGTCATAGGAACAAACTTTTTCTTGTGATGTACCTATAGTGTTGGCTGGATAGGGTGCTTTGGCTTTGATTCTGGATGGGTGCAGTAGCATAGTCTTCACATTATTTATTTGGCTCTAATCAGTGTCAGAGGTGTCTGTGAGTTCCTCAGTGGCTTAGGGTGTAGAGGTTGTGGTGAAGCTGTATTGGGGATGGAAATGCCAGGTAGGCTGGTTCATGGGCACCAGCTGTGGTGATGGCAGGCTGGGCATGCCAGTCCTTGGGTCTCCAGGTGGTATGCATGGTGTCAGCAGTATCAGTGGGCTATCCCTTGGGGTCCTGAGCTATGCATGTGGGGGACAATAGTGGTAGAGGCAGGGTGGACGAGCCAGTCCCTGGGCCCCTGGGAAGTGCCCACAGGTGCCAGTGGCAGGCAAGGTAGGTCCATTATTGAGCCCCTGAAAGGTGTGTGTGTGTGTGTGTGTGTGTGTGTCAGCAGCTGCAGGTATGGCCAGCCAATGCCTAGACTCCAACAGTGTCTGGAGGTGGTAGCTGAGGGCGAGGCACATCTATCGTCAGGCCCTTGGATGTCACGTGAGGGCCCTCACAGTTCTAAGTGGGTCAATCTCTAGGTTCATGAATAACATATACAGGTGCCAGCAGCTGGGATGGTCCTCTGTTCAGGCCCTTGATGTTATCACTGGTGACGGTGGACAGGGCATATAAATGTCCCTGGAAGGTGTGCTCAGATAGGCCAGTCCTTACTTAGCCCCCCAAAGGCACATGCAGCTGTACAGTGGTCTTGCTGCCGGAGGATGTGAGTTGCTGTCAATGGTAATGTCCCTGTGCAGGCAACTCTGAGGCTGTGGTGAGCACATGCTTCATCTCCCTTTATGACAGGTACAGCCTCCCTGGCACACTGCACTGCCCATTCCCCAGGGTGAAGGACACTGCACGAGATACAGTCTCGAGGACCTAGCTGTATCCTGGGTGCAGTTAAGTCTTGCAACTTTGCAGCCCTCTGTGTGGACATGGAGGGTTGTCAGTGGGGAAATGCAGGAGCTACTGGGCCTCACTGCAGGATGTATTCTGATGGGGTCTGAGCTCTCAAAATGGCATTGTGTTGCAACTGCCTGGGTCTTAGGGGGTGTGTAGAGGGAGTGCAAACTCCCTCTCTGAAACAATGCCATGGTGTGGACTTCAGGCAGCTCCCTATGCTAGTCTCACGGCCCATGAGGGTCAAGGGCCTCTCTCATATAAGAAGGACTGCAGTAATCTTTGGTGCAAATGTGAACTATTGAGGATCTCTTGCTTACCTTTTCCTTGCAATGGGCAATTCCTCCTGGCTCTCAGGTGATCCTGGCTAGGCTGGCTACTTTGCTTCCCTCTCCTTCTGTGTCTCAGAGGTTCCCTGTCACTTCCTTGTTGAATTCTTCTGTTCTCTTTTAAATGTCCTATTCATTGTGTGTTTATCTACTTGCTGATCTGGTCCTTCTTTGTGGAAGACACAAGTGCCTCCGTGACTCTAGTCAGCCATCTTGAAGTCCCCTCTCTGCTTTCTTTTCTTTCTGTAGATCCAGATTCCTGTCTTATATTATTTTCCTTTTCTATGAAGAACTTCTTTTAACATTTCTCACAAGGCAGGTCTACTGGTAACAAATTCAATCAATTTTTGTTTGTGTGTGTGAAAGTCTTTATTTCTCGTTCACTTCTGAAGGATAACTTTGCTACAGACTTCCAGGTTGGTGGGTTTTTTCTTTCAACACTTTAACCAAAATATTTCACTCCAGTTTCTTCTTGCTTACATGGTTTCTGAAGAGAAATACAACATATTTTTTACCTTGTTCCTCTAGGTTAAATGTGCTTTTTATGCTTTGCTTTTTAAAAGATTTTCTGATTATCTGCAGCATGACTATGATAGTGTGTAAGTGTGGATTTTTGGGTTATTTAACCTGCTAGGTATTCTCTGAACTTTCTGCATCTGTGATTCGGTGGCTGTCATGAATTTTGGAAAACTATCAGCCACTATTTTTTCAGATATTTATTTCTTCTGATCTTCTCTCTCTTTATTCCCATCACATATCTTAAATACTGTTCTTTCATTCCTTTTTCCCATCACTTTTCGGTTTTTGAAGTTTCTATTGACATATCTTCAAGCTCACTCATTTTTTTCTTGTGTATAATCTACCGATAAGACCAAAGGCATTCTTCATTTCTGTTGCAATGCATTTTATTTCTAGCACTCCTGTTTAATTCTTTCTCATAAGGTTTCCATCTCTGTGCTTACATTTCCGTCTGTTCTTGTACGTTACACACTTTTTCCATATACTTTTCCCTTAGTATATTAATTACAGTTATTTTAAATTTCTGGTATAATACTTCCAAAATTTCTTCTATATCTGGGTCTGGTTCTCATCCTTGCTTTGTTTCTTCAAATTGTGTTTACTGCCTTTCGACACGTCTTGTAATTTTTTGCTAAATGCTGGATATGATATACTGGGTAAAAGAAAGAAATAAATATGCCTTTGGTGTGAAGTTTTATGTAGACCTGGCAAGGCATAAGACTATGTTTAATGTTTGTGTACAAACCGTAGGTGTCAGAGGTTGTAATTTTCTCTATCTTTGTTTTTCACATCCTTGCTGTCTTCAGGTTTCCCTAAGGGACTCCTAAACAATCTGAGCCTTACAGTTATTTTAGTTGTGATTCCCTGTTATTATTTATGAGCCATGTTGATGTGGCAGTAAGGTGTGGGACAGGGAGGAATCATTCTTTCATCCTGTAATTAGGTCTTAGTGGTTTAGTGGTCTGTGCCTCTTGGCTGCGATCTTCGGTGCTTCTCAGGTCAACCCCTCCTTAGGTGAGACAAGAAAGCAGGAGGGGTCTAAATTGGGTATTTCCATTCTCCTACTTTGGTTAAACTCTGATAAAACCCATATTGGTTAGATGCTGGTAAAACAATTTGCCCTGGGGGCAAATCTCTGCTAAAAAGACTGGAAAGCTCTGATCATCTTTCAAAAATTCCATAAAAGAAAAACTCATAAGTAATAATTTTTAAAAAGTAATTTTGAAATAAACCATTTTGGTGTCTTCTGGTAGGTGCTAACTAAGTGGGATAAAGTATAAAGTTTATCTCACAAGTAAAATGACAACATTAAAATAGTTCAACAGCCACTGCCTTTAATATAAATTATTATATTTAGTAATACAGTGGTAAACATAAAAGTATCAATAGATGTTCTTACCATGGAAAGGTATTCATTCGTACCCTGTTCTTATAAATCAGAATTCCTCCTGACATCACTCCAATCATAATTTCATTGTTACTCTGATCCTTCAAAAAAAATGAATAAAAACATGATAAATCTAAATTTATGGGCTTTGTTAGAGATATATTTTAAAAATAGGATTCTATTTTTAAAACTAAACATTGCATTTTCAAAGGTTGCAAAGAACCGAATACTAATTAGAAACCCAAATGGTACTTATTACCAAATAAAAATAAAGAACAAATTTTAAACCAAACTGAAATGTCTTATTAAAATTCTTTAATCTAAAGTAAAATGGATCTCAGGATTTCCCACAATTTATGACTAGAACTGACTCTTTGGAATAGGAACCAAGAATTCAGAAATCAGAGACCTTTTCCTTAGTATTCATTTTACCATTCCTAAAAGTATTACAATCCATTTACTAAGTAACTGTGATGCTAACATCACAAACATGAATAAAACATGGAGGAATTCAGAGTTTGGTGAAAAGGAACCCAATAAAGCAATATTTACAACATAATGAGACGTCCTATAACTAATATAATACATTAGAAACATCATGAGAGTATATAATAGAGAACAATTCTTAGAGAGTTTAGAAGACCCCGGAGAATAACATTTGAATTGTGCCTTGAAGAATGAGTGAGAGTTTTCAAACTAAATGACCCAATTTGAATAGCTAACCTACACTAATGAGAGAATGGGTAGAATAAAAATACATTTCTTAGATGCTAATTTACCTTGAAACCATTTTGCTTCTTTATTTAAAAGATTCTACAAGTAACCTAATACAGGAGGCACGCTTTTACCACCTACCATTCATTTAATCAGAAGATAGAACTTATTAATAAAATATAAACTAGATTTTATCATTGTCTTCCTAGAACAAATACTTTATAGTATCAATAACTTCTAATGAAATAAAATCTTATTAATCTGTTAGGTAAGGTAATACATAAATGGTCAAATGCAACAGTGTATATTAATTTGCATGGCTGCCTTTGACTAGCAATAATCAACATTATTTTAGTACACTATTATCAGAGTATTAAAAAGCATGTTTTAAAGGACATCAATTAGAAGTTTGGATCAAGATGTTAAGACTGAGCCTAAATGATGCAAGGGTAAATATATACTCCTATTAGCCTATCTGCTCCCAACCTCATAAAACATTAGAGAAGATATACATTAGGGAAGATATACATAAAGCAAAAGAATCTGTAATACTTAAAAACAATCTATAACATATGAACATATGTTATCAATGGACCAGACATTTTGAGGAATCCTTAAAGATATAAAGTGGTAAGACTAGATTTACTGAGAGGAAAAAAAATTCATAAAACCACAGCCCAAACTACGTAGGAAAGAGACTGCTCTATGTGGAGGTAAAAAACAGAAAAGAAATTTTCAGGTACGAGTTCAGTTACCATAGATAAAATAATTAAGAGAGGCCTGCAAATTACTGTCAGGATAATCAGGTAGGGAGCAGCTGTGGTAATTAACTCCGAACAGTCCCATAATCCCACTCCAACTGGATTCAACTATAGGAAATGAAAGTGTGAAGCCTGTCTAAAACAGCAATTGTGGACAGTAGGTCCAAAAATTTAGAATTAAGGGTAATCTTCAGAAGGAATGAATGGAGAACCCCAAACTGAAAGAGGCAAACTATAGGCACATTGTAGCTGGCTTTGTATTCCTTCCCACCTTAACCATCACATAAGGCAGGCTACAGTAAAGAGAAACAGCATTCGCAACCAAGTGAACCAGAAATCACAAATACAAAAGACAGTACATAACCAAAAATCATCAAGTATTTGTGGAAAGCTAATACCATTAGAGAGATATACCAAACCCAATAAACAGAGAAGCCAATCAAGATACAATGTTAGTAGAAAAACAAGTTTAAAAAATAACATATTCAGAAATATGTAGGAACTCAAGTTTTAAATTATAGATATCTAGACTGAAGGGGCAGTTCCCAAGGCATTCCTAGAGTTGGGTAAGATAAAACGAGAGAACAAGTATTATAGCCTTCAGGGACACAAATGTTATTAATTCCAATGTCTAGAAAAATACACTTTGACCACCTTAATTTAAAATACCTTATTTTGCTTTTCTTCATATCACTTATTAATACTGTACTATAAATCTAATAAATAAATTATTCACTAGAACCCAAGTAACAGAGAGTAGAGCTATTTATTGGATTCTTAGGCATAGAAAAAAGTACCTCGTAGGCATTGAAAAAAGTACCTTGTACTCTTTTGCAGCATGAATGGCTCCCTATTATTGTCTGTATGAAAATGTCTTAGCTGTTTAGCTTGGGATCCAAGGCCTTTATACAACTATTCCCATTTAATCTCTCCTCCCTAACTGGTAAAAATCTTCTACTCTAGCCAGGCCATTTTTATGATATGTTTTGTGTGCCCACAATTCCGTGTTAAAAATGTTCTCATATCTCTGATCATATCTCCCTGCCAAATCAAGCCAAACCAAACCAAAGTCTAGCTTACATCCATCTTCTCAGTAAAAATTTTATTAGCCCACATCTACATGTTTCTCTCATATTTATCTGTTTCTTAAACCACTTATCTGAAAGACCTAATTATTGTAGAGATAAGGGCTGAGATTGTGTGTAACCGTGTCTTTCAAACTACATGTGGAAAAGGACCAGTTATGTTTTGTTGTTTAAGTTTCCAATCTGTCAGCTACTGATGCTTTTGCAAAACACACTAACATGCTTTATGTCAGACTGCTATAAAAGTAGCTAAATCTTACACTTAATTTCTGCATGTGTCTCTTCACGGACCAACTACAGTTTACAGACTGGCAACAGTCTGTGGATCGTACTTGGAACATCAACAAACAATTACATCATTTCACACTCCTCCAAAGAGCCTACTTATCAAATACGTTATTTGATTTCTGATGGTAATTTTATGCTTACACTTAGCCAGTCATATTACTAGAAAATGTTTAATACACAATCAGATTATAAAGATTTGTGATGAGCTTTAACTATGTAGTTATCTTTGGAACTATGATTAAATGATAATTAAAGGGGAGAATTTATAACATGCAGTGGCTATATGGCTTGAAAATGTAAATTCAGAGCAACTATGAAAAAAGAAAGAAAATGGGAGATAAAGTTAAAAATTTTCATTGTTCTAGTAATAACTGATATGGTAATTATAAGTACTATCTTTAATTACAGGATAGCATGAAGCAAGTAAATAATTATAGGATATGTGAATTGTAGAATTCTTTGAGCCCTAAGAACCAAAATATTCTGTGTATCTCAATATAGATATAGAAACTAGCAAATGCCCAACTCTGTTCACTTAAAAAGCCTAGAAACAATGACCAACCCAGTAGGAATAAGCATCCTTAGCACCCACACTGAGATTTTTGAAATATCATTTTCCATTAAAAGGGCTTCTTGGAGAAATGGCTAATTTCATGTCTGTGGCAAAACATCTTAAAAATACTAGATAGCATAAAAGCTATCAAAGCTAGACCAAGATCATGTCAAAAGGACTTAGGAGGCTGGGTGTGGTGGCTCATGCCTGTAATCCCAGCACTTTGGGAAGCTGAGGCAGGTGGATCACTTGAAGTCAGGAGGTTGAGATCAGCCTGGCCAACATGGTGAAACCCCGTCTCTATCAAAAACAAACAAACAAAAAACAAAAATTAGCTGGGTGTGGTGGTGTGCACCTTTAGTCCAGCTACTTAAGAGGCTGAGGTGGGAGAATCACTTGAACCCAGGAGGCGAAGGTTGCAGTGAGCCGAGACTGCACCACTATACTTCAGCCTGGGTGACAGAGTGAGACCCTGTTTCAAAAACAAAACTTACGAGCCAAAAGAAGAACACTCCCCACTGGTGACCAAAGATGGGCTAATTTGAGCTTTAATAAGGAGAATAATTATACTGTATTAAATCTTATCAGTAATATCTAATCCACCACTTCATATTCATTACCTTGAAAACCAGGTAAATAAAAGGAAAAGAATCAAACATTCTTTTCCATGTGTTTTCTATATGAACTATACCACTGGGTAACTGAATAGTAAAAGAAAGAAAACGACCCTTTATAAAATCATTCCAGCAAATAAATAAAAACAAAAATATATTAGGATATCTCCATTTTGCTGCTTCCAATAAATTAATGGATCTAGGCATCCAGCATAAATGGCTGCTAGCACAGAATAAGAGCAAAACCCAGGCATTATGCACCACCTGAAAAAAGAACATAACAGACATCAATCTTGAATCTGAACATGCTGCTAGATTAAGCTGCCAATCTGCAGGAAATAGAGAGGACAGCAAATTATGTTGAATTACATTATGAATATGTGATCAAGTAAAATCCAGACTGTAAGAAACTACAGGTAAAATAATCCAGTGCTTTACAGGTAAATTCTAAGCACAAGAGAAGAAGCAACAACCTGTAGATTAAAAAGAGAGATCTCAGTTACTGTGAGTCAAATAAAATAACTAAACAACAGCAAGACCAAGCTACAGTTTCTACCAAGGCACATTTGGGTAATAAAAATTATTTAAAAAAAAATACTATGTAGGAAGGAGCTGTTATTGGGAAAAGGTTTCTGGAGTAACTGGCAACATTCTACCACTTGAACTAGGTGGTAGTTACAAGGATGTTTGCCTTACAGTAATTCAGTAAGATATACATACCTGTCTGTGTTTTATTTTACAACAGTATGTTTAAAAAGAGCAGGAAAAAAATGATATTTAAACTGAATATGAACAGATGTTCTAACATTTTCTGCACATACCCTAATTGTTCATTTCACTTTCTCTTGTGGTGTATAGACCGCTATCCCCTCTTTTTTTTTTTTTTTGAGACAGAGTCTGGCTCTATTGCCCAGGCTGGAGTGCAGTGGCGCCATCTCGGCTCACTGCAAGCTCCGCCTCCTGGGTTCACGCCGTTCTCCTTCCTCAGCCTCCAGAGTAGCTGGGACTGAGCCCGCCACCGCGCCCAGCTAATTTTTTGTATTTTTAGTAGAGACGGGGTTTCACCGTGTTAGCCAGGATGGTCTCGATCTCCTGACCTCGTGATCCGCCTGCCTTGGCCTCCCAAAGTGCTGGGATTACAGGCGTGAGCCACTGCACCCGGCCTTTTTCTTTTTTTTTGAGATGGAGTCTCGCTCTTGTCCAGTGGCGCGATCTCGACTCACTGCAACCTCCGCTCCCAGGTTCAAGCAGTTCTCCTGCCTCAGCCTCCTGAGTAGCTGGGATTACAGGCACCCACCACCATGCCCAGCTTATTTTTGTACTTTTAGTAGAGACGGGGTTTGGCCATTTTGGCCAGGCTGGTCTCAAACTCCTGACCTCAGGTGATCCACCCACCTCGGCCTCCCAACATCCCCTCCTTTCTTTGGAGACTACTACACTATACACAAACTAATTACCTAGGGTACTTAAATGTTCTGACCTCTCTACTATCACATGTTAACAGTACGATAACGCAAACCCACTCAATGTTATGATGTACATAAGAACAACATTAATTTTACACGGTGGAGACAGCCGTTAATTTTCTTAATTACTTTCAATTATAAAACAATTTCAAAACAATATACAACAATTTCAAATATCAAATAAGAAGTCAAAGACTCCCCTCATCACCTTCCCTGCCTCCTTCCCTCATTCTCAGAGATAACCGCTATTAACAATTTGGTGTATATTTTCCTCTATCTTTATACAACTTTTTCTAACACATCTATAAATATTTTAAAGAATGGAGTTTCAGTAATGGAAGTGAGCAAAGATTATATTCATATTTGCCCCCCAAAAGATTTCTACAAATTTATATTTCAACAATGTATTAGAGTGTCCACTTTCCCATACTCAGGCAAAAAATAGTTATTTTTAATCCTTTGAACTTTTGCTAATCTGATAAAATTGGTATCTCCTTGTTTTCATTATTAGTGACAAGTGCATAATATTGATCACCTATATTTCTCCTGTGAAATGTTTATTACATCTGTATGCCATATGTTTCTACTTACAAGTTGTAAAAAAATTATTCCTTTGGGGAACTCTTTATAAAACATGAATATTAAAAAATTTTCTGTAACATATGTTGAAATTATTTTCTTTTATCCTGTAGCAGTATGTTCTTTTCCAATATATCACTTGTTTAAAATTTTCATGTCTATTTTTAATGTAGTTAGGCATAAAGGCTTATACATTCATTAATGATGAAAAAAATGTTTGTATGCTTTATATAGGCCTAATGGAGTATGAGAATGCAAACAAATTATTCAGTGAAAATGAAAACAATTAGTGACCTATTTATGCTTTCATAAAGATGCTTGATATAGAAAGATGGTTGACTAAAAATAAAATAATGCTGTGTCACAATAAGTGAAAGCACACATCAGAATTATGGAAAACCACTATGTGATTTGAGTACAGTAGAGTGACATGGATAAAGTCATATGTATAGCTCCAATCTGAGAAAAGAGTTCCTTTCTCTGTTCCAAGAGATTACATTTGTAAATTGTTTCATTATTTTAATGGATCTGTCGAAAAGTCTTCAAATACATGCAGGTTAAAAATGAGGTTTTGGAAAGAAGCTATAAATTGGCTCTTAATACAGAAATAGGGATTATATGGTCACATTACTTAACTTTTCCGTGTCTCATTTTCCTCATCTGTAAAGTGGAGATAATAATACTCCTGCCTCACAAGGCTGTTGTAAGGATTAAATGGGATTAACATACATAAAGCCCTAAGAAGGATGGCTGGCACGCAGTAAATGCTATATAGGTGTTTCCTCTTATTATTATCTGTGTCCTGTAGAGCAAAAGCCCTCAAAATTACTGTTCTCCGTTTTTGTTTTTTTTTTCATATTCTCTCATCACTCTTTGGCCATCACTGCACCTCCAAAACTGCTCTTGAAAAGTCACCAGTGACCTCCACTTTTCTAATCCAGTTCTCTGTCCTCATTTTATTTGACCTAACAGCATCATCTGACAAAGCTGACTGCTCCTGATTTACTTGGCTTCAGAGACACACATTTGTGTCTTTGATAGAAAGAAAGGCTCTCCTTTCTGAATGGCTGCTCCTTCTTGGTTCTCTTTCCTGGTTCTTCTTCATCTCTTCAAATTCTAAACATTGAAGTGTTCTAACTTTGAGGACCTGTTCTCTTCAACATCTACTAAATTTACTTCCTCAGTGCTCTCATCTCATGATTTTAACTATTAACTATACGCTAACAATTCCCAAATGTATTATTTCTAGTCCAGACTTTTCCTCTCAACTCCAGGTCTATAAATTGAATTGCCTACCCCTCTTTCGTGAGGATTTACGTCTCTTCAAATTTAACATGTCCCAAGATAAATTCTTGACTTATGCTTCTACTAAATCTACTTCTCCCAGGTCTTTCCCAACTTAGTAAAAGTTCAGGCCAAAAGCTTTGGAATAATTACCAAATCCTTTTTCTCTCACACCCATAGCCAGTACACATGAGTAAAAGCTGTCACTTCCATATTCAAAATATATTCAAAATCTGATTACTGTCCACCACCCCAATACTACAAGAACCATTACCTTTCACCTGGATCACTCCAACAGTCTCTTCCCTTAGTATCTTATAGTATACTCTCAAAACAAAAGTCATTGTTATATTTTAAAAATGTAAATTCACAACATGTCTTTTATTGCCTCAAAACTCTCTAATGGTTTTGATTATAATTAAAAGCCAAAGTCCTTAAAATGTTTTATAAAGATGTGGTGGCTCATGTCTGCAGTCCCAGCACTTTGGGAGGCCGAGGCAGGTAGGATTGCTTGAGCTGAGAAGTTTGAGATCAGCCTGAGCAACATAGCAAGACTCCATCTCCACTTAAAAAAAAAAAAAAAAAATTCAACCAGCATGGTGACACATGCCTGTGGTCCCAGCTACATGGAAGGCTGAGGTGGGAGGATCACTTGGACCCAAGAGACCAAGGCTGCAGTAAGCTGAGATTGCACCAATGCACTCCAGCCTGGATGACAGAGCAAGACTCTGCCTCAAAAGAAAGAAAGAAAGAAGGAAAAAAAAAAAAAGTCTTAAAAGTTCTTGTCTGCTTTGATCTCATGCCCTAATACTCTCCTCTCCTTGTTCGCACTACACAAGCCACACTAAACTCTTAGCTATTATTTGAACTGCTATATACACTATTTCATTGCTCTTTCCTCTGCTTAGAATAATCTCCTCCCAGATGTTTGCATGGCTCTTTCAGATCTGTTTACCTTCTCAGTGAGACCTTCCCTGATCCCTCATTTGTTTGTCTTAATTCCCCTTTCTCAGCTTAACTTTTCTTCATAGCATCTATCAATATCTGATGTATGACCTGCTTAATTTTTTAAAAGAACTGAAGTACTGTATAGTAAAATGCACATTTCTTAAATGTACAACTCAAAATTTTACACACATACATACACGTACCTATTTACACTCCAACATAACCATCACAAACCAATATATAGAACATTTTGAAAAATCCAGAAAGCTCCCTCATGAGTCTCCCAGTTAATAAACATTCCTCCAGAACTGACTGCTATTCTGACTTCTATCAATATAGGCTGGTATTTTGCTAGTTACTGAACTTCAATGGAATCAAATAGTACATACTCTGATATACCCATAATTGTTCATTTATAGTTTTGTTTCTTGCCCCACAGAATGCAAGCTTTGGGAGGGTTCAGTTTTATCTACTTTACTCACTGCTATGTCTACGATATCTATAAATGAGACCATATTACTGCATGCAGCCAGAATCGAAGTCTATGTACCCTACTCAACCCAAACCACAGATAAATCTTCAGGAAAAAGTCCTCCCCTACAAAAGCAAATTCAAATATAAGCAGCAGCAACTATTGCACAGATACAATGTAAGCACACAGGAAACATGAAATAGCAAGAAAATATGGTATCTCCAAAGGAATACAATAATTCTCCAGCAATAGATCTTAATCAAAAAGAAAAGTTCAAAATCCCAGCATGAAATAAAGAATTCAAATTATTGACTTGAAAGGTCTGTGAGACCCAAGAGAATTCTGAAAAACAATACAAATAAGTCAGGAAAACTATTCAGGATATGAATGAGAAATTTACCAAAGAGATATTTTTTTAAAGAACCTAATAAAAATTCTGAAGCTGTTTCATGCCTGTAATCCCACATTTTGGGAGGCCAAGGTGGGTGGATCACCTGAGGTCAGGAGTTCGAGACCAGCCTGTCCAACGTGGTGAAACCCCATCTCTACTAAAAATAAAAAAAAATTAGCCAGGCATGGTGGCGTGCGCCAGTAATCCCAGCTACTGGGGAGGCTGAGGCACGAGAATCACTTGAATCTGGGAGGCAGAGGTTGCAGTGACCTGAGATCACACGACTGCACTCCAACCTGGGCAACAGAGCAAGACTCCGTCTCAAAAACAAACAAACAAACAAACAAAAAACTGAAACTGTAGAATTCACTGAAAAAAATTCAAAATACATTTGAAAACTTCAACAATAGCCTACATCAGTCTGAAGAATGAATCTTGGAACTTGAAGACAGGTCTTTCAGAATAATCCAGTCAAACAAAAATAAAGAAAAGAGATGAAAAAAGAATGAGCAAAGCCTTCCTGAAATTTGAGGCAAGATAAGGTGACCAAATTTACATGTTACTTGTACCCCCAAGCAGATAATAATGTAAAGAGGTGTTCTGCATGGAACATTATAATCAGACTGTCTAAAGTGAAACTTCAGGAACAAATCCTAAAAATAGCAGAAGTGTCTCATCACCTATAAAGAAAATCCCACCAGTCTAACAGTGAATTTCTCAGCAGAAATTTTATAGGCCGGAAGACAATAGAATGATATACTGAAAGTGCTGAAAGAAAAAACCTGCCACTCCAGAATACTATATCCATCAAAATTATCACTTATAAATGAAAGGGAAATGAAATCATTCACAGACAAATAAATCCTGTGGGAATTCTATACCACTAGATCAGTTCTGTAAGATATGCTCAAGAAAGTCCTAAACTTGGAAGTAAAATGATGACATTTACCATCATGAAAACACACAAAAGTATAAAACTTAATGGGTAAAGAAATATAAAGGAGGAAGAGAAAGGACTCAAACAGTATCACTACAGAAACCCATCAAAACAACAACCTATAAGAGAAAAAGAAAGAAACACAGAATACATATAATAACCAGAAAACAATTAACAATATGAAAAGAACAAAACCTCACATACCAATAACTTTGAATGTAAATAGATCAAATTCTCCTCTTAAAAGATACAAAATGGCTGAATGGATTAAAATACATAATTCAACTATATGTTGCTTAAAAGACACTCACTTTTTCATTAAAAACACATATAGACTGAAAATAAAGGGATGGAAAAAAATACTCCATACAAATGAAAATGAGAAGTTAGGAGTACCTCAGCTTTTATCAGATAAAACAGATTTTAATTATTTCAAGAACAGTTAAAAAAAAAAGACAAAGAAGGTCATTATATAATGACAAAGAGATCAACCCAGTAAGAGGACATAACTATTCTAAATATATATGCACCAAACATTGGAGTACCCAGATTCATAAAACAAATATTACTGGATCTAAAGAGAGACACAGACTGCAATACAATAATAGTAGGGGACTAACACCTCACTCTCAGCATTAGACAAATCTAGAAAAAAAATAAAGAAACATTGGACTTAAACTGAACATTAGATCAAATGGACCAAACAGACACTTACAGAACATTCCACTGAACAATGCAGAATATGCATTATTTTCATAAGCACATGGAACATCTTCCAAGATAGGCCATATGTTTGGCCACAAAACAAGTCTCAACAAATTAGTTAAACAACATGCTTCTAAATGACCATTGGGTCAATTAAGAAATTAAGATGGAAATAAAAAAATTCTTTGAAACAAATGAAAATGGAATACAACATAGCAAAACCTGTGGGATACAACAAAGGCACTGATAAGAGGAATGTTTACAGCAATAAATGCCTACACAAAAAAAGGAGAAAGATTACAAGTTAACAGTCTAACAATGCATCTCAAAAACCTGGAATAGCAAGAACAAAACAAACCTAAAATTAATAGAACAGAAATAACAAAGATCAGAGCAGAAATAAATGAAATAGTGATCATAAAAAAAATGATGGATAAATGAAACAAAAAGTTGGTTCTTCAAAAAGATAAAGAAAATTAATAAACTGCTAGACTAACCAAGAAGACAGAACACCCAAATAAGTAAAATCAGAAATGAAAAGGAGACACTGCAACTGATACTACAGAAATACGAAAGATCATCAAGACTTTTTTTTTCTTTTTGAGACAGAGTCTCTCTCTGTCGCCCAGGCTGGAGTGCAGTGGCGCCATCTCGGCTCACTGCAAGCTCCGCCTCCAGGGTTCACACCATTCTCCTGCCTCAGCCTCCCGAGTAGTGGGGACTACAGGTGCCCACCACCACGACCGGCTAATTTTTTTGTATTTTTAGTAGAGACGGGGTTTCACCGCGTTAGCCAGGATGGTCTCAATCTCCTGACCTCGTGATCCGCCCGTCTTGGCCTCCCAAAGTGCTGGGATTACAGGCATGAGCCACTGTGCCCAGCCCATCAGAGACTATTACGAACAACTACAAGCTGACAAACTGGGAAACCTAGAGGAAATGAATTCCTGGAAACATATAACCTACCACGACTGAATCAAGAAGAAATAGAAAACCTGAAGAGACCAATAATGTGTAGTGATATTGAAATCAGTAAAGAAAGTCTCCCAACACAGAAACGCCCAGGACCAGATGGATTCAAAGCTGAATGTTACCAAACACACAAAGAAGTAATAACATTCCTGAAACTATTCCAAAAAAAACTGAAGAGGAGGGAATTCTCCTGACTCATTCTATAAGGTCAGCATTAGCATCATACCAAAACCAGACAAAGATGCAAAAACTAGAAAAAAGAAAACTACAGGCCAATATCCCTAGTGAACACAGACACCAACATCTTGAACAAAGTACTAGCAAACCAAATCCAACAGCATGTTAGAAAGATAATACACCACAATCAGATACAATACATTATATCAGGAATGTAAGGATAGTTCAACACACACAAATCAATAAACATGATATATCACAAGAACAGAATGAAGAATAAAAACCATATAACCATCTCAAAAGACATTGTAAAAGCATTTGAAAAACTTCAACATCTCAACAAATGCACAAAAGGAACATACCTCAAAATAATAAAAGCCATATATGACAAACCCAAAGTCAACATCATACTGAACACAGAAAAGTTGAAATTGTTCCCCCTAAGAACTGGAAAAAGACAAGGATGCCCACTTTCACACTCTTATTCAACATAGTAGTGGAAGTCCTAGCCAGAACACTCAGGCAAGAGAAAGAAGGAAAAGGTATCCAAATTGGGAAAGAGGAAGTCAAATGGCCTCTTTTTGCTGATGATATGATCTTATATCTAAAAAAAACCTAAAGACTCCACCAAAAATGCTTAGATTTCATAAATAAATTCAGTAAAAATCAACACATTAAAAATCAGCAGCACTTCTATACATCAATAATGATCTAGCTGAGAAAGAAATCAAGAAGGCAATCCCATTTACAATAGCTACAAAAAATACCTAGGAATAAATTTAACCAAGAAGGTGAATGATCTCTACAAGGAAAACTACAAAACACTGATGAAAAATTTAAGATGACACAAACAAATAGAAAAAATCCCATGCCTTTGGATCTGAAGAACTAATATTGTTAAAATGACCATATTGCCAGAGCACTCTACAGATCCAGTGCAATCCCTATCAAAATACCAACATCGTTCTTCATAGAATTAGAAAAAACAATCCTAAAATTAATATAGAAACAAAAAAGAGCTCAAATAGCCAAAGCAATCCGGAGCAAAAAGAACAAAGCATCAAATTACCTGATGTCAAAATATATTACAAGGCTACAGTAACCAAAACAGCATGGTACTGATATAAAAACATACACACAGACCAATAGGACAGACTAGAGAACCCAGAAACAAAGCCAAATATTTACAGCCAACTGATCTTCAACAAAGTCAACAAGAACTTACATTGGGGAAAGGACATTCTCTGCAATAAACGGTTCTGAGAAAATCAGATAGCCACATACAGAGGAAGAAAACTGGACATCTAGCTCTTACCATATACAAAAATCAACTCAAGACAATGAAAGACTAAAGTGTAATACCCGAAACTATAAAAATACTAGAAGAAAGGACAGGATCTTGCTGACACCCCAGCTGGAGTGAAGTGGCATGATCATAGCTTACAGAAGCCTTAGACTCCTGGGCTCAGCTGATCCTCCTGCCTCAGCCTCCTGAGTAGCTGGGACTACAGGCATGCACCACCATGCCCAGGTCATTTTTTAAATTTGTAGAGATGTGATCTCATTATGTTTCCCAGGCTGGTCTTGAACACCTGGGCTTACACAATCCTCCTGCCTCGCCATCCCAAGGTGTTCGGATTATAGGCATGATACATTATGCCCAGCCCCTTTTTATTTTTAACCATAGTTTAATTCATATATTTAAAGTTCCATCTGTTTTAAACTTTATTATAATAAAAAACAAACTAGTTACACAAATACTGACCAGTACATTACATTTTTAAGAATCATGTTCAAAAGATATAGGCCCTAAATAAGGAAGGAAAATAAAGGGGCATATTTTAAAGAAAGCAGAAAGTTGAACTTAAAATAAAAGTTGAAGGAAAAAAAAAAAGAAAGCTGAAGGTTTCTAAGAGACACATTTTAAATGGAATCAGACAAAAAGATTTCCAAGTAACACTCAGAATTACAAGATAAAATCATGTGAGGAAAGCAATTCATCTGGTCTTTTAAAGGAAAGATTGACATAAGCTTTGTGAAACATAAGAACTAATGTTCCTCTCCCAGAACATGGTCAGGTAAGGTCCTAAAGGATAAAACCATTACATGAAGTAGAACTTTGAGTACTTCAACAACTATCTGTGTACCTGTGAGTGTCTGAGTATTAACATGATTGAAAATAATTATCTAAGAAAAATATTGGCTCTGAATTCTCTTTCAGGTTGATATCCTTTTTAGGCTCAACTATTCATTTCCAAGAGAAGATAAACGCTATCACCAACTCAACTGATGATTATAATTCCACTTTTCACTGGGTATAGAATAGCTGTACTCCAAGAACTTTTGATAGAGAACTCAAGAAAAACATGAGGAAACACACAAATACAGGATAAACACTCACAAATATGCTTATGCCAGGAGGTTACCAGTTTTTCAAAGGCAGCAATGTTTGACACAAGGGAAAAGAAGTCACACGGTATAATATAGAAAAAGTCAGTGACTATAAATTCCACTTCACTACAGGGATGGGGGGAGATAAAAATGTTAATATGCTCCATGTTGTGCTTTATAAATAAAAACTCGTAATAGTGCTTTTAAATGATGAAAACAAAGTAAGTGCACTAATACAGGCCTCAGTGATGTGAGAACATTTTTAATGATCATTATTATAAAAGTATACAAAAGCCACTTTTCCTATAGCCTAACAATTATATTTTAAAATAAATATTCTAAAGGTACTATATCTTACGGTCTGTAAAAATTATCTTTACATATAAAACACTACCTTGAAGAATCCACATTAACCATCCTTCACATTCGGGAATTGAATCTTAAGTTATTGTGAAAATACTTAAATTCAGAGGAAATTTTCAGTGCAGCTGTGTCAGCAGCAATCATAACTTATTCCATTTGTTATCTAATCTTAAAAAATGTTATATTGAGTAACGGAGCCTAACTCAACAACATCAAAGTAAGTTTTCTTCACTTACCCTTGCATAGTGGAATTCAACTCCATAGAGTTCTAAGGTACGTGCTGTGTTTAGGTAATTAAATTCTGCTTCTGCAGGAGATAAGCCTCTATAAAGACATCATTAAGTTAAAAATGAGATCAATCAATCAATCAAATAAATATGGCTAAATTAGAAAAAGGCTATTTATCTGAAAAAACTGAGCAGTCTAATTAAATCTATGAAACACCATGCAGGACTACTCCTCTAACTTATCTGGAGGGCACATTTTCAGTAACCCAAATTATTATTTTCCAGAATACTGTCTTATTTTCTAGAAATACAAGAATACACCAAGTTTTTAAAGCTCCTCACTATTTATATGGGTGACTGTAACAAAACCCCTCACTTTTAGATATAACTTAAAAGCAGTATTTCTCAAAATTTGGTTCATATACCATATCTGCATTTAAATCACACAGGATATCTCTGAAACTTGCAGATTCTAAGCCAACCTCCAGGGCAGTGCTTCTCAGAGTGTGGTGCACAGACAGAGGTTGATTCACAGTATGGAACCTGAGTGTTGGAGGCTTGTATAGCAATCTGCCTGGGTAATATCTGTTAAATCTAACAGCAAAAAAACAAAACAAAAAAACAAACAAATGAGGACTTGTATTTTTTACGTCTTTGTTTTCTTTCTCCACTTTATTTTTCTAGTAATTAATTTTTATTATATTCTACAAAATATAAGTAACACAATAATGACAGCTGGGGGGAAGAAATCATCTTTCATCACAGATGGTTTAAGAAGACTATTCTGTAGAGTCTGATTTAGAAAGGATGAGGTCAAAACTGTTTATATTTAACAAGAATACCAAGTGATTCTTATAAACACAAGTTGAAGAACCATTGCTCTAAATGTAAGGCCTTTAAAAATAGATTTACTCCTATTTCACATATAGTTTTTACAACCTTAGTTATCTGTTATTATCAGACTACAGCAGAGCAAAAGCAGCAAATTACAAAAACAAAGATACAAACTTTCTATTCACTAATGCTACTAGAAAAGGGAGCCAACAGCCCGCTAATGCATGATCATAACACGACTCCTCAAAAAAAACAGTACACTTCCAATTTCTATAAAATTAAATTAAATATATACTCCCTCCAGTTAAAGTGGATACTTCTGTTTTTCTTCATTTAAAGATCTGATGAATCATTTACTTAAACCAAATAGATATATATAATCAATAAGCTTTTCCTTAAGAGTCTTTTCATTATCGGTAAATTTAAAAAAATCTGGCTTATCTTCAAACTCTTGATTCTGATATGCTGTATGTATAACTTTCACTATGAATGGAATTTACTTAGATTAAAATAGCCCCCTCACCACATTAGGTAGTCCATTAAAAACTCAGTCATTAGTCTATTTTAGATCAGGAATCAGCAAACCTTTTATTGCAAAGGGCTGGACAGTAAATATTGTAGGCTTTTAGGACATACAGTCTCTGTGGCAACTATTTAGCTTGGCCATTGTGCGAAAACAGCCATAGACAACATATAAATGAATGAGGGTATCTGTGTTCCAGTAAGTGTTTTATTCATGAACACTGAATTTCACAAAATTTCACATGCCACAAAATGCTATTCTTCTTTTGATTTTCTGCAACCACTTAAAATCTACATAACAATCTTAGCCTGTGGGCCATATAAAAATAGGCAATAGGGGCTGGGCGTGGTGGCTCACGCCTGTAATCCCAGCACTTTGGGAGGCCAAGGCAGGCGGATCACGAGGTCAGGAGATCAAGACCATCCTGGCTAACACGGTGAAACCCCATCTCTATTAAAAATACAAAAAATTAGCCAGGCATGGTGGCGGGCACCTGTAGTCCTGGCTACCGGGAGGCTGAGGCAGGAGAATGGCATGAACCCGGGAGGCGGAGCTTGCAGTGAGCTGAGATCGCGCCACTGCACTCCAGCCTGGGCAACAGAGCGAGACTCCGTTTCAATGGCCATGGTTTGTTATCCTGTTTTAGATACATGAGTTATTAGTAAAAGAAAGTAAGTTTTCTTAATAATAACAACAGCTAACATTTCTTCAGTGCCTACAATGTGCTATGTATGGTTTTGAGAACCTTATGTATATAAACTCATTTAAGACCTACAGTAACTCCAGAGATAGATACTTTTATTATCCCCAGTTTACGTAAGGAAACAGAGAAGAAGAGGCATAAAACAGTTTGGCCAAGGTTATAAGATAGTAAGTAATCTTACAGAATTTCAAACCAGGCAGTCTGGCTCTTTAGTTCAGACTCTTAGCCAATACGCAACACTGCCTTAGTTTTTCCCTGAGTATTCTGAATTGTATATTGAAGCACAACTGAATTCTGAACCAATAAACAATATTACTTTCTATTCAAGGCAACAAATCTCTTTTGAAAAAATAATATATAAAATTATACTCACACAAAAAAATCAAAGTTGAATGAATATTGTTAATGAATGAATATTGATAAGGTTAAGTATCTCTTATCTGAAATGCTTGGGATCGTAAGTGTTTCAGATTTCAGATTTTTTCAAGTTTTGAAATATTTGCATATACTTAATGCAATATCTTGGTATAGAAACCAAGTCTAAACATGAAATTTATGTTTCATATACACTTTATACACATAGCCTGAAGGTAATATTATATAATATTTAAAATAATTCTGTGTATGAAACAAAGTTTTCACCGAATGTTGACTGAAACCCATTACATGGGATCAGGTGCAGAATTTCCCACTGTGGTGTAATGTCAGTGCTCAAAAAGTTTTAAATTTTAGAGCTCTCTGAATTTCAAACTCTTGGGTTAAGGATGTTCAACCTGTACTGTTCTTAAAGAAATATTTTTTAAAAATTAATTCAGTATTATATAGAGTTCCTGTTCTCCTCTTGGCTCACTACCAAGGAGAATCAAGTCCTTTATACCTAAAAACTGAGAAAGAATTACTAAGCAGACTGATCTCTATATTGTGACTATACTGTTTATATTCTAAAATTATTTAGACTATTACACAATAGCAAATAAATATCTGTTTACAGATAGCTTAATGGCTCTGAATAGAAATGAAAATGAGCTTCATATATTCTATGAAATCGTTTTTTAGCATAGATCACCTATATTTCTTTATGATAATATTATTTTAGGTAACAGTAATTGTTCTATATTAAATACAGCCATCATATTAGAATTTCAAACATTTCTCTAGAAAGAATGCCATTAAGAAGTTTATCAAATAAAAAACTAAAAAACTCTTACATGTGTTGCTGATGTAATTTTGCAATTTCTTTTTCAAAATCTTGAGGTTGATTAGGAATGAAAGAATAATCTGAGAGGTAGCCTGACAAGTTCTCTGACTGATCGTAGTCTCCAAGTTCAGCTAATAATGAAAGGAAAACATTCACATTTTAATAAACAAATTTTTAAATTATTATAGTCAAATCAGCGATGCCATTAATTCTATTTCTGGATGTAAAATACTTATGTTTCTAATATAACCACTTAAGCAAGCCACAGCAATCCATTTAACATTCTTCTTGGTCTCAATTTCAGAGGAAATTTTTTCAAAAATCATAGTAATTGCTAACTAACTGGAGATTTCATTACATTTCCACTGCAGTCACTATTTTCTATATAGCAACATTTCTAAAGAACTCCCACATTGAAGCCAATGTACTAGCAACACAAACCACAGTTATATGCTATTTGACCTAAAAATGGGCTGATACTTACACTGAACAGCAAATGAAGCTAAAAGGGCAGCAGTATTAGAAGGACAGGGTAATCTAATAAAACAAAACAAAAATACACAACCGAAGGTTAAACATAGCAATTTCAAAAGTGCTATAATTTGTTAAACAATCACACTTGAAGTTTCATGTGATTTGATTTTAACTGTTAAGAAATAAACTTATCTGATGAAAGGAATTCACACTACATGTAACCTTCTTAAATAATTTGTTTGCAATGACCATGAATTACTTAACACAGATTTAAAAAGTATTTTTAAAGTCCATTACAAAAAATTTTTTAAGAAATTTAAAGAGCCCACCTTCCAGTAAGAATGTCTTGTTTAATTTGCAAAAAATACTGGTACCTTAAAAACAAACAAACAAAAAGGATAGCATTTAATAGAATTGTAACAATTTCAATTCTAAGAAACTGTATACTTACATTAACAAATAAACATATTTAAATATTTGCTTTTATAATTTACATATTAAAACATGTAAAGTAGTTTAAAAATAAGATTTCATAAGCTCATGAATCTAAATCTTTAAAACTCTTTGATGTATGAAATTTGTATTTCGAATGTCTTGTTTCCACTAGCTTCCATTATAGAAGCCCTCAAGATTTCAAATAGTTACATGACAGAGGGAGAAATACTCTTGAGGGTTGGTATATGCAGAAAGAAGTGGGAAGCATAGAAAACCTGAGTATCACAAACATGGAAGAGCATTGTAAGCAATGCACTAGAGACCAGCGATGATTTTCGCTGGTCTGAGATAGAAAGCCAGCTACAAGGACAGGCCAGCGTTTTGATCATTTTATCATCAGATGGCAGGAAGCTGCCTGTTACAGAAAAGCACCTATACACTTCCATGTGAATTAAGGAAGTCTCTCTTTGATTGGCGGGGCAGGGGAAGAATACTTTTGTCTACTATTGTTAGAATTGTCAAGTATTCAATTTCCTGTGAAACCAACAAAAACTTAGGTTTTCTTTAACAAGCCTGCTGTCATTGCTTACAAGATAGCATTGTCCTTTGGTCTCTGCTAGTGGGTAACCCACTCAAAGATTTGTCAATACTTGGGCAAAGTCACCTGTGTTGTATAGGGGTGGCAGAAGACCAAACTTTTTGGTTTTAAATGTTTAACCAGGAAATCTTAAGATTTTTTATTTCACTAAACTAAAAAAAGTACATATTCCAAGAGTCAAAAGTCATTAGAAATTCTAGTTTGGCTGATTAAGTCACTGAAGAGCTCCATGACAATATTCAAATTACCAAAGAGGTTTTCAGAGAATCAGATATTCATTACAAAAAAAAAGAATACAAACATCCTGGCTTCATATATAACTTCTTGTGAGGCTTAGTGCATAATATTATAAATATAATCTATTTACTCAATCCAAGACAGTATATTTCTATCAGGCCTGTTTTGGTTTAATAATTCAAAGTTATCTGGGAGGCCGAGGCGGGCAGATCACAAGGTCAGGAGATCGAGACCATCCTTCCTGGCTAACACGGTGAAACCCCATCTCTACTAAAAATACAAAAAAAAAAAAATTAGCCAGGCGTGATGGCAGGCACCTGTAGTCCCAGCTACTCGGGAGGCCAAGGCAGGAGAATGGCGTGAACCTGGGAGGCAGAGCTTGCAATGAGCCGAGATCGCGCCACTGCACTCCAGCCTAGGCGACAGAGTGAGACTCTATCTCAAAAAAAGAAAAAAAAAAAAATTCAAAGTTAAAGGTTCCTGGTAAGAAACAATCTTATAGTCAGGATTTAAAGGTCATGCATATCCTTGCCATAATATTGTAAATCTGACATAAATAATGCCTATACTTGCCAAATTTTACTTACATACTCATTTAACCAAGAGGCAAGAACTTAACTGTTAAAAGTAGAAACCAGAATTCAAGTCCTAGGCAAAACTAGCCTGTGATCTTGGGCAAATTAGTTAAAATGTGGCTGAGCCTTAGTTTCTACATTTGTAAGAAGAAAGTAGTATCAACTTGCCTAGTATATGTATCTCAGGAATTGGAAAAATTCAGTTCTAATGATGCTAGCACCTGCTAAAAGTAAACGGTGTTTAACCTGGTGAACCTGTTTGACTCCATTCTTTCCCGCCCCCCACCCCCCCATAATTTCAAAATTAAAGGAATATTTTTCACTAATTAAACTAAACTAATTCATTAGTTAAAGGGATATTTTAAAAATTAATTTAGTATTACATAGAGTTTATTTTCTCCTCTTGGCTCACTACCAAACAGAGTCAACTTTCATATAGCTAAAAACTGAGAAAGAATTACTGAGCAGATTCATCTGCATATTGGGAATATACTATTTACATTCTTGAAATCTCAAGGTAAGGAGGTGCAGCAGATTTCCTGTTTCCTGGGGTCTAAACTAGTTCTGAAAACTTAGCAGCTGTGGCAGAAGGTGCACTGTTACTAATCATAACCATCACATTAAGGCTACTCAAGCATTAAAGCTTTGGCTAATATGTAGCCTTGGCTATATATTAGAATCATTTGGGGGAACTTGTGCATGCCTATGCTCAGGTCCCATCTAAGACCTGTTCAATCAGAATTATCTAGGGATGTGGCCAAGACATCATTATGGTTTTAAAGCTCCCCCAAATGATTCTAATTTCTAATCAGAGTAGAAAAATCACTGATATACACTATGGTAGTAAAATTTACAAAAAACTAGACATTTACCCCATTTTACCAAACAATACCAGTTATAAGATTCCATAACATTCCATTATAAAAGGGTCTGAGAGCAAATTAATTCCTTGACTACCATCAAACTTGATTTTACTTTCTTCTGCTTCAGGCAGTTATTTCAACTTATTAGTGAAACATATTTATTTCCTTATTATGTTTTCAATGCAGGCTATAAAAGAATCAACACATTCTACCTCCATTCAGAAATTCAAAGACAGTTTTTCAAGTGAAGTACATTATAAACATAGTTTTAACTGACAATATTTTAAGGGCTACAATATTAAGCTAAGGTGTATACATATAACACGACTTTGTTTTTCATTTTTGTTTTTTTTTTTTTTCAGACGGAGTCTCACTCTGTCGCCCAGGCTGGAGTGCAGTGGCGTGATCTCGGCTCACTGCCAGCTCTGCCTCCCGGGTTCATGCCATTCTCCTGCCTCAGCCTCCCCAGTAGCTGGGACTACAGGCGCCTGCCACCACACCCGGCTAATTTTTTGTATTTTTAGTAGAGATGGGGTTTCACCGTGTTAGCCAGGATGTTCTTGATCTCCTGACCTCGTGATCCGCCCACCTTGGCCTCCCAAAGTGCTGGGATTACAGGCGTGAGCCACTGCACCCGGCCACAACTTAGTTTTTCAAGAGGAATTAGCTTGGATTCTACTAATAGTTGCAAGCATTAGGATTACATAATCCAGAGACTACATTACTGAGTTCTCCCATTTGTTAAAAAAAAAAAAAAAAAAAGGAACACCTGCGCACCCACCCCAAAACACACTGACTGAAAAGAAATCTCTAGAATTTCAATCTAATTTTTCTCACTTGGTTTACTACTGAAAACTCTGCAAACACCTTAGAACTGGCAGCTGCAGCTAATTAAATAATTTATCCTTTTGTTTCTCTACTCCAAGACAGTATCCTAAATGATAACCAATACATTAAAATTTAACATCCCATCTATAGGTAATTTTAGGTATGGATTTTTTAATTTTGACACCTATCTTTTAGAGTAATTCTGAATGTAGTCACTGGCCTATATTCTTATATCTGAGAATTTTACAGAGAGTATAACATGCTAATTTTTAACTGTCTTTGTAAAATAACTCATTACTAATTCTGTCTTTCAGGCAACACACAAGGTTGTCATTCAGGTTAATACTGACAGTTACTACACTGTTGGTATTTCTCCATTTCTACCTTCAATATTTCACCCTATAATCAAGAACATTATCAAAATGTTCATCTGGATCATTCATGTGTATATACTCTGTCAAGTCGAAATGACCATAAAATTAGATAGTAACATAAGCTGAGACTTAAAATGGAGAGTCAAGTGGGCATGTAAAGGCCTCAACATGCTAGTGCACTCTCTGCAACATCCTTTATAAACTCCATTATATTTTTTTGGAACCAAAGATTAAAAACACATAGGGGACAAAAGGTACCTACTGACCCGCAAATAATGGTTATATATTTTATAAATTCTATGTTCTCCCCAATAAAAAAAGATACTAGAATATGCTTTCACATGGGAAAAAAAAAACCCAAATTTCTCACCACACAGCATCCTTTGGATACAATTTCAGCACATTTGATGACCTCAATTAATTATAGCCACACTTAAGCAGTGTTCACAAGTAGAAATTTTTAATATTTACATGGTTCAGGAAGCTGGGGCTGGACTGGGCAGCCCTGAGGTTCTAAATCCCCTTACACTCTCCCAGCCATCCAAAAAAGGAGGAAAACGTTATCTTGGAATAGCCATAACTTATTCTGTGTACTGACTGGAAAGCTCAGAATTACACCACAGTAATTTCTTTTTGCCTAATTAATTTCAAAATTTCATATTAGAGTTTTGACAATATTTTCAAGAAAAATATATCCATAAACCCACCTTGTATATTCTTCTTGTAACTTGTTGGGGTCACTTACAAAAAATTTGACTCTAAAGTTCAAACTGTAAGGAGATCCTCCTAGAATTAATAAAAGTAGTTCTAATTAATCAGACTATATTAATCCTTTATCTTTATAAAGTAAACTTGCAAAACATTAAGTAAATATGTATGCTCACTCTTTAGCTGCTTCCTTATTGGTTTGTTTGGATCCAGCCACCTCTGAAAAATAAATAAATAAAACTGATTTCTTTTTTCCTTGAGGAACTACTATATTGATTCTTGCAAATCTGTTCCATTTGGAGATTAATGCTAAAAGCTGCATTTCAGAAAAGGCCCAGGTAGGAAAAAAATCATTGCATTACAGACAATATTTTTCATATCAAATGTAATAAAATTATGCTAGAAATTAGTGAATGTGTTAATATTAAGATTTTGATTTGACTTTTCCATCAAACAGTACAATGTGCAACAACCTCTATTTCATAAGTAAAGATAGTTAATAATTGCAGCAACCTGAAGTGAATGTGAAGTGATTCACATTAATCTAACTATATTTCTTAAAAGTCTGGCAAGTTTTCAAAATTCTCTTCACCCTTCACGCACACACACACACACACACACACACACACACACACACACACACATGCTCTTGGGCTTTATACTCATTCAGGCAAAATTCTACTACAGAACTTGAAAATCCACTGAGGAGAAATTTTATAACATTTGCCTCATTCCTTTAAAAATAAAATACCTCCCATTTGAAAAAAACCCACCAATTTTTAAAGATATAATGTTTAGTTTTGAGAATGATTGATTTTTATGTGTGAGAAATTTTAAGCAGTTTCAATACTTCTGAAGGCCAGTTTAGCTCTATTTCTGGACAATTAGGACTGAATTCAGAAAAACTTCAACTGCTAACATGTTTCAATTAAAAAAAAATCAAAGAACCCAAAATGAGGTACTAGATGTGGTAGTATTTTCCAAGTAAGTTTATGTATCATTATTTATAAACCTAACTTCTACCACCCATAATTAAATCCAGGCAGAACACATAGATTTTTAATAATAAATAAATGGCTGGGAGTAATTAACAATGATTTCCTCTCCACTGTCCATAACATCCAACACATCAAATCCAACTGAGTCTATCTGCAAACTGTATCTAGAATTTATCAATTTATCATCCTTATCTCTCTAGTCTAAGCTCTATCGCCTCTTAATTGCTCTCCCAGTTGATTTTCTCATCACCATGTCCCTCTTCATGCTCCATAAAGAAGCAAGAATAGTCCTAAAACATAACTTTGAGTATGTCACTCATTTGATTAACACTTCTTGATAATTTCTCAGTACTAGATCCAAAGTCCTTACACTACAGCTTGTATGGTCTCTTCTTACCTCTTCCACCTCAGCTTACTAAATTCCAGCCATAATGGCCTCCTTTCTGTTTCTGAAAGATGCCATCATAAGGCCCTCAATTTCAAGCTTCCCTTTCACAGAATGCCCTCTAGATTTCCTACAGTACTCTTCATTATCCGTAAGTCTCAGCTTAAAGCCTGCCACCTCAGAAAGGCCTTCAACTGACCACCCTACCAAAAGTATGTCGTACAGCTCCCATTTAACAAGTAAGGAACATTATATCCCTTCATTACATTACCTCAATTAAGTTTGTTTCACCTTTTGTCTTTTTTTGTCTGACTCCTTCATTAGATTATAATGAAACCAGGGATAAAAGCTGTTTCAGTCAATACTGTAGAGTCAGCACCTAGCACAGGGCTTGACATAATATGAGTTAAAAATACTGTCAAAAGCAGTGGCACACACCTGTAATCCCCTGTCTCAAAATAAGAAAGTAAGCAAAGTAAATAAGTAAATAAATAAATAAATAATTTACTGAAGGACTAAACCTGCTGAATGACTCAATAGCTGGGGGTAGGGTTTTCAGCCCTGTTTAATAAACTTCTTTCCTCAATCATCTACCATTTATCCACCTTCCCATCCATCTATCTATTAATCTAGTGATTTTTGTTCTTCATATCTTCTAGGAAAAGTCATAAATTATATCCACTTTAATGACTGTCTACAATCAAAATTTCAGATCAATTAATCTATTGAAAGCTTGTCTTCCTCATTCAGTTCTCCTTCAAAATATTCTGGTAAAAGAAATACAAACACATTTACATACACAGATGTGTCAAGCTGACATAGCTTAGAAGTACAAAGATAAGCACTGAGAAATTTAATTGCTCTCATCAATGATATCAGTGAGATAGGGTTAAGGTTCTTGGTTTAAACCAGGAAGATGGAACAGTGCTATAACAAGCACTACTGAATGGTAAAAATAGCATTCATTGTAAAAATCCATCAAGTTGCAAAACAAACTAGGAAAAAACATAATATATAAACAAGTTCTACACATCAATAAGAAAAAACTGACACTAATAGAAAAACAGGCAATGAATAAGAATGCAAGTTCACAATCAAGGAACTACAAATGGCATTTAAGTATATGACAAGATAGTCAATCTTGATCATAATTAGAGAAATACAAAAGTAATCTACATTGGGTTATTATTTTTCAACAGTAATATTGGGCAAAGACTAAAACGTTTGATGACACACACGTGAGAAGAACAGGCACTCTCATACATAGCTTCTGAAAGTATAAATTGTACCATCTCAATGGAGGATAACTTGGCAAAATTTATCAAATTATAAAATGCATATGCCAAGACTCAGCATTATTTTTATTATTTTTAGTGAGACATATTTCACGCACCACAAAATTTACCATTTTAACATGTATGTGTCATTATACTTTAGTATATTCCCTACGGTGTGCAACCATCATCACTATCTAATTCCAGAATATTTCCATCACCCTCAAAGGTAATCTTGTACCTATTCGCAGTCAGTCTCAATGTACCCTTCCCTGTTGCCCCTAACAATCACTAACCTACATTCTGTCTCTACAAATTTACCTGTTTTGAACATTTCGTAAGAATGGAATCATACAACAGGTTGCCTTTTGTGTTTGTCTGCTTTCACAGACAAGGTTTTCTTGGTTCATCTACATTGTGGCATGTAACAATAACTCATTCCTTTTTATGGCTGATACTGGGTTGTGTCTACTTTTCGACTATTATGAATAATACTGCTATGAACATTTGTGTACACATTTTTGTGTGAACACATGTCTTCAATTCTCTTGGGTACATGCCTAGGAGTAGTATTGTTGGGTCACAGGATAATTGTATATTTAACTTTTTGAGAAACTGCCAAACTTGTTTCCACAATGGCTGTACCTTTTACATCTCCAATATCAATGTATAAAGATTTCCATTTCTTCACTTCCTCATCAACACTATCTTTAAAAAATTATAGCCATCCCAATGAGTGTGCTGTGGTATGCCATTCCTTTTTATTGCTGAATATTTCATTGTATAGCTATACCATATTTGGTTTATCTAGTCATCACTTGATGGACATTTGGATTGTTCCCATATTTTAGTTATTATGAATAATGTTGCTATGAACATCTGTGTATAAATTTTTGTGTGGACATACATTTTCAAGTCTCTTCAATATATATCTGGGAGTGGAACTGCTTAAAGTAACTGTTTTAATACATCTTGAAATCACATATGATAAACCCTTAATTTTGTTCTTATATAAATGAGCATTGGGGTTATATCACTACCTATATTTAGTTACAGACTGCATTTTCTTTGCCAAGAACTGCTGTACTAGCTGGATTACTGTGCTACATCTGAGAAAAGCTGAACTGTCTGCAATACAATATATATGAATTTTAAATGTCATAATATTTTATTAGAAACTATAACTATCTAGTTAACACTGATAGCTAACAAGAGACGGTACTACATCATCAACCCCATTCATGAAGGAGTGTCTACTTAGGGATGGAGCTCTGTTTCTAATCTTTTCAAACCTTTCAAAGCGATTAGACATTGCTAATCGGTTACCTGATGACTCATGGTTTCTAATCTTTTCAAAGCCAATTTCCCATTCTTTTCCCTGGGAAGAATCTCTTGTTTACTCTATATACTGCTTCACATGACAAAGTTAATTTTTGTATCTGCCAAAACGTAGTAATAAAATTTCTACATTTGAGATCTGCATGGTTTCTACTAAGAAATCCACTGGTTATTTCATTGAGGTGCACTTCTATGTGACAAGTCACTTTTCTCTTTCTCTTGCTGCTTTCAAAACTCTTTCGACCATTTTCATTGTACTTGGAGTTCAGTGAGCTTCTTCTATTTGCATATCTGTATCTTTCTGCAAATTAGGGGAAAGATACATGGCAAGACCACGTCTCTACAAAAAAAACAACAACAACAACAAAAAAAAAAAACCCAGAAAAAATTAGCCAGATGTGGTAGTGCATGCCTATAGTCCTGGTTACTCGGGAGGCTAGGAGGTTGAGGTTCAGTCTGAGAGGCTGAGGCTGCTGTAAGCCATGATCGCACCACTGCACACTGCACTCCAGTCTGGGTGACAGAGCAAGACCTTGTTTCAATCAATCAATAAAGTAATTTAACTCCAAACTGTTCAGGGTTCCTATTGTAAATAGCCTTGGTCTTAAAGAAAATATAATTTGGACAAATTACAGCCATATATTTATTTCTTCATCTGTTTCAGTATCACTTTGGAGATTAAATTCTAGCTTATATTCTTTTCCACAGTATCAAGTTTTAGATGTATACTTTTTTCCCTTAACTCATTCATTATTTGAAGCCTATTTTCTATAAGGCACTGTGTCAGGTACTGGGGTGATATAAGTTCAAAACATGGTCCCTATCCTCAAAAACTGGTAAGTCATGAAACATATCACCTCAAGAAAGTATCATCACTGCTACAGATAAAAAAGAAAGAGGTAAACTGTACCTGGGGAGTAGTGGTAGTCAGGAAAGGCTTGAGAGGGAAAGTGACTTTTACTCTGAGTCTTAAAAAATGTGAAGGTAAGAGGGGTAGGGTAAAAGATGTGACGGGAGTGAAGGATGTGAGTTAAAGGTAAGATATTTCAGGAAGAGAAAGTATTTATGCCCAAGATAGCAAAGATCAAGTACTGCCTATTTCATCTGTAAAATATTCCATTTTCTATCCATTTTTAGAAATCTTTAGCTGTAATACCTGCCATTACTCATCTTAATGGTAGCTGTATACATTGTGATATTAACCTTTTGTTTCTCTTATAAATCAATCCTATTTCTTACTAGAAATTAAGTTAGAAACTTGGGAGGAAGAGCATCTCCCAAATAAAGTAATTCTGGAGAGTCACTAGATCCAGTAAAAAACATAGGGTTTAGTAAAACAGTAGAAAGAAAAGGTGTGGAAAACTTGGATTTGATCCCAACTTTACCTTTCACTACGCTAAATAAAATAAAATTAATAACAAAAACAATGGCTAAATAAAATTAAAACAAAATTTAATAAAATTAAAAACAATACTGGAGAACTAGTGGGGTTCAATAAATCCTCGTCTGAATATTTTCCCACTACAGCTCCCCTTTCACCTCTCAAGTCTTTCATCATTTTATTATAAAATCAGGTGATTTAACCAAATGGGTGACTATGAATGAGTCAATGAGTATCAGACTCGCAAAGGGACTTTCTTCAGATATTTAGGTGAATAGACCAACTAACCATGAATCTGTAGGCATAGGGTGTCAGCAATTTTTTTATGTTTCCCAAGGAATTTGGAAGCATAGCCAAGTTTAGATGAATGATCGTTTATCCTTTTGTTTTCTATAATAAAATTATTACTAAAATAACAGTATCAATATAAAACATTCAAGCTTTTTTTTTCTCTCTCTCTTTCTCACACACATACAGAGCAAAAAAACATAAAAGTCCTTTATTATGGCTCTTCCAATTCTACTCTTCCATCCAAAGAGGTAGCCTCTGTTCACATACCAGCAAGTATACCTTATAATGCTGTGGTACACCTGCATACAAGCATTTAATAATGTTAGATGCTGAACTTAGTGCAGACACCCAATCAGCATAGTGCACTATAGTCCAGAACTCCTGAGCGCAAGTGGTTCTCCTGCCTCAGCCTCCCCGGTAGCTGGGACTGCAGGCATGCACCACCATGCCCAGCAGATGTCACATACTTTATTCAACTATTCTCTTATGAGGGTTTCAGGTTTTTCCATTACTATTTCCTATTAAAAATAGTGTTGCAAGAGAAATTCTTCCATACAATAATTTTTAAATTTTGATATATGCTGCCATCTGCCTTCCAAAAACACTTTTTCACTTTACACTCTCACCAACTGTCTTGAGAATGCACATTTCCCGAGCCTTTGCCAGAAACAGGTAGTGTGAATCTGTATTTTTGCTAATCTAGTATGCAAAGAGTGTTATCATTGTAATTGGCATCTCTCTGATTAACCAGTGAAGCTGAATATCTTGTCACGTTTGTTATTAATAGTTACTCTTCTTCTGTTCATGCTATCTTCCCATTTTTCTATTGGGTTATGTGACTTTTATTTATTATTTGTAGAAGCTCTTCTAGATTTTAATATTATGTTACATATGTTGCAAGTATTTCCCTCCAGTTGGTATTTTGTCCTCAGTGTATACTCTGTATGTTATGCAGTGAAATCTATCAACATTTCCTTTACAAATGCAGGAACTATTGTTGCCTAGGATGATCATAACAAATATTATTAAAAATGTTTCCAACTCTTACCCAACTATACTATTGTTTTACATTTAAATTTACATTGGAATTTATTTTTATATATGGTATCTGTTAGGAATCTAAATACATATTTTCTCATCTTTAACCAATTGTTCCAATACCTATCTTGAATACCATCATTATAATAAACTATGTTTCATATAGACAAAAATTGATACTTGGGCTGTTTCTTCTACCCCATTGACTTATATCGATACTAAGAACACACTATTTTAAGTACTATGTCATCATATTCCATTTTTATACCTGTTAGGACGAGTTGATTATATTTTATATATCTGGCTAAGTTTATCCAGATTCTCTTCCAGAGGAAGTTGAGGATCCTATTGTCAAATCTTCTCCCCAAAAATTCCATTCAGATACTAACCAGCAATACCACTGGTTTTACCAATGAAACTGAAATAGTGCTGACATCTTTTACAATACTGAGCATTCCTCATTATGAGCATGGTGTGTCTCTATTTATTCATAATTTCTATTATATCTTCCTGCATAGTTCTATATTTTCTTCATATGGCTCTTGACACTCCTGCTTAAGTTTATTCCTAGATGTTTAATGAATCTGGGTTTTAAAAAAAACGTGATTTGCTATTTTTTGGTGTATGTCTCCTAAATGGTATATAAAAAGGTACTGATGTTTGTTGAGCTCTAAGTCTTACCAGTTATAATAGTTTTCCAAATGATTCATTTGAGCTTTCAAGGTGGATAATCATATTGCTAAAGAAAAATGAGTTCTTCCCCCAACAAACATACCCTAACACACAGCTTTATTCTGCAGGGAACTGTATCTGCTGCCCTCTGTTCAATTAGAAATGGGGAAAAGAGGAGGCCAAGTGGCCTCAAATAGTTTCTCAGTTAATCACTTTGATACCCGTACTACATTACCCAGAAATCTTTCCTCTTCAACACCTTTTTGGTAAGTTTTCCTCTGGTTTGACTCTTCCACCAATCCTGTCAACACTGAATGTCAACATTCGATCTTTTAAAAAATCTTGAAAATTTCTTGTCTGCTGATGGCATTCATTTTTATTCTCTGTGTGTTCATGAGTGTACTATTTGACACTGGAAAGCAACCAAAAGTAGGCAGAAAGAGGAGGAAAGTCTACTCTTGAAAAACAAAAACTGCAAGGGCTGAGATATATATTAGCAATCTTTGCCTACGGGCAAGTTCAAATCCTACACAGGCAGAGGACATCCTTACTAACTTGAGGTGTCAGAGGACAGAGTTTAGGAATGGGGGTGGGGGAAAAACAGAAAATTGAGGAGGAGATTCTGAAAAGGAGAACTCAGAAAGAGGATTAGCTCCAAACTCTGGCTGACAGCTGAACTATGCATGTATAGTTAGACTCCAGAGTCCCAAGAAAGAGGAGTTTGAACCTTTAAGAAATAAGTAGAGATACTGCTCCCAAATTGGACACAGAATACAGACTGTGGGTCCAGCCAGGTTAACTGCACCCATTTGCAATATGCAGTTTAAATTGTGACAAATGTGTACAGCCAGGTAACCACCACCATCCACAATCAAGATATTTCTATCACCCTAAAGTGTTTCCTGTGCTTCTTTGCAATCAGTCTGCCAAATCCTAGGCAACCACTGATCTGCTTTTGGTCACTATGTGTCAGTTTAGCTTGTTCTGTAAGTTAATATAAATGGAACCATATAGTGTTCTACTCTATAGATACACAGCAGTTACTTTTCATCCCTTTGTTTATTGATGGACATTAAAGTTAATTCACATTTGGGCTATTATGAATAAAACTACTGTGAACATTTGTATACAAGGCTTTATGAGACATGTTTTCATTTCTCTTGGATAAATAGCTAAAAGTGGGATTTCTCAGTGGTATATGCCGAGACCAGCTCAGTCGGGGAGACCCTAACCCAGTGGTGCTAGAGGAATTAAAGACACACACACAGAAATATAGAGGTGTGAAGTGGGAAATCAGGGGTCTCACAGCCTTCAGAGCTGAGAGCCTCGAACAGAGATTTACCCACGTATTTATTAACAGCAAGCCAGTCATTAGCATTGTTTCTATAGATATTAAATCAACTAAAAGTATCCCTTATGGGAAACGAAGGGATGGGCCGAATTAAAGGAATAGGTTGGGTTAGTTAACTGCAGCAGGAGCATGTCCTTAAGGCACAGATCACTCATGCTATTGTTTGTGACTTAAGAATGCCTTTAAGCGGTTTTCCGCCCTGGGTGGGCCAGGTGTTCCTTGCCCTCATTCCGGTAAACCCACAACCTTCCAACGTGGGCATTATGGCCAACATGAACATGTCACAGTGCTGCAGAGATTTTGTTTATGGCCAGTTTTGGAGCCAGTTTATGGCCAGATTTTGGGGGGTCCTGTTCCCAACAGTATATATTAAATCTATGTTTAATTTTACAAGAAAATTTCCAACTATTTTTCAAAAAGTGGTTGTATCATTTTAAATTACCACAAGCAATTTTATCAGTTGTTCCACATCCTTGTCAACATTTGGTATTGAAATAATTTTTAATTTTAATTATTCTAGTGGATATACTACTTCACTGGATATACTACTAGTGGGTATACTACTTCTAGAGGAAGTACTACTTCATTGTGGTTTTACTTTGCATTTCCTGGATGCATCTTTAAATATTTATTAAATGTCCTTTGTCAGAGTAAAAAGGTTCCTTTCTTTTCCAAGTTTAGTTGGGTTTTCATTATGAATGGCTGCTGAATTTTATTCTCTGTAATTTATGCCTCAGTTACATTGATTTAGGGGAAAAACTCAACAGTATACTTGATGGGGAAACAGTATCTTCGGTATTTTCCTCTAAGATCAGGAACAAGACAAGGTAGTCTGCGCCTATCACTTCTATTCATCTTTGCCCTGCTGGCTTCGGCCAGTGCAATAATGAATTAAAAAATGAGAAAAACAAAAAGGATAAAGACTTGTAAGGAGGAAGTAAAACTGTCCCTATTTACAAAAGACATGATTATTTACACAGAAAATCCTAAGGAATCAATGAAAACAACTACTAACAGTAATGTGTATTAGCAAGGTCTCAAGATACAAGGTTAATATACAATCAGTTAGTTATCTTGGGGTTTATCCCAGAAACACAAAGTTGGTTTAAAAATTGAAAATCAATGTAATTTACCATATATCTACATGATAATCTAGGTACAAAATTCTATAGAATTTACAAAAAGCTACTAGAATTAAGTGAGTTCAGGAAGGGTACAGAATACAAAATCAATACACAAACTTAACTGTATTTCTATATGCTAGAAATAAACAATTTGAAATGAAAAAAGAAAACCAACAATACTATTTGCATGTTTTTTCTATTTACCAAGTTGCCAAAAGCAGAATTTGAAGTAGTAACCTTGATTTACCCCTTTTCCTCATGAACTCACTGTATCTGAATCAAACCAACCAGTCCTGTTGACTTTATCTCCTAACTGAATTATCTCTAGCACTCATCTTCTTTTCTTCATTCCCCACAGCCAACCACTACTTTCTTAGCAATTTCTTTATTCCAACAATCTCCCAACTGTCTATTAGTTGCTGGCTACACTATAACCACAGGGATATGTGTAAAATACAAGTCTTGTGTTTAGTCATATAAATAAATTCATAGGTAAGTTTGATTTTTATCATGGATTAAAAGGCTTTTCATGATATCATGTAATGCTCAAATCTCATCTTTTACCCCTTCTCCTTTTATTAAATAAAGGTTTAATACTAAAACTTTTTTCCAGTTCTTCAAATTCAGCATTCCTGTTTCTTCACTCTTGATCTCTGCATATGCTCCTGCTTCTTTCTTAAACACTTCTGTGCACCCCAGGTCTCTTTGCCATTCCCTCTCAAAATACAACAGAGTTAAACGAGACAAGAAGCAAAAAATTGCATTTAGCAGGCTACCAAAGAGGATTACACAACAGGCAAATAAGAGCTTGAATTAAGATATTACAGTGGAAACATATGAATAGATAAGAGAGAAATAGTGAAACATATAAAATAGATTTAAGCATTTTAGCAACCATGTATTCAAACATGGCTTGTTGAAATAACGGTCAGCCTGTATGTGACTTTTCCCATATTTACTCAAACCTAATGAAATAAATAATGTAAGAATTGAGTTATATAAAAGAAATCTTCAAAGGGTAAATAAACTTACCCCAAGAAAAATATGTCATAACTTAGTAGTGTTAATTAACAGCATACTGGGTTAGAGTAGTGATTTTCATAATATAGTTCCTTGGACTAGCAGCATTAGTGATACAAGGAAACTTATTTGAAAGGCAATTTCTTGAGTTCCAAAGTAGACCTTCTGATTCAGAAATCTCTAGGCATAGGTCCCAGAAATCTGTATTTTAAGAAGCCTTCCAGTTGTTTCTCATGCAAGCTCCAGTTTGAAAACCACAGGGTTAGGAGCTATGCAAAGAGGAGTAAACCAGTCAAATATCATAAACCAACAAAAACTACCAGAAGAATGAACCTGCAGAAAGATCAGGCCAACAATAATTAATAATCTACCCTCTATCCTACTTAAGAGCAGTATAATTCAATTTAATAGGGAAAGAAACAGTAAATGCACAGGAATAATATAATCTCAAGCCTCTGTTAAATAGCATGCTGATAAAGACCACTAAGAAAAAGCCACCTTTGACTGCTCATAAAATTAAAGAAATAATGCATAATGAATTATAACCACAATATTATTTTCCTCATTTATTCAACATACATTTACTATTACTACTACAACAAGATATTATGCTAAAAGCTAAAACTGTGATAAACAGGCTTTAAATTAAAGCAGGAGAAATTCTGAAAAGTCAAAGCTTCAAGTAATTTTCTTTGTTGCACTGGAACTCATTACCAGGGAAGATTCTAAAGGAAAAGACCGTCAGCTATTATTCTGTATTTGTTATTTCATACTTAGGAGAAAAAAACAAAATGCTAGGTGCCTTTTAAGTTTATCAATTATAAACTCAATTACATTAATTTCAATGTCTAAGGCAACAGTTCTAATTCTCTAAAACTAATATATAAAAATACACATATACACATAATATATACATACATGTGCATATGTATATGTAACATACATAAGTTTTAAGATTTAAAAATTATGAGCTAAAGATAGGTGAGAATTAATTCTTGTAGAATCTTAGCAAATTCCTTTGGATCACTGATAGTAATTTTATTATATGGTTACCTCCTCTCCTTAATATGTTCATTTACTCTGTAAATCCTATGCATCTATATCATCATCACTTGGGAAGCAACATCATATGGTAGAGAGTACAGGCTTTGAAGTTAGATCTGAGTTCAAGTCCTTTCTCAGCTACTTCACTAATTTGCGTGACATTAAACAAATTAGTTGACTTCTATAAGTATTAGTTTTTCATCTTTAAAATGATTTTAATGACACTTTCATCATAAGTGAGGAAAGTATTGTGAGAATAAAATGGAATATTATTTAGTTGATTAACAAATTCACAGCAGATGTTTTATAAATGATACTCCCCTACTCCTTTCTCTTGAAGCATAGCATCTTTTTCCTTCAGTCCGTTAATTATCCTCAAAGCCTTAATTTCACATTGACAACTAGAATTGGAACTCTACTTACAAGATTTGTGCTCTTGACAACTAGAAATGGGACACTGTTTATAAGATTTGTGCTCTAAAGATCTTTCTGTGGACACATTTTGGCATCTCAGAAATTCTTCCAAATATTTAAATAATGAAACTGCAGTGCAGTGGACAAGACTAGCATGGGGAGTTAGGAGATCCAGGTCCTAGTTTCACTAATGCCAGGAAGTAGCTTTGGATTGGGATAATGTCTTATGAAAAATTAGAGTGTGAGGCTAGATAATCTCTAAAGCCTCTTTTGGACCTTTAAAATTCTATGATTCTAACTTTTCTGGAAGAATTACTTTGAATCATAAACAACTGGACTCTTGGAACTTGGAATGTATCTTATTTGAGAAGGAATACTCAAGACAGAAAGACAAAGAAAGAAAAAGTAGGAGACAGCAAAAAGATCAATCTAGCTCCAAATACCTGTTTCCCTACATTCATTCTGGTGTAATTAGCCCTACATCTTTTTGTATATGATATGTCTTTTTGTATACAAATTTATGTGATAGAATTTTTATCTCTTGTAGTATACATGATCTCGATATTAATCCTTCTGGAGTACTTCCTGAAAAGGACTGTTTTCATATTTATGGTAGTGACTACAGTGGTGAGTCACTGGTCTCTTCCTCTTTTGTCATCTTGTCACTTACCCCGTCAATCTAATGCCAGCCTACAGCTACAGGGCCTGACTTATGAGGGTCAGCAAGAGCTAAGAATTATCTATTTTTTCTCTTCACGAGGTATACTTAATGAGGTATAACAGTCACCTTTCAGGTATTTGCTTGGCTCACAATTTGCCTTTCTGGTAAGAAAGGAAAAAAACCTTATATCTGAGGAATAGGAGCACCTTTAAATGATCAGGGCAAGAAAGGCATTTAAAAAGTAACAGCAGTCACATCTCACTCTCCCTTCAGCTACATAGTTACCTCTTGAAGCTACTTGCTATGTGGGCTGCAGACTGAAGCCAAGTAGCCATAAAATGTTATACACCCTATAGTTCAACCATGTATAGCCAATCGCTAACCAATGTTATTTCTGTAAGTCAATGAGAATTCCTGAAGAACAATTTTTGCACTTACTCACTCTCCTGAGTGATCCTCTTTATTCTTTAAAAACTTGAACCTTTCTTATGTTCTCCAGAGCACTCTCCAAGGCAACTTGCAAGTGTATCCTGGGCTGAGGTCCTCAACCTTTGCACTTGAATAAACTCTCTTTAAACTACATTCTGACCCTTTTGATTATTTTAGGTTCAACCTGGGAAAGGCTGCATTACTGACATTTCTACTCACTTCCATTTTTACATGGGTTTATTTATCAGGAAACAACAGTATAACTCTAGGCCCCTGAAGAAGCTCAAGTGGTCTAGTGAAGGCATCAAAGTATGAGGAAAGTTTATTTTAATTTTAGTTCAGTATAAAAGCATTTATTTTCACTGAAACTAGCTGGCCCTTGGTTTGTTTTTCTTTGTGTCATCCTCGTATTTTTCCATGACTGGTTTGTAATACAAAATCAGTAAATGATGTCAAAAAAATAAGTGGTAGTATTTAACGTTTGATATATAATTCCCACTAGCTATTCATTCAGAGAATGAAGATCCCAACCATGAGAGAGAGGAAGAAAAAAACAAACCAACTTTTCTCATAAACATTATTTGTATTTTCTATAGCCCTTCTATTAATATAGCCTTATAAACAGATTTCTAAAACATTAATCCAGAACCATTTCTTCAGCCTCCTAATCTTTCTAAAAGTATACAAAATATTCCCTTCAAAATGGAGATCCTCTTACACTAATCAAAAGAATATACTTTATTGCAGAAGTCCCTCACTGTATAAGCATATAAATTTACAAAGAATTCAATCAGAATTTGCTTGTATACCCTTTATCTCGGTTCAGAGTAAGGTATATCCTTTAGTGCATTTTATAACACTTAATTGTCAAAGTAAACATTTCTATTATTCATCACATGCTATCTTCTATTTCTATGATGTGATCTATCTAATTAAAAGAACCACAATTGCAATTACTGAAGAATAAGTAAAAATCCAAGAAATTTAATGCCAAATAATTGTACAGCTCTGAAATTTAATCTCTATCTTATTTGTGAGGGTCTCTGATGAAATTTGGAAATTTGACATTGAATAAATTAAGAATTTTTATTAGAAATAGCTCTCTATAAATACAATAAAAAACTAATTTTACTTTAGTGCAGACTAATTTATATACATCTGAAGGTATTTTAACCTTTATGCCCAATTTCCTCTCTTTCAGTCAACAGGCATAAATTGGATTTACTTTTTAGTTGTCTGAGACACATAATTAATGAAAGTGACATTACCTGACATAATTATGAAAACCTTAAAGCTAATAACTTCTGAAAGATTAAAATGTCAAGAAAAGAGGAACAAAAGCAAAAGAATTACCTCTATTTAAGTCAAGTAAAAAAAAAACTCATCAAATCAGTGAACACTGTAAATCAGAAAGGACTTTCTACACTAAACTGAGAGGAAAAACTAAATGAAAATGAAAGACAAAATCTTACACTTACTGGGTTATCTGTGGAATCATCAGCCAACTGTAAACCAAAATAGTCCTGCTCAGTCAAATCTAGATGCTTGAAGACGACATCCAACAAGACTTGCCCCTGATCATGTTTCTGTAAAAAAAAAAAAAAATTGAATGAAATCAACTTTGATAGGTTACATTCTTCACATTTTTTAACCTGGTTGACTTTTGTCCTCATCTATTAACCCATTTATGCCAGAGGTAGCAAACGTTTTTTGTGTGAAAAATCAGGCCTTGGCAATGACCTTGAGCAGTAGGATATAAATAACTCCCATAAGCTTAGCAAGCCAATAATGGAGCACTAGGCATAAATGGGTTAACTTGGTAACTGTTTTCATACCAATGACTTGGTTGAGAAAAAAGACTTCACATGTGACACAGCACTTTTAGAAAACAACCTGACCTTAGGCAAACTGGTTTAAAGAGCATATAATAAATATGAAAATACAAAGAAACATTTGATTGAAAATACTTTTCACTTTCAGGCTATCACGATATTTTTTTAGTTTATATTATTGCCACATTAACTCATGCATATATCTATATCATTTTGTTATGCCTTTTATTCTTATATTTAAATTGTGACTGGAAAGTGACATATTTGGCTAAATATTACTTAAAATATAATTTTGTATTATAATGCCATAAAAGGGGAACGAAGATGGTAACAATTATTTATAGCAAACTGATAAAGGATTGCTAATATTTTCATTGCCAAAGTACTCAGAGAACTTTAGAAAACTATCTCATTTTAACCTCATACTAATTCTATCATGTAGGCATTAAAGAGTAAATACAACTTCCCCAAGTTCCAAAGCTGTTAAACTGTGGTACAAAAGGCATGATTAGATAATCCCCCTCCAATAAAAAATATAACTTATGAGTAAAAACAGACAAATGATCAACATGTTCAGTTAAAATAAAAAAAGAAAATGGGAAATTATAATGACATGCCATGGGCAAACAACCCCCAAAATAAAATCCAATGATAAAAAATAAAGACAAGAAATACTTATTGCTGCTAACATGGTAGAAAGATATCTGTTGGGAAAGCAATTTGACAAAACAAGCAATAACAATATCAACTACTCTGGCATCTTAACATAAGTAGCAAACAAAAGCTAATACTGGAGGAAACTTCTATACCTATCAATAAATTCACTAGAGAAGTTTATTCTCGTTACATTTATATACAACATATATTAGAAAAATATGTGCAATGGTTTGAGTTTGTCCCCTAGAATTCATGTGTTGAAAATTTGGTCCCTGGTATGGTGATTTTGAGAGACAGGACCTTTAAGAGGTGATTAGGTCATTTAGAAGGATTAATGTCACATTCCAGGGACAAGGTTAATTCTCAAGGGAGCGAGTGAGTTCTCACTATCACAGTACTAGATTAATTACCACAAATGGGTTGGTATAAAGTGAGGCTGCCCCTGGAGTTCTATCCCTTTTACATGCACCCACTTCCCCTTCTGCTTCTCTGTCATGTTATGACAGCACGCAACCCTCAGAACAGACCAGATGTGGCCATCTGATCCCGGACCTCCCAGCCAAAATAAACTTTTTTTTTTTTTTTTGAGATGGAGTTTCGCTCTTGTTGCCCAGGCTAGAGTGCAATGGCACAATCTGATCTTGGCTCACTGCAACCTCCGCCTCCCACGTTCAAGCGATTCTCCTGTCTCAGCCTCCTGAGTAGCCAGCATTATAGGTGCATGCCACCACGCCCAGCTAATTTTTGTATTTTTAGTAGAGCCAGAGTTTCATCATATTGGTCAGGCTAGTCTCGAACTCCTGACCTCAGGTGATCTGCCTGCCTCAGCCTCCCAAAGTGCTGGGATTACAGATGTGAGCCACCGCGCCTAGCCAATAAACCTCTTTTTAAAATAAATTACCCAGTCTCAGGTATTCTGTTATAGCAACAGAAAATGGATATGGTAGAGAATAGCAATATATTTTACCACTAGTTTTTCTTCTCATTAGCTATAGCAGTTTAGAAGCTTCCAGGTACCAGTCAGAATTCAAACTTATGGATGAAACACTAAGGACATTTTTTTTTCATATAATGGAAAGTACAGAGGCACAAAAGACTCCAGCGCAAGCTAATTTGGCAGATGAGGGACATTAAGACTAGGTTTCTTTCCATCTTTCTCATCTGCATTCCAAGTGTTGGCTATATTCGTGAGCCTTTAGCAAGATGCTCACAGCAATTCCAAGATTCATATCCATGTGACAATGTTTAAAAGAACAAGCTTCCTTGTAAAAGTTACCTTACAAAGACTCTTATTGGCCAGAATTGGGTCAAATGGCTATCTGAAAAAACTCATCAATGATGGGAAGTATGTGCTTCAAACAGAGCTTCTCAATGTTGGCCCCCATTTAAATCGCCTGCAAATGTTTTATATACTGATACAGTCTACCTCCCTGACCTGTCTCTCATTCTGATTATATTTGTCTGGGGAAGAGAGCAAGCATTAATCTTTTTTAAAAGCTACTAAGGTGAATCCAATGTACCTTTGGTTGAAGAAACTATGCTTTCTTCCACTAAATGTATGGATTTATTTCTGGACTCTAGACCTTGCATTTTCTTTTCACTTCCTATATATCACAGACTGGGTACTGTAGAATTCTGTTACCCAGAAATGCTAATAGGTGCTGATGAAAGAGCCCAAGAAAAGCCTGCTTTCTCTAGGAAAAGGACCAGATAAGGGTACGTGGTAGGACAGAAACCTGACAATGCCAAACTCAATGGGAAAAAAACTGAGCCCTTCTCTACTAGTGTCCACGGAAATCAAATAAGAAGCCTAGTTTCATGTGCCACCTGGTTTGAGCAGGCAGCAAGTGAAAAGCCTGAACTTATACCCACTTCCAAACAGTACCGAGTAGTACTTCATAATATCTCCTCTAGGGTGGTGTTAAGCAGAAGCAGAAAACATATCCTGAACTTTCACTTAGGCTTATTGGTAGCAGGAGGTGTTCGGCTTCCCCTATTGAGTTGGTACTAGGAGAAGCTGAAGAGGAAGCCTGGACTTCCACTGCTATCATCACATAGCTGTAGCAAGTGGTGTCTCCCAAACAGACAGGAGGAAGAAGATTCAGGAGACAAGGTAGATGGAAAAAGGGATAGTTAAATCTTGAAATGTAATCCTGGATAGGACACTTAACAACGAACTGACTACATGTAAAACTGACCAAAATTTAAAAAGTAAGCCAAGACCTGTATGCTACCAAGGTGACTCCCTACTACAAAGCCAATTAAATGCGATCCAAAGTCTCGTAACAAAATGTCTCAAATGTCTGAGATACTACCTAAAATCATTTATTATAGCAAGAGCTAGGAAAATCCCAACTAGAATAAGAAAACACAATCAACAGATGTCAACACCGAAAGGAATCAGATATTGGAATTATCTGACAAAGATTTGGAAGCAGTCATCAGAAAAAAATGTTTCAATGGAAGCAACCATTATGAATGCTGTTGAAAAGAAATTAGAAAAAAACAAAGATTATTTCAGCAAAGTAATAGAAGATATAAAAGAACCAAATGCAAATTATATAACTGAAAAATACAATAACAAATAAAAACTGACTAGATGGGCTCAACAAAAGAATAAAGATAAGAAAGAAAAAAAATAATCAATGAACCTGAAGAAAAAGCAATAGAAATTACTCAATAAGAACAACACAGAAAAGGGCCGGGTGCGGTGGCTCACACCTGTAATCCCAGCACTTTGGGAGGCTGAGGTGGGCAGATTACGAGGTCAGGAGATCAAGATCATCCTGGCTAATATGGTGAAACCTTGTCTCTACTAAAAAAATATAAAAAATTAGCCGGGCATGGTGGCACGTGCCTGTAGTCCCAGCTACCCGGGAGGCTGAGGCAGGAGAACCGCTTGAACCTGGGAGGCAGAGATGGCACCACTGCACTCCAGCCTGGGCAACAGAGCGAGACTCCATCTCAAAAAAAAAAGAACAACAGAAAAAACAGACTGAAAAAATAAAAAGATGACAACAACCAGACTGTCAGCAACCTGTGGGACAAGAAAAAAATGAGGTGACATTCATTTCACTCCAGTATTTAAGAGATGAGGAAGAGTTTCTAGGATGATAAAATAATAAAACATTTGAGTATTTTGTTTGTAAAATAAAATTTTTACAAATTTGGCAAAAACAAAAATACAGATTCAAGAATCCAAGTGAACCCCAAACAAAATGAATCAAAATAAATCTACCTTATAACACATCATAATCAAAATACTAAAAACTAAACACAAAGTAAACATCTTGAAAGCAACTTAAAAAAAGAAATTACCAACAGGCAATGACAATTCAAATTAGAATGAATTTCTCATCTGCAACCAAGAAGGCCAAAAGGAAATGTGTTAGGCTGTTCTTGCATCACTGTAAATAAATATCTGAGACTGGGTAATTTATAAAGAAAAGGAGTTTAATTGGCTCATGGTTCTGCAGCCTGTATACACAGCACAGATATCTGTTCAGCTTCTGTTGAGGGCCTCGGGAAGCTTACAATCATGGCAGAAGGCAAAGTGGAAGCAGGCACATCACACGGCAAGAGCAGGAGTAAAAGAGCCAGTGTGGGAGGTCCCAGAATCAACCAGATTTCAGGTTAACTGAGCAAGAACTCGCATATCACCAAGGGCTTGGTCACAAGCCATTTATGAGGGATCTGCTCCCATGATCTAATTGCCTTCTACTGGGCTCTACCTCCAACACTGGGAATCACATTTCAGCATGAGATTTGGAGGGGACAAACATCCAAACCATATCAGGAAATGTACAAAAAAACTTCAAGTGCTAAACAAACAAACAAACAAAACCCAAGCCTGCCAATCCAGAATTCTATGTCAACAGAAAATACTCAATAGGAATGAAGAGTAAATGATAATATTCTCAGAAAAATTTAAGGAAATTATCACCAACAGATCATTTTCCTAAAATAATGCTCTAGGAAATATTACAGGAGTTATTAAGAAATTATTTTAGGCAGTTAGGGTAAGGAGTCCTCGGTAAGGTTTTTTTTTTTTTTCTTTTAGTAAAGGCAGCTCCTGAAACATTTCTTTTTTATTTTTTTTGAGATGGAGTCTCACTCTGTCACCCAGGCTGGAGTGCAGTGGTGTGATCTCGGCTCACTGCAACCTCCACCTCACTGGTTCAAGCAATTCCCCTGCCTCAGCCTCCCCAGTAGCTGGGATTACAGGCACACGCGACCAAGCCTGGCTAATTTTTTTTGTATTTTTAGTAGAGACGGGGTTTCACCATGTTGGCCAGACTGGTCTGGAACTCCTGACCTCAGGCAATCCGCCCGCCTTGGCCTCCCAAAGTGCTGGGATTACAGGCATGAGCCACCGTGCCCTGCACTTTTCTTTTCTAATAGAAAAGCAGCTTGAAAAGCAGCTACTTGGGAGGCTGAGAGAGAATTCCTTGAACCCGGGAGGCAGAGGTTGCAGTGAGCCAAGATCACACCACTGCACTCCAGCCTGGGTGACAGAGTAAGACTGTCTCAAAATAAAAAAAAATTTAAAAATATAAGTAAAAAAGAAATAGGAGATCTTAAGCTGAAAGTCACAAAAGATAAGTAACTGAGTAAGAACTACTCATTTTACTCAGTCTCACCCCTACCTCACCAAATACTTTTTGCCGTGTCTACCTCTCCTTTCAAGATTCATTGCCAAATATTAGAATTTCTTTTTGATGGAAGTTATTTACCATGCCACACCTGCAGGAATTGCTACATTCTACTATTTGCAGTAGGATTATAGACTGTAGCACCCTCAGGGTACAATATTGGACAGAGAATCTCAATTACTGTAGCACTTTGCTTAATTATTATCCTCCTAGTATGAATAACAGTTACTAACAGGAAGTAAACATGAGCGTTTTACTACCAATAAGTCTGTTAAGACTTCTTATCAGACTTAGTAATATGTCACATCCTTTGGCTCCTGCAGTATCAGCCATGGCCCATTTGGACAACAAGACTAATTGTTGGGTCTGTCCTAAGTGGTTTGCTCAGTTTAATGACACTAAGGAACCCTTCAATGACCCACAACTCATCATCGTAGGATTCCCTTTGTTAGCTTTACCTTTAACCCTTAAAGATTTATGAGGCATAAATGGGACATAGTATGGGGGCACTTTTAACTGGGTAACTAACTCCTCTCAGGAGAACACTCTTCCCCCAGTGCCAAACAACATTCTCCCCAAAGATAAATTTCACACCCTCAGGCTGGTAAAAGTTGATCGGGTAATAGCAAATGGCTCCCTCTGCTTTAAAAGCAGTAGGGAAGGACCATACTTGGGAGATCTCAGATACTGTAACATCACACTTGTAACTGCTGATAGTTCAAAGATGTGGGGAGGAAAACGCAACAGGAGCGATCTAAAAGGATGAGAAGCCCTAATGGGGGGCTTTCAGAATCTAGCCTCTCCTTCTGGTTGAAAGTCCCGATGGGAGTGATATGCTCTAAGTCACCATGTTGACTATAATGTAAAGAATTACATAGGCTGGGCGCGGTGGCTCATGCCTGTAATACCAGCACTTTGGGAGGCTGAGGTGGGCAGATCACAAGGTCAGGAGATCGAGACCATCCTGGCTAACACAGTAAAACCCCGTCTCCACTAAAAATACAAAAAATTAGCTGGGTGCGGTGGCGGGTGCCTGTAGTCCTAGCTACTTGGGAGGCTGAGGCAGGAGAATGGTGTGAACCCAGGAGGCGGAGCTTTGCAGTAAGCTGAGATCGCGCCACTGCACTCCAGCCTGGGCAACAAAGACAGAGTCTGTCTCAAAAAAAAATAATAATAAATAAAATAACACATGAGCCTTTCCAAACATTCCCCCATGGAATTCCAGACCCTTGTATGATGCTTGCTCATAGTAGCAGCTTACAGATCTGTGGGGGAACTGGAGACATCTGGACTGACAGCCCTTGCCACAGGATCATCTGAGATACTGGCCAGGGCATATTACGTCTCTGATTTTTCCAAACTCCACTTGTCAGGTGGATCCTTTTCACTTGGCATGTCAAATTCCAAACGGCATCGTAAATGACTATCCTAAAGACGGATATCCTTATCCCAAGGATGCCCCTATTATATGTAAAGAAGGGAAACTTCTAAGATATGAGAAAAATCTGCCGGTGTCTCTCACAAGCCACAACTTAGAACCGTCCCTTCAAGGAACAGGGCTATATTTTCTTTGCGGCTCCTGGATAAACTTAATCCTCCCAAGGCCTTGTAAGGGAACTTGTACTATAGTAGCAATAGTTCCCAACTTGTTATTTTTAAATTCTACCGAGACAGCAGCATCATCTGGGGACATCCCTAACTTAGGGTCTTTTCTGGAAACTGCATTATCTTGTATATGCTGGACAAAGAGATCTATCATTTCTATGCCCTTGTATGGAGATTTAACTGAAAGGGTAGACTGGGGAGGACATGCACGTGAAAACATCATCTTAGAAAAACCATGGATGAGAAATTCTATAGACAGAGGTCTATTCTGGTTTATGGGCACCCCTCTCCTTGAAAGATCAGTACTTAATATTTCCATTATGATACAACAAGGATGGAAAGCAACTCTAAGTGTCATAGAGGCACAACAGCAATCTACAGACTAAAAACCTCAGTAGTAGCACAAAATAGACAGGCCTTAGGTGTCCTCATAGCTGAAGTAGGAGGTACCTGTGCACTTTTAAATGAAACACGCTGTTTCTGGATTAACACCTCTAGTCAAGTAGAAGAAAACATACAGGTACTTAAAGATCAAATCAAAATAATTGACAGGCTAAGAAACAACGCAGGCTTCAGCCCGGGTGGCCATAATCCCTCTTTAATGAATTCCAATCATCTTTACGGAATTGGTTAGCTCTTTTATTAAGCCCCCTCTTGCTTACACATCTTGTATTCATATTTGCACCTTGTATACTCAATACTATAACTCAAATTGTTTTCTCTTGCCTAGAAGCAATCAAACTCCAAATGGTGCTGCAAAACGAACCATGCATGGGCAGGCCATTCTTCCAAGGACCCTTAGATCGACTCCAAGAGGAACCCTAGCTGCTCTTCCCCACTTGACGCCCCTTTTCAGCAGGAAGTGGCCAGAAAGAGTCGTCACCCAAAACTCTCTAACAGCAGTTAAGGTGACATCTCCTCAGGGGGGAATATTACGGGAGTTATTAAGAAATTATTTTACGCAGATAGGGTAAGGAGTCCTCAGTAAGGTTTTTTTCTTTTAATAAAGGTAGCTCCTCAAACATTTCTTTTCTAATAGAAAAGCAGCTTAAAAAGCCAGGCCAGCAAGCTTTGATATGCAAATGCTGGTGATTAGAAACTGGGTCCATTCAGCATGGTAATTCCTCCGTCTCCTCCTCATCACCATGTGTGCCAAGTGTCATGGCTGCCTCCAGATGACTCCGCGTGTGCAGGACATCATGGAGACCTGCATTTGCATATTAAAAGGCCAGGGTGGGAGAGCCAGGTTTTTCACAGACTATGTGAATGACACACTTGGTCAAACCAATGCCCTGAGCCCTATGCAAATCAGACACCGCCTCCTCCAGCCTCCTAATATAACAGACTGTTTTCTGGTGCACTCAGGGTTTTCCTCTTCGTTCAGAGCCCCGCTCCCTCTGTCTCTCTATGGGGGAGCCTTTTCCTTCTTTCTTATTAAACTTTCCACTCACTGAAACCTTGAAACCATGCCACATGTGTCCGTGTTGTTTATCTAATCGGTCTGAGACAAAGGACCCTGGTGTTCCTCTAGTCATCAGAGCCCTATCAGAAGTTCTCCAACCAGAAAGTAAGTAACATGAAGAAACTTGGAACAACAGAAAAGAAGAAAGAGTAATGAAATGGGAGAAATGGAAGTAAATAAAAAAGCCTATTCTTCTCTTTAAGAATAAATGTTTAAAGGCTAAAGCAAAAATTATACCTATTTGATGTGCTCCTAATGTATATAGAAAAATACTTAAACACAGTTATATTATATTGGGGAAAACACAATACTATTATAATTATATTATAAAGGGGGAAGGCAAAGGTCTCTAAAAGTAGATAAGGTTTTTATATGTACTCAAAGCGGTAAAATGTTGTTAATGATATAGCATAAAAAATTTTTAATGTACATTATAATAGCAAGAATCACCTAAAAAAGCTATCCAAAGACACTCAAAGACACTACTCTCAAAGACACTATAAAAACAAAAATGAAATTCTAGAAAATGCCACAAATCTAAGAAGAGCAGAAAAAGTAAAACAGAATTGAAAAGCAGAACAAACAGAAAATAAGGAAACAAATAATAAAGTCATAAAACTAGTAATAAAATGGCAGAAAACAACTTAAGCCATAGAAAAGGGACACATATAACTAGGGATGTCAACATCCCTCTCTCAGCAATTGCTAGATTAATCAGCAAAGATGTAAAAAAGAAAATCAGCATGGATATAAAAGAACCCAACAACATATTAACTAATAGGATTGACTGACATTTCTAGGGCACTCTACTCGACAACAGCAGAATATATGTTCTCTTCAAGCATCCATCAACATTCACAAGACAGGCTATATCCTGGGTCATAAAACAAACCTTACTAAATTCAGAATAACTGAAATCACATAGTGTGTTCTGTGACTATAATGAAATCAAAATAGAACACAGTGAGAGAAAGATAGGAAAAATTTGGAAATTAAACAACTTCTAAATAACCCACAGGACAAAGAGGACTCTGGAGAAAAACAAAACAAAACAAAACAAAACAAAAAAAACCACTGAACTGAAAGAAAACTCAACATATCAAAACTTGTGGAATAAGGCCAAAGCAGAGCTGAGAGGAAAATTTATAAACCTAAATGTTACATTAAAAAAAGGGAAGGTCTCAAATCAAGTCTAAGCTCCTACCTAAAGAAAATTAGAAAAAGAGAAAATAAACCAAAATTAGGGAATACAGGAAAGAGCAGAAATCTAAGTATTTGAAAACAAAAAATAGACAAAATTGGTAAAACAAAAATCTGGTCAATTTGAAAAGATCAATGAAATTAACAAACCTCAAACAAGACTAAAATAAAAAGGGGAAAAAAAGACACAAATCAACCTTTACAGAATTGAAGCTGTCAGAAACAAGTGCTTGGCGTAGCCAAAAGAAACCCGCACCTAAACAGAAAATTTCTCAGCAAGGCACTTTTACTTTGGTGGAAGGGTGTTGCCTGCACCTGTTACAACTGCAAGAGCACACTGAACAAAGGAAGGAAGGGGTTTTTAACCCTAACACAGCTCCTGTTTCTGTGTCCTTCCCCTGTTGGCTGGGGTCAGACCGCACAACCTAAGCTGATCCCCGTTGGCTTAGACCTAATTTTTTTTCCCAAATAGGGTAAACGCGCAATCTGCAAGAAAAGGAGAAGCGGAAAAAAGAAGGAGGTAGGGTTGATTTACAACTTATGACCAGGAAGTTGAGTCTTTGAAGAGGAATTTAGTTGTCCCAACAAAGCTGAGGATGTAACTACACACTCCAAAAACATTTACAAGGTAACAAAATAGGAGAAAGGAATCTATTAAGCATAAATTTGAGAACTTGGATGAAACAGACAAATTCCTCACAGACCAAAACCTACTAAAATTCACCTAATATGAAATAGATCATTTTAAAAGACACACAATAATTTTAAAATTGAAATCATAGTGTTACAGGTAGTTAGGCAGGCATAAGCCAGGCAGGAGAGGGCTCTCCCCATCCACCAGGAATGTCAGGTGATCAGGTGATGGTTCCACAATTATTGCATTGCCTCTCTAAAGATAATTCAGCAGCCGGAGGCAGGGACAGACAATCTCCTGATAATCTACAGCTGTTAACATTATAAAGTGTTAATTGAATGCAGGCCCCAGGGAGAAGTAAAAAGGGCATCCAATAAAATCTCAGGTGTTGGGTGAGGGAACCCAGGCATGTGCATTAAGAGACAAAATAGCAGAGCCTGGCTTTCCGAGGGCACACCACTGGAAAAGGGAAGAAAGCCTCAGATGGGCATGTATAAAACTTCCTAAATCCACTGCATGTGCTCACTTCCAAAGGGTAAGAAGGGCACTGTGCATATGGACAGCCCACCGTAAGGAAAGAATCATGGGGAAGGGTTCCAAGATGCCAGAAGTCCTATAAAGTCCTAGGATCACAGTTAAACGTGGCACTTGACCTTCTTGGTGCCCACTTGGGTCTCTTCCAAGTGCACTTTCCTTTCTTTCCTGTTCTAAAGCTTTTTAATAAACTTCCACTCCTGCTGAAACTTGCCTCAGTCTCTTTTTCTACCATATGACCCTCAGTGGAATTCTTTCTTATAAGGAGGCAAGAATTAAGGTTGCTGCAGACCTGTAAGGATTCACTGCCGGTAACTCGGGACACCTTCCACCGGTAACAACAGTTTCAAAGCAAACCTCCCCAAAAACAAATCTCCTGGGCCTGATTTCACTGGAGAAGTCTAAAAAATACAAATCATTTAGATGAGAATTAAGAATAATTCTACACAATCTTCCTCCAGAAAACAGTAGAGGATGGAACTTCCCAAATTGCTCTATGAAACCAGCATTGGCCTGATACTTAAACAGAAAAAGACAGTATAAAAGAGAAAACTACAGACTAATGTTTCTCATGAACACAGATGCAAAAATCCTCAAAAAATATTAATAGTAGCAAGGGAACTGAGCAATATCTCAAAAGGATTATACACATGACCAAATGGGGTTTTACCACAGATGCAAGGCTGGTTCAGTGCTTAAAAATCAATCAAGTAATAATGTACAGAAAGGAACTCTATGGATCTGCTCCTGAGCATAACAACTACTATTAGGGAAAATTATAAAACAAAAACAAAAAGCAAGAATTTAGTCTTGGAGAATTCACCTAAAAGAAAGTAACAAAGAAAACAGCATTTATTCCACAAAGTCTACTCAATCTCAGTAAAATCAGCAAGACCCTGTGGCACTTGAGCCACAACCCACTCCCTCCTTCTTCTGCCCTGGCCAATGTTCCACTCTGGGAAAATATGGCCAGGAAGATGCAAATCCCTTCTTCCCCAGATCCTAGTCAAGGGATATAGGAGAGGCAGACCACCAGCACTTCTCATGCTTCCCAGCAACATTATCACAATTTAAATTCCAGAATGGTATGTCAAAGAATCAAAAGCAACCTTCCTCCACCCAAAGCCTGCAGGGCAAGACTCTACCTCAGACACAGATGGTCCAGAATACTGAGCCCTAATCACCCTTGCCTCAGCTTACTCATAGGGCAGAAATTCCATGTAGGGAGAGGCAAATCAAGTAAAGGACACTGCCCCTACAAGAGCCCTGCTTGTAAGGCAGGAGTTTCACTCCAAGAGAAGCCGAACACTGTCCCCACCCCAGCTCCAGGGCAGTGGAGAAGCTGTGTTAAAGGGAGACAGGCCACAAGAACAGAAAACTTTAAAACTCTACCCAAAGAAACTGACTTTATTTGGTAGCGAGTATAGAGAAGTTCCAGTCTAAGAGTGCTCTTGAAAACAACATACGTCAGCTAGTTTACCAGAGATAACCAGGGAAATACGATAAGCAGGTAAGACAAATAAAGTAAGAACCCTCCTAGAGTCAGAACAAACATCAAAGATTGGCCTCAAGAACTATCCCTGCAAAGGGGCTTAGATTTAACTGGATCAAGACTGTGGAACAATTTATGCTCTATTTATATACTGATGAAAAAAATGTAGAAATTAGACAATAATTATTGAAGCTTAACAGCTGCATATGAAACTGACAGAGGTAGTTAACCTAACAGAAATCAGAGGAGTCAAACAGAGCCCTGATAAACCACTGTCATCCCAGGGTGACTGTGAGAATGCCTAATGCTGTGCGCACTGTGAGAAGATATCAGAGGCTAAAATAGTTCAATCAAATCACTGAAAAACAAGTAAACAATAACGACAAGCCTTGGAAGGGAGGGGTCAATATATTATCAATAGTTACAATACACAATCTAAAATGTCCGGTTTGCTTGGATGCGGTGGCTCACACCTCTAATCCCAACACTTTGGGATGGCTGAGGTGGGTGGATTGCTTGAGCCCAGGAGTTCGACATCAGCCTGGGCAACAAGGTGAAACCCCATCTCTGCAAAAACAGTACAAAATTAGCCAGATGTGTTTCTGTGTGCCTGTAATCCCAGCTACTCAGGAGGCTGAGGGGGAAGATCAACTGAGTCTGGGAGGTTGAGGCTGCAGTGAACCATGATCACAACCACTGCACTTCAGCCTGGGTGACAAAGCAACACCCTATCTCAAAAACATATAAAATAAAGTAAAACGTCAAGTTTAAACGAAAACATAACACAGGAGAAGAAACAGAAACATATAAGAGAAACAGAAGAAAAATAGCAGGTAACAGGAACTGCTCGTGAGAGGGCCTACATGTCAGACTGAACAATACTTCAAAGCAGTCATTATAAATATATCCACAGAACTAAAGGAGACCATGCTTAAAGAGGTAATGAAAGGTATGATGACAATATCTCAGATACAAAATATAAAGAGATAGAAATTATAAAACAAAATCAAATGGTTTTTCACAAAAATACCTGTCATGAAAAATATATTTAAGGGGCTCACCAGTAGATCTGAACTGAAAAAAGATAATCAGCAAACTTGAAAGCAGATCAACAGCTTATATAATCCAAATAATACAGAGAAAAAAGAATGAAGAGGCCAGGTGTGGTGGCTCACGCCTGTAATCCCAGCACTTTGGGAGGCCGAGGTGGGTGGATCACGAGGTCAGAAGTTTGAGACCAGCCTGACCAACATTGTGAAACCCCGTCTCTACTAAAAATACAAAAACTAGCTAGGCGTGGTGGCATGTGCCTGCAATCCCAGCTACTCAGGAGGCTGAGACAGGAGAATCGCTTGAACCCAGGAGGCAGAGGTGGCAGTGAGCCGAGATTGCATCACTGCAATCCAGCCTGGGTGACAGAGTGAGACTCTGTCTCAAAAAAAATAAATAAAAAGAAGATAAATTAAGAGCCTCAGAGATATGCAAGCACCATTAAGAGCCCACCAATGTATGTATAATGACAGTACCAGAAGGAGAGGAGAGAAGGAAACGGAAGAAATTATTTAAAGAAATGTGGATGTGGGCTGGGTGTGGTGGCTCACGCCTGTAATCCCAGCACTCTGGGAGGCTGAGGCAGGTGGATCACGAGGTCAGGAGATTGAGACCATCCTGGCTAACACGGTGAAACCCCGTCTCTATTAAAAATACAAAAAATTAGCCGGGCATGGTGGTGGGCGCCTGTAGTCCCAGTTACTCGGGAGGCTGAGGCGGGAGAATGGTGTGAATCCGGGAGGCGGAGCTTGCAGTGAGCCGAGATGGAGCCACTGCACTCCAGCCTGGGTGACAGAGCGAGACTCCATCTCAAAAAAAAAAAAGAAAAAGAAAAAGGAGAAAAAAAAAATAGAAATGTGGATGTGAACTTCCCAAATTTGATGAAAAACACTAATCTACTCATGCAAAAAGCTCAATGAACTGTAAGTACAATAAATGCAAAACGATCCACACCAAGAAGCATTAGAGTAAAAATGCCCCCAAAAAACAAAGAATATCTTGAAAGCAGCAAAAGAAAAAATGACAACTCCTCATGTACGAGGAAACTCCAAAAACATGAATAGCTGACTTGCCATAAGAAACAACAGAAGCCAGAAGACACCTGGATGACATATTCAAAGCACTGAAAGAGGCAAAAACACTAACCAAGAATCTTGTACTCAGCACATCTTTAAAAGACGAAGGCAAAATAAAGATAGTCATTTCCACATAAATGAATACTGAGAGTATTTGTTGCCAGCAGATCCACCTTACAAGAAATACCAAAGGAAGTTCTTCAGGCTGAAAAAAAGTGACCCCAGACAGTGATATGAATTTACATGAAAAACCAAAGAGCACTGGTACAGGTAAATGAGTAACTATAAAACAGAGTATCTCTGGCCAGGCATGGTGGCTCACACCTGTAATCCTAGCACTTTGGGAGGCCGAGGCGGCGGATCACCTGAGGTCAGGAGTTCGAGACCAGCCTGACCAATGTGGAGAAATACCGTTTCTACTAAAAATACAAAATTAGCTGGGCGTGGTAGTGCATGCCTGTAATCCCAGCTACTCAGGAGGCTGAGGCAGGAAAATCACTTGAACCTGGGAGGCGGAGGTTGCAGTGAGCTGAGATCACGCCATTGCACTCCAGCCTGGGCAACAAGAGCAAAACTCTGTCTCAAAAAAAAAAAAAAAATATATATATATATGTGTGTGTGTGTGTGTGTGTGTGTGTGTGTGTGTGTGTGTATATAGAGTATCTCCTTTTTTTCTTAACTGATTTATTATAGTATAAATAGTATAAAACCATATGTGTGTATATATATACTCTATATATTTTTTTATATGTATACATATATATGTATATGTATATAATTATAGTGGAATCAAAGTTGTTTTGGCCTATGGAAATGATACCAGATGGTAACGTGAATCTATAGAAAGAAATGAAAAGCACCAGAAATGATCAATAGAAGGCTAATATACAATTTCTATATATACATACTTGCTCTCCTCTCTTCTCTCAGCTTACTAGACATAAAATTACATAAATTATATAAAGTAATAATTTTACAGAATATATTTTTGGGTTTGTAATATATGTATATATAAGAATAATAGCACAAGAAGGGGAAAGAGGAAACTGAGCTATATAAAGTAACATTTCTATATCTCACTGTAATTAAGTTATTATAAGCCTGAAGTATTCTGATAAGTTAAGATGTATCTGGTTAAGTCCTAAAGCAACTAGTTAAAAAAAAGAAAACTGAAAAAACCATTAAAGGAATTGAAATGTTACACAAGAAAATATGCACTGAATGTAAAAGAAAGCAATAAAGGAGGAAAAGAGAAACAAAAAAAGCAAAAAGTAAAATAGTACAAATATAAATCCAACCATATCAATAATAACATTAACTGACATAACAAAAATCAATCAAAAGGCAGGGATGTCAGACTGGTAAAAAAAAAAAATAAGACGCAAGTATATGCTGCTAAAGAAAGACACACTTTTCTTTCAGAAATACAAATATATAATAAGTAAAGGATTTAAAAAGTTACACCGTAAGGAAGGTGGAACAGCTATACTAATATCACACAAAGTTTTAAAATAAAAATGTTACTAGAGTCAAAGAGGGAAATTTTATAACGCTAAAGGTCGTTCCATCAGAAGATACAAACATAAAAATATATGTACCTATAAAACAGACAATTCAATAATGGTTGGAGACTCCCATACTCAACTTTCAATAACATATTAAACAACAAGGCAGAGATCAGCAAGGAAATAAAAGACTTGGAACAATGCCATAAACTAACGAGACCTGACTGACAGGTCAGACAGAACACTCCATCCAACAATAGCAGAATGGGCATTCTTCTCAAGTGCACATGCAATATTCTCCACAATAAACCATATGGTAGGCCATGAAATAAACCTCAGTAAATTTAAAGGAACTGAAATAATACCCAACATATTCTCCAACAACAAATGGAATCAAACTAGAAATCAGTAACAGAAAGAAATTTGGAAAATTCACAAATATGTCGATATTAAATAGCACACTCATAAATAACCAAGGGGTCAAAGAAGAAATCACAAGAGAAATTAGAAAATACTTCGATATAAATGAAAATGAAGATAACAACATATCACATTTGATGGGATGCAGGTAAACTGGAGAAAAATTTATAGCTACAAATGACTGCATAACAAAAGAAAAGATCTCATATAAAGAATCTTTTATCTGAAGACACTATACAAATCTAAACCCAAAGCACAAAGAAAGAAAAGTTAGTGCAGAAATGTATAAAATAGAGAATTAAAAAACAATAAAGAAAATCAACAGAACCGAAAGTTAGTTTTTTGAGAAGATCAGAAAAACTAATAAACCTTTAGGTAGACTGAGAAAGAACAAAAAAAGAGTAAAAAGTTATTAAAACCAGGAATAAAAGAAGGTACATTAATACTGAAGTTACAAGGGGAAAAAAGAGATGTTAAGGAACATTATGAACAAATGTATGCCGATAGATAATGTAGATGAAATGGACAAATTGCCAGAAAGACTCAAACTACACGTATTAACTCAAGAAGAAATAAAAATTTTAAATATACCTATCATAAGTAAAGAGACTGAATTAGAAACAACTTTTCATAAAGAAAAAATCAGATCCAGATGGTTTCCCTGGTGAATTTAAAGAAAAAAATTACATTTAAAGAAAAATGCCCTCTCCCTCTCCCTCTCCCTCTCCCTCTCCCTCCCCCTCCCCCTCCCCCTCCCCCTCTCCCTCTCCCCACGGTCTCCCTCTCATGCGGAGCCGAAGCTGGACTGTACTGCTGCCATCTCGGCTCACTGCAACCTCCCTGCCTGATTCTCCTGCCTCAGCCTGCCCAGTGCCTGTGATTGCAGGCTCGCGCCGCCACGCCTGACTGGTTTTGGTGGAGACGGGGTTTCGCTGTGTTGGCCGGGCCGGTCTCCAGCCCCTAACCGCGAGTGATCCGCCAACCTCGGCCTCCCGAGGTGCCGGGATTGCAGATGGAGTCTCGTTCACTCAGTGCTCAATGGTGCCCAGGCTGGAGTGCAGTGGCGTGATCTCGGCTCACTACAACCTACACCTCCCAGCCACCTGCCTTGGCCTCCCAAAGTGCCGAGATTGCAGCCTCTGCCCGGCTGCCACACCGTCTGGGAAGTGAGGAGTGTCTCTGCCTGGCCGCCCATCGTCTGGGATGTGAGGAGCCCCTCTGCCTGGCTGCCCAGTCTGGAAAGTGAGGAGCGTCTCCGCCCGGCCGCCATCCCATCTAGGAAGTGAGGAGCGCCTCTTCCCAGCCGCCATCACATCTAGGAAGTGAGGAGCATCTCTGCCCGGCCGCCCATCCTCTGAGATGTGGGGAGCGCCTCTGCCCCGCTGCCCCATCTGGGATGTGAGGAGCGCCTCTGCCCGGCCGAGACCCCGTCTGGGAGGTGAGGAGCGTCTCTGCCCGGCCGCCCCGTCTGAGAAGTGAGGAGACCCTCTGCCCGGCAACCACCCCGTCTGAGAAGTGAGGAGCCCCTCCGCCCGGCAGCTGCCCCGTCTGAGAAGTGAGGAGCCTCTCCGCCCAGCAGCCACCCCATCTGGGAAGTGAGGAGTGTCTCCGCCCGGCAGCCACCCCGTCCGGGAGGGAGGTGGGGGGGGGGGGTCAGCCCCCCGCCCGGCCAGCCGCCCCGTCCGGCCAGCCGCCCCGTCCGGGAGGGAGGTGGGGGGGTGAGCCCTCCGCCCGGCCAGCCGCCCCGTCTGGGAGGTGAGGGGCGCCTCTGCCCGCCCGCCCCTACTGGGAAGTGAGGAGCCCCTCTGCCCGGCCAGCCGCCCCGTCCGGGAGGGAGGTGGGGGGCGTCGGCCCCCCGCCCGGCCAGCCGCCCCGTCCGGGAGGGAGGTGGGGGGGTCAGCCCTCCGCCCGGCCAGCCGCCCCGTCTGGGAGGTGAGGGGCGCCTCTGCCCGGCCGCCCCTACTGGGAAGTGAGGAGCCCCTCTGCCGGGCCAGCCGCCCCGTCCGGGAGGGAGGTGGGGGGGTCGGCCCCCCGCCCGGCCAGCCGCCCCGTCCGGGAGGGAGGTGGGGGGGTAAGCCCTCCGCCCGGCCAGCCGCCCCGTCCGGGAGGTGAGGGGCGCCTCTGCCCGGCCGCCCCTACTGGGAAGTGAGGAGCCCCTCTGCCCGGCCAGCCGCCCCGTCCGGGAGGGAGGTGGGGGTGTCAGCCCCCCGCCCGGCCAGCCGCCCCGTCCGGGAAGGAGGTGGGGGGAGTCAGCCCCCCCGCCCGGCCAGCCACCCCGTCCGGGAGGTGAGGGGCGCCTCTGCCCGGCCGCCCCTACTGGGAAGTGAGGAGCCCCTCTGCCCGGCCAGCCGCCCCGTCCGGGAGGGAAGGTGGGGGGGGTCAGCCCCCCTGCCCGGCCAGCCGCCCCGTCCGGGAGGTGAGGGGCGCCTCTGCCCGGCCGCCCCTACTGGGAAGTGAGGAGCCCCTCTGCCCGGCCACCACCCCGTCTGGGAGGTGTGCCCAACAGCTCATTGAGAACGGGCCAGGATGACAATGGCGGCTTTGTGGAATAGAAAGGCGGGAAAGGTGGGGAAAAGATTGAGAAATCGGATGGTTGCCGTGTCTGTGTAGAAAGAAGTAGACATGGGAGACTTTTCATTTTGTTCTGCACTAAGAAAAATTCCTCTGCCTTGGGATCCTGTTGATCTGTGACCTTACCCCCAACCCTGTGCTCTCTGAAACATGTGCTGTGTCCACTCAGGATTAAATGGATTAAGGGCGGTGCAAAAAAAAAAAAAAAAAAAAGAAAAATGCATACCAATTCTTGGCAGAATATTCTAAAAAAGCTCAATATAATCCACCATATTTAGTTTATTTGTTTAAAATTTATTTGTTTGTGGTAATCCACTATAGTAACAGGCTAATGAAAAGTCACATGATCATATCAATAGACAGACAAGAATCATTTTTAAAAATGCAACATTCGTTCGTGATAACTTTTAACAAGTTAGTAATAGAGAACTTTCCTCAATGTGATAAAGAACATCTATGAAGTCTCACAGCTAACATCATATATAATACTTTATGCTGTATTTTGATAATTGTTACATGAATCTAGACATGTAAAAAGTAACACATCCATGCAAATACACACACACACACACAAATGACAGCATGTAAAAACTGGTGATAGCTATAAAAGATCTGTAGATGGTACCAATGTCAACTAATGGGACTTTAATATTGTACCACAGTTAGAGAAGATGTTACCATTGGGCCGCTGGGAGAAGCTGAGTAAACAGTAAATGAGACCTCTCTGTACTATATTTGTAACATCCTGTGAACCTACAATTACTTCAAAAGAAAAAGAAAAAAACGAAACAAAACAACCAAAACCCTACTCTACACGTCTATCAATAGTAGGCATTCAATAACTATTTTATTATATCATGAGTCCACCTGAATTTTTCTGTTTTCTATAGCTTTTTTTGAGTTGTCATCTTGTGTTGAGTGGATTTCCACCATGAAAACGGTTGGCCATGAGTTAATAACTGTTATAAAGCTGGATATACAGAAGTTCATTTTTACAATTCTTTCTACTTTTATATGCTTACAACTTTCCCTAGTAAAAATCAAAGTAATAAGGCCATGTGGTCTCTTTCTTAGTCTTGAACCCTACTAATGCCTTTAAAGACTTCAAAATATTTCCTCTCAAAAGAGAATTCATTAATTTGAAGACTTTTATTGAGCCTCTGTTATTTAGTAGACCTTATACTAGGACCTGATGCACACGTGCTTCCTTAGATTAGAAATGCAATATAATTCATCAAAAACAAAACAAAACAAAAGTTCCACCATTTATAAACTGTGACCTGAGGGAGCCTTCCTTATCTTTCTGAGTTTCACTCTACTCCTCTGCATAACAGATTAAAATCTACGTGAGGAATAAATGAAATCATATGTTGTAAACTGTAACAAATTATTCATTCTTAGTTTGCTTAAATGTTGAGAGCAGATATTTCCATGAACTAACCTGGTATGAATATGGATTCATTCTTCTCAAGTTCCCAGGATCTTTTCTTACAGATAGTGTCACCCTGAATCTAGTTAAAATTAGTTACCTCAAACACCAGCAAATTTTAACACCAAAACTATGAAAGAAACAACAGCAAGCTTATGTCTTCTTAACCAACTTTTCAATCAATAATGTTATTTTTCCACCATTTACTGTGCTAATCTGATTACGCAGTAAAAGCCCATGATTATTTACTTTAGAAGGCTGCTGAGTAATGAGCATGGGAAGGGAGAAGAAACAGATACATTCATAAACTGGTAGAGAGAACATAAATTGTGTAAATCTACACAAGCCTTTTAGATGGGAGTGTGTGACTAAGATAATTAAAAATGTAAATCCTTTTGAGCTAGCAACTATACTATTAGTACTACAGCTGGAGAAATAGATATATATGCATAAATACATCTCTGCTTCATTGTAACAGAAAAACACATGCATTCAATGGAATATCTGCAATCATTAAAAAGAACCAAAAAGATTCTTTGTATGTAAAAAGCATACAGAAAGAGGAAAAGTAGCAGGTAACAGAAAGCAGGAAGTATTCCATGACTCCAACTCTAAGAATATATAATGTATACATATAAACACATACACACACATAGACACATACATGTATGTGTATGTATGCTTGCATATGCAGAGAAAATGTGGGAATACACAAGTTTATTACAGTAATGTGTAAGCACAAGGGTTTTTAACTTTGTATTTTACACTTTCAAACCCTCTAGGGTTTTATTAATGAGAAAAAATATTTTTCAAAATAATTTTTAAAATTATGATCTGGTGGGCGGTTAAAATATAAGAAAATATCCAAAAGCAATCGCAACAAAAGCAAAAATTGACAAATGGGATTTAATTAAACTAAAGAGCTCTGCACAGCTAAAAGAAAAAAGAAAAAAAGAAAAAAGCCTATCAGAGTAAACAACCTACAGAATGGGAGAATATTTCTGCAATCTATCCATCTGACAAAGGTCTAATATCCAGCAGCTACAAAGAACTTAAACAAATCAACAAGAAAAAAACAACTCCATTAAGAAGTGGGCAAAGGAAATGAACAGATACTTCTCAAAAGAAGACATACATGCGGCCAACCAAAAAGCTTAACATCACTGATCATTAGAAAAATGCAAATCAAAACCACAATGAGATACCATCTCACACCAGTCAGAATGGCTATTAAAAAGTCAAAAAACAACAGATGCTGGTGAGGTTGTGGAGAAAAAGGAATGTTTTATTTACACTGTTGGTGGGAGTGTAAATTAGTTCAACCACTGTGGAAGACAGTGTGGCAATGCCTCAAAGACCTAGAGGCAGAAATACCATTTGACCCAGCAATCCCATTACTGGGTACATACCCAAAGGAATATAAATCATTCTATTGTAGAGATACATGGATGCCTATGTTCATCACAGTACTATTCACAATAGCAAAGACATGGAATCAACCTAAATGCCCATTAATGATAGACTGGATTAGGAAAATGTGGTACATACGCACCATGGAATACTATGCAGTCCTTTGCAAGGACATGAATGGAGCTGGAAGCCATTATCCTCAGCAAACTAACACAAGAACAGAAAACCAAATACCGTATGTTCTCACTTGTAAGTGGGAGCTGAATGATGAGAACACAGGGACACAAGGAAGGGAACAACACCTGTGAGACCTGTGAGAGGGTGGGAGGTGGGAGGAAGGAGAGTATCAAGAATACCTAATGGATGCCAGGCTTAATACCTAGGTGATGGGATGATCTGTGCAGCAAACCACCATGGCACATATTTACCTGTGTAACAAACCTGCACGTGTATCGCTGAACTTAAAACAAAAGTTGGAAATAAAAAGCAAGCAAACTATAAAACCAGAAATCACCTGCTGAAGAAAAATGCAAGAAGATTTAAAAAGGAAAAAAAAGTATTTAAATAAAAAAGTGTTCACATTTTCTCTTTGAAGTCTCCATTGAAACCTACTTCTTCTATTAGTCTGAATTAAATGGCCTTCCTGTTTTCCCCTCATACTTTCCACTGGAAGGAAGCCTGTCAATAAGTCACAAATCTAAGGCATAATTTCTCAAATTCAATACAACTTACTCTCTAAGCAAGCTGCATACTGATGACAAAATTTTAAATACAGTCAATTAACTAGATGGCTTAGCAAATATATATATTTGCAACATATAGCAAAATGTATATGTCCTGTAATGTATTTTGTACAATAATTTCACATTTGTTGATATTTACCTAAGCACTGAAGTATCTTCAAATACTATTCATAATAAGGAACCTCTAATTATAAGAAATACTTGAACACTTTGGTCTACAGTCTTATATCAGTGTTTGGTTGCCTGCTTGCAGTTTTATTTTTATTGCAATTTTTAAAATGTAAACTAACCAAAAAAAGTATTTTTAAAATTGTTGCTACTTCTGATATACTTAACAAGTGAACTAAATGATTTTTAAGTATTTCTTGGACAAAGGCAACATTTAGTAATCATATTTATGTGTTTGAAAGTTTTGTCCTCTCATCACTCACTTCAGAAGATTCTGGAAACAATGTCTTGGAAGACAAATACTATACATGCATTATTAGCACTATAAATCTTCTGCGAGTATAAGAAATGCAATAAATATATATTGAGCATCTACTATGTGTCAGAAACATTGCTAGGACCAAAAAATACAAGACTGAAAAAACCTTATGATAGCAAATTCTCCTAAAATTAGTATTGCCATGGGTATCATATTGGAGAAGGGGACTTGAGGTGAGGGTGTGGGAATGAAAACTAATTAAAATAATTAATTTAATTATGATAAGAAAGCCATAGGGGAAAAAACCCTTAATTCACTCAAGAGTGCTAGAAAAACCCTCCTGAAATAGGGGAGTTTTAAGTTACAATTGAAGGATGAATAAAAGTTCACCAGGTTTGGAGGCGGGTATTTCAGGCAGAGAGAATAAGTACATAAGAAAACTCACAGGCAAAAGGCAACACTTAACTGTAAGAAAGAGAGATAAATGTAATTGGTAAACTGTGGCCAGAATTCTAACATATACCAAAATCCCCAGTAGGCTGTTAAATAAAACAATCAATACATATTTGGTTAGTTGAATAACTGAATGAGTGAATGATAAAACAGCAAATAGAAGCAATTTTAAAGTTTATGTGCTTTTAGTTCCTTTGCCAGTGTTGCAGATTCTTCAGTCTTTCTTATTTCACAAGAGGACCAGCTAGAGAACAAGGTACTTGAAAGAATCTCTAAAGCTCAAGGGATAATACATCTACAGAGAAACTAATTTACTGGTTATTGTTTCTCTAAAGATGAAGAGACTGGTCCCGACAGATCTTATTTAGCTTTATCACTAGAATTTTAAGTCAATAACAACTGCCAGGCAAAAGGAGCTTCCTGTTGGCAGACCAAGTACAAGGAGAGATATGTTAAGACAAGTTTGCAGGAAAGACAAAGCAGCAGCTCTGCAGACCTGCAGCAGGGGAAAATACTTTGGAAGGTAGTATGTTTCCAAGCCAAAATGGAAACAGTAAATATTAATGTCACAGAATTCATGGGGTGTCACTTCGGCAGCCAGAAACCTCGGTGGCTGGCGGCACCTTCTGCCTGAGTATTGCTCATACCCGCTGGGCTTGTTCCGCCCACTTGACCTGGCAGGCTACACCTGGTACATGTGCAGGAGTACATCCTGCACATGTACCCCTGAACTTACAATAAAAGTTGGAAATAAAAAAGCAAACAAACAATAAAACCAGAAATCATCCACTGAAGAAAAATACAAGATGATATAAAAAGGAAAAAAAAGTATTTTAAAAAAAAGTGTTCACATTTTCCCTTTGAAGTCTCCATTGAAACCTACTTCTTCTATTAATCTGAATTAAACGGCCTTCCTGTTTTCCCATCATATTTCCTACTGGAAGGAAGCTTGGCTCGCGCTACCGGCCTGGATTCCACACCTGCCAAGGGCGAGTCAGGCGCGGAGCAGCGAGGGGTGTGTGGGCGAGTGAGCACAGGGTCCAGCCACTGCACACAGCCAGGGCAGGCAGCCCCAGGCACTGGCATAGGTGCCAGCTCCATGCAAGGCTGTGGCTGGACCAGATGTAACACACGAGACTTCCGATGCGGGCACCTGAATCTAGATGAGGGGAACACGGTGGTGCCTGGAAGCTTGGAGATGCCAGGAACACAAGAACCCCAAAGAGGGTGTCACAGGTCTGGGTTTCTTTTCAGCTTAGCTACGTAATTAAAAGGGTACCCTAGGTATGGGTTCCCCGAAGGGCTGCAGCTCTTCTCTCCTTCTCGTTGCCCACAACATGGCGAGCAGGGGGCGTGTTTTAGCCGTGTTTGTGTTACAGTTCTCAGTACTGCCATTCAGCAGGTCCAGAGTTCTTGTCCTCCCTCCAGGAAGAATGAGGTATGTCAACAACTGGAGGTGAGCAAGGCAGAGAGGAGTTCACGGAGCGACAGCATAGCTCTCAGGAGACCCACAGTGGATGGCTCCTTTCCACAGGCAGGTCGTCCAGACAAGTGTCCAGCTCTCGGTGGAGAGGAGACCTATGGTGGGTGGCTCCTTTCCACAGGCAGGTCGACCCGACAAGTGTCCAGCCCTCAGTGGAGAGGAGACTTCTGATGGGTAGCCCCTTCCCACAGACAGATTGCCTCGAAGAGTCGAGGAGACCTAACCCAAAGTGGGTAGCTCCTTCCCACAGCTGGTAAATCCCAACATCTGTGTGAATCGGGCTGTTTTTAGGGACTTCAGAAGGGAGGAAGTGCATGCTAACCGGTCCATGGGTGGCCATGCGTGGGCCCAGAAAAAGCACTTTAAGTTATCCCCCTCCAGGCTGTGGACTCAACTTGGAACTGACAGCCCAGCCCCCATGCTTCTGGTCATCCCTGGCTTGAAGGTGGGGCTTCACCGGGAACCTTCCCCTTTACGCCCAGAAGCCTGTCAGCTTCCTGCCGCCATCAATCATTTCGTCCACGGTGCCCAGGCTGCTGGAGCTGAGGGTTGCCTGGAGGCCCGTGACGAGCCATCCTCAGCCCCCTACAGGCCTCCCTCCTGTGCTCATCAGCGCCCAAAGTCCAGAGGGGGCCGAGGCAGAAGGAGGCTGGTGTGTTATCACCACCCTGCGCACACACACACCCAGCTAGGTCGCCACAGCACCTGGGCTTGGCCTCAACTTTGGAAATTGGAGCAGGCGCTGGGAGCGAGGAGAGGCCAGGCAGTGGGAGCAGGTACTTCCAAGCCTGCAGGGGCTGAGGGGCTTCCTGGACCCCGCGAGAGCACAGGGATGCCCAGGTCTGCAGCCGTGGCTGGGCAGCTGCAGTTGCCCCCAGAAGGGCAGGTTTCCCACTCTGCCAACTTGGAAAGGGGGCAGGGCTCCCACCTGTTCCCAGCTCCCGCAGGCTCCGTGGAGTGCACAGCCCCAGCTGCGCGTCCCCCACTGCAGTTGGTGTCTTTGCAGCGGCCGCTCCAGACAGGCTGCCACTGCCATCACTAAGGCTGAGTTCTTATTTGGCTAGTTAGTAGTCTTGGGTGAATTTTTCTTGCTACACAGGCCAGTTTCATCAACCCTAAACTACAAGAAAGACCTGATCAGCAGTTCCAGAGTTCTACTGTGTAATGTCTAAGGCTCCTTGAGTGTCTCAGGCTGAGTTACTGAGGAAGAAAAGTCTAAGAAGGCCAAATCTGGGCTCCTAGCTTTAACTATAATAATGAACTTGATTCGTCATACACATATGAAGTCTCCATGTGTGTAGTGGTGTATGCATGTATGCGTATCTTCACTGGAAAGACACTTATTTTTAAGTGTCTAAAAACAACTAGTATAGTGATCTCTGAGGTTCCTTTCATATTTCTTTCTTTTTTTTTTTTTTGAGACGGAGACTCACTCTGTCACCCAGGCTGGAGTGCAGTGGCGTGATCTCGGCTCACTGCAACCTCCGCCTCCCGGATTCACACCATTCTCCTGCCTCAGCCTCCCAAGTAGCTGGGATTACAGGTACCCGCCACCACGCCTGGCTAATTTTTTGTATTTTTAGTAGAGACAGGGTTTCACTGTGTTAGCCAGGATGGTTTCGATCTCTTGACCTCGTGATCCACCCGCCTTGGCCTCCCAAAGTGCTGGGATTACAGGTGTGAGCCACCATGCCCGGCCGGTTCCTTCCACATTTCTAAAGATGCTCTCCTGAAGATGGACAGAGGGACTATTTTCCATATAAGAAAAAACATAATTATTTAATAGGTTGGGCAGGTCAGTAAGAAAGAAAGTCTGTAAGAACCAGTTCGTTCCATAATGTTTAGTCCAAAGGCATACAGACTTAACAGTGACTGAAATCCTTCAGATCCTTATAGAGAATATAGACTGATCACCTCACTGAATGAAGAATCCATCATAGGAATACATCTTCATTTGAGGGAGTGATTAATAAGAGAAGGCAGAAACTTCAGGAGATAACATAAATGGCCAGGCACGGTGGCTCACACCTGTAATCCCAGCACTTCGGGACCGAGGCGGGTGGGTCACGAGGTCAGGAGTTCAAGACCACCCTGGCCAAGATGGTAAAACCCCATCTCTAGTAAAAATACAAAAATTAGCTGGGCGCGGTGGCAGACGCCTCTAATCCCAGCTACTGAGGAGGCTGAGGCAGGAGAATTGCTTGAACCCAGGGGACGAAGGTTGCAGTGAGCTGAGATTGTGCCACTGCACTCCAGCCTGAGCGACAGAGTGAGACTCTGTCTCAAAAAAAGAGATAACATAAACATACTGATTTTGATAAGAAAAAGATTACTTACTGATGGATAACTTAAAATTTAGTAGTGGCTTAAGGAAGTGACAATAGACTCCATTTTCTGCCCTGAGCTCCTTTATAAAGCAGGAAGAAGGGAAACCAAACAATACAGTACTCCAAATACAAAGTATGGACGCTATCGTTGAAAATGAAAAATGCTGTCTATATGTAAGTCAGTGGAAAATTTTTCACATACAGGATAAGAGCTCTAAGTAAGAGTTATATCTAATGAAGTTAATAACAACAATAGTAATAGCTAAACTTATTCACTGCTTACTATTGCCAGACACTGTTGTTCAGTGTATATGGACTGACTCATTTAATCATGAAAACAACCCTATGAGATAGTTACTATTAAGACTCTAAAGATGAAAAACTGAGGCACAGGGAGATTACACAGACTTGTAAAGATCATTCAGGTCATGAGTGGCAGGACTTATACTCTACCCCAGATTATCAAGCTCCAGAGTCCATGCTTAGAGCCACTATGCAATACTTTGCTTCAAAGACACAGTTTTTAACTGTGTCAACAATGGAAGGGTATTATATTTAGTACTCCCACCTGAAGGGGGAAATTCTTTCAGCCAACAATATACAATTGCTTTGTATAGCTTATTTTAAAATACCAACTTCCTTTTCCAGCAATATGGCAGACTAGATAATCTAGAAATCTCAGCAACAAAATACTTAAAACATGCTGGATAATATTAACAAATACCCTTTTAATTACATAGCTAAGCTGAAAAGAAATCTCCAGTGTGCAGAAAGGAAAAATAGAAGTTGGGTGTAACTGTGCTAGGGTTGTCATGGACAGGTTTCTTAAAAAGTAAGCCATGGGAAAGGTGTGTGAATTTTGGGGAGAGGTGATGAGAGGTTGTCTGATGGAAGAAATACTAATGTTCCTCAGTAGAGTAGGGTGACTATAGTTAAAAACAAGTATTATATATTTCAAAATACCTAGAAAAGAGAATTTGAAATGTTCCCAGCACATAGAAATGATAAATACTCAAGGTGATGGATACTCTAAACATTGACTTAATCATTACACATTCTATGCATGTAACATGCACCCTGTATCATATGTACCCATAAATATGTACAAGTATTATATATCAATCAGAAAACAGGTGGGCACTGGAAAAAAGAGAGGGGAAAAATAACCGAGCAATTCGGGTTTATCACAAACAGGTGGAAAAATGTGCAGGCCTTGGGCCTAAATAAGGTGAGATACAGAACTAAGTCTTTCCCAGTGAAAGCCCAGAGTCTGGATAGCAACATTTCTGAATGAAAGGTAGACTAGGAGGGGGAAAAATCCTCCCATAAGCCCAAGATGAGAACAAGTTAAGTTTTTCTGCCTCCAAATGGGATCTGGAATGAAGAAGGAAAAGTCTCACGTGGGTGTGAAGTTTGATTTTACATTATATACTGTTTACAGAACCCCAAAGGTGAAACACTGTGATTAAAAAAAAAAATTAGTCCGAGGTGAAAATAAAACATCTTCAGGAACGCATCCGTAACTCCGACTGAAGGTGATTCACAGAGTTAACACTTACCTGATGACCAGGTCACAATACAAAATTATAAGACACAAGAGTAATCAATTTATTAACAAGAGTTAGCAGGACTCAATTATATCCCTTTAAAACTTCAAATAATTAGAACTATAGAGATTACAAACTTAAATGATTAAAAGTATTAAAGATACAAAAGGATTTGCTCTATCCAATATAAAAACTTATTTATTAAGCTAAAATAATTAAGACAATATGGATTGGCATGCAGATACACCAAGAGACCATTAGAATAGGAAAAAGGGCCCAGAAAACTGACCTACACAAATGTTATTTACAACAAAGTAGTACTGAAGAGCACGAGAAAGGAAGGTCTTTTTCAATGAGATAACAATAAGCCAACTAGATAGCCACATGGAAAGAATAAAACAATCAAAATCCAAACTGCACCATACCACAAAATTACTTAAAGATGGATTAAAAAGATTAACAACAAACTTCTGACAAGACTAGAGAAGAACAATGAAGGAAGTGAAAGAAGCAAATTAAACAAACAGATCAGAATAAAAAAGGGAACAGAATGATAGAGCACTTAGACCTATAACCATTAAAGAAAAACAAGTGGTTAAAAATCTCACACATAAAAATCATCTGACATTGAAAGCTTTTATCAAACCTGTGAAGTTCTAACAACCTTCAAAGAGCAAATAATCTCCAGTTTACTTAAACTATTCCAAAGAATGAGAAGGCAGGGACTGTTACCCAGTTAGTCTTATGATTCTAATTCAAGAGGGAATGTGCGTAAAAGAATGTATAAAGGCAAATCACATGCAGGAATAGAGATGCAAAAACCTCAAATAAAATATTAGCAAACTGATTTTGCATCACAGTAAAAAAAAAGGTACAAGAATTTCATGGAAAATTCAGTATTGCAAATGCAGTACATGTAATTACTAATATTAACAGAATAAGGAGAAAAAGATATACAAGTATCTCCTTAAAAATAGGGGGGAAATCAAATTGAAAAATCAGTAAGAAAAAAAGTTGATTCTTATTTCACATCATACAGAAAAATTCAATATAAATTTAAAGCACAATTATAAAATTTCTAGAAGAAATTATGTGAGAATATCCTTATATTTTCAAAATAGGAGAAACTTTCTCAGAAAAAGATCCCACAGTATGAACAATAAAGAAAACAAGTAAATAAATCTGACTATATTAAAATGAAAACTTTCTGTGCAAATAAAGACACCAAAAAAAAATGACTCCTCTTTTTGACAGACAGTACAGGAGATAACGTATTATGGAAAACTCCTCTCAAATACAATAAAATTGCCAGATAAATTATTTTCGAAACTTTTTGTTTTAGTCTGTTACTGAGCTAGCATGGAAAAAAAGTAGAAACAAAGATCCAAAGCAAAGTGAAACCAGGGAGCCTACCTAGTAAGACCTGTTAAGGTCAGTTTCTAGTCCTTAAGTTTTCTACCTCCGATTTTGATCACAGAATATACATGGGAATCAAAAGTGATATTAAGGTCTATTCAGGATGGATATACAATAAGAGACCCACAAGCTTTCTATGAGCTATTCTCACAGAATAAAAGTAAACAACAACAAAAATCATACCACATAGAATGGCAAAGAAAAACAAAACAATAACTTAAAAAATAAAATCAAAATTGTCTGTCTGTTGAGAACTTACTATGACGTAGTCAGAAAACCCAAGTGAAAAAAGAAACTTCAAGTGGTTCTAGTATGATGATGCCAACAGGTTACTTGCAGAAGTAAATAAAAGTCCTCTCTGTAGGAATTCAAATTTCAACCAGGACTCAAATATTGGCAGAGTATATATAAAAAACATGACCCAGATATATGTTGTCTCAAAGAAACTCAAAATATAATGATATAGGTAGATTGAAGGTAAATGATGAAAATGATTCACCATGCAAACATTAATCAAAAGAAAGATGTGCCTATAATATCAAATAAAATAGATTTCAGAGCTAAAGAGTTTAACAGGGACAAAGAATTATTATACAATGACCAAAGGGCCAATCCACCAATAAGACATAGCAATCCTAAATGTGTATGCACCAAAATAATATTTAAAAAGAATGTTGGAGAACTCACACTTCCTGATTTCAAAAGTTTCTACGAACCTATAAGACAACGTGGTGCTTCTATAAGGGTAGACATTGGAACAAAAAATAATAGAGAGTCCAAAAATAAACTATTCCATTTATTGTTGATTTGTAACAAGAATACCAAGACCACTCAAGTGAAAATGAATTATTGTAGGTGTCCCCAACCCCTAAGCCATAACCAGTATCAGTCCATGGCCTGCTAGGAACCAGGCCACAAAGCAGGAGGTGAGCGATGGGCGGGAGAGTATTGAGCTAGCAAGCATTACTGTCTAAGCTGCACCTCCTCAAATCAGTGATAGCATTAGATTCTCATAGGAACATGAACCCTATTGTGAACTGTGCATGAAAGGGATCTAGGTTGCAAACTCCTTATTAGAATCTAATGCCAGATCTCAGGTAGAACTGTTTCATCCCCAAACCACGCCCTACTGCCACCCCCCATCCATGGAAAAATTGTCTTCCTTGAAACCAGTCCCTGGTGCCAAAAAGTTTGGGTACTGCTGAATTATTGTATTAGTCTGTTCTCATATTGCTACAAAGAAATACCCAAGACTGGGTAATCTATAAAGAAAAGAAGTTTAATTGGCTCACAGTTCCACAGGCTGTACAGGAAGCATGATGCTGGCATCTGCTTGGCTTCTGGGGAGGCCTCAGGAAACTTACAATCATAGTGGAAGGCAAAGAGAGAGCAAGGTGTCTCATGTGGCAGAAGCAGGTGCAGGAGAGAGAGGGTGAGCCAGGCACGGTGGCTCATGCCTGTAGCACTTTGGGAGGCCAACGCAGGTGGCTCACTTGAGGTCAGGAGCTCGAGACCAGCTTGGCCAACATGGTGAAACCCCGTCTCTACTAAAAATAAAAAATTAGCGGGGCGTGGTGACGGGCGCCTATAATCTCAGCTACTCTGGAGGCTGAGGCAGGAGAACTGCTTGAACCTGGAAGGCTGAGGCTGCACTGAGCCAAGACCGCGCCACTGCACTCCAGCCTGGGTGACAGAGACTCGTCTCAAAAAATAGAGAGAGAGAGAGGGCAGAGGTGTTACACCAGGTATCATGAGAACTCACTATTGCGAGGACAATACCAAGAGAAATGGTGCTAAGCCATTCATGAGAAACCACCCTTATGATCCAATCACCTCCCACCAGGCCCCACCTCCAACACTGGGGATTACAATCTGACATGAGATTTGGGTGGGTACACAGATTCAAACCATATCAATTATCATTTCAACAAATGGTGCTGAGACAAAAAGATATCCACATACAAAAGAATAAATTGGACCCCTACCTCATACCATATAGAAAATTAACTCCAAATGAAGTTTGGACCTAAAATTAATAGCTAGAACTACAAAAGTCTTGGAGGAAAATATAGGAATACACACCTTTGTGACTATGGCCCATGAAACATTATTATGCAGTAAATGACTGCAGTCTCAAAAATAGTGTAACCTACAATGGTTACAATGTAACCACTTGACACCTACTAAGATAGCTATTAAAAAAAAAACCTGGAAAATAACAGTGTTGGTAATGATATGTATAAATAGGCACCCTGGTACATTGCTGGTGGGAATTTAAAATGGTGCAGACACCATGTAAAACAGCTTGGCAGTTTCTTAAAGGTTAAACACTGAATTATCACGTGATCCAGAAATGCTCCTCCTAGGTATAGACTCCAAAGAATTGAAAACAAAGACTTGAACAGATACTTGTATGCCAATGTTTGCAACATTAATCACATAAGTAAAAGGTAGAAACAACCCAAGTGCCTGTCAGCAGATGAATGAGTAAACAAAATGTGGTATACCCATACAATAAAACATTATTCTGGAATGAAAAAAAAGTGAAAGTTCTGATACATGCTACATGCTTCCTTGAAAACATTAAGCTAAGTGAAATAAGCCAAACACAATAAGACATATATTGTATGATTCTACTTATAACCAATATCTAGACTAGGTAAATTCATAGAGAAACAAAGATTCGAGGTTAACAGGAGCTGAGGGGAGAGAATCATGGGAACAACTGCCACATGGCTAGAGTTTCTGTTTGGCAAAATAAAAAGTTGGAAGTAGACATGAAAGGTTATACAACATTGTGAACTTAATTGATACCACTGAATTGTATATATAAAAATGGCTAAAGTGGTAAATTTCGTTATATGTATTTTACAACAATTTTTAAAAATTAATTCTGTGATACATAAAAACATTGAACCATACACTTTTAAAAGGTGAATCATCCACTTTAATGTGAATCACATCTCAATTAAACCGTTCAAAAAAAACACACAAAGTAAAAAGCTGACAGTCCTAAAAGAAGAAATGGACAAATCCCTCATAGTAGGAGATTTCAGCATGAGAAACAAAAATCACTGACAAACCACAGAAAGAGTGAGATAAGAATTGGAAACCTAAATGGTCAACAAATATATGGGAAGAAAAACCCAAAAAACACAATGAATAAAGGGTGGTGGATAGTGGACATTCTTACCTTGTTTCCAGTTTCAGGGGAAAGCTTTCAGTACAGTCATGTGCCTCATTAACTGCTTTTCAGTCAATGATAAACTGCATATACTATGGTGGTCCCAAAAGATTATAATGGAGATAAAAAATTCCTATCACCTAGCATTTACTATCCTATACTTTTTATTGTAGAGCCTTCTACTTATGTAAAAAAGAAAGTGAAAAGATGTTGGGAAAAGCAAGTGAAAAGATGTTGGGAAAATTCACTAACAGAAGGTAAAACCACAATGAAATTCTACAACATAAGCAACAGAATGGCTAAAATTTTAAAATATAAGGTATTTTTGAAGATGTGGGACAAATGCAGTCTCATAAACTGCTGGAGCATACATACTTATAGCCACTTTGGAAAACTGTTTCACAGTGTCTCCTGAAGCTGACCCAGCATTTCCACTCTTAGATAATTGCCCAACAGAAGTATATGAATATATTCACCAATATATGTATTGTAAGACTGTTTAGAGCTACAGTATTCATAGTAGCCCCAAAGTGTACAAATCAAGGGTCCACCAACAGTAAACTGAATAAATTTTGGTATATTCATGCAATGATGCATTTTACGTTGCTATGCAGCAAATACACCACAATGCTAAGACAAATACACAAACATAAACCAAACAAATATTAGTATTACTCATGGTTCTGTGGGTTGACTGGGCCCACATGGCGGTTCTCACTTGTGGCTACAGTTAGACAGCAGATAGTAAAGTCATCAGAAGTTTGATTGAATCTGACGTACAAGATGCCTTGCTCATATGGCTGGCAACTGATGCTGACTGTTGGCTGGGAGGTCAGCTGGAGCTAATGACCAGAGCACTGACATATGGCTTCTCCATATGGTGAGAACATCTCACAGCATGACAGCTGAAGTCTAAAATGGACTGTCCCCAAGAGTGTGTGTTCTAAGGAGACCCAATTGGAAGCTGCAAGGCTTCTTATGACTGGGAGCCACAAAGGGTAACTTTACTGTCAGGGTTAAAAGTGAGTCACTTAGAAGCCAGCCAAGATTCAAGGGGTGAGGGACTTTACAACGGTGTGAGTATCAAGTGTACGTGTAGGGGGCCATCTATTGACACTAGCTACCATAAATGAAGTATTATACAGCAATGGGGAAAAAATACTTAGATTGAACTACATATATGAAATTGCTTATAATTACAACCTATAAAAACACAATCTCATATAGTTTAACTCAATAACATTCAAAAACAAAAACAAAACTAGACTATAATGACAGACCTCAGAATGGTGACTACTTTAGGCAAGAGACAAATAGTAACAGTAAGGAAGCACAACGGACGCATCTGAAGTACTGGTAATATTCTATTATCTCGATCCAGTGATAGTTTCACAGGAGATTTCACCTTATAAATTCTTGTCTTACATTTAAGATTTGTTCTTTATTGTATATATGCTATACTTGTAATAAAAAGTTATTTCTGGCCCACTTGCACTGCCAAAATCCTCAATAAAATACTAGTTCACATTCATTCAGAATGGGAAGAAGTTTTTGTTTGACCAAGGAAAATTAGCAAGTAAACAAACAGCTCAGTGGAGACTCTCATGTAATGCTGATGCACACAAAACTTGCAAATTTTACTTTATATTTTAAATGCTCCCTACTTCAAAGTTAGTACTTTGAAACATTCTACTTTCCCTCTTTGCCTTCCTTTAAAGGTTAAACTCAAATAGATTTCCCCCCAACAGGGTGATAAAAGATTTGTGAATCGGTTTGTTGATGCAGTTATACCTATTTATCCATTGTGTGATTAGTATCTTCAAGCAACCTTCAAGTATTCTCACAACGCACACTATCAACTTAGGAAGCAAATGTGTATGTATAGGGGTACGGCTACAGACAAAACAAAATCACTTGACTCAACTTTCTGAAGAAGAAACGCCTAGTTAGATCAAAACTGCAGCTAAAAAACTATTTTATTTTTAGAGATAGGGTCTCACTCTGTTGTCCAGGTTGGAGTACAGGGACACAATCACAGTTCACTGTAACCTCGAACTCCTGGCCCAAGCAATCCTTCTGCTTCAGCCTCCCAAGCAGTTAGGACTACAGGTGCATGCCACCATGCCTGACTAATTTTATTTTTTATTTTTGTAGAGAAGGGGTCTTGCTATGTTGCCCTAACTAGTCTTGAACTCCTAGCCTCAAGCAATCCTTCTGTCTCGGCCTCCCAAAGCACTGGGATTACAAGCGTGAGCAACCACACTCACCTAAGATTATTTTAAAAATTTACTCATCAAAAATATGTTATTGAATATTAACCTTAGAGCACAGTTTTCCAACTTTGACACTGTCAATATTTTGTATTAGGATCATTCTCTATTGTGGGGGATAGGGGAGGGATTGTACTGTGTATTGTAAGGAAGTTTAGCAGCATCCTTGGCTTCTAGCCACTAGAGGCCAGTAGCACCCACCATCCAACTGTGACAACAAAAAATGTCTACAGACGTTGCCAAATGTCCCTTGGAGATTGGGTTGGGGAGATGCAAAGTCTGCCCCATTTAGGAATCATTGCTTTAGAGTTTACAGTTCCTTTAGAGTTTATAGTTTCCGGTAAGGGCTCAAAAGCTCTTGCTAAACACTATCCTTGTACAGATTATTTTCTCATTCAGCTTTAGAAAAACACTAAACAGAAAATCCTACTCCATGAGTGAGGAGAAAAATAAGTATAGTGCAGCTAGGTTTTAACATGGATTTTGATTCTGTCTCACTTGGTATATGCAATGAACAAATAGGAAAATGTGTTCTATAAATATATGGCTAATTATAGAATGTTAATGAGGCCAAGGCAGTCTCCATCTCTCCCAACTGTGTTTCTCTGTAAGGCCAGAGAATATGTGCATCAGAACTATCTTGTGTACTCATTTAATATATACACACCTGGGTCCCAACACAGACCTATAAAATTGAGGTGGAAAAGCACCAATCTGAACTTCTAATAAACCTTCCTTAGTAACTTACTATTATATTCTTATGTTCAACAAAAGATAAGAAAAACAGCATCACAGACTATTTAGTCTTTCATGGCCATAACTTTTAATTTTTAAATTTGTGTCACTTTTCACAATGACATATAGAGATGAAACAGAAGACCATCCAATTGATAGCAGATGTTGTGGGAAATAAAAACACCAGTTTGAAGGGTCAAAGGGCTTGGATTGGCAGAGCGTGGTGGCTCACACCTGTAATCCTAGCACTCTGGGAGGCCAAGGTGGGTGGATCTCTTGAGGTCAGGAGTTCGAGACCAACCTGCCCAACATGGTGAAACCCTGTCTCTACTAAAAATACAAAAATTAGCCAGGCGTGGTGGCAGGCATCTGTAATCCTAGCTACTCGGGAGGCTGAGGCAGGAGAATTGCCTGAACCTGGGAGGTGAAGGTTGTAGTGAGCAGAGATCACACCAGTGCACTCCAGCCTGGGCTACAGAGCAAGACTCCCTCTCAAAAAAAAAAAAAAAAAAGGCTTGGGTTCTAGCCTGGGCTCTACTGCTTAGCACGTGGCTGTGGGCAAGCCGCAAAATCCCTGGATTTGATTCCTCTATCTGTAAAAAAGAGGTAACTGCCCCACCACATTGTTACTGACAAGAATGAAACAAGTGTGAAAAGTGAAAACTCTGTGGACATAATAAACACACATTACTATTACTTCATAGATATTAATACCTATGACTAAACGGAAGGCCATATCCCAGTAAAATTACGGTAATATTAATCTGGATATATAAAAAAAAGCTGTTTCTACAGAAACATACTCTAAATATTATTCAAAACTATTAAAACTAAAGCATATCTCAGTTAAGCAAGTTGATAGATGGACAACACATTGAAAAACAAGATAATTTCCACAAGTTGAAAAGCTGGGAGAAGTTATTCAGTTTATAGAAATAAGTATATACGTAGGAAAGACCCTATACAACTACCAAATAAAAACTTGCTTTCTTTTAATATGGCTTAAAAATGTTTATATTTGGCCAGGCACAGTAGCTCATACCTGTAATCCCAGCACTTTGGGAGGCCAAGGCAGGCGGACCACTTGAGGTCAGGAAATTGAGACCAGCCTGGCCAACATGGTGAAACCCTGTCTCTACTAAAAATGCAAAAATTAGCTGGGCGTGGTGGCACGTGCCTGTAATCCCAGCTACTCAGGAGGCTGAGGCAGGAGAAGTGCTTGAACCTGGGAGGCAGAGGCTGCAGTGAGCCGAGATCACACCACTGCACTCCAGCCTGGCAGACATAGCGAGACTCTATCTCAAAGAAAAAAATGTTTATATTCAACTCCTTACATAATAATAAAGGAGTCATGTCACCAAAAAGAAAATCACAGTCCCAAATGGGTATCTAACAACAGGGCTCCAAAATACAAAAGATAAAAATTATATAACTGAAAGAAATAGATAAATGCACAATTATACTTGAAGACTTCAATGCTACTCTCTCGATAATTGATAGAACAAAGTTAAAAGAAAAGCAGCAAAGATATAAAAACACTACCGTGTGCCTGTAATCCCTGCTACCTGGGAGCCTGAGGTGGGAGGGCTGTTTAAGCCCAGGAGTTGGAGACCAACCTGAGCAACACAGAATGTCTCAATTTTTTTAAAATATAAAAACAAAAATACTACTAACCAACTTAACCTAACTGATATTTCTAGCCCTTTCCACCGCCCTGCCTCCCCCCCAAAAAGAGTAGAACAGACATCCTTTTTAAGTGCACATGGATTATTCACCAAGATATGTCATATTCTGGCCCTTAAAACAAACCTTATCAAATTTAAAAGAACTGAAATCATACAAAGTATGTTCTCTAGCCATAACAGAATTGAAATAGAAATCATTAAGCGAAAGATATATGGAAAATCCTCAACTATTTGAAAACTAAACGACATACATATAAATAATGCCTGGGGGAAACAGGAAGTCTAGCGGGAATTTGGAAAATATTCTGAACTAAATGAATATGAAAAGACAACATATCAAAAAGATATAGTTATAGCATGTTGTCTTTCCACAGAGTCTCCACATGGTGGCCTCAGGGGAGCCAGACTTCTTACAGAGCAGCTAAAAGTTCTTCGAGAGTGAGTTTACCATAAAACAATAGCAGAAGCTGAAGGGTCTTTTCTAAGCTAGCGAGGGAAGTCATGCAACATCTCTTTCAACAGATTCTATTGGAAGAAAACGGCACTCATAAAGGCTCACCAAGGTTCAAGTAAAGGGAATACAGCCTCTCTCTCTCAGTAAGAAATATTTCGAAGATTTTAAAACCACCACTGAAATCTTCAGCAAACACAGAATTTGAGTTGTGGAAAGATATCCAAACTAGAGATAACAGATACCACAATCTTCAGCAACCACGAAATAATTGAAAGTGAAAAGATACAAAAGACAATAGTAAATCCTCAAGGAATACTGATATGTAAGAAACAGATGGGCTGGGCACGGTGGCTCACGCCTGTAATCCCAGCACTTTAGGAGGCCGAGGCGGGTGGATCACGAGGTCAGGAGATGGAGACCATCCTGGCTAATATGGTGAAACCCCATCTCTGCTAAAAATACAAAAATTAGCCGGGCGTGGTGGCGGGCACCTGGAGTCCCAGCTACTCGGGAGGCTGAGACAGGAGAATGGCGTGAATCCGGGAGGCGGAGCTTGCAGTGAGCGGAGATCGAGCCACTGCACTCTAGCCTGGGCGACAGAGCGAGACTGCGTCTCCAAAAAAAAAAAAAAAAGAAACAGATGAAGTATATCCAGAATGTGATCACAGAGAAGAGAGCTTTCCTTGAAATAAGGAGCAGTACCAGTTTTTAAAGCTCCTAGAGGTCAAACAAAATGAGCCTTGATAAACTGATGAATTTCTTAACTAGATAATAATCACTGAGGAAGCAGTTACAGTAAAAGAATAAAGGTTGAGATAAGATTGCAATATTTAGGTGCTTGATTACAAACTGGTTAAGGTGACTCTTGTTATAGTCCCCAAAACACATGTAAAATAGAAATGGGGGGAGAGGCAAACTTCAAAAATAAAAACTTGATTTTAATTAAAATACAAGAATGTGACTTCAAATGTCATGGCAAACCACCATCCACTGTTGTTAGTCTTCTAAAGGAAAAAGAATTAATAACTTACTGTTCAAAAATGCTTAAACCTACAGTTAAATGTGATGGACTGAAAATGTGTTTACCTTTACTCATTCCTGAAAGCCCACTAATTTGAGGGGGAAAAAAAAAGAAGGAATGTACTAAAAACATAAAAACCACAAGAACAACAAAAGGAGAGAAGATATCGGCTAAAGAGATACTAACACACAGGCCGGGTGCGGTGGCTCACGCCTGAAATCCCAGCACTTTGGGAGGCCGAGGCAGGTGGATCACGAGGTGAGGAGATCGAGACCAACCTGACCAACATAGTGAAACCCCGTCTCTACTAAAAATATAAAAATCAGCTGGGCATGGTGGCACATGCCTGTAGTCCCAGCTACTTGGGAGGCTGAGGCAGGAGAATCACTTGAACCCGCAAGGTGGAGGTTGCAGTGAGCTGAGATCACGCCACTGCACTCCAGCCTGGGCAACAGAATGAGAATCCATCTCAAAAAAAAAAAAGGGGGGGGGAGGGGATACTAATACACTTTGGAAGATAGAAAGCATGTGGAAGAGACAGCAGAGCTAAACACCAAATACCTGCAGAGAAAGATATCAACAGGAAGCAAATCAAATATACAGAAAGGCTCAAACATTGGAGGATAAGTGTGAGAAACAGCAAGATAAGGCATGAGGCTAAAAATGGGAAAGGAAGGTTGAAGATCCATGTAGGGAACAGTTGTGTCCCTCAGTTCTCAATCCCATACCTCCCCTGAATTATTCTAAGATAAACTGAAGTGGCTTCAAATCTAGGGACATCAAGCATAGTGGAAAGCAAAAGAGTGTCATATTGCAAGCTGGTGGATTTCATGCACAATCTACATGAAATTTAAGCAAAAAAAAAAGTGAAAAGGAAAACACGTTTTAAATGTCTACAAACAATACGTCATACATAAACAATCAGGAATTGAAATAGTATCAGACTCCTCATCAGCAATATTAATAGAAGGCAATATTTTCAAAACTCTGAGAAATTATTTCCAATCTAAAATTCTCTACCCAAACTATCAATTAAGTCTAGGGTAAAACTTAAGACATTTTCAAAAACGAAGGATATAAAGAACTAGCACACATCCCACACAAGATATTCTTGATGAAGAAAAATGAAAGTCATCTCACAGTGATTCAAAGTAAGTGATGTCAAAAAATACAGTGAATCCAAAGTTGTAAATTAACCTAGTGCTAAAATTAAGTACCTATTTAATGTATCAAGTGCCTATCAACATCCAGATTTTACATGAAAAAATTAAATAATTGCAAAAGAAAGCCAAAACTACATGCTCTGAAGTTTATCATAAACAAATCAAATGAATCATCAAAAGGAAATGTCTGCACATTCAAAAAAAAAAGTGTCATAATACTATTACTAATTCCTCACATAGTACAGCTGTCACTTTTCTTGGTGGAAACCAAACTGATACACTAAAAATTATAGAGGCCAGAGGCGGTGGCTCACACCTGTAATCTCAGCACTCTGGGAGGCCCAGCTGGGCAGATCACGAGGTCAAGAGATTGAAACCATCCTGGCCAACATGGTGAAACCTCATCTCTACTAAAAATATAAAAATTAGCTGGGCATGGTGGCAGGCGCCTGTAGTCCCAGCTACTTGGGAGGCTGAGGCAGAAGAATCACTTGAACCTGGGAGGCGGAGGTTGCAGTGAACCGAGATCACGCCACTGCTCCAGCCTGGTGACAGAGTGATACTTTGTCTCAAAAAAAAAAAAAAAAAAAATTATGGATAGAATTCAAAAGGTAAATGGAAAAACAGAGTCATAAAATGTCACTAGGAATAATATTTAAGAGGAAGAGCTACTATACTGAATTACCAAGAGGATAAAGGAGTTTCAGGATAAATATTTTCAAAAGTAAATCTTGCTATGTGTGCATACATGTATACGTGTATACATATACACATGCAAGTCCAGCTTTACATACACACACATGTGTGTATGTAAAGCTGTGTATATATATATGTAAAGTATACATATATATATGTGCAAGTCCAGCTTTATTTTAAACATTTGGAAGCATAATTATTAAGTCTAATTATTGAAAAGAATGTTAAATAATAAGGGCAAAGACTCAAATAAATGGATATTACCTTTAATATGAAACCAAATTCCTGATATACAGATACTGAACTATCCAATTTGAGTTAGGAATAAACATTATGAATGGTGGGTTCAAAGATAAGATGCAATTTCTTCTCTAGAGTATTATGATCAGCAGAGCACATCCATCAACATCAACACCAACACCAGCATCTGGGCAAAGAGCCAGACCTTCCAGGTCTTCCCACCAGGGCTTCCTTGGGGGATTCTTGAATCCACATGGGAATCAGGACAGACAATTACCCAGGGGAAGCAGTGAGGCAGCAGAGAGTGAGTCATGTAGCTTCCTTATGTGATAACTATAACTCTTTCTATGCTCACCAACTCCATTCCAATGAATACTGAAAGTTTCTTTATGCAAGTACTAGGAAGAAAACAGAGCTATGTCATACATCCTTTCCCAAAGAACAGATCACATCTATCACAGATGGACATGCTATTAAATGAGCTTCAGGAGAGACATACAAAGCACTATGATGGCAAAAATATTTAAATGATTATTCCCTTCAAGAATATGAAATAAGTCAAAAGGCAGCACATTTAAGAGCCAAATAGGCCAGGCACCGCGGCTCATGCCTATAATTCCAGCAGTGTGGGAGGTCGAGGTGGGAGGATCACTTGAGACCAGGAGTTAGAGACCAGCCTGAACAACATAGTGAGACTTCGTCTCTAAAGAATTTTTTAAATTAGGTGGTCATGGTGGCGCATGCCCGTAGTCTCAGCTACTTGGGAAGTTGAGGTGGGAGGATTCCCTTGAGCCCAGGAGTTCAAGCCTGCACTAAACTATGGTGGTACTACCACATTCCATCCTGGAAGATAGAGCAAGACACTGTCTCTAAACAAAACAAAAAAAACAACAGCCAAGTATTCCTTACACACTGTGAATACAGTAGAGAAAAAAAGGGCATAGGCTAAAATATTTATGAAATATTTTTAAGATGCTAGATATGTAAACAAACAAAAAAGTTAAATAATTAAGCATTAATAATTTATCAGCCAAGGACAGAAGCTTCTCTGACAACGGCTATGCCCAGATCAACTTGTGTGAAGGTGCATCTCAAATGTTGCAGATGAAATCTTCTAAAATATCAAATCCATTAGCCCAGCTGTTTAGGGTTCCATCTTTGGAAAGCAAGGGCCATTTCGATTTTATAAGATGAATATATTTACTATTATTAACTGAGATCTAAGTCCTATTTGGCTCAACTATCTGGGTCAAGTAAACAATGAATCAGAAAATACAGCAAGTAACATGTTAAATGTTTCAAATCAAAATTCACTGATTATATAATGAGATACGTTTTCATATTTTAAAATAATGAGGATTTGGGGTTCTGATCATATAGAGTAGCTGGTATTGCAATATTCTCCTGTTACAAGCATCTATAAAAACCGGACCAAATATAGACCAAATAAAACATGTATGTAACATTTACAAGCAACAGATACCAACCAACACAGGGCTATGATCTTTGGGAGAAAAGGGCAGATGAATCAAGTCTCACGCTGGCTTTCTCCTTGGGGGCACCTGCCAAACCATACTGTGGAGAAACAAAGCCCAAGCAGACAGTGGTAGTCCTGCTAGGATAAGAAAACTAAAATTAATGTTTGGGGTTGCTATGGTGCCAGGGTTTTGGGGATAGGTTATTAGAACTGAGAAAGTGAAAGGAAAAAAGCTATAAAAATACACATGAAATTGCCCTTTGGTCCTTACTTGCTTCATAGGATGTGCGTACACAGGGTTAGAATTTCTAGGAGAAAATAGCTGTTAACTAAACAGAGATTTCAGAGGTTGTGCAGTTCTGAGAAGGTGTGGTCCAGGCTCGGAGGAGAGATATCTTGATGAACACCTTAGTCACTTAGTTGAGACCCTAGACAAACTCTGTCCTAGGAGTAAGAACAAAGGTGAAACAGACCTATCTTAAAAAGCTTAAAACTAATCTCCATAAGATCAAAGTAATCTGCTGGCTATTTAACTGCCTGCCATAATATAATTCACTATTATTTAGAGGGACTTAATAATCCAGAGCTCCAACAAATAAGAGTCCAAACCTTTCCTATAAAGGGCCAGAAAGCAAATATTTTTAGGCTTTGAGGACACATAGTCTCTGTTGTACATTCTCTTTAAAAACAAACAGAGGCTGGGCATGGTGGCTCATAGCTGTAATCTCAGTGCTCTGGGAGACTGAGGTAGGAGGATTGCTTGAGGCCAGGAGTTCAAGACCAGCCTGGGCAACATAGCAAAAACAATAACCTTTAAAAATGTAAAAAACCATTCTTAGCTATAGGCCATGCAATAACAGCCAGAAGGCTGGATTTGGCCCATGGCCATAGTATGTTGTCCATTACTCTACATTTCACTCACTATGTTCAATATACAACGACAAATTAGCAGATGTGTAAAGCAGGGGAAAGTGACTGACAATCAAGAGACAAGACAGTCAATAAAAACAGATTTAGGGGTGATGTAAATATATGTGTAGACAAGGAGGCTCTAGCTTACCACTCCTATTCAACATAGTATTGGAAGTTCTAACCAGGGCAATCAGGCAAGGGAAAGAAAAAAATGGTATCCAAATAGGAAGAGAGGAAGTCAAACTAACCCTGTTTGCAGTTGACATGATCCTATATCTAGAAAACCCCATAGTCTCAGCCCTCAAGCTTCTTAAGCTGATAAACAACTTCAGCAAAGTCTCAGGAAACAAAATCAACGTGCAAAAATCACAAGCATTCCTATACACCAACAAGAGTCAAGCCAAGAGCCAAATCAGGAATGAACTCCCATTCACAACCGCCACAAAAAGAATAAAATGTCTAGGAACACAACTAGGCAAGTTAAAGATCTCTGCAAGGAAAACTACAAACGACGGCTCAAAGACATCATAGAGGACACTAACAAATGGAAAAACATTCCATGCTCATGGATAGGAAGAATCAATATCGTTAACATGGTCATACTACCCAGAGCAATTTATAGATTCAATGCTATCTCTATTAAACTACCATTGACATTCTTCAAAGAACTAGAGAAAACTATTTTAAAATTCATATGAAGCCGAAGAAGAGCCCAAATAGCCAAGGCAATCCTAAGCAAAAAGAACAAATCTGGAGGGATCACACTACCTGACTTCAAACTATACTACAGGGCTACAGTAACCAAAAACAGTACGGTACTAGTACAAAAACAGACATATAAACCAATGGAACAGAACAGAAAGCCCAGAAATAATGCTACACACCTACAACTGTTGAGAAGAGCAACCCCAAGACACATAATGGTCAGATTCACCAAGGCTGAAATGAAGGAAAATATGTTAAGGGCAGCCAGAGAGAAAAGTTGGGCACATATATCCCAGAAATTAAAGTATTAAAAAAAAAAAAAAGCAATGGGGAAAGGATTCTGTATTCAATAAATGGTGCTGGCATAACTGGCTAGCCATATGCATAAGGCTGAAACTGGACCCCTTCCTTAAGCCATATACAAAAATTAACTCAAGATGAATTAAAGACTTAAATGTAAAAGCCAAAAGTATAAAAACCCTGGAAGACAACCTAGGCAATACCATTCAGGACACAGGCATGGGCAAAGATTTCATGACGAAGACAACAAAAGCAATTGCAACAAAAGCAAAAGTTGACAAATGCATTCCCTTAACTCAGGTCTGTTCACACAGCTCTATGGCAACTTCTGAGATAGGTCTCAGCTTTCAAAAGAATTCGAGCATTACATGGATCTGTGACCCATTTGTGAATAAACCAGGTGAATCAACTTTGTCCGTGCTAGAAGAGAATCAACTGCTTGAGATTGCAAATGATGGTGGCCTTATAAAAGTATGTTTGAGACAACTTCACATCTCCGTAAATTCCAGATTAAAGTCAAGGTGGAATATCCTGAGATTGCTACAACAGCACTGAAAAGCCTGCTTCCATTTCCAACATCCTATCTTTATGAAGCAGTGTTTTCTGAAGTGACAGCAACCAAAATGAGATTATGGAGTAGACTGGACATAAGCAACACACTTTGGGTGTCACTGTCTACCATCACCCCCAGATGGGACCATATAGTTGCAGGAAAACAAGCTCAGGGCTCCCACTGACTCTACATTATGGTGAGCTGTATAATTATTTCATGATATGTTACAATGCAGTAATAACAGAAATTAAATACACAATAAATGTAATGTGCTTGAATCACCCTGAAACCATTGCCCCACACCCAAGTCCGATGAAAAATTGTCTTCCATGAAACCGGTTCCTGGTGCCAAAAAGGTCGGGGACCACTGCCATAGATTATAGATTTTTAATTTTTGATTTTTGATTTATTTTTCAGAGACAAGGTCTTGCTATGCTGTCCAGGCTGAACTCAAACTCCTGGGTTCAAACAATCCTTCCACCGCAGCCTCCTAAGTAACTGGGACTATAAGTGCCTACCGCTGTGCCTAACTAAGATTTTAATACTGTATCTTTACCATACCTTTTCTATGTTTAGATACATTTAGATATACAAATACCATCATGTTATAATAGCCAGTTCACTAACACGCTGTTCAGGTTTGTAGCCTAGGAGCAACAGGCCATACCATATATCCTAGGTGTGTAATAGGTTATACCATCTACATGTGAGTACACTCTATGATGCTCAACACAATGATGAAATCACCTAACGACACATTTCTCAGGATGTATGCCTGTTGTTAAGTGATGCGTGACTATACTTAGAGGAGCACAAGGGAATCCTTTTTATTGAGAGAGATATTCAATGCCTTAATCTGGTGGTACTGCACAGGTGTATACATAAAATAATTCATTGAGTTATATAATGAAGATCTGTGTACTGCACTGTTTTGTGCATTATACATATTACAAAAAACAATAAAATCTACATGTAATTTCCAGAGAAGGAAAACCAAGCTGAAAATCTTTCTAAATAGAATCCAACATCTCTCTCATAATTTAATGGCTGCCAACTATTTTTGAATTATACTCCATAATGTATGTTAGGTATTCAATAATTATTAAATAATGTACATGAATAACTACAATTTTCTGTGGGATAAAAAAAACCTAATTCTCAAAAAAGTAACACTTGACAATTGTTTTCTCTTTACTTTTTACAAATAACTGGCATTTTAAAATTTCTGTGTATATATATTTTTAATCAATACTGCCAGTAAACAAATTGGGTTTTGCAAGCAGTATATGTACACCAATACATGGATGAAAACGTTATATATGCACATCAAACAATTAGTAAATTGCTATTTTGTGGAATTTCAAAAATAACATATTTCCAAGAAAACATTTCTGGAACAAGAGAATGGATCAATTGGATTACAAGCAAGAGAGGAAAGTCAACCTTTCTAAATGCATAATACTAGTCAGATACATAAACAGGCACTTCACCAACATTCTTGTTTAATGCTAAGCATCCTAATGTCAGGTAGATATTATTCTCTCTTAACAAAGAAAGAATATGAAACACAGACAAGAACAACTTGTGTATAGTCACAGAGTAAGCCTTCAAAATAAAGATGTATAAAATCATCATTGAATAACTGCCCAAGAATCTTTCAATAGAAGTAAAGGTCATTTTCAGTAACAGACTTATGCATGGCAAATATAATATGAGACCCAAGAACTATATGCCTGATGAAACCACAGCAAGGTGAAATAATAAAACAAGAAATATGGTCACCTTAATTGTGCTCAACTCTAAATTTGACTGATAAAATAATTTTCTAGTGTTTAATATGATTATAGCCTAGAAAAAAAGGATTTCAAAATAGATAAAAGCTTTAAAAATCTATCATACACTATAATATTGGACTTTTCATATACTATAAAAGCTGACAAAATTATCATGTCTTTTTGTACTAAAGATAAATTCCATTTTAACATCTGATTTTATTTTTTAAAGTTTGGTATTTAATAAATTCTCCTTCAAGGTAGGCACTGTTGACAATCAACTTGAGAGATGTCAAGGTTAAAAATGAGGAAGGCTGAACATAAATGTTTGCTCAAGGCACACTAAAATAACAGTGTAGGTATAGTTAGTAATGAAAGAAAAGACTACCCTAAGAAAATTTTGGAAAATGAAAAGCAACTTCAGTGGTCACCTTAAGTGACAGAAAAAGTTAACAGTGTGAGAAAGGCCTAGGAGCAAGTTCATTTACCCCACAAACTCTAGAAATAGGGGTACAAATTATCTTTCAAAAAGAGAAGGCAGGGTCAGGACTGAAAAAATGTTGAGAGTCTATACAAGTAACAGCCCCTACATGACTTCTCTCACTTCCCCTCCCCTACAGCCAATCACCATAGGAACTGGAGATTTACTCTCTGAAGAAAATGAACCAGAAGGACTCTGGAATCAGGAGCATCATGTGCAGCTGATTAATTTGTACTGTACTAATTGTACAGGCAGATTATACTGCCTGTATTGTACAGACAGAGCCTGCATAATAAGAAAAAATCTACATAGTGAATAGGTAAGTCCTCTCCAATCCCTTCCTCTCACTCAGCTCTAAGAAGACTGGCAGTGAGGCTCTACAAACTCAAGACCTATAAAACTATATGGTTTTGAAAATTGTGTAAATGAATACGCCAATTACATGTACATACATACACTTATAAAATAAAACATATAGATCAAATTTAAAAGATAGATGTGTGTGTGTCACACATACACACACATATACATTTTTTTTTAAGTATGGCACACCTGGGTAAATAATTTAAATAATAAACACAAAGAGCAAATAATAAAAATTAAACCTGTCTTTCATCATCTCTGACTCCTTAAATATGGTAGCTATCCCTTGAGAAGCAAAGGAGACAGTTCTGGGATGAAATTTCTGGGTATCTATGAAAGTAGGAAGATGGGTACAGTAAGTGATGAGGAAGAGGCAAAATGGACACCTCCACAGGATGCCATATTGGCAGACTGTATTTTCCCAGTAAGTCCACGGCAACATTTCTGATCCCACATGATGATCCTCCACTTTTTATCAAGATGCAGTCTATTTCCTTTCACTTAACTCTGTGACAACCTTGACAAATAGAACATGGAAAAAGTAACATTACATGGCTTCCCAGGCCAGACTGGAAAGGCAATATAGCTACAGTGTGGCTCTCTCTCTAAAGATGCTCACCCTTAGAAACCAGCCACTGTGACCGGGCACAGTGGCTCATGCCTGTAATCCTAGCACTTTGGGAGGCCAAGGCAGGTGGATCACCTGAGGTCGGGAGTTCAAGACCAGCCTGACCAACATGAAGAAACCCTGTCTCTACTAAAAACACAAAATTAACCAGGCATGGTGGCACATGCCTGTAATCCCAGCTACTAGGGAGGCTGAGGCAGGAGAATCGCTCGAACCTGGGAGACGGAGGTTGCGGTGAGCCGAGATCGTGCCATTGTACTCCAGCCTGGGCAACAACAGCGAAACTCCGTCTCAAAAAAAAAAAAGAAAGAAAGAAACCAGCCACTGTGCTATGAAGAAGTCCAGGATATCAAGAGGTCATATATAGGTGCCTCAGCCTCAGCTAAGGTTTCAGGTAACAGCCATGTGAGTGAATAAGCCTTCGAATGATTCTAGCCTCCAGCCTTTGAGTCTTCCAGCCGAGGACTGATACATAATGGAGCAAAATTAAGCCTTTTGTGTGTGTGTGTGAATCTCTGACTCACGGAATCCCTGAGGACAATACATGGTTATTTTATGCCACTAAGTTTTAGGGTAATTTCTTACGCAGTCACAGTAACTAAAATAGGCTGGTCCTCCCAGCCCTTCCTTGTTCATCATACAGGCTAACGTTAATCAGCTGCACCAAAGTAAAAGTCAAGTCAAAAATTAGGGGTAAAAATCCTCATAGATTGAAGACATCAATCCATGTAGTACGGACACTATGCATTTTAAAGTATTTAATGCAAACATATTTAGTGAGTTGTTAATGCAAACATATTTGGTGAGATGAATTCTCATATCATGAATTCATTTAGTGACAATGAATTCACGGCATGAGAGGGACAATACACTCCATAGGTTGGCCACAGTAAATAAATGGTTATACCAAAGCCACAGTGAAAATAGGACTTGACATTGAAACAACACAAGCCAACACAAACCCAGTGATAACAGGCTTATCATTCCTATGTCCACAGCAGAGAAAAAGCAAGATCTAGTGAAGTTACATCAACTCCTTCATTACAAAAATTTCCCTCAGAAAATACAGAAACGGCTTTGATGAGATAACTACCAGATGAAACAAAGCAGGCTTTGGCAACATGAATATTTTACCTGTGGTGCAAAAATCTTTCATGAAAAGCAATGACTCCAATGCCTGGTAGTCTCCAAAGGAAACTGAGTAGTTCTCCTTCTTGGTGAACAGAGAAATGCTGGTGAACCTGGCAGCTGCCCACAAAGGATTTCTGAGACTTAATGGTACTAAGTGGACACAAGAAAACAAACACCAAAACTTTCAAACCCCCAATTAGTTTGCAGGCTGCCACATACCACTCCACAGGTTGTAAAGTACATAACTGGAGATCTATTCACATGGATTAAAAGATAAATAATCTACCTAAAAGTACAAAGCAACTCTTTTGGTTTGAATGGCTTGGGTTCAAATACCCAGAGGAATAAATATACCACATAACCAGCAATTTTTCATAAATATTGTTCCTCTTAAGTTTTTTGATGACCTGAGATAATGGTAGAGAAAGTTTCTAGCACCACAGAATGGTAAGCTTACTTACCATTCTAGGTAATATATCCAGGTCTATTGAAACTGCCAGCTAAATATATGTAATATATATTTTTAAAATATAAACATATAAAAGTACATTAATATATATGTCTTTCTAAAAGAGTAACTAGACAGCACATTGATTACTACACTGAAAAATACAGCATACTACTGTTAACTAAAGTGCTCAACAGAAAATTATGCTAGCTGAGAAACATACCAAACCTTTTTACAATATTTTGAAATACATTCAAAACTATAGTTAAAATGAAAACTAAATAGTAGCTAAATTTAAGCTAAGACAAAAGTTATTAAATTTATGCCTTTTCCAAAAAAGAATTCTAACACGTGAATAATAGGAAAAAAGGCTTATTTTCTTACATCAACTGTCTAATACATGAGAGTTTCTATTAAATAGAAATTTGTACGAAGTAGAATTCTCTTCACTTTATGTTATCTCTGTTTGGCAACCTATATTCCAACTATATATTAACAGATGATAGAATACAAAAGAAATCAAAAGTTTAGCTTTTTAGAAAAGCACACTAAATCCTAAATCTGTTGGGTATTTTAGATAATGTTGAAGGTATTTTTAATGATAATGATGTAATATTCACTACTCTGCAGCCCCTTTTTCAATGTGAAATAGCTTGGAATTTGAGATAAATTCATAATCCTGCTATATAGTAATACACAGAAAATTTTAAGCTTAAACTGGTAAATAAGAAAGATTCATTTTTTGTATTATTATACTTTAAGTTCTAGGGTACATGTGCACAACATGCAGGTTTGATACCTAGGTATACATGTGCCATGTTGGTTGGCTGCACCCATCAACTCATCATTTACATTGGGTATTTCTCCTAATGCTATCCCTCCCCCAGCCCCTAATCCCCCGACTGGCCCCGGTGTAAGATTCATATTTTATATTACTTAAAGATTTCAAAGTGTGGAAATACCCAAGTAATACAGCAGAAAACATCCTGAAAAATTTGGAAATACCAAAACATCCTGAAGAATAAGAATTCCAGTTTGAATACAGACTGCATATATTATTATTTTCATAAAGTTAAATTTAGGGATGTGGTAATTATGAGATTCTCGGAATACTGAAGTACTTACTTTCAAAAGGTTCAGGAAAAAAAAGTCATGTAGAGAGAAGGAAACATAAAGTAAATGTGCAAAATGTTAACACTGGGTCAATTTAGGTAAAGGGTATAAGGGTATTCATTATAATATTATTTCACCTTTTCCATATAGGTTGAAAAGTTTTTAAATAAAAAGGGAGAATACACTTTTATATGTATCAAGATATGTACAAGAATGTTCACAGCAGTATTATTTGTAAGAGCCCAAAGTGGAAACAAATCCAAATATATACCAACAATAAACTGGACAAGTAAATGGTAAATGAAAGGATAAGTAAACTATAGTATATTCATACAAAAGGGTACTACAGAGCAGTAACAATGAACTAACTACTGTTAACACACCACATGGGTAAAACTCACAAATAACGATGAGCAAACAAAGCTAGACACAAATAGGATGAACAAATATTTGTTAAATAAATATTTCAGACGATAGATAAGATCAGGGCTGTCATTTATTTTTGTTTGGCAAAAATTTTACTCACAGACAGTACAAGTAAAATTACCATGAATATGTATAAATTATTTAGAAGAACAAATTCTTTTCAGGCACCCTCAAGCACATTTATGAAAACCACACACATACTATGGATCTGCTCTACTAATCAAAATGCACACTGTTGGTTTCTCAACAACATCCAGTGAGCAACACTTTTTAAAAAGACCCAGTTTGAATGAGAGCATGCATCTAATACAATCCTGCACCAAAAAGACTTTTTTACTTGAATAAGACTTTTCAAACTGTACTATAATTTAATAATCCTAGTTTACATATATGTCTAAATTCAGACTTATAGCCAGAGATTATTTTTTAAAAGACACAAAATACTTACATTGACTTTGAAAGCTTGTACAGTGTTATCCAGAAGAAGGATGTTGCAAACCACTTCAGTATGCTGTCTGTCTCGGGCCAACTCTGATGCTCGTACATTGTAGGTTCTGCCAGCAGGCAATCGGAAACGTGAGGTCATTACTGTCCACACAAAGTCTAAGTTAAAAAAAAAAAAATTCACTAAATAAAAGGTTCGTAAAATATAAGCTGTAGTTTAAAAGGCAAAGTTATTATATATTTCTCAATTAAAACTTAGGTGGAAAACAGTTATAAATTTTGAAACACCAGAATAAGAATTGTAGGTATAAGTTATATATAGTTCATCATCAAACTAAAGTTACCACTGCTTTGAAAAAGAGGTTTTTTTTTTAACTGCTCCATCCAGAAGATTTAATACATAAATTTTTAAGGAAGTCATATTCCAATTCAAAATATGTAAACTTTGGAGTAGCCAAAAGGGGCGGGAAGATTATGCTGCCTCAGGAAGTTGGATATTACTCATTGATGCAAGTATTTTAAAGCACTGTAGAATGACAACAGGAGGAAAAATTATTTAATTTTGGCAGGCCCTTCCCTTTTTTAAAAAACTTAAGGTGTTGGGGAAACCAAGAAGTTTAAAAAAAAAAACAACCCTTCATTTTAACCATCCTCAAAATTCAACCTAATAGTATTATTGTTATTATTCCTAAGAAAACAAAATAGAAATGGTGACCAATCTTTGCTTCTGAATTTTTAACCTAAGAGATAAAAACTAGATGGCCTATAAAACAACAGAAATCACAGTGATATCAGCGATACTAGATGTTTAAAGACAATGAAGCTGTAGCTTCAAAGTTGTGAAAGAAAATTCTTTGAAACACTGACTTATATACCTAGAAAATTAACATTCATGGAGGAGAAAAAAAAACTCTTAAAACACTCAGGCATTTAAGGATTCAAACTTTAAAACACCTAACACTTCTGTCTTAAAGACAATTAGGTAAAGGAAACACACTAAACTAGAAGAAAGACTAGTATTTGGGATGTTTGAATGAGTAAGCAATAAGTAGTAAGCAGTATGAACAATGAGTAAGCAAAATATAATGAAAATAGTATTTCAAATCAGTGATAATACCTGGAGCTGATCTCTCACAGATTATTCATTTCAAAAGATTAAAGCTCAAAGTAAAAGTCATTGTTATATAAATATAAAAATAATGTAGGGGAAAAAAGTCTTACTATGTTGACAAGGAGACGCTTGCCAAGTAAAATTCCACAATTAAAAGACAGTGATTGGGCTGGGTGAAGTGGCTCATGACTGTAATCCCAACGATTTGGGAGGTGGGAGGATTGCTTCAGGACAAGAGTTTGAGACCAGCCTGGAAAACACAGGGAGGCCCTGTTTCTACAAAAAAGAATGTTTTAAAAATTAGCTGGGCCTCTTTTACATCGTTGAGCAGTGGTTTGTAGTTCTCCTTGAACAGGTCCTTCACATCCCTTGTAAGTTGGATTCCTAGGTATTTTATTCTCTTTGTAGCAATTGTGAATGGGAGTTCACTCATGATTTGGCTCTCTGTCTGTTATTGGTGTATAGGAATGCTTGTGATTTTTGCACATTGATTTTGTATCCTGGGACTTTGCTGAAGTTGCTTATCAGCTTAAGGAGATTTTGGGCTGAGATGATGGGGTTTTCTATATATACAATCATGTCATCTGCAAACAGGGACAATTTGACTTCCTCTTTTCCTAACTGAATACCCTTTATTTCTTTCTCTTGCCTGACTGCCCTGGCCAGAACTTCCAACACTATGTTGAATAGGAGTGGTTGAGAGAGGGCATCCCTGTCTTGTGCCAGTTTTCAAAGGAAATGCTTCCAGCTTTTGCCCATTCAGTATGATATTGGCTGTGGGTTTGTCATAAATAGCTCTTATTATTTTGAGATACGTTCCATCAATACCTAGTTTATTGAAAGTTTTTAGCATGAAAGGCTGTTGAATTTTGTCAAAGGCCTTTTCTGCATCTATTGAGATAATCATGTGGTTTTTGTCATTGCTTCTGTTTAGCTGATGGATTACGTTTATTGATTTGTGTATGCTGAACCAGCCTTGCATCCCAGGGATGAAGCCGACTTGATCTTGGGGGATAAGCTTTCTGATATGCTCCTAGATTCAGTTTGCCAGTATTTTATTGAGGATTTTTGCATCGATGTTCATCAGGGATATTGGTCTAAAATTCTCTTTTTTTGTTGTGTCTCTGCCAGGCTTTGGTATCAGGATGATGCTGGCCTCATAAAATGAGTTAGGGAGGATTCTCTCTTTTTCTATTGATTGGAATAGTTTCAGAAGGAATGGTACGAGCTCCGCTTTGTAACTCTTGTAGAATTCGGCTATGAATCCGTCTGGTCCTGGACTTTTTTTGGTCGGTAGGCTATTAATTATTGCCTGAATTTCAGAGCCTGTTATTGGTCTATTCAGAGATTCAACTTCTTCCTGGTTTAGTCTTGGGAGGGTGTATGTGCCCAGGAATTTATCCATTTCTTCTAGATTTTCTAGTTTATTTGCGTAGAGGTGTTTATAGTACTCTGATGGTAGTTTGTATTTCTGTGGGATGGGTGGTGATATCTCCTTTATGATTTTTTATTGCGTCTATTCGATTCTTCCCTCTTTTCTTCTTTATTAGTCTGGCTAGCAGTCTATCAATTTGTTGATCTTTTCAAAAAACCAGCTTCTGGATTCATTGATTTTTTGAAGGGTTTTTTGCGTCTCTATCTCCTTCAGTTCTGCTCTGATCTTAGTTATTTCTTGCCTTCTGCTAGCTTTTGAATGTGTTTGCTCTTGCTTCTCTAGTTCTTTTCATTGTAATGTTAGGGTGTCGATTTTAGATCTTTCCTGCTTTCTCTTGTGGGCATTTAGTGCTATAAATTTTCCTCTACGCACTGCTTTAAGTTGTCCCAGAGATTCTGGTACGTTGTGTCTTTGTTCTCATTGGTTTCAAATAACATCTTTATTTCTACCTTAATTTTGTTATTTACCCCGTAGTCATTCAGAAGCAGGTTGTTCAGTTTCCATGTAGTTGTGTGGTTTTGTGTGAGTTTCTTAATCCTGAGTTCTAATTTGATTGCATTGTGGTCTGAGAGACAGTTTGTTGTGATTTCTGTTCTTTTACATTTGCTGAGGAGTGCTTTACTTCCAACTATGTGGTCAATTTTGGATGTGGTGTGTGATGTGGTGCTGAGAAGAATGTATATTCTGCTGATTTGGGGTGGAGAGTTCTGTAGATGTCTATTAGGTCCGCTTGGTGCAGCGCTGAGTTCAATCCTGGATATTCTTTCTAACCTTCTGCCTCGCTGATCTGTCTAATGTTGACAGTAGGGTGTTAAAGTCTTCCATTATTATTGTGTGGGAGTCTAAGTCTCTTTGCAGGTCTCTAAGGACTTGTTTTATGAATCTCGGTGCTCCTGTATTGGGTGCATATATATTTAGGATAGTTAGCTCTTCTTGTTGAATTGATCCCTTTACCATTATGTAATGGCCGTCTTTGTCTCTTTTGATCTTTATTGGTTTAAACTCTGTTTTATCAGAGACTGGGATTGCAACCCCTGCTTTTTTTTGCTTTCCATTTGCTTGTTAGATATTCCTCCATCCCTTTATTTTGAGCCTATGTGTGTCTCTGCACGTGAGATGGGTCTCCTGAATACAGCACACTGATGGGTCTTGACTCTTTATCCAATTTGCTAGTCTGTCTTTTAATTGGGGCATTTAGCCAATTTACATTTAAGGTTAATATTGTTATATGTGAATTTGATCCCATCGTTATGATGTTAGCTGGTTATTTTGCCCATTAGTTGATGCAGTTTCTTCCTAGCATCGATGGTCTTTACAATTTGGCATGTTTTTACAGTGGCGGGTACCAGTTGTTCCTTTCCATGTTTAGTGCTTCCTTCGGGAGCTCTTGTAAGCCAGGCCTGGTGGTGACAAAATCTCTCAGCATTTGCTTGTCTGTAAAGAATTTTATTTCTCCTTCACTTATGAAGCTTAGTTTGGCTGAATATGAAATTCTGGGGTAAAAGAGGACACAAACAAATGGAAGAACATTCCATGCTCATGGATAGGAAGAAGGAGTATCGTGAAAATGGCCATACTGCCCAAGGTAATTTATAGATTCAATGCCATCCCCATCAAGCTAACAATGATTTTCTTTGCAGAACTGGAAAAAACTACTTTGAAGTTCATATAGAACCAAAAAAGAGCCCACGTTGCCAAGACAATCCTAAGCAAAAAGAACAAAGCTGGAGGCATCACACTATCTGACTTCAAACTATACTACAAGGCTACAGTAACCAAAACAGCATGGTACTGGTATCAGAACAGAGAGATAGACCAATGGAACAGAACAGAGGCCTCAGAAATATCACCACACATCTACAACCATCTGATCTTTGACAAACCTGACAAAAACAAGAAATGGCCCTATTTAATAAATGGTGCTGGGAAAACTGGCTAGCCATATGTAGAAAGCTGAAACTGGATCCCTTCCTTACACCTTATACAAAAATTAATTCAAGATGGATTAAAGACTTAAATGTTAGACCTAAAACCATAAAAACCCTAGAAGAAAACCTAGGCAATACCATTCAGGACATAGGCATGGGCAAGGACTTCATAACTAAAACACCAAAAGCAATGGCAAAAACAAACAAAACAAAATAGACAAATGAGATCTGATTAAACTAAAGAACTTCTGCACAGCAAAAGAAACTACCATCAGAGTGAACAGGCAACATACAAAACAGGAGAAAATTTTTGCAATCTATCCATCTACGAAGGGCTAATATCCAGAATCTACAAAGAACTTAAACAAATTTATAAGAAAAAAACAAACAACCCCATCAAAAAGTGGGCAAAGGATATGAACAGACACTTCTCAAAAAAAGACATTTATGCAGCCAACAGACACATGAAAAAATGCTCATCATCACTGGTCATCAGAGATGACCAGAATGCAAATCAAAACCACAATGAGATACCATCTCATGCCAGTTAGAATGGCGATCATTAAAAAGTCAGGAAACAACAGATGCTGGAGAGGATGTGGAGAAATAGAACACTTTTACACTGTTGGTGGGAGTGTAAACTAGTTCAACCATTGTGGAAGACAGTATGATGATTCCTCAAGGATCTAGAACTAGAAATACCATTTGACCCAAAGATCCCATTACTGGGTATATGCCCAAAGGATTATAAATCATTCTGCTATAAAGACACATACACGTGTATGTTTGTTGCAGCACTATTCACAATAGCAAAAACTTGGAACCAACCCAAATGTTCATCTATGATAGACTAGATTAAGAAAATGTGGCACATATACACCATGGAATACTATGCAGCCATAAAAAAGGATGAGTTCACGTCCTTTGCAGGGACATGGATGAAACTGGAAATCATCATTCTGAGCAAACTATCGCAAGGAGAGAAAACAAAACACTGCATGTTCTCACTCACAGGTGGGAAATGAACAATGAGAACACTTGGACACAGGGCGGGGAACATCACACACGGGGGCCTGTCGTTGGGTGGAGGGCAGGGAGAGGGATGGTATTAGGAGAAATACCTAATGTAAATGATGAGTTAATGGGTGCAGCAAACAAACATGGCACATGTATACCTATGTAACAAACTTGCACGTTGTGCACATGTACCCTAGAACTTAAAGTATAATTAAAAAAAAAAAATTAGCTGAGCATGGTGGCATGCACCTGTAGTCCTAGCTACTCAGGAGGCTGAGGTAGGAGGATCCCTTGAGCCCAGGAGTTCAAGGTTACAGTGAGCTATGATCATGCCACTGTACCCCAGTGTCAGAGACAGACAGAAACCCTGTCTCTAAGAAACTAAAATGACAGTGATTGGCGGAGTGGGGGTGGGGATGGGGTACATGGCCCAGCTATAATGCTGTCTTCCAGAAACTCTCCTCACATATAACAATACAGGCAGGTAGAAAGTACAAGGATGGAAAGAGATGTATCATGGAAACATTAATCAATAGGAAGAAGAGTACCTATATTAGTATCAGATAAAGTAGACTTGGGAACAAATAAAATTCATAAGAACAGATTAGGCATTACATAATGATAAAATGGTCAAGCCACCGAGACATTACCAATCCTAAATGTGGATGTACCAACCAACAGAGCTGCAAAAATACATGAAGCAAAACTGTCAAACTGAAATAAAAAAAGATAAATCCCACAATTATAGGAGAGCTCAACTCCCCTTTCTCAATAATTGATACAACTAGGAAAATTAGCAAGAATATAAGAGAACTTAACAACCAATAGGATCTAATCATGAACATTTATAGAACACTCTAGCAAAGACAACAGAATATTAATTATTTTTAAACATCCACTGAACATTTCAAGAGAGACCATATCCTGGGCTAAGAAACAAATCTAAATATTTAAATAATTGAAATTATGCAAAATGTATTCTGAGAACAATGGAATCAAACCAGAAATCAACAACAGAAAGACAACAGAAAAATCTCCAAACACGTAGAAACTAAACAAGTCTACGTTATCCACTGGACAAAGAGGAAATCTTAAGGAAAATCAAGATACACTGATTGAATAAAAATGAAAACACAACATATCAAAATTTGTGAGATATGATTTAAGCAGTGCTGACAGAAATCTACAGCAATATATGCATACAATAGAAAACAGGAAATGTCTCAAATCAGTAATCTAACCTCCCTCCTCAAGAACCTAGACAATGAGCTAAATGAACTCATAGCAAACAGAAGGAAGGAAATAACAAAGAACATAAATCAATGAAATTAAAGAAAATAAAAATAGAGAAAATCAATAGGGGAAAAAAGCTAGTTCTTTAAAGGATCAATAAACATAATAAACCTCTAGCAAGGCTAACAAAGAAACAGAAAACACAAATTGCTAACATTAGGAATGAAACAGAGGATACCACATAGACTTTGCAACCATTGAAATGGTAATACTACAAACAACTTATACATCAATTTGACATAAAAAGAACCAATTCCATGAAAGGCACAAACTGCCAAAATTCAGCCAATATGAAACAGAAAATTTAAACAGCCCTATAACTATTTTAAAAATCAAATTCGTAATTCTAAAACTCCCCCAACAGAATATTCAAACACAGAGGGTTTCCTGGGAAAATCTACCTAACATTTAAAGAAAAAGTAACACAATTTCTAGATGATCTCTTCCAGAAAGCAGAATAGAAAAGGATACTTCTCAAATCATTCCATGTAGCCAATTTTATCCTGATGGAAAAAACAGACAAAAACATAAAGAAAACTACAAACCAATATTCCTCATGAATACAGACACAAAAACCCTTAATAAAATACAAGAAACCAGAATTCAGCAATATGTAAAAAGAATTACATACCATGTACCAAGGGGGTTTTATTTCAAAGGTGCAACAAGGTTCACCCAATATTTTAACAATCAATCAATATAATCCACCTTATTAACAGACTAAGGGAGAAAAATCACATGACCTTTTTAATCAATGCAGGAAAGCATTTGACAAAATTCACCACCCATTCATAATAAAAAATTCTTAGAAAACTAGAAATAAAGGGATCTTCTTCAACATAATAAAAAGCATCTACAAAAAAATCCACAGCTAACATCATACTTAATGGTTAAAGCCTGAATGCTTTCCCCTATAACCAGGAATAAGGCAAGGAAGGGTATCTGCTCTCACCACTCATATGCAACATAATGCTGCAAGTCCTAGCCTATGCTGTGAGGTTAAAAAAAGGAGGAGCGCCGGGCACGGTGGCCGGTAATCCCAGCACTTTGGGAGGCTAAGGCAGGCGGATTACAAGGTCAAGAGATCGAGACCATCCTGGCTAACAGGGTGAAACCCCGTCTCTCCTAAAAATACAAAAAATTAGCTGGGTGTGGTGGCGGGCGCCTGTTGTAGTCCCAGCTACTTGGGAGACTGAGGAAGGAGAATCGCTTGAACCCAGGAGGCGGAGGTTGCAGTGAGCCAAGATTGCGCCACTGCACTCCAGCCTGGGTGAGAGAATAAGACTGCCTCAAAAAAAAAAAAAAAAAAAACGGAAAGAAAGAAAGAAAAAACAGAAAAAGAAAGAAATAGCATACAGGAATAAATTAAACATTTTTGCAGATGAAATAATTTTACAAAGAAAATCCCAAGGAATCTACAAAAGCACTCCTAGAACTAATAAGTAAGTTCAGCGAGGTCACCCAATACATCAACATACAAAAATCAGTTTTATTTGTGTATGCTAGGAATAAATATGAGGAGTCAAACAAAATACAGTATAATTTGCAACTGCTAAACAAAAAACAAAATACTTAGGTGTAAATCTAACAAAACACATAGAGAACTTCTATGCTAAAAACTACAAAATGCTGATAAAAAAATTGAAGAAAATCTAAATAAATGGAGAGACATAACTATGTTCACGGACTGGAACATTCAAACTAGTAAACACGTCAATTCTCTCCAAATAGGCATACAGGTTTAATGTAATTTCTATCAAAATCCCAGTACTTTTTTGTAGATAATTTTATTTTAGATAATTTTATTCTAAAATTAATATGGAAGGCCAGGCGCAGTGACTCACGCCTGTAATCCCAGAATTTTGGGAGGCCTAGGCAGGCAGAACACTTGAGGCCAGGAGCTCAAGACCAGCCTGGCCAACTTGGCGAAACCCCATCTCTACTAAAAATAGAAAAATTAGCCAGGCGTGGTGATGCATGTTTGTAATCCCAGCTACTCAGTAGGCTAAGGCAGGAGAATCACTTGAACCCAGGAGGCGGAGCTTCAGTGAACCAAGATCGTGCCACTGCACTCCAGCTTGGGTGATAGAGCGAGGCTCTGCCTCAAATTTAAAAAAAATAAAAAATTAATATGGAAAGGCAAAGGAATCATTGTAGCAAAAACAATTTTGAAAAAGACTAAAGTGGGAGTAACTATACTCCCACTCCCAAAGAAAAATAAACTGGGAATCCCTCTCCCAGATTTTATGATTATGTACCTACATTTATCAAGACTGTTGGTAACGACAGAAGTAGAGACACCGAGATCACTGGAACAAAATAGAATTACCACACAAGTACAGCCAACTGATTTTTAACAAAGGTACAAAAACAATTCAACAGAGAAAGGATGGCCTTTTCAACAAACAGTGCTGAACCAATCAGAAATCCATACACAAAATGAAAAATGAACCTCAACCTAAACCTCACACCTTATGCAAAAAATTACTCACTGACTCAGATTTAAATGTAAAACCTAAAACACTAACTTTTAGAAGAAAACATACTAGAAAATCTTAGGGACCTAGGTATGGTGAAGTGTTCTTAGATGTGACATCAAAAGCATGATTCATAAAAACAACAACAAAAAAGACAAATTAGCTATATCATCAAAATTTAAAACTTACAGACTGTAAAAAAAAAAAAGCCTGCAAAACATTTATCTGACAATAGACTAGTACTCAGAATATGTAATAAACTCTCAGAACTCAACAGTAAAAAAAAAAAAAAATCAAATAATCCCATTAGAAAATGGGCAAAAAAACATAAAAAGACATTTTACCGAATGGGATATTCAGATGGCCATTAAGCACATGAAAGGATGCTCAATCTGAGCCATTTGGGAAATGTAAATTAAGACCATTATGAGATACCACCATATACCTATTTAACGGCCAAAATAAAAAATAGTGGCATTTTGGTAAAGATGCTGAGAAACTGGATCTCTGACAAAATCCTGAAACAAATACATACAATTCAAATATCTTACTACAAGTGGGAGGTAGAGGAATGTTAAAAATAATGATTGCATCCTCTTAGAATTAAAAGAACATATGAGAACAAAAGGCTCTTTAAAGCAATCTGGAGGAATGAAGTCATTACGCATTTTTCCTTTAATAAGGTATTATCTCCCTTTTACCCAAAAAGAATGTATCGACTCACAATTTTTTTCTATTTTATCTTCTATATGTAACTTAAGAAAATGAAGAAAAATCTGTATAAAATTACTTTCATAATGGTCAAAGAACGCATTTTTATTTTGCAAACTACATCACTGGAGGAGTCTAAAGTTTTCTATATGGTATTTTTCTTGACCAGAAAATAATTACATTAAAAGCATGATCAACTCCTGATTTTATGAAGTGAAGACACAGGAAAAGAGAACCAGCACTTGAAGCTAACCCACCTAGTCAGCTTTAACGTCTTTTCCTTCTTTTCCGTTTCCTGTGTTTCCAGGGGAAATGTTTTGGAATTATAAACCCCACCATATTCTTTCAGTTCCAAGAAGAGTGAATTCTGGGGTGAAAAAAGTGCCTAAATTAGGCAAACTTCTTAGAAAGGTGAGAATCTGTAAGCTCAATTATTTCAAATTTGCTGAGAGGTGGCAGACTTATAGCCAGATACAAAGGTAATTCTTCATACTCCCAACCTAAAGTATAATAACCAAATTACCATGTCTAGTATTTCCCTTTTAAATGGCCAACTTTAAAACGAAAAATTTGCCATTACTCACATGTCTTATTTCTATTGATTCTTAACAAGGGTTATCATTAACTGAAGTGTTTTTTATTTTTCAAATGTTCTACTAATTTGTTTGATAACTTTGGATTGGATAGTTTGTCAATAAAATATTTCCAATACTAAGAAGCAGTCATCATTGAAATAATCACTGTTCCTGCTTTATAACTTTTCAGCATTTCACTTATGGAGGTTAAAAATAGCTGTGACAAAAATTAGTATCAGTAGTTTGAACTTTGCTACTACAATCTCTACAGACCAATAGAGGAACATTAAGTCATCCTAGTTTCCAATGATCTGAAGCCGAAAAATAACATTCAAATGTCCCTAACAACTTCACCTGCCATAACAACTATGAAAGATGATTGTATAGAGCTACATTTTGGTTATCTCCTGGGTTTTATAAGGTTTATTACTGGATCAGAGAGAAGCCGAGGAGTAGCCATCAAACAATACATTCGATAAAGCAATCATAACGATATATCAACAGTATATTTTCCACCCTTCAGGTCCTGAAAATCAGCACTCCTCCCAGCCTGCTTTTCTGCCTCATACTCCACTAGTTACGGCTGTGAATAAATTAGTCTGACACTATAAGCTGAGTCTTTGAAAATGAATAAACAATAGTTAATAAAACAGTATATTTGGAGAACCTACCTGAATATGGTATTAATCTATCCAAATAAATATAGACCTAAAGCTTAAGTGAATTGTCTAATCAGCTCTTGATTTTTCCATAAACTAACACAATATTTTTAGTTACCAAGGTATCAAATATATTCCCACTTCCTGCCACATTTACTTTTCATTTCACAATACAGTAATTCTTAATTTCTGGAGAATTCACTACTTGAAAATTCTCTCTTTGGGAAAAAATATGCTAAATCTTCATGTTTTAAAAGGGGAAAGAAGATCAAATAAAATTATCTATCACATCTTTACTTTTCCATTTGAAAGGTGTTGCAGTTGGCCGCGCATGGTGGCTCATGCCTGTAATCCCAACACTTTGGGAGGCCAAGGTGGGAGGATCACCTGAGGTCCAGAGTTCAAGACCAGCCTGGCCAACATGGTGAAACCCTGTCTCTACTAAAAATACAAAAATTAGCCAGGCATGGTGGCGGGTGCCTGTCATCCCAGCTACCCGGTAGGCTGAGGCAGGAAAATCGCTTGAACCTGGAAGGCGGAGGTTGCAGTAAGCTGAGATCATGCCATTGCACTCCAGCCTGGGTGACAAGCGCAAAACTCCGTCTCAAAAAAAAAAAAAAAGATGTTGCAGTAAAATTGGTATATATGTATAAACAGCTGCTGACAGTAGGAAAGAGCCCATTTCTTTTAAAAAAGGATTATAAATAATAATCTATAAAAATGTTTATTCCTTTAAACATATTTAATGTACCTATAAAATTGTAAATATTCTAAAAGTTTGAAAACCAAGATAAATCTACTTTTTATGTTCAAAAAATATGTAAAAAGTTATATACATTATGTTAAGTGAAGAGTTGAACATAAATGATGTTCGAACTATAAAAGATATGAACAAATACAAAAAAAGAAGAAGCGCTTAGGCAAATGCACACCATGACTGGGGAATTAAAATTCTGGGATACAATTTTTTCATATTTAAAATTCTGTTAACGTTAATATAATCTATTTTGTTTAATAAAAATATGCATGCTGTTTCCGACCTTGTTTTAACCTCAAAGGTCAAATGGCAAAAACTTAGTTTATTTTTTCTATTGCCATAAATAGAGATTAAAGGATTTAGGCCATAGAAGACAAATGACATGACCATATGCAGCAGCAGCAAGAAAGCACAAGAAAGATGGACTGAAGGTGGCAGAGAATGGAGGAAAGAGATCAGCTGGATCTTCTTGACCTGATAAAGGACATCTACAGAAAACATATTCAACATCGCACTTAATGGCAAAAAATTGAGCACTTTTCATCTAATATCAGGAACAAAACAAAGATGTCCATCTACTTTTACCACTTCTAAAGCAACTCTGAAAAAGATGGTCACCATAGGGGAGTATATCTACCTGATTTCAAGACTTACTATAAAGCTAGCAAAACCAAGACACTGTCATACAGGCATCAAGATAAGACAACACATCAATGGAACAAAACAGTCCAGAATAATACCCCCATATATATGGACAACGTAACTTTGACAAAGGTAAAAAGGGAATTCAGTGGAGAGTGGCTAATCTTTTCTTCATCACTCTTTCGACATCATCAAAATTAAACTATCTGCTGTTCAAAAGGCACTGTTAAGAGAATGAAAAGACAACCCAGAGGCTGGGAAAAAATTTGCAAAAGCACATAGGACTTGTATCCAAAATATAAAGAACTCTCAAAACTAAATAAAAAGAAAAAAACAATTAAAAAAACAAGGCGAAAGATGTGAACAAATACTTCACCAAAGAAGATATATGGATGGCAAATAACCATACAAAAAGATGCTCAACATCATGAGACATTAGGCTCAGGCAATTTAAAACCATGCGATATCACTACCTACCTATCAGAATGGCAAAACACACACACACACACACACACACACACACACACACAAAAACAGTGACAATGCCAAATGCTGGAAATGATCTAGAGAAAATACATCTCTCATTCATCACTGGTGGGAATATAAAATGTTACAACAATGCTGGAAAACGGTTTGGCACTTTCTTACAAAATTGAACATATTCCTGCTTTATGAGCTGTCCATTGCGTTCCTAGGTAACAAATGCATAGATCCATATAAAGATCTGTATATGAATGTTTTATTATATCCCCAAACTGGAAACAAGCATCTAATAGGTGAATTAGTTTATTCATATGTGATATTAATTGACCTGTAGTATATCAATAAAATGGAATACAAGTAATAAAACAGAACTATTCATACATGCAACAACATAGACAAGTCTAAAAATAATTACAATGAGAAACAAATTAGACCAAAAAAAGAGTATATACTGTATGATTCCATTTATATAAAATTCTACAAAACACAAACAAAGCTATGGTGATAGACAGCAGACCAGCAGTTCCCTGGGGATGAGAGTCCAGTGGGGGAGCTGTGGGAGAAGGGATTACATCAAGGCACAAAAAAACTTTCAGGAGTAATAGATATGTTCATTATTTTTATTGTAGTGGTGGTTTAATGGATGTATACATATGTCAAAATGATGGTGGCAGCAGCGGGCCATCCAGAACAGCCACTGCCATCACGCCAGCTGCAGTGGGGAGGCCAGAGCAGTGGCAGCAGGAGCAGCTGTGGGAGCAGCAGTGGGTCCCTTGTGTCCTGCATCCCTGAGGCAGCCTCTGGGCCACCCCTGCCCTCGCATGGCCGGGTAGGACCCATTTCCAGGCCCGAAGCCTCGGCAATCATGCTCCCCACTGCATCTCAGGGGCCCGCAGGCACCCCAAAGAAGGTGCAGTCAGGATTCGCAAGGCTGGCCCCAAGTGTAGGGTTCATTTCTGCAGGGTTTGCCTGGCTGCAGTGCCACCTGCACCTTGCCCCCATGCCTCCCCTCGCTCCTGAGCCATTGCGATGGGGCCGGGCAAGTCACCCACCAGTGAGGGAGCAGTGATGTTAGGCACAAAGGGGTGGGGATAGAGGGCCCCAAGGCAGAACTGGGCCCAGGGCGGTGCCTTGCTCCACAGAGCTGGTGGAAGCCAGGAGCAGGCAGAAGCCCCGCCCCCCAGGCATGGATGTTGCTGCAAAAGTTACAGTTGTGGACCCAGGCATCTCTGCAATCTTGGGGGACCCAGGAAGGCCCCCCCTTGCCCTCACAGGCTCAGAGGTGTCTGCTCCCACTGCCTGGCCTCTCCCTGTTGTCAACGCCAGCTCCGACTGTGGAGCCAAGTTGAGGCCAAGCCCGGGTGCTGTCACAACCCAGCCAGGTATGCACACACCAGAAGCAGTACTGACATGCCAGCCCCCTGCCACCTTGGCCCCCTCTGGACTTTGGGTGCCAACGAGCACAGGAGAAAGGCCGAGGAGGGGGTGAGGCCCGCTTAGCACTGGCCTGCAGGCGCCCCTTGGCACAAATAGCCTGGGCACCATGAACGGTGGCAGGAGTCAGGCTCCTGGGTGGAAGAGGCCAGCCAGGTCCCCGGTAAAGCCCCACCTTCAAGCCACAGAGAGCCTGAAGCCTGGGGGCTGGGCTGCTGGTCCCATGGACCAGAGTGGGAACTTGTGGTGCCTTTTCCAGTCCGTCCATGGCCACCCATGGACCAAGCAGCAAGCACTTCCCTCTGAGGCCCATAAATCCCCAGACTCAGCCAGACACCAAGAGATGATGGGACAACCAACTGCAGAGAGGACCTGCCCACCTCAGGGTCTCCTCTCTGCTCAGAGCTGAGGAGACAACAGGACAACCAGCAGCCAAGAAGAACTACCCTCTCCGCTGAGAGCTGAAGAAACAATGGGATAGCCAGCTGCAGAGTGGAGCTACCCTTTCTGCTGAGAGCTGAACACTCATCTGGACACTCTGACTACAGAGAGGAGCTGCCCACTGCAGGTCTCCTCTGAGCTGCTCTGTCGCTCAATAAAGCTCCTCTTTGTCTTGCTTACTCTCCACTTGTCTGCATACCTCATTCTTCCTGGACACAGGACAAGAACTCAGGACCCGCTGAATGGCAGGCTTAAAAGAGCTGTAACACAAACAGGGCTGAAACACACCTCTTGCCCACCACGTTGCTGCAGGTGACAAGAAGGACAGAAGAGAGGAGGAGAGAAATGCTGCAGCCCTTCAGGGAGCCCAGACCTAGAAACTCTCCAAGCCAGGGCTCTGACACCCTCTTCAAGGCTCCGTGATTTCTGGCATCTCCAAGCTTCCAGGTGCCACACCGCATTCCCCAGCGTCAGCCGTGGAAGCTGCTTATGGTATGCTTGATCCAGCAACAGCCTTGCACAGAGCCAGCACCCATGCCGACACCTGGAGCTGCATACCCTGCAACAGCCAGCATGCCTGGCTGTGCACAGTGGCTGGACCCCAGCTCCACACACGCCTTGCTGCTCCACATCTGGCTCACCCTTGGCAGGTGTGGGATCCAGGCTGGTAGCGGGAGCCAAGTACAGCCTGCCATGCCAAGTGGATGGAACAAGCCCAGCAGGCCAGAACAAAACTCAGGCAAAGGCGCCACTGGCCACAGAGGTTTCCAGCTGGCTAAGCAATATCCCACGGATCCTATAACAAAAACATCAAGTACTATACTCTAAACATATGTCACTTATTATATGCTACTTTACCTCAACAAAGCTGTTAAAAAAAAATCTGGCCAGGTGCAGCGACTCAAACCTATAATACCAGCACTTTGGGAGGCTGAGGTGGGCAGATAGCTTGAGCCCAGGAGTTCAAGACCAGCCTGGACAATATGGCAAAACCCCATCTCTACAAAAACAAAAAACAAAAATTAGCTAGGCATGGTGGCACGCACCTGTAATCCCAGTTGAGATAGGAGGATCACTTGAACCCAGGAGTTCGAGGCTGCTGTGAGCTATGATTAAGCCACTGCACTCCAACCTGGGTGAAGAGTGAGACTATCACCAAAAAAAAAAAAAAAAAAAAAAAAAAAAACTAAAAATGAAACAAATAAACAAACTATATGGTCAAACCACCTAAGAAGCAAAATATACATGGATTTTTGACATTTGTTGCAGGAAGTCAGGGACCCCGAACAGAGGGACCTGCTGAAGCCATGGCAGAAGAACACAAATTGTGAAGATTTCATGGACATTTATTAGTTCCCCAAATTAATACTTTTATAATTTCTTACGCCCGACTTTAATACAATCTCTAAACATAAACTGTGATGACTTCACGGACATTTATCACTTCCCCAATCAATACTTTTATAATTTCCTATGTCTGTCTTTACTTTAATCTCTTAATCCCATCATCTTTGTAAGCTGAGGATGTATGTGTCACCTCAGGAGCCTGTGATGATTGCATTAACTACACAAATTGTTCGTAAAGCATGTGTGTTTGAACAATATGAAATCTCAGCACATTGAAAAAAGAACAGGATAACAGCGATGTTCAGGGGACAAGGGAGATAACCATTAGGTCTAACTGCCTGGGAGCCGGGCAGGACAGAGTCATATTTCTCTTATTGCTGAAAACGGGTAAGAGAAACATCGCTGAATTCTTTCCCCAGTAAGGAATATTAATAATTGACAGCCCTGGGGAAAGAATGCATTCCCAGGGGGAGGCCTCTAAAATGGCCGCTCTGGGAGCGTCTGCCTTATGCAGTTGTAGGTAAGGATGAAACACGCCCTGGTCTCCTGCAGCGTCCCCAGGCTTGCTAGGATTAGGAAATTCCAGCCTGGTGAATTCTAGTCAGACCAGTTCTCCACTCTTGAACCCTGTTTCCTGTTAAGATGTTTATCAATGACAATGCGCACACAGTGGGACATGAAACTTCATCAGCAATCCCAGTTTCACCCTGGCCTTGTGACCTTGCCCTGCCCATTTGCCTCGTGATACTTTATTGCCTTTGAAGCATGTGATCTCTGTGACCCACACCCTATTCATACACTCCCTCCCCTTTGAAAATCGCTAATAAAAACTTGCTGGTTTTGCAGCTCAGGGGGCATCACAGAACCTACTGACATGTGATGTCTCCCCCAGACACCCAGCTTTAAAATCTCTCTCTTTTGTACTCTTTCCCTTTATTTCTCAGACCGGCTGACACTTAGGGAAAATAGAAAAGAACCTACGTTGAAATATTGGGGGCTGGTTCCCCGATAGATATTCTGGTTCACAATCTCCTGGTTATCATCAAGATTAGTTTAACTTGGCAAAATTCATACTTTGGTAATTTTTCTTCATTATGTTAATAAAATGTAGCTTATTTCTTTCAGTGATGGTAAATATAAGTGCAAATTAAAAATTTTAATATTGGCTTTTAACCTCAGACGTTGTAACAATTCAGCTATGCATTGTTCTATAGATTATAGCCATAAAACCTGTTAATAAGAAAAGAACAGTGATAACCAGTTGTGTGTTTATTCTAGTTAGCCTCTCTCTGCCTCACTTGCTTCACTGAAATGGACAAATAATAATAGCACCCAACTCAAAGGGCTATTGTAGGTACCAGGAAATATAGGTACTGCACTAAGCTAAAACACAAAATGACTAATCTTTAAGTGATCAATTTACCCTAAAAAATAATTTATATAAGTGGTTCTATACATTCTAGCTCAAATATAAAAGAAAGCACTTTATAATGTTTTCAATTTAAAAATCCTTTTGAAATAAAAGGACAGTTTAAAAATGACATCTCAATTTCCATAATCATAAATCGAACTTTCTACCACTGTTAATAGAAGAGCGCAACAGCAGATTCGAACAGACAGAAGAATCAGTCAACTTGAAAACAAGTTAACTGAGAATATCCAGTCTCAAGAACAGAAAGAATAGACTGAAAACAAAACAAAACAAAACAAAAAAACACGAACAGAGCCTGAGACCTCAAAGACACTAACAAGCATACCAATACAGTCACAATAAAAGTCCGAGAAAGATAGTAGACAGAAAAGGGGGCTGACAGAATACTTGAAGAAATAATGGCACCTACCTCCTCAAATTTGACTTAGAAAAATTAATCTACACATCCAAGAAACTTAATGACCTCCAATTAGGATAAACTCAAAGAGATTTATACCTAAACATACCATAGTCAAGTGGTCAAAAATCAAAGAGAAAGAAAATCTCCAGCGCAAAAAGAAAGTAACTCATCACTTACAAATGATCCTCAATTACAGTACAAGGCAATATCTAGTCCAGAAACATGAAGGTTAGAAGGTAGTAGGATGATACATTCAAAGTATTAATAGGAAATGGCTATCAAAAAGAATACCATATGTAGCAAAACAAAGCTTTAGAAAATGAGGAATAATTTTAAATATTCCCAGAGAAACAAAACCTAAAAGAATTTGTCACTAGCAATCTGTCCTATAATAAAAAGTACCAGTTAAGAGTAATTAGATAGCCTAAGCTAGGTGGCTTAGGCCTGTAATCCCAGCACTTTGGGAGGCCAAGGTGGGTAGATCACAAGGTCAAGAGATTGAGACCATCCTGGCCAACCAACATGGTGAAACCCCATCTCTACTAAAAATACAAAAAGTAGCTGGGCATAGTGGCACATGCCTGTAGTCCCAGCTACTCGGGAGGCTGAGGCAGGAGAATCGCTTGAACCCAGGAGGCAGAAGTTGCAATGAGCTGAGATTGTGCCACTGCACTCCAACCCAGACGACACAGCAAGACTCTGTCTCAAAAAAAAAAAAAAAAAAAGAGTAATTAGATAGCTAAATGTAAACAACGGTAGAAATACATTTTGTGTTTGTAACTCTTTTTTCCTCCTATCTGATTTAAAATATAACTGCGTAAAGCAATACAACGTTGATGGGCTTACAATGTATAAAGATGCAATTTGTGTGACAGTAATACAAAGGAAGGGGAAAGGAGGATGTGCTATATAGGAGCAAAATTTCTGAATACTACTGAATTAAGTTGCAGTTCCCCCCATGAGATAGTTATAAGTAAATACCCTGGGCAATCACAAAGAAAAAATTTTCTTGAAAAGATACAGTGAAATAAACAATAGAAATAAAATGACAAATTTAAAAATATCAACATACAACAACAAACAAACAATAATAGATGAATAGAGAAACAAAAGGGACCAAAGACATATAAAACATTTGCAAAATGGTGCTGGTTTGTCAGTAATTTCATTAAGTGTAAATGGACTAAATACTCAAATCAAAAGGCAGAGATGAGCAGAATGGATTTTTAAAACCCTGCTCCAATTATATGCTCTCTACAAAAGCCATATTTCAGATTCTAAAACATAAACAATATAAAAATATATATAAATATATACCCCAAAAAAGTAACAACAGAGCTACCATACCTATACTAATACTAATTTCAGTCAAAATGAGATATTTATCCAAAAGTGCTACTAGATAATAAGTTTTACTCTTATTGTATAAGAACAAAAGGGCAGACAATTATAAACATATATGCAGCTAAAAACAACGTCCCAAAATACATCTAGCAAGAACTGACAGAATTGAAGGGAGAAATAGACAATTTGACAATAGTAGGAGACTTCAATACTTCATTCTCAATAATGAATAAAATATGCAGAAAAATAAACAGAACATTTGAACAACATTATAAACCAACTAGATCTAACAGACATTTATAGAACACTATGACCAACAAAAAAAATATATAGAATCTATTCAAGTGCACATGGTACATTCTCCAAAGTAGAATAATATATATTAGGGCCATAAAAAATCATCAGTAAATTTAAAAGGACTGAAATCATGCAAAGTATGTTATTCAACCACAATGGAATAAAATTAGAAATGAGTAACAGGTGGCCAGGTGCAGTGGCTCACACCTGTAATCCCAGCACTTTGAAAGGCCGAGGCAGGAGGATCACTTGAGGTCAGGAGTTCAAGACTAGCCTGGCCAACATAATGAAACCGAGTCTCTACTAAAAATACAAAAAAAAAATTAGCTGAGCATGGTGGTATGCACCTGTAATCCCAGCTACTCAGGAGGCTGAGGCAGGAGAATCACTTGAACCTGGGAGGCAGAGGTTGCACTGAGCCGAGATCACACCACTGCACTCCAGCCTGAGTGAGTGAGATTCTGTCTCAAAAAATAATAAAGAAGAAATTATCAATTATTAACAGGAAATTAGGAAAATTTACAAGAAAGTGAAAAATAACGCATTCATAAGTAATGGTCAAAGTAAAACACAAGAGAAATCAGAAAATCCTCTGAGATGGATAAATGAAAACAAAAATAACAACACATCAAAATAGATGGGATGTAGAAATAAACCCCTGCATACACAACTCTTAGAAGAAAATATAGGAATAGAGCTTCATGGCACTGGATTTGGCAATAATTTCTTTATATGACACCAATAGCACGGGCAACAAAAGAAAAAAACAGATAAATTGGACTTCATCAAAATTAAAACTATTTGTCTGTCAAAGGACACCATCAAGAAAGCGATTTTTAAAAACACAATAGAGAAGGAAATATTTGCCAATCATGTATCAGATGAACCTAATGTCTGGAATATATAAATAACTTCTATAACTCAACCAAAAACCAAACAATCCAATTTAAAAAGGACAAAGAACGTCAATAGGCATTTCTCCAAAGAAGATATACAAGTGGCCAATATACACATGAAAAGATGCTCAATATCACTAATCATTAGGAAAACGCATATTAAAACCACAATGAAATACCCACCTCACACTTATTTAGATGGTTACTACTTTAAAAAAAAAAAAAGAAAAAAGAAAAATAACAAGTGTTGGCAAGGATAAGGAGAAACTGGAAGTACACTGTTGGTGGGAGTGTAAATGGTGCACCCACTGTGGAAAACAGTAGAGTTGTTCCTCAAAAAATGAAAAATAGAATTATCCTATGATTCAGCAATTTCACTTCTGCTTATATACCCAAAATAACTGAAAGCTGGGTCCCAAAGAGATATTTGTACACACGTTCACAACAGCATTATTCACAATAACCAAAAGATGAAAACAAACCAAGTGTCCATTGAGGAGATAAGCAAAATATGGTATATCCACACAATGAAGTGTTATTGAGCCTTTAAATAGGTAGGCAATTCTGACACATGCTACAATGCAGATGAACCTTGAGACATTATGCTAAGTCAAATACGCCAGTCAACAAAATGACAAATATTATATATAATTCCATTATATGAGGAACCTAGTACGTTCAAAATCACAGACAAAAAGTAGAATGGGGAATGGAGAGATGTTTATTGGGTACAGAATTTCATACTTTAAAGATGAAAAGCATTCTGAAGATGGATGGTGGTGATGGCTCCACAGGAATGTGAATGTACCTACTACTACTGAACTGTACACTTAAAAATGGTTAAGATGGTAAATTTTAGTAAATTTTATGCTATTCATATTTTACCTCGATTAAAAACAATTTTTTAAAACATAACATTTTATGAAGTGATCTAAGTTTCTGTAATCAAATGTTTAGAGGTGTGTCAGGCAGTTAATTAGTGAAATTATTTTATTTTTGAATTTTGTGAAATTTGTGGTATTAGCATCTCTTAATTTGTGATCTCTCTTATTCTAAATAAATACACTCAATTGGATTTCTTCCTCCATCATCTTTTTAAAAATACATTACCTATTTTCAAAAGCCCTGTCAAAATTTGCAAACAACAAGTTAATCTGGGGAGAAAAAGAAAACCCTAAGTTTTCTTACGAACACATCAATAAAACTACTGTAACAAGGGTAAATTTTTAAATAAACCAAAATAAACTTTAATTTTGTTTAATATGTCATATTTATTCCAAATAAAAGTTTATGTTGCATGAAGAGGCATAAAGATTTCAACACTTAATTTAATAATGCACTGCCCTACTCCTAGGGGCAACATTCTATTTTTAAACTTCAGTGCCTAAAATGTCTAATACTAGTCTTTAATACCAGCAATTTCTTCTACTCACCACACATACTGGGCTTTAAAACTAGAAGTGGAAAACATACACACCAACTTAGGGACTCATACCTGATGCTTTCAACCAATTTTTATATATAGTGTGTAAAGAGAGATTAACTTTATTTCTATAGATGAAGAAATAGAACTACATAGGTTCCACAATCCCCTCATTGCCACACTGCTAGAAAGTACAAGACCTAATGAGCCAGACACCAGAGGCTGCAATCATTCTACCATACCTTAAAGATTCATTTATTTATTTAATAAAATATGTATTAAGCATCCACTCTGTTCCAGGTACTACAGTAAGTACTGACGACTTACTAGAGCTAATCTATTAGCTAAGGCAGTAGAAAATATCTGAAAACCAGTTTGGAATCTTTGAAGTATTACATACATAAAGTGTTAGACAATACTACTTCTAATAGCAGTATCACTATTAGTAGTAATCATAATGTATAGATCTTGAATATTAATAAGAATACTACTTAAACATTAAAGTGTCAAATAAAAGGAGCTTTACCTTTGTATTTCTCTTAGCACCTAGTACTGAGCTCTGTACTCAGCAGTATTCAAAAAGTATGTATTATATAGAAACATCAGTATCACTTTGGCCTCTGTTTCCCTCAATGTCCTTCCCCAACTGGGTTTCTGGAACACTAGCAGCCAGGTTTATTGCCCAGGCAGGATACTGGTAATCCCTTTGAGAAAACTAGCCACCAGCCCAGGAGAAGATTTGTAAATGCTAAAACCTGTAAGCCAAAAACAGAACCACCATGCACACACATGCACACGTGTGCACCCACACACACCTACACACCCATTCACGAGTTTCCTATTAGCCTTTTGTTATCTCTCCCACCATTGTCCCATATTACGTCTACTGCATAAAGGTATAATAAGGTGTCTTCCAAATGTATAGTAGTTAAATTAGAACTGTATTATAGTAAGTGCCCAACCTAAAGCCAGGTAGGACCAGGTCAGTGGTGCCTCTCAGGTTGTATCTGTGGGGAAGGGCCAGTTTCTTCCATTTTTAATCTATCACAGGCTATGGCAGATTGTATTTTAACAAAAATGACAGCAACAATTTTCTACAATTTTGCCACTACACCAAGAGGTGGAGTCTATGTCCCTTCCACCATTAATGTGGGTAGACCTTAGTAGCTGCCTCAGTGAATAAGAGGATAGCAGAAATGACGCAGTGACTTCTGAGGCTTGGTCACAAAAGGAGATACAATTTTTACTGGGTTTGTCTGGGGATACTTATCCCCAGAATCCAGTCACCCACCTCCAAGGAAGCCCAGGTCACATGTAGAAAGGAACTGAGATCCTCAGCCCTCAGCACTGACAGAATCTCTGCTCAGAGCCAGCACCAATCTGCCAGATATGTGAGTGGAGCAACTTCAGTTGAGCCACTACAGCTGACTGCAATGAAAAGAGAAAAGTCTTCCTTGCCAAGTCCTGCCCAAATTACAGACTCATGAACAAAATTAATTACTGTTATTGTTTTAAATCATTACATTCTGGGATGGTTACACAGCAGTAGGTAACTAGAACACAGACCAATACAGTATGTTTGCAAATACAATAAAAGTGACTAGAAAATAAAATTTTTTAAGACACAAAAAATACGAGTCATAATTTTTCATTATTAAGCAGAAGGTGAAGTATCTCTCAACTGTTATAAAATACTAATACTAAATACTCACTCTCATTTACTGTATTTATTTCCTCATAGGCCAGGGACTGGTACCCAGTCCATAGACAATCTGTTGAGTAGCACTGTCCTAGGCTATATGAAAGGAGGAGAAGTGTAATTTGACTGGAGTGGCATTAAAACCACTAAATAGTAAGGAAAGAAAGGTGTTCAACCAAGCACGCATTTTTAAAACTTTGCAATCCATTACACTAAATCAACTCTGCTTGAGAGTAAAGGTATCCTGATTAAATACCGTGAAGATGAATGGATCAGTCTATCCACATGGGAGCACTTATACTGCAGAATCCTACACCTCTCTCTCCTTTACTTGGATTTCATACATACCATGAAAACTTCTGATTGCTCTCTCCCTGTCTCTCTCTCATATACACCAGGAAAGCTCTGATTGCTCACACGTGTGCACTCATTCTCTCACACACGTAGACACACACACACAAAGCAAACACGGCAAAATTTTAACAGCTCTTGATTCTCAGTGGTAAAGTATGTAAGTGTTCATTATATGCATCATTCTTTTAATTTTTCTGTGTTTGAAAGTTTTCACAATAAAGCTGAGAAAAATAATTAAAAAACAAAAATTTCATGAAACAGGAATGGATATACTATTTACACTAATAATCTATGGAAATGGAACCCAAAATAATATATAATATATAACAGTATATTTAACAACTCTACTATGCCATTAATCTGACCTGAAACCAGTATATTACCAGTGAGTAAAGCATTTATATACCTCTTAGTCATTCAGCTTTTAAGGATAACCTATATCAGCATTTCTCTCACTTAAGTGTGCATCAGAATCACTTGAGGAGTTTTTAAAAAATACAGATTTTTGGGACCCAATTCCAGATTCTGAAAAAATAACACTTCAGTAAGTCCCGCAAGTGATATCAATGTGGCTGGTCCATATCAATATCTTTGAGAAACACGAATGTAGAGCAGTGGTTCTCAAACAGGGGCAAGTTTGTCCTCCACGGAACACTTGGCAATGTATGCAGACATTTTTTGGTTCTCACAATTGAAGGGTAAAGTGCTACTGGCTCCAGTGCAGAGACGCCAGGGACGCCATTAGACATCACGGATTGCACAGGACAATCATACAAATAATGATCTGGTCCAAAATGTCAATAGTGCTAAAGTTGAGAAACTCTAATCTACTGTTAACAAACAGTATAAGAGGAAGTTTAGAGGTGTTTCTTTTCCTCCTCAGTATCATAAAATGAATAGAAGAAAAATGGAAAGGATGAGGAACCCAGACTGATAAAACTAGAAACTTTGACTTATGCTGCTTTTAATGCCAGACACTCCTCCCTTCAAGAGTTAGAAGACTGACCAGGCATGGTGGCTCACGCCTATAATCTTAGCACTTTGGTAGGCTGAGGCGGGCAGACTGCTTGAGCTCAGGAGTTCGAGACCACCCTGGGCAATACAGCAAAACCCCATCTCTACAAAAAAAAAAAAAAAAAAAAAATTAGCTGGGCAGCTGGGCGCAGTAGCTCATGCCTGTAATCCCAGCACTTTGGGAGGCCAAGGCGGGCAGATCACAAGGTCAGGAGATCGAGACCATCCTGGCTAACACAGCGAAACCCTGTCTCTACTAAAAAATACAAAAAATTAGCCGGGCATGGTGGCAGGCGCCTGTAGTCCCAGCTACTCGGGAGGCTGAGGCAGGAGAATGGCGTGAACCCGGGAGGCGGAGCTTGCAGTGAGCCAAGATTGCGCCACTTCACTCCAGCCTGGGCGACAGAGCAAGACTCTGTCTCAAAAAAAAAAAAAAAAAAAATTAGGTGGGCATGGTGGTGTGCACCTGTAGCCCCAGCTACTTGGTGGTAGGTTAAGGCAGGAAGACTGATTGAGCCCAGGAGATTCTGTCTCAAAAAAAAAAAAAAAAAAAGGGAGTCTACATCACCTCTCTTGATTCTGGGGAAGGAGGGGTGGGGGAAGAAGCTTGAGACTTGTAATTGCTTTGACCAACAGAGTACAGTAGATGTGATGCTATATGACTTCTAAGACTACATCAGAAAAGCCCTTTAGCTTCTATCTAGCTCCCTTGGAACACTCACTCTCAGGATGCTTCCCTTCAGAACCCAGCTTCTAACATGCTGTTAAGAAGCCCAAGCCATATAGAGAAACCATACATAAGTGCTCTGCTCAACAGTCCCAGCTGAGCCCATCCTTCAGTCATTAGACATATGAATAAGCAATCTGCGAAGTGGATCCCCCACCTCCAAGTGTTCCAACCCCCAGCCATTGCCAATGAGCAAGCAGACACTGTGGAACAGAAAAGAGCTCTCACTCCTGTACCCTGTTTGAATTCCTCACTGAGAGATCCTGTAAATAATAAAATGGTGATTAACTTATGCTACTAAATGTTGGCATGGTTATGCAGCAACAATAACTTAAACATCTCACATTCTGTCACTTATTCTTAAAACAATGACAGTTCCTTTTGTTAATCCCCTCAGAAGGATTAAGTGGCTTGCCTACGGTTACGCAGGCAAAAGTAATAGAGTAGTACTTGAATCCAGATCTGTCTAATCTCAAAGATTTCCACCATATCATAATGATTTCTATTTCTTCATGCTGAAATTATTCTGATTGTTATTTTCAAAGTCAACCACAGAAGCACCTAAACTAATTGAAGGTATCACTGAAAAAGACACATTACTATTTGTAAGGTTTGCTAATCTTCAATCTGATTCACTGCACTCAATATATTATTTCCGCAATCTCCACCTCAACACTTGCCCCAGAAAATCAAGGGGAAAAGAAGTCACAATCACATATACTGAGACCTTTGTTACAGTAAGGGCTCACAAATGAGAGAATAACCCTGCTCATGTATGTTGGTGACATTAACAGGAAAAGGATTACAGCTGGACAGAGAATCAATAGTTTTGTTGTTGTTTTACTTAGCATACCCCAGTTTTTCTAACCTTTCCCGATAGCTTCCTATGTTCCTAAATCAATGTACAAATGGAAAAACGTCCTTACTGCAAAAATGAATGAATACGAATGAGTGAAAACTGAACTCAAATGAATGAATGCAAATGAGTGCAAAGCAGCAAAAACAGGGCACCCATTTCAACCAATCATTAAGCTCTCAAAATACAAATATTTCGATGTTACTATGATGCACTCATCTGGAATTTAGTAAAAAAAAAAAAAGGGATTTCAGCCAGGCGTGGTGGCTCACACCTGTAATACCAAGGCAGGAGGATCCCTTGAGCCCAGGAGTTGAAGACCAGCCTGGGGAACATAGGGAGATCCTGTCTCTACACATTTTTTTTTTTAATTAGCCGGGAGTAGTGGTACATGCCTGTGGTCTCAGCTACTCAGTAGGCTGAGGTGAGAGGATAGCTTGAGCCTGGGGGGTTGAGGCTGTAGTGAGCCATCATCATACCACTGATCTCCAGCCTGGATGACAGAGTGAGGTCGTCTCAAAAAAAAAAAGGGGGGTGGGGGGGTTTCATAGCCTAACACAGGGGTCTTTCTTTTCTATTACAAATGTCACAACAACTGTAATATCTAGTAAGCCACTGATTCACTCTAAATCTGTTACTGTCTATCTATTACCTTGGAGCAGTCACTTCATTTTTCTGAACCTCAACTTCCTCATCTGTAAAATGATAGAACTTTTTGTGATCTATAATCTGTACTGTCCTATATAGGAACCATGCCACATAGGATGACTAAACATTTGAAATGTGACTCATATAACTTAAGAATTTTTTTTTCTTTTCGTTTTTTAGACGGAGTCTCGCTCTGTCGCCCAGGCTAGAGTGCAGTGGCATGACCTCGGCTCGTTGCAACCTCTGCCTCCCAGGTTCAAGCAATTCTCCTGCCTCAGCCTCCTGAGTATCTGGGATTACAGGCGCCTGTCTCCACACCCGGCTAATTTTTTTGTATTTTTAGTAGAGACGGGGTTTCACCATGTTGGCCAGGCTGGTTTTGAACTCCTGACCTCAAGTGATCTGCCCGCTTTGGCCTCCCAAAGTGCTAGGATTACAGGCGTGAGCCACCGCGCCCAGCCAAGAATTTTTTATATTTAATTTAAATGGCTACATTTGGCTAGTGGTTATCCTACTGGACAGTGTGGGACTACAGGAACACTAAATATCCTTCTAATTCTAAAATTCGATCACTGCCAATTTCCAACATTTAAAAAAAATTCCTTTCTCCCTAAAATTGAGTAAATAAATGAATCTAATAATATATAACACAATCACGCAGGAAAAAAAGCATTCCAGTAATTGTTAAATATAATAGTATTAAAATTGACAAACATTTTCAGTAAGGAGCCAGGCAGAAAATATTTCAGGCTTTACAGGCCATTAAGATCTCTGGTATAACTACTTAATTCTACCTATGTAGCATGAAAGCAGCCATAAACAATATGTAAACGAATGAGTATGGCTGTATTCTAAATTCAGATATTGAAGTCTGAATTTCATGTAATTTTCATGGGTCATGAAATATTTTTTATTTTTTAAAAGAACTTAAAAACTTAAAAAGCATTCTTAGTTCACAGGCCATACTGAAAAGGTGGTGGTCAGATTTGACCCACAGGCCACAGTTTGCTAACCACAGCAGAATACACTGAAGATAAATCAAAAGAAATATAAAAAACTCCGAACTTTATAAAGTTTGTTGTTGACAGTGGTCTTGATGCAACATTCTGAAACTATTTTGTGTCTATTATAGGATTGAACAAATGAATAAATATTAATATTGTTGAGAACCAGGAGTCTGGCTACAGGACACAAGAGGTCAGATATGGCATCAGAGATGGTTGCAGTACTGGATGAGAATTAGAGGCATTGGTTAATCTCATTTTTAAAAAATTATCCACTAGAACCTAGAAGTCAAAATACTCCAATAACACTGAATATACTTAACCTACTATATACTATTCCTCACTAAAAGAAATTAGGACTCTGGAGAAAAAAGGCTGATTTCAGAGCTGGGGCAAGGAAAATACAAGGTGAGGCTAAATGTCTTGTACTGGTAAGTAAGGAAGTAAGCCCTCAAAATCTAACTGAGGACTAGTCAAAGAAAAAGAGAGGCAGTTTAAAGAAACTCCTATCAGGAAATATGAAACAACTTAAGTTCCAAAATAAATAATAGATTATAATACTCTGAATAAAAATCCATAAGTCCAGAGTGATGCTAATGTTTTTAAGTGAGGGAGAGGAATAACTTTTTAAAAATAATATCTAATGATAAATATAGAAGGAAGAACAGAAATAGAAAAATGCCATTTTACAGTTACTATAACTGATTCAGGCAAGACTTAACAAATGCTAAAATCACTGGGTGAGAGTTGTTGGGTAACAAGATACATAATCCAAAAGTATCACCCCATAAATTACTTATTAATTACAAAGGGGAAACGATATCTTTACAATGGAGAAATCTGTCATATCCCACCTTAACCAAATAATCAAATTTAACATCACCAAAACTGGTATCATAGACACCCTGATGTCATATACTGAGAACATAACACCTTATATAGTGTTCTTGCCAAAAATGTTTAACTTGAATCTAGTGATGAAATAAAACTAAAACAATGAGACAAATCCAAATTGAGGAACATTCTAAAAAACAATTTGCCTGGATTCTTCGAAAATGTGAGGAGTAGATGTAAAAGGATGGGGGAGCGTTGTAGATTTAAAAAGATAAAACAACCTACTGCAATGTGTAGCTCTTGATCCAATCATGGATTTGGCGGGGGGTTAGGGTAGAAAGTATAAGGGACTTGCTTGAACAATTGGAGAAATCTGGAATACAGACTGAGTTTTAGGTAATATTATTGTGTCAATGCTAAATTTCCTGAGTGTGATCATGCTACATAGAAGAATGTGTTTATTACCAAAAGATGCATGATTACATGCTGAAACATTTAGGTTAAGTGTTATGATCATGATATCTGCAATCCTCAAATAGTTCAGAAATTTTCAAAGTACATATAAAGAGAGAGCAAGAAAGCAAAGTATCAATTAATGAATCTATGCAAGATTATACAGATGTTCAATATACCATTCTTACTACTTTTCCATAGGCATGATATTATTCAAAATAAAAAGTTGTGAGGAAAGAGTTAAAAAAAAAATTATTTCAGCCAGGTGTGGTGGCTCATGCCTGTAATCCCAGCACTTTAAGAGGCCAAGGAGGGCAGAGTTCTTGAGTCCAGGAGTTTGAAACCAGCCTAGGCAACATGGCGAAGTCCTGTCTCTACAAAAAATACAAAAAATTAGCTAGGAGTGGTGGTGAGTGACTGTGGTCCCAACTACCCAGAAGGCTGAGGTGGGAGGATCACTTGAGCCTGGGAAATCGAGGCTGCAGCAAGCCAAGATCACACCACTGCCCTTCTCCTGGGAGACAAAGAGAGACCGTGTCTCAAAAACAAAAAATAAAAGAATTATTTCAAATTCTGCTTTTATACTTAACAAATGCATACACAATAAAACCACAGTTATCAAAAATCATCAATCAATTACCCACCGAAAAAGTATCCTCGATAGCTGATCTTTTTTTTTTTTTTTTTTGAGACGGAGTCTCGCTCTGTTGCCCAGGCTGGAGTGCAGTGGCACAATCTCGGCTCACTGCAAGCTCCGCCTCCCGGGTTCACACCATTCTCCTACCCCAGCCTCCCGAGTAGCTGGGACTACAGGTGCCTGCAACTATGCCCGGCTAATTTTTTGTATTTTTAGTAGAGATGGGGTTTCACCGTGTTAGCCAGGACAGTCTCAATCTCCTAACCTCGTGATACGCCTGCCTCGGGCTCCCAAAGTGCTGGGATTACAGGCGTGAGCCACCGCGCCCAGCCGACAATTCTTTACACTTATTTGAAATGGAATATTCCCAACTGGACCATCTGCTTTGCTACCAACTTAGTTTATTACACAATGTTTTGTATGTAATTATAAATTCAAATGCTGGTAGTATAAGATAATGGACTAACTTAGCTTATTGTTATAACGCTGTATACAAAGAAGGTTCCCTCAAGCCATGTGAACTGAACTTGGCAACAGAATGGGCCAGATTCCCTTAGGATAGTGCTACCAAAACTATGAACTATAAAACTGATACCCTGTAGAAGGAAAAAAAATTCAAATGTAGCAACAGGTTTTGCTCTAAAATTTCTCTCTCTGTACTTACACATACCAAACACATTTATATAGAAGTCATTATGCAACAACTTAAATAAGAAGCTTCTTATTTAAGAAATGGTATACGACAACAAAGTATTCCTGGTAATCATGTGCAAAATCAATCATCTGAAACAGGAATGCGTAACACTGGACCTACACTGGGATTCACTGATGTACAGACAGCATTTTCAAAATGTCCTTTGTATGTCCTCTACTCAATTGTTACCGACCTGATAAGAATAAAGAATTACAATGTCAAAATAGATTTTATATTAACTATATATTAAATACAGGAATCTAATTTGTGCCATTTCTTGCATCAAACTGATTTACCTAAGGCTTTTCCTTTTTTATTTAACTTATTTTAATCTTTTACAACTCACTATATCCTATTTATACATTTCAGCATTTAAAGTACTGTGCGTGCAAGAAAGAAACACACTCCCGACCCACTAAGGCCCTACAGAGTTCTCTAAACCTATGCCTTCAATATACCTGTTTATTCACGTAAGTATGTGAATAGCTCCTAGTTGCTAGACACAGTGCTAGATGCTAGAGATACACATATGCACACATCTAGATCTCTGCCCTCAAGAAGCTCAGTCTAGTTAGGGATGGAAACTAAATAATTCAGTGAAATTATTTACTAAAACAGACGTATATTAATTAATTTAGTGAGTCAAAGAACTACTCTTTCTCCTATCTACAGTTCATTACCTAAGTACTAGAAACATTAGAAGCAGCCAGCTAGTTCTTTCCCTCTCTCCCTCTCCATTTTCTAAATTTCTGTCCTTTGGTCTCCTCCCTATGAGATTCCAACAATAAAGCCAATCTTTCATAAGTACTACCAGTCAATGAGAATATTTTTATTTTTGTCTAAAAAGAGGCAGTCTTATAGTGTATGTGGTATTATATTTAAAGCTTTATTGTTCCTCTCTTCCCTAGCAAAAAATATTTTATTAGTTAGAGGTTTAGTGCATTTTTTTAGAGGAAAAAAAAAAAAGAATGCCGGTCTCTATAGAGTTTTTATACTTCCTTCAGAAAGCAACTGTTTCCAGTGGTCACAGTAGCTCACATCTATAATCCCAGCACTTTGAGAGGCTGAGACCAGAGCATCCTTTGAGCCCAGGAGTCCAAGATCAGCCTGGGCAATATGCCAAGACCTCATCTCTTAGGGGAAAAAAAAAAATTAGCTGGGCATGGTGGAACACACCTATGGTCCCAGCTACTAGGGAGGCTGAGGTGGGAGGATCACTTGAGGCTAGGAGGTTGAGACCGCAGTGAGCTGTGAGCATGCCACTGCATTCTAGCTAAGGAGACAGAGCAAGACCCTATCTCTAAAATAAATATATATAAAATACTCTAGTTACACCAGAATTAGCAGAATATTTATAACTAAAGGCTCGAATCAAGTGTCCATGTGTTAGGCAATTAGATAAATGTTCCTCTACTTTTCCCTAACCCCTCCCATGTTCAACATATCTATTAAGTACCTCACATTGTGCCAGACAGGAAGAAGCAACATGAATATATCGACAAACAAAACAAGATAAAGGTCCTTGCCCTCATGGAGCTTCCATTATAATGAGGAAAGAAAAAAATATATATAGTATAATGTGAGGTGGTAAGCAAAGGAGAACAGCCATGTAGGAGTAGGAAAGCAATTTTAAATAGGGTGCTCAGGAAAGCCATGGCTGAGAAATTTGCTTTTGAGCAGAGACTTAAAAAGTAAAAGAGTGAGCCATGTGCATACTCCATCTGCCTGGAACACTTGGGAGAAAGGTGGGTGTTCAAGGCAGAAGGAAGAACAAACATGAAGACCTGAAGTAGGAACAAGTCTGCCAGTGCCAGGAACAAAAAGGAGGCCAGTGTGCCTTGAGAAAAATGAAAAAGAAGAGTGGTCAAAGATAAGGTCAGAGAGACAGCCAGGTCCACAGACCATGTAGGGCTTTTTTGGCCACAGTAAAAACTTTAGCTTTTACTCTAAGAAAGAATGGAAGCCGTTAAAGGATTTTGAGCAAAAGAGCAAGATCATCTCCTTTACCATATAAATACAGTTGACCTTTGAACAATGCAGGGTTTAGGGGCACTGACCCCTGCACTGTCTAATTTCTCCATGTAACTCTTGACTTTCCCAAAACTTCACTACTAACAGCCTACTGTTGACCGGAAATCTTACCAATAACAAAGTCAATTAACACATATTTTGTATGTTACATGCATTATATATACTGAATTCTTACCATAAAGCTAAAGAAAATGTTAAGAATCCTAACGAAGAGAAAATATATTTACTATTCATTAAGTGCAAGTGGATCATCACAAAGGTCTTCATCCTCACTGTCTTCACATTAAGTAGGCTGAGGAGGAGGAAGAGGAAAGATTGGTGTTGCTGTTTCTGGGTGGCAGAGATAGAAGAGGTGGAGGAAGTGGAAGGGGAAGCAGGAGAGGCAGGCACACTCCACGTAACTTTACAGAAATACATAGTAATTTCTGTTGGGCTTTTTAAAACTTTCACTTAAAATGTTTACATTATGGGCCAGGTGCGGTGGCTTACGCCTGTAATCCCAGCACTTTGGGAGGCCGAGGAGGGCGGATCACAAGGTCAGGAGATTGAGACCATCCTGGCTAACTTGGTGAAACCCGTCTCTACTAAAAACACAAAAAATTAGCCGGGCGTGGTGGCAGGCGCCTGTAGTCCCAGCTGCTCTGGAGGCTGAGGCAGGAGAATGGCGTGAACCCAGGAGGCGTAGCTTGCAGTGAGCCAAGATTGCACCACTGCACTCCAGCCTGGGCAACGGACTGAGACTCTGTCTCAAAAAAATTAATAAATAAATAAATCTTTATATTATGGTACCAATCGTTCTTCTACCATTTGCTTTAGTTTCAGTGCCCGTATTTTAGAAGGGTCCATGTTGTAAAAGAAGTTAAAGGCAGTCTTGAATAAGTGGAACCCTTCTGCCAGACTGTCTATAGTTAATTTATTTTCTGGTACTGTTTCTTCCACATCTTCTTGCTTATCATCTGGTACTGGTTTGGAAGCACTCATCTCCATCAAGTTATTTTCCATTTATTCCTCTGGTGTGGTGTCTAATTAGCTCTTGAATTTCTTCAAGATGTATACCTGAAACCCTTCATCCTCAACCTTTAAAAAGTATATAGATAGATATATAGATATAGATATAGATATAGATATAGATATAGATATCCACAATCTCTTTTATGAGTTCCCTGACTGACTCTGTTGTAAATCCTGTGAAGTCATGCACAACATCTGGACAAAGTCTTCCGTAGCAGGTATTTACAGTTTCAGGCCTGATGGCTTTCACAGCTTTTTCTATAACAACAATGGCATCTTCAATACTGTAATCCTCCAGACTTCCATGATGTTCTATCAGGGTTCTCTTCCATAATGCTGACAATCCTTTCCATAGAGTATCATGTGTAATGAGCCCTAAAGGTCCTTAGGACTAATCAATCTGGAGTCTGAATTAGAAATGTTGTGTTTGGAAGAGCGCGCAGACCACTTCAACATAAGGTTAAACTCACAGGGTTCCGGGTGGCCAGCGGCATTGTCCAACATCAAAAGAACTTTAAAAGGCAGTCCCTTACTGGCAAGGTAGTTCCTGACTTCAGGGACAAAGCACAAATGAAACCAATCCAGAAAAAGAGTTATTGTCCAGGCCTTCTTGTTATATGACCAATAGACTGGCAGCTGGTATTTACCTTATCCCATCAAGGCTCGGGGGTTAGCAGCTTTATAGATAAGGGCAGTCCTGATCATAAACCGGACTGCATTTGCACAAAACAGTGGAGTTAGCCTATCTTTTCCTCCCTTAAATCTTGATGCTCACTTCTCTCTTACTAATAAATGTCCTTTGTGGCTTTTTTTTTTTTTTTTTTTTTTTTTTTTTCAGAATAGGGCACCTTCATCTGCATTAAAAACCTGTTAGGCAGATATCTTTTCTCCTCAATGATTTTCTTTTTATTTTTTTTTTAGCAGTCTCGCTGTGTTGCTCAGGCTGGAGTGCAGTGGCGCGATATTGGCTCACTGCAACCACCACCTCCCAGGTTCATGCGACTCCTGCCTCAGCCTCCTGAGTAGCTGGGATTAAAGGCACATGCCACCATGCCTAATTTTTGTATTTTTAGTAGACGGGGTTTCACCTTGTTGGTCAGACTGGTCTCGAACTCCCGACCTCGTGATCTGCCCGCCTCGGCCTCCCAAAGTGCTGGGATTATAGGCATAAGCCACCATGCCTGGCCCTCAGTGATTTTCTTAAGGGTGCCTAGGAACTCATCTGTTGCCTCTTGGTTGGCAGAAGCTGCTGTTATCCTGACATTTTTTAAGCCAAACTCTAAAACTATCAAACCATCCTTGGATTGGGTTAAATTCTCCAGCTTTAGATCCTTCACCTTTCTTTTGCTTTAAGTCATCATATAATGACTTTGCTTTTACTCAAATCATATTAGAGTCTATACGTGTGCCTTTCTAATAGCAATCCTGCACTAATATAAAAGCTGCATTTTCAATGTGAGATAAAAAGGTATTTCACAAAAAGTGCAAGATTTTTGCACCTGCTGGTGTAGCTGTAGCAACAGCTTCACAGATTTCTTTTAAAAACAAAACAAAAACAAAACAAAAAAATGGTCTTTATCCTGGATTCATTTCTCTTGAAATGGCAAGCAACCAAAGCTGCAGACCTCAATCTATGGTACATATCAAGCCATTCAACTTTTTCTTGTAATGTTGTGACATTTCTCTCCTTGGGAGCACTTCCAGCATCACTAGCTGCATTTCATATGGGTTCCATGGTGTTATTCAAGGTTTATGATTTGCACTAAACATGATGAAACATAGCTAAAAAATACTCAAGAACCACAAAAGATCACTTTTTATTGTGACAGGCAATTAACTGGAGAGACAAACTACTCATGTGGAGATGATTAGCATCACATGGCATTTTAAATGGATACTTCCAACACCTGAACTCACTAGAAATAGAGGTGGTTATTACATTATTACAGTAATACATTATGTAAGATGGTTAATTTTGTGCAGTTGATTTAATACTGCATCATTATGTTTTTTCACATTTCTCTCAACTGCAAATGATACCATGTATGGTCTGTGTGAGTTTCGTTAAATTTTAACATTTTATAATAGATTTGTGTATATTTTATGGTAGTAAATGATAAAGTAGACTAGTATCTATATATATTTTATGTATTCATGACATCTAATTTTTCCTTTTTAGTTTTTTTTTTTTTTTTTGAGACAGAGTCTTGCTCTGTCACCCAGGCTGGAGTGCAGTGGTGCGATCTCGGCTCACTGCAACCTCTGCCTCCTGGGTTCAAGTGATTCTCCTGCCTCAGTCTCCTGAGTAGTTAGGATTACAGGCGTGCGCCACCACGCCCAGCAAATTTTTGTATTTTTAGTAGATGCAGGGTTTCACCATGTAGGTCAGGCTGGTCTTGAACTCCTGACCTCGTGATCCACCTGCCTTGACCTCCCAAAGAGCTGGGATTACAGGCATGAGCCACCGCGCCCAGCCAGTTTTTTTCTTAATTGAAAAAAAGTCTTGATATTTTTAGGCTATATAGTTCATCTGTGTTTTTTTCAAATCGTCCCAAACCTCCAAAAATTTTTCCGATATATTTATTGAAAAAAAATCCACGTATAAGTGGACCCACACAGTTCAAATCCATGTTGTTCAAACATCAGCTGTATGTGCGTTTTCAACTTGTAGCATTTTCCACCAATATGCTAGATACAAAAACTTAGAATGAACAGAAAACCAATTAGTATCTACGATATTATAAATTAGTAAGAAAAACTATTCACCCTAGCAGATAAATGAACAAAAAATTTGAAGAATATAAGAAATGAAATTAATAAACATGAAAAAATGTTCAACTACATTACCACCAAAAAGAAATACAAAAGAAAACAAAGTACCACTTCTTTCCATTGCTAGGAAGTTGGTGGTTCAGTTCTACAATCTCATATCTAAGATCTCTAGCTTCAAAACACTTTCAGAAGTGTTTTGAATTTCAGAGTATCTGGGACACAGACAGGTGATACGGCACAGATACCTTACATTAAGTAACATTCTTGATTCTAGGGCAGCACCCTGTATTCAACCATATTGCTATTTAAAATTTCTTTAAGGGCCAGGCACGGTGGCTCACGCCTGTAATCCCAGCTCTTTGGGAGGCCGAGGCAGGTGGATCACTTGAGGTCAGGAGTTCAAGACCAGCCTGGCCAACACAGTGAAACCCCGTCTCTACCAAAAATATAAAAAATTAGCTGGGTGTGGTGGCGTGAGCCTGTAATCCCAGCTACTTGGAAGGCTGAGGCAGGAGAATCACTGGAACCCAGAAGGCAAAGGTTGCAGTGAGCCAAAATCATGGCACTGCACTCCAGCCTGGGCAACAGAGCAAAAGTCCGCCTCAAAAAATAAAAATAAAATAAAATTTCTTTAGAGAATCTGAAGAATGTACACTGTAAGTGGAATAAATGAGACTAAGTAGTCTCACCTCAGTATAAGTCAAGTTTGGTTGCCAAATTAGTTAACAAAACTTTTGGGCTTTTTAGGGATGTGGGAATTTCAGAATTGCATATAACAAACTGTTGGTTACGAAATTCTTTTCATAAACAATTATGATAACACAGATCAAAAGCCATAAAAATAGCCAGATACAAAATGAGTCACAGTATCAGAATCACCTAAGAGAACTTTTTCAAATCACGATCCCTTCCCAAAGAAGACATTCCATTTTCCCTAGCAGCTTCTTGTAGTAAGCCACTATAACTGACTGCAATTTGTGCTAGGCTGGAAACAGTAAGATAAATTAGAAAGATTTCCCTTATTTCAATGCAAATGAAACAATTTGGAAGTCCTTGGCATTTGTAATGATATTTTGCTTTCATGAACAAGTATCTAAAAAAGAAACACACAAAAATAATATTATCTTAAAAACTGATATTTCCCAAATAACTTTAATCCCCTTGGAAAACTCCTTCATTTTATTTTATAGAGAGATGGAGAGATAACAAAAGAATTCTGATCAGATATGAATGTCAGATCACTCTGGCTACAGTGTAAAGGAGATTATAAAGGGCAAAACTATAGCAAACTGCACTTAAAAAGACTACTACAAGAGTCCAGACAAGGCATAATGGACTTATAACAACTAACATCAAGAAGATTTTAAATCATCCCAAATAATTTCAGAAGTTTTGCCAAGTTTCACATTGACAAACTAAAACTCAAGGGCTGATAGGGCTGTGATAGGGAAAATTAGGGGAGAAGAGGGAAACTCGCTAATGATGATGAGAGGCAATAGAGACAGGCAGTTAGAAAATAGTATCCAGAGCTTACAGTACCAGACAATAAGCAGTGATCCAGGCAAGCAGGTCTTTAGCATTGTAGAGGTCAGATAAGCAGGTGGTATCCCAGCAATCACGGAAAAACACAGTAAGGAAACATGGCAGCAGGCAATGCTTACAGTAGATAGCAGAGAGCTCCAGCTACAAGATTGGAGTACAGGAATTTAAAAATAGGACATTGTTAACACAGAAAACCAGGACAGAGCAGAACAGATACAGATCTGCACTCAAATAAACCTACTTTTATTTATTTATTTATTTTCAGACAATAAGGATTTATATGTCTCACAATTCCCTGGCCAGGAATTGGGTAAAAGCTAGATTAGGCAGCTCTTCTGCTGCACTGGATGTCATCTGGCATCATTTGGGATCATTCACTCATCTACATTCAGTTGATGGCTGGGCTGGGATGGAAAGTCCAAGAAGGCATCACTTTCATGTGTCCTCACTGAAGTACTCATCCACATGGCCTTCTGGTCTCTCCTGTGAGAGTTTGGGCTTCCTCACAGCATGGGAGTCTCAAGGTAATCAGACTTGTTACATGGTAACTGATTTCTACTGAGTAAAAGCAGAAGCTGACAAGATTTTTAAAAGCCTGTAGTCCCAGCCACTCGGGAGGCTGAGGCAGGAGAATCGCTTGAACCCAGGAGCCAGCGGTTGCAGTGAGCAGAGACTGCGCCACTGCACTCCAGCCTGAGCGACAGAGCGAGACTCCGTCTCAAAAAAAAAAAAAAAAAAAGTTAGACCCTTTAGATACAGAAAAGTCAGGCAGGTCATTAATGTAAAATGCTTCAGGGAGCACTAGTTCATACAGAAAGAGGTGAAAGGAAATGGGTTACACAAGTAAAAGGGTCTAAAACTTAAAGTTTAAATAATTAGAATTAGTTAGCTTAATAGTATATCTATACAATAGAACATACTACTATATTTTTTAAAAAGAAGAAGAAAGGGACAGCTTTTTATATGCTGAAGTCAAATGATCTCCAAGGTATATTTTAAATTTAAAAATTATGGTACAAAGCATTAATATAGTAAATACCTTCTACATAAAAAAGGTAGGGGGAAAACAGTAATCTTTATATGTGTTTCTATTTGCATAAATACCATAGAATATACAAAAAATAAAAGTAGTTACCTATACAGAACAGGAAAGAGAAGGAGTGGTATCAAGACTTCTCATTATATGCCTTTTTATATTATTTTGAAACTTGAACCATGTAGCCATATTGCCAATTCAAATACGAAAATACAATTTAAATACAATTTTAAAATGACAAGTCTGAGAATTATGGTAATATACACTGCTGTATTAATTAAACATTGACTTATCTGTACTTATTTTACTGTAGACTAACATAGTTATCTATGACTTATCTGTACCATTTCTAGCTATACACTAGATTTCAAGTTCCTCTGAAGAAAGAACAATAATCTTGATGATAAAGAGCATGTCTTATTCAATTCTGTATCCCCACAGCCAAGCACAGTGCCTAGTACCTAGCTGGTGCTCAAAGAATACATTAAATTAGCCCTGGATTGGATTTCCCTCTAAAGTCACCTCCAATTTTGGACGTAATTTTTAATTGTATTGCTAGTGACTCGTCTATATACAAGAATATACTTAGAATTCGTGTTTGTATAAAAATGAGCAAAGAGAAGCTCTTTACACAACTGTATAACAAAAACACAAGATACAAATTTAACTAAAAACAAAATAAACAATGACCCTTGGATTACTCCAAAGACCTACCAAAAGATGGCATTTAAAATGGGAGCAGGCAGCTATCCCAGATACATATCAAAGTTCACTCAGGGCATTTTTTTGATAGTAGGTGTTGCTAATTAGTTTTGCTTACCCAACTTTAAAATAACCATTACAGTTTCCTTCTCTTAATCCCAACAAATGTTAAGGTGTATGTAACCCTTGAAACGCAAAGGTATTTTTCTTGATGCTGTCCCCTATTCTTCCATGACCTGAGATCTTTTACCTCTATGGCAAACTTCTCGAAGAGCTGTCTCATCTATATTCATTGTACACTTGGTTTCCTCAATTTAGTTTATTACACTCTTCCACTATAACTCTTCTGCTAAAGCAACAAACCTCAAACTAGTACACCTCAGAAGAACCTTAGCATTTCAGCAGATTTTCCCAGGCTACCACTTCCTGGCTCCCCACTCCCCCTTTTAAGAATCTATAAGGTCTGAGATGAGACCTGGGGAGTTCATATTTTTCATTAGTATCTCCATAATTCTGATACAGGCAGCTCGCCTGAACACACTGGAAAACCAACTAGCTGAGATTATCAATAACTTTCCAACAGTCAAATTCAAAGCCTCTTGGTCTTCTCTTTTTCTCTCAGCAACATGGCAGCTTCATGAAATTCCTTACTTCACCATCATCTAACACACAACCACACTCCTCTCTCACAACCTTTCTTTCAGTCTTCTTCACTGGCTTCTTGATTTCGGAGAGCCCTTAATCTTTCAGTGATGGTAGTTAGGAGCTCTGTCAGTGTGCCTCTTCCTAACTTTATATATACTTCATAAGCAGTGACAGTCCCACCCATTGCTTCAGCTACCATCTATACAACCTTAAATCCTGCCACTTTGGATTCCACAGATACTCAGAGGCTATGCAGTACAGGAGAGAAAAGATGCTTCAGTATCAGACGAATCTGAATGCAAAATATTTACTCAGCTATTTACACAGTAACATGCCTAAAGACACAGACCTTTTTGAATTTCAGCTCTGTTCTCCTTTTAAAACTGGGAATAGCACCTTTCTAACAAATTTCTGTCCTGATTAAATGAGGGGAAAAAGATTAAATGAGAAGTTCTCTTTCCTACATGGACCTGACAGCAAGCTCTGAGGACCCCATGCCACAGGCCTCAGAGGCGGCAAGCAAGGAGAAAGGAGACAACTAATGCGGGGTCGGAAGACTGGCACATACAAGGGGATTGAGCAAATAAGTAAATACACTGAGGAGATAATAGGAACCAATTTATCACTGCTGGAGAAGAGATTTACAAATACAGAAAGGGAAAAGGCTAGACGAATCCTGAGATGTTAGATTGGAATTGGTTGTATCAGTGTGAACTTATAAAATACCTGTACATAGGCATAGAAACAGATTCAGATGTGTGTATACATATATGTATTTCCTAGCTCTATCCCCCTAAAAGTGATGACATGCCAGCAGAAATGAACACACTGAACACTCGGATCTCAGTTCCTAAATAGCATCTCTACTTAAAAAAGTAAAATAAAATCAGGATTCCTTGGAAAAATAAATGATTTCAGAGCTGGGATAGGAGAGTATTAAGATCATCTGGAACATCTTGTTAGGCCAGAAAGTAAGGAAATACACCAAGGAGGGGGACAGGTCAAGGAGATAGAGGAGCCAACTTAAAGGCCAAATTTGGGACAATTTGACCAACAAAATGAAATTTTAAAATGACAGTAACTAATATAAACCACTAAACAGAAACAAATCCAGGAGTATATATTGATATAAATGAATGAATAAATAAATGTATGGAGAAGAAGGAGAAAATCTTCTTTCAGTAGAATATGAACTAATAAATGTAGGTGACAACTTTCACAGTTGTGGCTGATTCAGGTAGCAATCATCAGACCTGAAGGCTCGTGGTTACAGCCTTCAGCTCTATTGACACACTCCCAGATATCTTCTCACATAAGAATTCCCAATTACAAAAGGAAAAAAACGATAACTTCACAGTAGAGAAACCCAGCAGACTTGAATTTAACAGGTGTTCAAAGTTAAACATCGCTAGTAGCAGGACTATACAGCACGTCTCTTAGTGATGTACTAAGAATATCACGACATTATTTCTATGGCATTCCTGCCAACAATGCACTCGGTCTGCACATGAGGAACCACTGGATGAACTTAAGTTGAGGAAAACATGTAACAGAAAAAAAGGACTCTGCTCATTAAAACTGTCAAGGTCATAAAGGACAGGGAAATATTGAGGAATCATTCCAAACTGATGGAAACTAAAAGATGTGACAATTAAATGCAATGTGTGAACCTGAATTGGATGCTGGACCAAAAAGAAAAGAGAGATACTACTGGGATAGTTGGAAAAATTTGAATGGCATCTAGGTTCGACCTGAAGGTAGTGTTATATCAACGTTGATTTCCTGATTTGGCGGTTATGTAGGAGATTGTCCTGTTTTGCTAAATACACACTAAAATATTTAGTAGTGATAGGGATCATGTCTGCAACTTGCTCTCAAATAATTCAGGAAAAAAGCCAAATGAAATTAGAAATGGTGCATTCCCCTGAAATGGAGAAATAAGGATTAAAATGTAGGACCAGAAATGAGAGATGATGAGGTTGTTTCACTGAAATTTGAGGATCCAATTAGATACAGTAGAAAAAGGGAAAGGGCTAAACACAATTCCAAGGTGACCACTTGGGGCATCTGGAAAAGGCCTTACTGAGCCAAGCACGAGGTGTTCCAGGCTCATCTTGAGCTGTGTATACACACGGTACATAGCTAGTACAATGTTAAAAATTAGTTTAAGGCGATTCAGGAGCTCTTTGTTGTACTTTTCTTGAGATTTCTCATTAGGTTTGAAATTATTTCAAAATGTTAAATGAGAACTCGTGACAACTTCGCTGTCTAGCAAAATACCTGGCTCACTGGAAGTGCTCAATAAAAATAATCTGGCCTTCCCTTGCTAAAGAAGGGAAGCTGCCAAAGAAGAAATCCTAGCATCATCTTCAACTCTTTCCCCCCATGTCCAAATGGACTCTCAGGTCTAGTGAAACTACTCAGTTTTCAGTTCTAATCTCATATCTATATTGCCCTATTTCTGGTTCCTATCATCCCTCCCCTGGACCACTGCAACAGCATCTGGTCTCTCTGCTCCATTTCTAACCTCATCCTTGCATTATCCTTGTAACTTTGCATCATTATCTAGAAGTCAGGAGTTACCTTTCAAAACCTGCATCTAATCTTATCATCCCTTATTTAAATACCTCTAAATTGTTCCTGAATGTTAATGCTGATTTCCCAAGAGGCAGACTAAATGCATGTTTAGGGCACCAGTAACGCAAGGGCACCAAAGAGATATTTCACACACACACACACACACACACACAGACACACACACACACACACACACACACACACACACGCGCGCACATGCGCATACACCAGTGAAATGGGGGAGGCAGCGGGTAAAGGGAGGGAAAAAGAGAGAGAAAGAGGAAGGTGACTTAAGAATTCTTAAGTTTACCTTAAGCTTACTTTAGGATTTGATATTTATTTCTGATTCCATAGTGGATGCCAAGGGTGAGTAGGAACCATAAACTTTCTAATACTTACAGTCTCTAAAACAGTGGTTTTCCCAATCCTTTTCCCAACTTGGCAACAAAGAAAATAATAATTTCTTAGCACGTTGGGATAAGCCACAAATGCTATTCAAAGCCAAAAGAAACCATCCTGGGGCAGGGTGGGGAGGGGGATCTGATATGCCCAGGTCCCATTAAACAAGGGTATCTTGCTCTCCGAAACACTGGTAAACCATTCATGGCACACCAGTTGGGAAGCTCTATTTTAAAGGTCTTAAAATGATCCCACTCATTGCCCAAACACAAGGACCCTCACAAGACTTCATTTCCCACTGCAATCAACGCACATGCGCGCGCGCACACACACACACACACACAGATTCACACACAGGAACAGACAACCACACCCACCCAGACAGAGACAGACATATCCAACAAGACAACTTACATTTCTCCAAACACACCACACATTCTTTCATACTTTGACTTTTTCTATATGCTGTTCTCTCTACCCAGATCAATTCCAAATGATCCTCCAAGACCATATTCAAATGCCACTTCTTTTCCCCAGATCTTATTACACTGTCACTATGAATTGTTAATTGTTTGTTGACATGTGTTACCACCCTAGAATTTGAGCTCAAGGACAAGAATCATGTCTTATTTACCTTTATACCACTGCTCCCACTACAATGGGCATTTCAAATGTTTGCTTAACATATAAAGGAATGTTCATTACATCATCACCAAATAAATTTTCAAATTACATTAATTAAAACAATGAAATACAATTATAAAATTAGCATTTTTTTCTTCCCAAAACAAGAACAACCACTGTAGGTACTTCTGTAAGAGAGAGATCTGGCACAGAAATATTCATGACACTTGACCATTATCCCAGTCCTAGGGTTTTAAACTGAGGAAATAAACAAAAAACCGCTTAACAAAATGTAAATGTCTAAATCAGTTATGGTATATCACCTGAATGTTTAACTAATCACTTAAATTATATTCATTGACCTTGGTGGCTTTGGGTAGCTAAAATAAATAAATAATATTCATGAAGATGGGAATAGAAAAATGAAAAAATAATACCAACTATCACTGACTGATCATCTCTTGTATTTAAAGCACAGCGCTAGATGCCTTACATATAGTATCTTAATCCCCACAATTCAAGACCACCTGACTCAGAAATGAGACACTTTGCCCAAGGCTTTTGACGCTAGATTCCACACCAGATTTGACTCCTGACTCAGAAATCAGACAGTTTGCCCGAGGTTTTTGACGCTAGATTCCACACCAGATTTGACTCCAAAGTCTGTGATCTTTCCCCTACATTGCACAGCCTCCACCATACAATGTTCCCATTATATTCCTCTCAAAATTCTCTCTACCACACAACTTTATTTTTTAAATATGAACAATTACCTGGAAAGAAACAAAAAATAGCTATTATGGTGGTGATCAAGGGTAAACGTTGTTACAGTATTTATCCTTTTTAAAAATTAGCAACTTTTAAAAGTAGCATTGTTGAAAAATGAACTAAATTCATAAGACAATACAAAAGACGCTATTCCTATTTTAATTTTTTTAACCTAAGAAAATTAAGGAAACAGAGTAGGTAACATAAAAACTTAAGAAAAAAAAAAAGCTTAAGAAGATATTAAACTATATCTAAACAAGCATATATTAACCTTAGGGTACTTATTACCAGGATTCATTAACTGATCCTTGTGAGTGGATTAAGCAGCATTCTTCCAGAAACAGGTGAATTTTGAAAAAGGTTTAAAGAGGAGGCACATGAATTGGAGACAGAGATGTTTAAATTATGGAAACGAGGACAAAGGAAAAAACAAGACTATTTTCTTTTTAAGCACGAATGAGAAACAAGGTTAATGAGATGAAGTTGGTAGAAAGTCTTCAAGGTCAAGCAGGTAAATTTGGGATTAATTTGATAAGCACCGGGGAACTCCTATATATTTTTAAACGGGAAGGTGGCATGTTAAAATATGGCCTTTAAAGATTCAAACTTTGTTCCATCATAAAGTACTGCCTTGAGTTACACAATGTTTTTGCCGAACAGTTGGGGAGGTGGGGAATAATCCACTATCCTTTATGTGTGCTTTATACATACGCTTCTCAAAAAGAGAAACTGACTAAACAGAAATCTTTAGGTAATGGGTGAGCATATTGGGGAGGGGATCCTTTCAGACATAATGCTTGTGAATATTGAATGCTACTGTATGTTTTAATAACAGTCACAGAACTTCAGGCAAGAAGGAACCTTGGAGATAATCTCTTAGTGGCGACCCCTTCATTTTCACACCAGATTAGACTGAAGCCCAGAACTAAACAACTTGCCCAATGCCATGCATAAACCAGTGGAAGATTAAATACTACAACTCAGATTTTCTAAGCAGTCAGACCTAAAGCTATGCTCTCCAATACTATAGCTACTAGCCACATCTGGCTATAAATTTAAATTGATTTAAATTAAATACAATTTTAAATTGAGTTTCTCAGACACACTCGTCACATTTTAAGTGCTCCATAGCCACACATGATTAATGGCTACCATAACTAACAGTGCAAAAAATATTTCTATGATATTTGTCAATTATACTTCAATAAAGTTGAAGGAAAAAAGAATATTTCCATCATTGCAGAAAGTTTAATTGGACAGAACCGATCTAAAGAATAAGTTTTAGAGAATTCCACTTACTAGAAGTATGAGCCTAGACAAGTTATTTCATTTCCCTTAGCTTCTATTTGGCAGGGAGAGGACAGGGGATTAATAATACCTACCTCATAAAGCATACTTGGTGAGTGGGACAACATGAAAAGCCCCTTATACAGGATCTGACACTTAACAGACAATAAATATTAACACTCTTCCCCTCTGGGTCCTTTTTTCTTTCTACTACTCTATATAACCTCCTTGTTAAAAAATACAAACACAATAACCAACCCAAATTGATATTTTCCTCATGATAGTCTATACGATGTAATTTTCATTTTGTTCTTACTAATTAATTCAAATACTTGCATCTCTCTTCCAAAGTTTCTACTTAAGAATAATGAAATGAAGAATGAATGTGAGGGAAGATATCTCTAATGAAATGAAAGAGTCTAATAAATTTCCCCTCCTCTTTTTCCCCATTCATGCAAAAGATAAGAAATTATGCTGTTCCTAGACAATGGTACTTTCATATCAATAAAGAAGATTCTACGGTATTTCTACATTATATCCTATCTCATCATCTATACTACTCATTAAATATTAAATGAAGAGATAACACCTCCTTCCTACAGTGCTTTCCTGGCAAACAATAAAAAGGATTTTCAGAATGCTAAGCCAAACTTCAAGGCTTCACAGCTTATTCTAGTAAACTGGCAAATTTAACAAATCTGGATTATAGTACATAAAAAACTTCATAACATGCAATAACCCAGGAAAACAACAAAATTCAACTCAGTTAGTAAACTTCTACCAATAACTAAATTTTACATAGGAGCAACAATTCATATTTAGCCACAATAACCATTCCTAGGGAGTTGATCAATTTTGCATTCTAACTAAGAATTTAGGCAAAACTTTAAAACATTTGCCCCTAAACATACACCAAACAAGATTTCCACGTTTCTGGAAAACTTTTCTTGTTTAAAAGTGGCCATATTAACTCTCAAGCGGGGGGCAGAAGTACTCTCAATAACAAACCTCCTTGCAATTTTCTGCTAGTCTCTTACTTTGCTCCTTAAAGACAACTTACTAAAAACCATGATCACTGATCCCGCTTTTAGAGTTTGTAAGTCATAAATAAATACTAAACAGATAACAATGGATACTGTACTGTACACCTCAATTATGTTTAACAGACAAAACTATTTTAAAAATACAAATCACAGTTTAATAACAACCTAACGAAGTCATACAAGTTAAAAAAAAAAGCTGAAAAGTTTTTATTACCATCTCACGTAAATTGTATTACTATCCCACTTTATTATACTTTTTTTTTAAAGTTAGGCATCTATGCTCAAACTGATTAAATCGAGTATGAGAGATCTATACTTTTTTTAAAAGTCCTTCAACAATAATGAAGTGTACACTGGTCACAGAATAGTTCAAATGAAATTTCCTGAGGCTGCATTCTAAGTACATCCGACCCAGAAAGTATTTTTAGCAAGTACGTTCAATCAATGCTGGTTTTATGCCTAGCCTAAATTAGAAATTGGGTGTTATAAATTTAAAGTAACAATGTTACTAGGGACATTTTAAAAGATATTTAATTAGAACATAAGAAAAAAACACAAGTTTGACTCAATTCAATACCTACAGCTCTGAAGCTAAGATGTTAGAAAATGGGCAGTAAGAAAAATCACATCCTCGTCTATTACTACTTTTGAGGAACTCGTGATTTTCTAACTTAATAAACATGGACCTACTCAATTAATATTTTTAAAAACTACAAAATAGTGGTGCCTCCTTGGATTTTAAAAACCTCTTGCCAAATTTTTAAAACAGACTGGCAACATGACAAACATTCCCATGTACAAAATAGACTGTTTCTCTTATAAATCACTGAAGATTATGATACTATGGGACCGTGCGTGTTTCAATGCAAAATGTAACAAAGATATGTGTACCATAAAAAATGCGAAGAGACATAAAAATTGCTTTTGTGGTAATTGGAGCATAAATTTATTCTAACAAAAAAACAGTGATGTCCACAAAATGATCACACTTACGAGCTAGTGAAGAGGTTCTGTAGAATACACAAACTTCTGCTTACGAGTTTTTTCTTTAAAAGAAAGCTGAATTTATATTAGTCAAATTCAAGATTTAGATGATATACCTAGCTCTATTCCATTAAGCACAGTTTAGGCTCTGAACAATCCTTTATTTTAAGGCCATCTCCTTCCCCCTTAAAATTGAAAAAAAATTTTTTTCCTCTGGCACGTTAAAGTTCAGAAAACCAAGATTTAAAAATGCCCTGGCTTTTACTGTTCCAGTCTTCTTTCTACTCTAATTGTCTTTTGCAAGTCGGACACATTGGCCTTTTATCTTTCTCCATAAATATGTTTTAAATGTGACCAATCAGCTGTACTGTTTCAACTGGGCCCAAGATCTGGACACAGAAACTTAGTATTACTGAAACCTCTTATTCGAAAAGCAGCTGGCATATTGCAGATGCATAACAAGTTATCCTAGAACAGGCGTTTTGAAAAATCCTACAAATCGTCCTTGTACATACTGATGTCACTACATGATGCAAGCCCAGACATAAAATCTTCCACCCTAAGTTTTGCAGAAACATCCACACATCACCTGTGCAACTGTAAGCTGTTCCATTTTATGGAAACCCTGCGAAATGCATCACTGTTTACCCACATCTCAACTTTTTTTTTTTTTTTTTTTTTGGCTCAACTACAGATTCCCAAATACAGGTATATACTGGTAGAATCATAACAGGCTTAAAACTTCAATGGTAGGAATAGTTGGCTCATGCAGCGTGCAAGAAGCGCTCATATGAGCCAAAAAAAAAAAAAAAAAAAAAAGGAATTCTACCAGCAATGGAAAACTCAAGATTCCAAAGCTTTACCTAGAGTTTAGGTACTGGGAACATTCCATCTCCGCACCTATTCCATCCCTTGGCCCTTCGCTGACCCATAACAGAGATTCCAACTATAACCCCCGCAAAAGCAGAGGTCCCAGGAAGAAAGGAAAGAAAGCGTTTTTTTGTTTGTTTGTTTGTTTGTTTTTGTCCTTTTTTCCTTCCTTTCAAATCATCCTCGTACCTCCGGCTTGCCCCACCTGGCTCACCTCCCAGGAGCCACACATGCAGGTAAGAGCCTCCCGTTCAACGTGCAGGGCCGAGAGGCCGGCGGGGACCGGAGAACCTCTTACCTTCGTATATCACAGCCGCGTCCTCTCGGCTGGAGAAAAAAAGCCTCGAGGCCCCGGCGCGCAGAGGAGAAGCGCGTCCTCCGTGCCGCTCCGGGGGGCTACCTCAGCGCCCCCCGAGCAGCCGCCGCCGCAGCGGTCGCGCCACGACCCGGAGCCGCCAGCACCACCTCATGCTGCTGGGCAGCCGCGGGCCGGCGCCGCTGGGGAGGTGGCAGGGAGGCGGGCAGCCGGCGACCTCTCCTACCTCCCTGCAGGGATGAGATAATCCACACCCCCAAAAGTGCGTGGGGGAGGGGGCCTGGCCCCAATCCTCCGACCCCGCGGCCAAAGCCAAGTCTCTTTCCTCTCCCGCTCAGGCCCAATTCCGGCCCCTGGGACCCAGGAGTCCTGAGAGAACAATGTTGGTGGTGGGGCGCGAGGAGCGGAAAAGCGCACTGCGCGGCGTGAGCTGGCGGGTAATCCTGGGCAGCGTTTGTGTGTGAGAGTGCAAGAGGAGCTCAGTCACCCCCCTCCTTCTCCACCTCCTCTTCCTCCCCCTCCTCCTCCTCTATCTCTTCCTCCTCCCTCAAGCACACCCCCTCTCCTAGGCCGCAGCATAGCAACCGAACATGGCGGCTGCGCAGGCGCCGCCAGTCAGTGGCCAGGAGCGGCGGCGGCAGCAACAGGAGGCGATCTCGCGAGAGGCGAGGCCAAAACCCTGCCTCGCTAGCGCAGGGAGAAGTCGCACCAGTCGGAGCGCAGAGGGACACGCAGGTGCGAGAGAGAGCGGCCTAGGAGGATTGGGAGGGCGGATTGGAGGGGGGAGGCGGAGCGCTGTGGCCCCCGCCCCGCAGCCGCGTCGCGATTGGTTGTTTGGACTGCGACCCCTGCTGCACCCACTGACCGCAGGGACCGGATAGTGGGCAAGAAGCGTGTGTTAAAAGGGAAAACCAGACCAGTTGGCAGCAGGTCGCCCCAACCTCAGTGCTCCTGGAGGATATAGGTTTTGGGGGGCAGTTTTGAATCATTTCCTCTCCTAAACGTAGGCTCCAAAACAAAGCCTCAGCAACCAACCTGCGTTTATAAAACAAACGTTCGGGGGCTCCTTCTGTGTGCCTGGAACGGTGTGCTTTTTAAAATTTAATTCCTTCTAATAACATGAATTTGGTGTTATCACGCCAGGGTTTTTAGCCAGGTGCATTATAATATTTTATTGGTGATACAAACTTATTGGTAATACCACAGTTGCCTACTGGCGAATGATCTCAGCTGAAATGGAGGAAGAAGGGATTTGGGGACCGCCACACTTCCTTTTTGCCCAATTTTTGTTAGTGCCCTTTTCTGTCGCCAGGCGCCTTCTTTGTCCTTCCTTGCTCTTAGCTTGAGCATCCTATCAGAGCCTACCTTTATAAAGACGATCTTTCAAAAACCACTTTCCCAAGCCGACAAAATGACTACAAATCAGGGGAATGTGAACAAATCTGGAAAAGACAGAAATTTCTATTGACTCTCTTCTCCCTCACACCTGTTAGTTTTTCCATTTGAAAAAGGCAACTTGTCAATCCATGTTTCCAGCTTTACTTCCTTCACTTGCTTTTCTTCCCAGATCTCTGTTGTAGCCAGTGCTCATTCATTCCTCCCTAAATATGCATTCCTGCCTCTGACTCTCCATTTTGTCTTTGATCATGCCATTCCCTCTGCTAAAATGCTCTTCACCTCATTGTCATCTGTCAACATCCAGTCATCCTCCAACCAAAGATCATATGAGACTTCCACCAGAAATTGAATGTTTCATATAAATAGAATCATACAATATGTAATTTTTGTTTAGAGGCAAGGTCTCGCTATGTTGTCAGGCTGGTCTCCAACTCCTGGGCTCAAGAGATCATCTTACCTTAACCTTCGGAGTAGCTGGGATTACACATGTGAGCCACATGGCTTACATGTAGTCTTGTGTCTGGTGTTAAGCAAGACACAAAAGTTCCTGAGTGGAACTTCCCCTGCAAGTCACCAGGATGGACCCTTTGAAGTTACCAATACTCACCATTATTCCTTGAAAAATCTGAGTTCACCTTAAATCTACCTGCCTGCAACCCTGGAAAGAGAAGAAGCAATTATTGTCCTTAAAAAAAAGAGAGAGAGAGCTTTAGACTGTGCCCCAGGCTCACATGGGCCCACTGAAAATTGAATTGGGAAATAATAAATTAGTATATCTCACACTTTAATATACATGCTGATCACCTGGAGTTCTTATTAAATGGCATGGTCTAATCCATTAGGTCTAGAGTGGGCCCTGAAATTCTGCATTTCTTTCTTTTTTTTTTTTTTTCAATAGAGACAGGCTCTCACTGTGTTGCCCAGGCTGATCTTGAACCCTCCTGACCTCAAGCAATCTTCCTGCCTTGGCCTCCCAAAGTGCTAGGATCACAGGAGTGAGCCACTGCACCTGGCCTAGAGACTCTTTCTAACAAGCTCCCTGGCTTTTGGACCACCCTGGAGTAGCAGGGGTGTAGACTACTGTTCCTTAAACTGGAGTCTAAGAAAAAATATATGCAAATTATCTATAAAATATGTAAATATTTTGCTCTTACTTAAATTATGTTCTTTTAAAAGTTAATATATTCTAGTCACTATATTGGATCATTTGATGACCACCTTGTAACGAAACCCTGCACTTGATTTTGTATTTGGCACCAACCACAAATTTAATTTTCTGGGGCTAATGGGAAAAGAATAGAATACTTCTTGTGGAAAGGACAGCATTCTGGCTAAGTGAAGGTCATACGTCCTTTACGGCACACTGCACAGAAGTTTAACAGAAATTCAAATAGAGAAGAATGTTGAGATAATTAAGTCAATTATAAGCATGCCAAACAAAAAAGTACATACCATAGCAGTGAGTTCCATATTCTCATATCAAAGGACAATTTAATTTCAGCAAAACAACAAATATAATTCACCACACATTACATACATCATATTAATTGAATTTTTTAAATTTGTGAATTTAATTTCTAAAATTGTTTTAGTTTTATAGACGTGAGCTATAAGAATAAGAAATTATTACCTAAAGTTTATGTATAATTAAGAGACATAATTAAAATGACTTAACAGTTGGAAGTTAGCAAGAATTTTTTTTTTCATTCAAAAGTGGCCTCAAACATTACTGGATATTGGCAGACACTGCTATTGACTGTTTTTTTTTCCTTGTCTGCAGTCTGCCCTTGACTGTGCTTTGGGAGAGTAAGAGCAAAGGTTGTATCCACACTTGGAGGATGTTGGCAGGCGAGGACTGGCCGTTTTGCACTGTGTGGTCAATGGTAGGACCTCTCTTAACCCTGGGTAGCTACAGCCAGAAGGGAACAAGCATTTGTTCTTGCCTGTATGGGCCTTGGCAGTGACCCCAGGCAGCAGCCGTGAAGAAGAAACTTTGACTAGGCACTGTGGCTGACTCACCAGCCACCCACTATCAGTAACTGGAGAGGACTTCTTTGGAAGAAATGAGTAACCGTAGGATCACTGGGGATACCTAGGGAGAAGAACCTCAACAGAAGGTTGGACTCTACTCGCTAGGTAGAGCTCAGAGTGGTATGAATTTTAACTTCAAAAAAGCACATGACTTAAACTGACTTGATTTTGTTGCCTACGCTGGTGAGGTGGGACATACAAAGGTATACAGGCTTTCAGTGAAATGTGAGTCCTATCTAACCTGGTCCCCAACAGGAGACCTTGGTTAGGTACCTGTCTGCCTTAGCTAGTCAGTTAAGGGAGAATTTCATCTTTTTACCTGCCTGGAATCTTCATGCATAACTTAAAAGCAAAAGCAAGCAAATTTAAATAATTTAAACCTTTAAAGAGGTGTCACACATGTTTCCAATAAGTTCAGGATTCTGTGACTTGGGCTTCCTTTAATCACAGAGCTGTGTTAAATATACTTAAAAAAATTCAAAATCCTATACCATATACCTCTGAGGCAGCTGGCCCAGATTTGTCACCATGTGAGCATGGCTCTCCCTCTTCATTTTCAGCAATTCTTTCCTTTTTTTCCTTTCTTGCTGAATAGCAGCAGAAGACCCATTAGCAATCCTGATATCAGGAACTCTACAAAAAAGTGTAAAATTTTAAAAATCTAAGACTTCTTCCTACTGTCAGTCCCACTCCCAAAAGATAGGCACTATTGACAGTTCTTGTGTACACTTCCAGAATTTTCTCTGAATATATAAGCTAAACCTACATCTCTTTTCCCCACACACAAGGGATCATACCATATTTCACTTACAAATGTGTGTGGAAATCATTCCTTAACAAAACATGTAGATACATGTCATCTAAGGGCTGAGCCATAATATATTTAACTTTCTCTAATTAATGGGCATCAGGCTGTTTCTAGTACTTTGCTGTTACAAATAATGCTCTAAAGAACATTTTCATCATAAAGCTTTGTACACATAATGAAGCATTTCTTTAAGACAAATTCGTGGAAATGCAATTGCTGGGTTGAAGTGTATGGCCATGTTTAACTTTGATAAATGCTGCCAAATTGACTACTGATTGCCTCACTGTGTGAGAGTTATTACTGCTATAATCCACCTCTTCCTTATCATTCTGGGTTTTGTATTTTTCACATTAAAAAAATCCCACATTTTCTTCTAGTACTTTTAGTTGTGTTTTTAAAATACTTAAAAATCCATGATCCTGATCTCAGGATTGCTAATGGGTCTTCTGCTGCTATCTGGGAAATAATTTTGGTGTAAGGGGATAGAGATGTAGCTTTTTTTTTTTTTTTAAATAACTATCCAGTTGTCCTAATACCACCTTATGGAATAAACACACACCCACACACATACACGCACACACACACACACACCAAATTGCTTTCATCAGATATGAAATTCTCGAAGTTTTTGTTGGATCTAGACTGTTTTTTTTACTTTATGCCATTGAACTATTTATTTACTCCATCTCTATTTTCATTTCTTGTTGCTGCTGTAACAAATTACCATAAATTTGGCCACACGTGGTGGCTCATGCCTGTAATCCCAGCACTTTAGGAGGCCGAGGCGGGTGGATCACTTGAGGTCAGGAGTTCGAGACCAGCCTGGCCAACATGGTGGCCAGTTATAGTATAGGTGGGGTTCCATCTATACTAAAAAAATACAAAAAATTAGCCAGACGTGGTGACACACACCTGTAGTCCCAGCTACTCGGGATGCTGAGACAGGAGATTCACTTAAACCTGGGAGGCAGAGGTTGCTGTGAGCTGAGATCACACCACTGGACTCCGCCTGGGTGACAGAGTGAGACTCCGTCTCAAAAAAAAAAAAAAAAAACAAACTCCCAAAAAACAAGAAAATTACCATAACTTTAGTGGCTTAAAAGAGCACAAATTTATTATCTTACAGTTCTGGACATCAAAAGTCCAAAACAGGTTGCCAAGCTGTGTTCCTTGAGGAGGCAGGCTCTAGGGGAGAATCTGTTTCCATGCCTTTTCCAGCTCCTGGAAGCCACCTGCATTCTTTGGCTCATGGCTCCTTCCACCATCTTCAAACCTAGTAGCATGGCATCAAGTCTCTCTCTCATCATCTTTTCTGCCTTTTTTTCTCCCTCTTGCCTCCCTTTTATAAGGATCTTTGTGATTGCATTGTGTCTACTCATATAATCCAGGATAATATCCACATCTCAAAATCTTTAACTTAACCACATCTGCAAAATCCCTTTTACCATGCAAGCTAACATTCACAGGTTCTATGGATTAGGGATCTTTGGAGGCCATTATTCTGTTGCTGTGGTCTCTAATCCCAGGCTCTTTTACTATTGGAATTTATAATGAGTTTTAATATCTGAAAGAGTTCATTGCTGCTTATGACTTCTTTTTCCAAGATGAACATATTTTTAATTATGTGAATTTAAAATATGTGAGTCCTTGATTGTGACTGAAATAATAAATTACATTGACAGCATATATAGTGTACCTAGTATAGCTGGTATAGATTATCTGAAAAAAATTATCCATTATAATTGCGTATATAGAATGTAATGTGTATATAGAAATGTGTTCTTAGGACACTGATTATACATATTATAAACCACTTAATCTGTATCTATTTCTTCTTAATGTAAACATTAATGCAAATTAGTCCTCATAATTTTCATTCATTTAAAAAAATATATTGCTCATTTACTATTTGCTAGGCACAAGAGGTTACCATTGCCCTCTAGTCAAGTATTTTTTATTCTTAGGATTGTGACTTATTAGTGGATTGTGAAATCAATTTGGTGGATCATGACTAGCATTTTGAAAAAAAAAAGGAACTGGAATAGACTAGAAAATATCAGAGTGTATCACACAACATGAAGATAAGCATTGTACTGTGAAACTTTAACTTTGGTTATGTGTTTGAGCATTTGTGTGAATATAAATTGCAATATAAAATCTCTTTCTTACTTGGATGTGGCGGCCAAAAAAGTTTGAGAGCTTCTGGTCTGAAGGGAGAACTAATAAATAAATAAACAACACAAATTAGAATGAAGAGTGCTTTCATAGATTAAACTGTAAACTCCGTGAGGACAGAACCAAGGCTATTTTCACTCATCATGATTCCACCGCAGCTTAAACTAATGTGTCGTAGAACATCAGCCCTCAGTTACTGTTCTTGAATAGATGCATGAATGGTGTGGCCCTAGAGTACTACGGAAAGCCATGGAAGGAGATCAAACAACCAGCATGTTCTGTGCCTTACATTTTGCATGGTTTCCATTAGGAGCCTTGGACTGTGGGGACAAAGTTTGGTGAGGAAAATGATCTGATGTAAAATTAAAGACCACGCAGTCTGTGAAAGGGAACCTTGAGGGACCTTGAGTGACATCTAGTGGATTCTTTGACCAACGGGGAGACACCAGCCTAAGGAAATCTCTTTCCCATTAGGTGACATGTTATTGAATATGCTGTTTGCTTTTGAGAGACAGAGAGAGAGTTGGGCTTCATCCATCCATAGTGCATAAATGTTACTTTATTTGTGGGTGAATATTGTAGGTTTATTAATCTGTGCCCTTTGTTTTGTATTGGTTTTGTAATAGGAGCTTTATCATCAGATTGGAAAATCTTGATTAAGCTTCATGACTTTATAATGTGTTACTCAGCACCTGGTACAGCACCGTCAGCTGTGTAATAAACACCTGTTGTTGGCTGGCTGACATGTTTTAGTCATTCATTCAACCTGTGGTCATTGATTGGATACCACCCACATTAAGGATTTCATTCCTGGCTGGAAGTTAGAAACACCAAGGAAGTTTTTAGTAAATGCAGATGCCCTTGACACACCCTAATCCCACCTCACTTCTCATTTAATTGGTGAGGGTGGAGCTGAAGCTTCTCTCTATAGAGGGATATAAAGATTTATTTTTTTCAGCTCTCAAGGTGATTCTACTGTGCAGCCAGGTTAACATTTGGAAAGGCACTGAATGTCATACACCATCAATGTAAAACAGGGATCCCTACCCTCTATATTGGTACTTCTCAAACTATCTGGGGTGAAAGACCAATTCACCATGGACCAATATTTTTGTAGAAATGAATTACTATAAAATGAAATGAAAAAACAAAGACATACAGCATAATAAAAAGCAAACTCCAATATTTTATCAGATTCAACAGAAATTAATTACTCTGTCAAATTTCTCTAAAATGTTCTAACTCTTACTCTCAGTTTCTGGATTTATCTTGTTTTGGACCAGTGACAAACCATTTACAGCATGGCACTTTGAGTCACACTGCTCCATGTTACATTCTAGATGGAGATGGGGGCAAGGAGAAGACAGAGGAGATGCAAAACACACAAGTAACCGTAGTAGCAGGACACACAAATCATTCTTATTGCATTTAAAGAGGAGGCCTGCTGACCTCTTAGTTAGTGCCTTCCATGTGGCAGAGCCCCATGGAGCCACCAGGGCCCAGAGCCTAGTCCTTGGCTTTACAGAGCCCAAATTTTGATCTTCTCAGAACACACACATTAATCAGGTACTTGGCACTGTCCATATGCTAAACTGTTTTTAAGAAACTGGTTATAAAGTAAAATCACTCTCTTTTTTAAAGCAAATATGCCTTTGGAAGGGACCAGATACTGATGTTTGCTATAATGACAGCCTCTTTCCAATATGGAGGTCTCCAGGCATGAGAAGGTTATTTAGGGAACATAGAATAGAGATCTCTCCCAGCCCCACCATGGAGCATCTCCCTCTAGTGATGACAATACTCATGCCCAACTGATGCATGTGTCTGTCCCTTGGACAGTGCTTAATAAGCACAGACAGACTCTGACAGCCTGTCACACTTCTAGGATGTTCCCTTCTGTCCATTGCCACCAAGCAGGCATGTTCAATGTACTGGTTTGAGTCAACAATTTCTCTGGTTTTAGCACTTCTAAGTATATCCCACATTACCGTGATTGGACTTCAGTGATCCCCAGATTATTTTCAGCAATAGATATGTCAACTATCTCCCGCACAGATTTGGTCCACAGATGACTCATCCATCCTGAGCTGGTCACTCCTTCTCACCTTTTATATGCAGTCTTTTCCTTCTGCCTTTAATGTCCTGCCTTCCCTTTCTTTGCCAAATTCCTTCTCACCTTTTGGATTTCAGCTCTCAGATTGGATCCTCCCAGAAGCCACCTTGACCTCCCATCACTCAAGGCTCAATTCCCTGTGCCCAAGTAAAGCACACAGCCTGTGAGGCTGCAATGGCCAGTTTCCTCTCTTCTCTCCAGTTGACTTTTGTGCTCCTTAGAACAGTGATCCTGGCTTTTGTTTACTCTTGGGTCCCCCGTAGCCATACATGTTAGAGCCTAAAATTAAAAAAAAAAAAAAATTGTTGAAATAAACTGATTTTTCCTGCACCATTCTCAAAGGGTAATGTAATGGCAAGGGGTAGTACAGGAGATACAGCCAACTTCTAATCTTATGAAGCTTTGTGATGACGGTAGGAGGGAGAGGTGCAGTGTTTCTTGAAAGTCAAGCTGAAGAGTATGAACATTAACTGATAGATGATGAAGGTGTGTAAGAAAGGGAGTAGGATGATAAAGTGAATGATTTAAGAAAAATTAATGTCATGGTATTGAGGAAGGAGAGATTACATTTGGGCAAGGATTGAACCTGGCACACTGGTTAAAACAGTGGTAGTATCTCCCCATGAGGGGCATCTCAGAATCACCTGAGATGCTACATCAATACCCTTCCTTTCCCCACCCAGTTTCGATGTGTCACCCACACCCTTCTAGGTCCCATCCCTAGTTAGTAATCACTGCCGTGGGAACCTTTGCACTGAGGGGAGTCTGTTCTATGCCTGAGGTGTAGGGGAAGGAAATTCAAAAGTCTGTTGTAATCTTGTAGATGTGAGATACTAGAGATTTGATGTGTTATCATCATATATTTAAACAGTTTAAATAATGTTTCCAATTTTATATGAGAACTTTTGCTGGAGGTAAAGCAAAACTTATAATAGATTATAACAAATGGTGATCTTAAAAGCTTATTGCTAGTCACTTGACTAAAATTTGTATTAATTTTCAGTAAAGGCTGTTGGGCCCCCTATTTATTATAGTTCCTGAATTTTCTACTGAATGTTGACAGGTTAACCCAGCATTTTACTGTGGCCTAATAATTTTCACTGGAAAAACCAACTAAGTTATCTAAATTATATTGTAGGCATTCAGCAAGTTATATACATTTTTATTCTTCAATCTGAATTTCCGGGAACACATTAAAACAAAAATTAAGGTTGTGCTTCACTCTTTTTAGGTTAACTTTCTCAGAATTAAAAGACAAACTGCCCATTATGAGTGAGACAAATGTCTCTTTCATCAAAATCAGTGACTTACAAAGTCTTGCAGTTGCTGGTTCAAGTTTACCACTTCTAGTTTCTAACTACTTTAGGTTCTTCTCCTGTCAATACTAGCACTAAGGATTATCGAAGTCACACAGTTTCGAACCCAACTTTTTTTTTTTTTTGAGACAGAGTCGCACTCTGCTGCCAGGCTGGAGTGCAGTGGCGCGATCTCGGCTCACTGCAAGCTCTGCCTCCCAGGTTCAAGCGATTCTCCTGCCTCAGCCTCCCAAGTAGCTGGGACTACAGGCACCCGCCACCACGCCTGGCTAATTTTTTTGTATTTTTAGTAGAGATGAGGTTTCACCATGTTAGCCAGGATGGTCTCGATCTCCTGACCTCGTGATCTGCACATCTTGGCCTCCCAAAGTGCTGGGATTACAGGCGTGAGCCACCGCGTCTGGCCTAGAACCCAACTTTCTATCTGAGCATCAGGTTTCAGAGAGAGAGAGAGAGAAAGAGAGACAGAGAGAGAGTTGTAGGTGGAGGGCAGGGCAAGGCTTAAATGTGAGGCTTAAATTTTGTGTGCCTCATTCCTTCTTATTGATGACAATCTGACTATTAGGCCAGTCCAAACAGGTCTATATACCTTCCTGAAATACACACCCAGGTGTCCTCTGGTGTGCAAAAGAAGATACTATAATAATAAGAAAATCACATATAAATGGAATTTTCAATTACAGGAACTTGAAAGTACAGATGAGTCATAAAGATTTAATCCAACAGGAATTTGTAGGCTGTTAAAATCAAATTTAGAATTAAGTGAAGGAATTTGGGAACAGGCAAAAGATATACATAATATTTGACAAATCAATCTCAGAGAACATCAATTTCCTTTATTGCCCCTACTTCTATACTGCTTGTTCTCAGATCCTTGTTAATCCTGGAAGCGCATCAAGGGGGTCAGCCTGTGTCTGTTGTGGGGTGTAGGGTCCAAAGAAATGCTCTTAGTCATTTTGTATTCACAATGATTCATTTCTTGGGAACTGATGAAAACTTATTCTAAAAGCCAAGTTGGGGTTGGGGGGAGAGAGAATAAGTACAAGTGCTCTGGCAGGCTAGAAATAACTTACAGAATCAATAGTTTCCAAGTTTCTGACAGAGCCAGGTTAAGGATGTTGGAATTGCAGCAGTTGTACCTACTTGCTAAAGCTGACACATACATCCTTAGACAAATGCACACTTACATTAAGGATGCTGAGTTGAATTGTCAAGGGTCCTCCATCCCAGGACTTAAAAAAAAGAGTCCTGGGAGAACAATTCTGATGCCCAACAAAAGGGAATAAATAAATTGAGCTATGGTTTAGCCATGCACACATAGAATGGTATTCAAGTATTACAAATAATGCTTATAAGTTTTACTGACATGAAAAAATACTTATGCAATATTAATTTAAAAACTGCAAAATTAGTATATGTAGTATTAGCTCTGCTTAAGAATGGCATGCATAGGGAGGGATGAACAGGTGCAGCACGGGATTTTGAAGGCAGGAAATTATTCTGTATGATACAATAATAGTGGATACACATCCGTATGCATTTGTTAAAACCCATTGAATGTACAACACAGTGAAACCTAATGCCAGCTCAAACTTAATGCATCAATATCAGCTCCTCAGTTGTAACAAACACACCACACTAATGCCTGATGTTAACAACAGGGGAAACCAGGTGAAAGGGGAGGGGAGAGGGAATGTATGGGAACTCTTTGTACTTTCTGCTCAATTTTTCTGCAAACCTAAAAGTGCTCTAGAAAATAAAGTCTAGTAATTTTTTTAAACTGTATTTTTAAAAGACTGAAGGGAAATACAACAAAATGTCAGCCAGAGTGTGCCATCCTATAAGATAGTGATAAGCTCAGATTTCCTGAGATCAAATTCTGTCTCCTCTACTTACTGCTTAGATTAAGTACTTGAACTGTCTGTGTTTCAGTTTCCCTGTCAATTAAAATGGGAATCATGATAGTACTTATCTCATAAATTTCTCCAGGAAATCCACATTATTTTGATAATTATGAAAAACTATATATGCATTGTATTATAAATTATATATATGGAAAGTTATGTGTGTATATAGTTTATATTAGTTGTCTATTGCTGCTTAGCAAGTTCCTTTGGCATAAAACCCCAGTAAACTGTTACCTCACAGCTTCTGTGGGTTGGGAAAGCGAGAGTAGCTTAGCTGGGCGGTTCTGGCTTAAGGTCTGCTGTAAAGTTGTGGCCAGGGCTGCTATCATCTGGAGCTGAAGGCCAGAATGGGGCTGGAGGATCTGTTTTTGAGATGGCTCACCGCATGGCTGGCCAGTTGGAAGGTGAAATTCTCCATAGTGCTGTTTGAGTGTTCTCACAACATGAGGGCTGGCTTCCTGCAGAGAAGGTGATCCCGGAGAGGGCAAGGTGGAAGCCTCCATAAGTTTTTACGCCCTAGCCTTGGAACTCACCATCATGCCTACAATATTCTATTTGTTACACAAGTCAGACATATACATTGTAGGAGAGAATGACATAAGGGTGTAAATACCAGGAGGCAAGGATTAGGACCATCGTGGAGGCTGGCTACCATACATGTACCTATGTGTATATCTGTATAAGTCAATGTGTCTGTATATGCCTGTGTCCATGTGTGTGTGTGTATTTGTCACCCTGCTGAAGCATTATCCCAGTGCACCTGCATGTACATTCTTGTCCTGTGTATTCTATTGAAGCAACCCCCAAAGCTTTTTTGGCTGCCTAGCACTTGGTCTTAGCAGCCTCTTTCTTTCTTTCCTTCCTTCTTTCCCTCTCATCCTCCTCCCTTTCTTTCTTCAAGAGATGCTCATTGTATACCTATTAAGTGGCAGTGAGCCATCTCTGTCCACCCCTCTGACTCTACCTCTCCTGCGCTTGCCTTCTATGCCTGCCTGTTCTCAGATGCCCTTCCACCCTCCCCACCCAGCTCTGGTCCCTGCCCACCGTCCACCCCATCTGTGCATGGAGTACTCAGAGCGCCTAGGCTAGCTGCAGATCCCTTGTTATGCTAATGCATCAGTCCTCCTATTGCCGTTAACAGGCAGCTGAGACTGAGTGCGACGCTTAGCACGATAGCTGGGAAATCACAGAAAAACACACCCAGAACAGCTCAAGAGTGACTATTCACACAGATCAAAGAGCCTAATATTTTATTCTGAGGTTTTCATTCTCTTATAACCATGAAACTCCGAAGCTCAGTAAAAAGTCAGCTTGGATAGCTTACTATGATTATTAACAATAGACCACTAATAAATACATGGTCTGTAAGGCACTTAGGGGCTCACAAAGGGGAACGGCTGAGACACACGGGTCAGCCTCAGCCTCCTCAGTTCAGCAGGGGGGCTCCTAAGAGACCTGCACATAGGCAGAGAAGAAGCAAAAATTAACAAAAGAATCCAAGAGACTGAGATAGTCCCTTCCGCATTTGGCAGAAAACCTAAACTACAGTGACTCATACAAGGAGAGGTTCGTGTCCCTGTCCTGTGAATAATTGAGGGAGGCGCTCCTGGGCTGGCATAGTGGCCCTGCTCTGTGATGTCCTCAGGGACCCAGGCTCTTTCCAGCTCCTGCTCTGCGATCCCTAGGGTGTGGCTCCCATCTTTATGGTCTAAGTTGGTGATTAGGTCTCCAATGCATCCATATTCTAGGCGGCCACTGGAGGAAGAGACAAAGAAATGGGGGCAAAGGCAGGTGCCTGCAGCTCAAAGGAGAGTTTCCTGAAGCTGGCACATGTCACTTCATCACTGGCCAGGGCTCAGTCATGTGGCCACACCTTGATGCAAGGGAGCCTGAGAAGTGTGGCCTCCACTGCAGGGCTGCAGTGTTCCCAGCTGAAATGTGAGGCTTCTGCACTTCTAATACTGAGGGAGAGGGGAGACTGGAAACTGGAAGATCCGTAGCAGCATCTGCCACAGTGGAGAAGGACGAATCGCCAGCAATCCAGACCTCTGGCCCCTCCCCGTTCCAGCACATCTCTATCTCCCTCTCACACACAGCATTTCCACTGTGTGTCACAGTTGACAGAGAGCTGTCATGTATGAGACCCATTTTAAAGGTACTGCATTTTGATTTTATTAACATATTAAAATTGATTACATACAAGGCAAGCATGTCCATTGGCAACTGCTCCCAAGCTTGGGCCCTCCTCATTGGCCATGAGTTGACTGCTGTGGTCAGGTTGGCATGTGTTCTTCCCAGGCTCTTTCTATCAGGCACACCTTGAAGAGCTGCTGCTAGCATTGGGGAGAGGTCTGAGGTCTCCACAGAAGGGGCTCTACACCCTGTGCCTAGCATCCAAAGACAGTTACTTAAACCACCAGACAACATCCCCCTACCTGTTCCTTGCTGCCTTCTCTCAACCCTCCTGGTCTTCATTGAATCCTCACGTGGCCCCACGAGCTTGGAGATCTGGGCCAGTTGCTCTGGTTGAAGCAGGCTCTCCCCTTAATTTTCATTTCTCCTTCTTGGATCAGGTCTTTTACCAGGCAACTGTCAGGATAACACATGCCCTGGCCCCATCTTAACCTGTGCTCTGAGCCTCCCTTTCGACCTGGACAAACTGGGTTGCCCTCCTCATCAAGGACAGCATCTGCACACTGGCAACCGTTATTGAGTGCTTGCCCCCTACCAGGCACTGCTGTCTGCACTTTGAAGGTCTTAACTCCTTTGCTCCTCTCACCCACACAGCTAATAAGCACAGCTTTGCTAACAATGCCAGGCTCTGGGCCTGTCTTGGAAATACTGGTTCTGTGGAAGGAAGTTGGACTGTGGAGTACAACAGATTTATTTGCTGTAGGTTCTTAGGCAAATTACTCAACCTCTAAAAATGGATTATTGACACCTGCAAAGTGTGAGGAACATTAAAAGAGATGGCATACAAAGCACTTAGCCTAGCGCCTGGTACATAGTGTTATTAATTAATGGCAGTACTTGTTTATGAAGATAATAAGTAATTCAATAGTGTCTGATGGGAGAGTGGATTATTTTAAGATCCTGCCCAATGCTCCATCAAGTCACTGCAGAGTGCCTGGGGTGGGGAGGAAATACCCTTCCATGTACTCTCTCTTCAACCACTGGTTTTCCTTGCTACTACAATTGGGTCTTTGCCCTAAAATTTTTCCCTTTTTCTTTTAGTGCTTTAAGACATTTCTGATTTAAGCATGCTTTGGTAGGAGATCGAGAATTTTTCTAAGTCTGTTTGGGCTTGCAGCATTTGGAATTATCGTGCATATCAGAATCTTTCCACATATGAATGTTTTATATGCTTAGGTAATAAGAAAGGGAAGGAAAGATTTTACAGAATCACAGATGTAGTCTTAATGGGAAAAGAGCAAGAGAAATATCAACCAAAAGAGGAGAGAATTGGAACTATATCTTCATTTGGTTTATAGGGAAGAGGAAGCATGTGCCACTATAAAGTGTGATCATTATGGTGTGCCTTTTTTGTTGTTGTTGTTATAAGAATTCCAGAATCTACACATTCAAACTAGTACAGTCTTCCAACTTAGTTATTTGGGGAAGTTATATGTGTTTCCAACAACTTGACAATTTCTCAAATATTATCAACTGATATCTCATTTTATCACTACCATCCAGGTTCCTGTATGAGAGGGTACCAATATCTGTCCCTTGTAGGTACTCTGTCATCCCAACCCGTATTCTTAACCAATTCTGGTTGAAGAAGAAGATAAACTAGGACTTCTAAACCCACCAGCACTTGGCTTAGTTAAGTGCCTTCTCTGTGCCAGGCATCATGCCAGGATCTGGGTTTGCAGAGGTAAATATAACACAGTCCCTGCCCTAAAGGATTTTGGAGACCAGAGAAGGGATGATCTAAAAGCCTGTACACTTATTCTCCCTCTCTTTGCGAGGGGTAAAATTTCCAAGTGTTCATGGAGTTGAGACCAAGCAGTGAGAGAACTGTCTGTATTGACATAAAGCACACACTCCAGTCCCTGAGTCATCCTGGGGCACCACTACAGTCATCCTGGGGCACCTATGGTTGTTGCCAGATTGGCAAAAATCCAAACCAAGAAGAACTAGGTAAATGCTGTGACTGTGGAGCACTTTGCTCCAGCTAAAAGTCAAGTTTACCTGAAGGGCAGCCACAAGTGCCTCTGGCTTGAAGCTCTTCCAAAATGAAGGCATTGTGAAATGGGAATTTTGAAAAAGGCAAAAATGTCAATCTCTTTGAAGTAATTTCTAAACTCCTTAATTTACAGAATGATAGATTTAATTTTGGTCTGAATTATTTTGGTATCAATGATGTCAAAGCAATTTGTCCCTGGATCAATTCAGTGAAGAAAAAGCATCTTCAATGTATCAAGAGGTTGGTTTTTTTGTGTGTGGTAGAGGACATTCTATTGCTTTTATACTAACATTCTAGAAATTAGTCCTTATATTTTATGTTTCCTCCAAATCATTTGTAACATATTTATTAAAAACTCCAAGTGTACTTTCTGGTACATACAGTTAAAATAAATGCACTAATTTAAATGATCAACAGTTATGAAGAGGCAGGGTCCCTTAGTGGGTAAGAGTATAGTTTCTGGGCCAGGCGTGGTGGCTCACGCCTATAATCCCAGCACTTTAGAAGCCCCAGGCAGGTGGATCACTTGAGGTCAGGAGTTCAAGACCAGCCTGGCCAACATGGTGAATCTCCATCTCTACTAAAAATACAAAAATTATCCAGGCATGGTGGCACGCTCCTGTAATCCCAGGTACTTGGGAAGCTGAGGCAGGAGAATCGCTTGAACTTGGGAGGCAGAGTTTGCAGTGAGCCGAGACCGCACCACTGCACTCCAGCCTGGGTGACAGAGCAAGACTCTGTCTCAAAATACAAAACAAAACCAAAAGAGTATAGTTTCTGGCCCTACTCTGCAAGGATTCAAATCTCCCTTTGCCACTTACTATCTGTGCGATTTTGGATGGGCTATGCAAACCCCCGTGCTTGTTTCTCCATCCATAGAATAAGAATAACGGTATCTACCTCATAAGATTTTTATGAAGATCAAAGGAACTAACAACAAAAAGCACCTAGAACCATCCTGGCACAGAGTAAGATCTGCTCTATAAGTAGTAGCTGTTATCATTGATTGGACACTTACCATATGCCATGCCTGTTATATATATCACTGAATTTACACCTCCCAACTCCCCTCTGAGCAAGTATTAGTATCCCCATTTAGCATATAAGGAAACTTGAATTTAGAGGTTTCAACAATTCAAATCAGACACACAGTGTTTCAGACTGAAGCTTAGTCACATCATTACATAATGGTCTCCCAAAATGGAGCTGGACAAATCAAAGAGAGTTATAAAAATGCAAGCAACCCAAGTTATTAAAGGTAAAACATTTTACCTATTAAAATGCAATGTAATGTCTTTCTGTCTCCAGCTAGAGTGGAGAGAGCCTAAGCCAATATGGCTGAAAAGACGGGCTGCCTTTGCATTTCTATGTCATGAATTATGTGTTGGCATCAGAGAAGAGCCATAGAAGGCTTCTAAAGAGTGGAGAAATGATCATCTCCATATTTTATAAAGACCACCATCATGATGGTGACACATAGGCTGGGGGCTAGGGTGAACATAAAGGTGGAGGATCAGTTTCAGACCCTTGTAATGACCCAGAGAGTTATGATATATGTTTGAGTCTGGGTGGAAGTTGTGGATATACAAGAGAACAGAGATACCTGAGACACCAGGTAAATAGAAACAATATGACTTGATCTATCTATTGCATGGCGGAACCCAGGTTTCTGGCTTGGCCAAGTGGCTGGTTAGCTGGTAGTGCCAGTCACCAAGATGAGGAGGCACAAGAGAAAAGGCAAGTAAGAGAGTATGATTAGTCCATTTAGCAGAAGTTGAGCCGGGCGTAGTGACTAACACCAGCAATCCCAGCATTTTGGGAGTCCGAGACAGGAGGATCAGGAATATGAAACCAGTCTGGGAAACATATAAAAACCATCTCTACAAAAAAAAAAAAAAATAACCAGGCATGGTAGTATGTGCTTCCAGTCCTAGCTACTTGGGAGGCAGAAGTTAGAGGACTGCCTGAGGATTTGAGGCTGCAGTGGGCTATGATGGTGCCACTACACTCCAGCCTGGCAACAGAGCAAGACCCTGTTTCTAAATAAATAAATACAAGTAATTGAACTTGAGAAGCCTGTGAAATTCTATCCAAAAGTCAATTAAACATACAGATCTGCAGCTCAGGTCTCCAGCCTGCACTGGAATTAGAGATCTGAGATGGTAGTGCATGTCGTAAGGATAGTGTCTGGAGAGAGAAGAAAGGAAGTAAAGGGAAGAACCCTGGGAATAAGCCCCAACATTTGGGAATAGGCCCCTGTGGTAAACCAGCCTGGAGACTGAGCAGCCAGAGAGCTCAGAAGAAGGTGAGGAGAGAGTAGGGCCCCAGGCACCAAGGGGGAGAGTCTTGGAAGACTGTGAAGGGGTTGACAGTGCCATGTGTCACAAAGCTGAGTAAGCGGTGAGTGTAAAAGTGTGCAAGGGAGTGGGGAACTTAATATTCATTCATGACCTTTGCCAGACAGTTTCAAGGGAGAAACTGAGGTGGAAGCCAGATGTCAGGGAGTCGAGGAGGGAGTGGGAAGTGGGGACTTTAAATGAAGACAGGTGACAAGGCACTTAGCTGATTAAAGAAGGTGAGAGAAATAGAAAGAGGGGACAGAATTGGGGGGAAGCTTTGGTTAGAACATACATAGTTCTAATAATACTGTGTCTGGCCAGGTGCAGTGGCTCATGCCTGTAATCCCAGCACTTTGGGAGGCTGAGGCGGGCAGACTGCTTGAGCTGAGGAGTTCGAGACCAGCCTGGGCAACATGGCAAAACCAATGTATTTTCGTTAAAAATACAAAAAATTATCCAAGCATAGTGGCACATGCCTGTAGTCCCAGCTACTTAAGAAGCTGATCACCTGAGGTGATCACCTGAGCCTGGGGGGTTGAGGCTGCAGTGAGCCATGATCACACCACTGCACTCCAGCCTGGGTGACAGGAGTGAGACCCTACCTCAAAACAATAATAATAATAATAATACTGTGTCATGGGATTCAAGTCTCCATAAGGGTCAATTGATATTCTCTTCTTGAAAACCTGTAGTAAATAAATCCCAAACCCAAGGTAACCATTTGGTAAATGAAACGTCTGTGCTTTCCTAGCTTCTCTGGGATTTGGGAGCACCTGAAGGGTTGCGATAGCTCCATCCATAGCCTACTCAACCACCATTATGTTGGCCCTTTCTTCTTGCTAACAGAACCCAGTGTTGTTGATGTGGCCATTTGCCCAGCACCACAGTACACACTGTGCTTGTTGTAAGACAATCAACACAATGTGGTTTCTCTTTGCCAGTGACTGGTCTAGGGGTGTGTGCGACCCAGTCCTAGCCAATGGGATGTTGGAGGACATTTTCTGAGGACTTCTTGAAAAGAATCCTCCCTCTTCCTCCCAATCACCTCATTCCCTCACTATAAAAAGAGAGAAAAGTGAGGAGAAAGCTTTTTTCCACCTATCCCTTTCCATTCTGTTTAGGGCATAAAAATAATTGTAAGGAAATTCAACAAAGTTCTTTTTCCAGCAATGATTCCCTTGATGCAGTCTTAGAAAAATCAATTTTAAAATTATTTCAGAAGCAAATTTTTAGGTGCTCTTGCTTTGCAGGTATCCTAAGCAGACATTTATTTAGCTTATTAGACACTCTAACGCTGACCTTGAGCAAATTTCTTAACTTGTATGAGCCTCAGTTTCCTCCTTGATAACCTGGGGAATGAGAATAGCTACCACATGGGCCTGTTGTGGGAACTGAGATGGGACGTGCAAAGTGCCTAGCATAGCAATGATAGTGCTTGACTCCTATTTTCCTGTGAGTTCTTTTTTTTCCTTTGAGATGGAGTCTCACTCTGTTGCCAGGCTAGAGTGCAGTGGCGCAATCTCAGCTCACTGCAACCTCCACCTCCTGGGTTCAAGTAATTCTCCTGCCTCAGCCTCCCAAGTAGCTGGGATTACAGGCATGCACCACCATGCCTGGCTAATTTTTTTGTATTTTTAGTAGAGACAGGGTTTCACCATATTGGCCAGGCTAGTCTTGAACTCCTGACCTCAGGTGATCCACCCACATCGGCCTCCCAAAGTGCTGGGATTATAGGCATGAGCCACCGCGCCCGGCCTTCCTGTGGGTTCTTTACACACACCCTCACTAGGAAAGACTAGGAATGGCCAGGGCTACCAGTAAATTACTGATAGCCAGTGACCTCCCCAAGGGACCCTAGAACCCAGGATCCCACTTTCCACACCTGCAGGTCACCCGTTGGCTGCCAGATCCATGTCAGGTTCCTTTGAGTTCAGCTGCAGCCTGCTGACTTGGGCACTTCCCCCAACAGCCTGCTTGGCTGACCACATCCCCCAGATGGTTCCAAACTGTCAGCCTTTTGAGCCCACAGACACGGTGCCCAGACCTTGTGTCCCCTCCCTGCACCAGTGCCTGTGGTGCCCAGTTTCTCCAGCCCTTGCCAGCCTGTTCCCAGCTTCTGGCCCTGCCTGCTGCATGGTCAGCAGAATTCTCCTGGGCCTCATCCTAGACCTGTGTTACAGCAGGTGACAGACAGTCAGTCCCACTCTCTAATAAGCCACAAAATAAACCTTGTGTCCAGAAGGCAACATCTACCTAATCTATACCCTTAGCTACTTTGCTGTCCCTTGAGGGAAGAGGACAGGTGCCTCTGTCTGACGTCTGTGTCTCTGTCTTTCATCCTCAGCTTAGAGACACAGTGCTGAGTAATGAGAGTTTGTGCTGGGGCTAAGACAACAACAAAAATCCCAGCTTCAGCACTTTATTACAGTGCTGAATTACTTAATTCAAGTGAGCTATTTAACCCTTTAAATCATTACAACATCAATAACAATAGCACCTAATATTTATTGGTTGCATATTTGTCTGCTAAATGCTTTGAGAGGCATTCTCTCAATCTTCTCTGTTACTATGAGAGAGGTTTCATTGTTCTCTCCACTTTAAAGAGGAGGGACCCGAGACACAGAGAGTTAAGTAACTTGCCTGAAGTCACTACTGCTGAGTAGAGGAGCTAGATTTGCCTGATTCTGGAGCCCAGACTCCCTGGGACTCAACTTCCTCATCTGTGAAATGTGGACATTAAAAATGACTTCACAGGACTGAGCAAGAATAAGAGACATCACTTCTACAGGGTCCCTACTAGATGCTCAGCAATGCTAGGGGAGCAATGCCCGGCTCCCCTAGCTATCATAGAGGACTCAACTTCCTCATCTGTGAAATGTGGACAGTAAAAATGACTTCACAGGACTGAGCAAGAATAAGAGACATCACTTCTACAGGGTCCCTACTAGATGCTTAGCAATGCTAGGGGAGCAATGCTCGGCTCCCCTAGCTATCCTAAAGGAGTCAACATGAGCCATTGAGATGTTGGCTCTCAGTAAAGATTTGTCCCCACGGCAGACATTTCCTAAGATGAACTGATTTGCAATGGGAATTGCAGCTGATGATCTGGAAGGCCTTCATCAGCCCTTCTGAAAGAGATCTTGCGGATGCCAGCTCCTTTTCAACTCAGTACATGGAACATGCAGACACCAGCCCTGCTGCTGAGAACAATGTCTGTCAGAAACATGCTTTCCCTGAGAGGACAACCATTATTAGTGGGGTAGGACACAGACTCTTTTTTGAGACAGAGTCTTGCTCTGTTGCCCAGGCTGGAGTGCAGTGGCGCCATCTCAGCTCACTGCAAGCTCCGCCTCCCGGGTTCACACCATTCTGCTGCCTTAGCCTCCCGAGTAGCTGGGACTACAGGCGCCCACCACCATGCCCGGCTAATTTTTTGTATTTCTTAATAGAGACGGGGTTTCACAGTGTTAGCCAGGATGGTCTCGATCTCCTGACCTCGTGATCCGCCCGCCTGGGCCTCCCAAAGTGCTGGGATTACAGGTGTGAGCCACCGTGCCCTGCCAGGACACTGACTCTTTAGCCAGGTCTATGGGGATGAGGGGAATGTAGATACCAGTTGTGTGTGAAGCTCCTCAGAATTGACTCAAGTGTATCATTTAGAACTGTACAGAAAAATTACTTTTTTGAGAAAGACTCAAAATTACTAAAATGGAACTTCTTTCTTTCCAAAATGTGAGAGCAAAGTACTGTCAGACCGACCTCCACCCTGGTTTTCCCCACCCTCTCTTAACATCATTTAGAGGTTTGTTTTTTACTCTTCCTTCCCCCATTCATGTCTTTCCTGGCTCTTTTGGGAATAACGTAATTTGGAGTGGGATGTTTTTTCTTTCCCTTTTGGTCTGTGCAAGTGGTCTGCGGGTTTATTTTATTCCAGATGTTTCTCCCCAACCTGCCTTTTGAAAGAAACCCAGAATTATTTTTAAACAGAATTTGGAGGCTTCCAAATACAACAAATATTCAAACTGCCTGTGGGTTCCTACATTACAAGTCCTTGCTTTGTGGTGGGGAGAACAGAGGCTATGGAGCCAATGGTTCTGGGGACATAGGGGGCCTCGGAGGCCTGCTCCGTGGGCCTGAACTGCCTTCTCTTGCTTTCTCTTCTCCGCTTCCTGGGCATCAACCCAAGTGCCCTCTGGCTGCCCCCTGAGATGCCTACCTGAGGAACCCACTTCTATCCCAGGAAACACACTGCTTAGCTCTTCTGCTGAATTTTGCCAGCACCTCTTTCTCCCCAGAAGCTAACCTGACAGAGAGATTCATATTAAGATAACACCATAACACTTCATACATTACCTCCTTTCCCACTTCCTACATTACCAGGGACCCTCAATGCCTTGACCCGGTGGTTTTCAACTCTGGCCGCACACTAGAATCATCAGAAGAACTTACTGAGATATGGATGTTTGAGCCCCACCCACCCAGGTCTGAGGGCTAATGCTCTGGAAACTGGAAACCGGATTAAAAAAAATAGTTTCTACTTTTAATTATAAAGGTAACCTGTATTCATCGTTCTTGTTATTGCCATTAAGGTAAACATTACAGAAATGTTTTAAGCAAAAAGCAAAAATATCCCCTCCCTCCTTGATATTCCAGTCCTGCTCTTCAGGAGCAAACACTGTTAATGGTTTCATGTGTCTCCTTTTGGAAGTTGTCTATGTATTTTGCTAAATCATATATGTTTATTTTTTACACCTATGTGATCAAATTATCACACTTTTGCATCCCCAATGAACCTTGGAGAACTTTCCACATCACTACAAACTGAGCGATCTCATTCTCCCTGAGGCTTACATCACTTTGCTGCTGTGGGGGGCCACAGCTCTCTGATTGACTAGGAAGCTCAGGCTGCTGGGGAGGATCGGCTGGAGAGGAGGCCCCTTCACAGGGGAAGGTGGTCAGCTGTCTCTAACATCTCCCCTAACTTCCAGAGCCTCTTAAGAAAATGCATTTTGGAGAAGGAAAGCTTTTCCCTAAATTGTACTCAGAGTGTAGGCTGATTGTGTGAAAATGCCTCGATAGAAACTTTAGGTCTTCTGTTGAATTTCTTCAGCATCCCTTTTCCCTAGGGGCTAATGGGAATGACTGTCTATAAGCTAAAACCATAGCACTGAGATAACGCCACAGCCTATCACTCCTCCCAGGTGATACATGTACGACAGCCTGTGTAAACTGCAGAAAAACACATACTTTGAAGAAGAACTTCAAGTACATCCTGGCCCTCAAATGCTTTATTTAAGTATGGGCCTCAGGAACACTCTAGAGGACCTTGGGAGGAGAGGTTTACCTGGATAGTTCCCCAGTAGAAACACAGGAAAGAGTGGGTATATCTCAGGGTGATGGTTTTGAGAATGAATCAGTGACTTCACAGAGATGACAAGACTGGCATAACATGCAATTTGATTTCTTACTTAAACTAATGTCTAGTTTCCCACTGTGTAAGAGCGGTTCCCCTCTGACTTTTTGGACTGTGTTCACCACCCTTTTCCGAAGGGTGAAGGTAAAGAGAAAGCCTCCCTGTAGTCTGGCTCTGTCACTGCCTTGCATGTGATGTTTCCTAAGTCTTGCAACCTAACTGGGAACCAGTCTCCTTATCTAGGAAATGAGGCCAGTACAATAGATGATTTTCTTTTATAAAACCCAGGCGGGTCTGAAGGTCAGATGATTTTTAAGGTCCTTCCTGGCTTTAAAATTCTAGGTTTCATGACTATGACCACCCACAAACCATACAGGAATTTTTTTTTTAAGCCACAGCTGAATTTAGTTCTTTGGAAAAGAGGCGGTGGAATCGCATTACCCAGCTGGGTGCTTCCTATTTAATCTGCTGTTTTCCTGACTCGTGTAGCTCTTTTCCTCCCAAAGCTTTCTGTGAGCCTGTAGCTTGACAGCATCTAGCCTTGATGGTTTGAGCTTTCTTTTTTCCGTGATTACCACCACCCTGCCACCTATCTCACTAGGATATCATCCAATTTAATGCATTGTAATAATAATTATGTCTTATATGTACATAAGCTTTAACAGTGCACCAAGAACGGTATTTTAGAAAGCACATGGGTTTTTTAGCAAGACATTGTCAGAGTTTGAATTCTGCCTTGTAGCAGCTGCAAATTTGGTTGCAAACACAAACTGTTTCTGGTTAACTTTAGCAGAGAAGGAATTTACGTGAGGAGCAGTGGGAAGCGCATGGCATCATGGGGCCGCTGGGAGGCCTTGGCGGGGGCAAGACGTAGAGGAGGACAGGCACAGTCCAGAGGCCACCTTGAGAGCCACCGACTTGGGAGGGGCACTTGTCACTGCTGTTCACAGCCACCTCATCTAATCCCTAAATGACCATGTGCTTTGGCTTGTCTGCCTAAAGGGTGAAACCTTTAAGCAACTAGAGAGCGGAAAGCTTCCCCTTCAGCTTGGTTTCTGTACTGGGCAATGGAATCTTCTGTAGCGGGCAAATGGAACACTTACCCTGATGTTCCTCCCAAATAAGAAGTACTGTATATCCACAAGTGGACATCCAATACAAAGAAAAAGAACCTTGATGCTAACCTGACATCATATACAAAGATTAACTCAGGTTGGACCATAGACCTAAATATAAGATTGAAAACTGCACAACTTCTGCAAGAAAGCATAGAATAAGTATACCTAGATGCTAAGCAGCCAGAATGACCAATGTCCACCACAGGGTTCCACCACCTACTACTACTAGCTGTGTGACTTGGTCAAATGAGGACAATCCCTGTCTCCAGGCAGCTGGGTGGATCCAGTGGCAACCTGAATAAACCCCTCAGCCTGGGCCCTGCCCTCTGCGTAGGGATGTTCTCCTGAACTAACCTGCAGCGTGGACATTCCCGAGCATGACCCAGCCTCCAGGTGTCCCTCTGTCAGGAGGTGGGGGTGCATTCCGAGAGGGGACAGACCATTTTGACACCTCTTGTCTTTTGCAGCTTTGAGAGCCCTGAGATTCAGCCCCTGCTTGGGACATAGTGGCTATAGGGAGAGTCTTCTCAGGCAGTGAACCGAGAAAGAAGGTTGCATGGGGTCCTCCTGAGACACACCTAGGCACTCTGAAAAATATTTCAGTGAAACTTCTATGGGGAAGTGCTGGAGGCCTGTGTCAGCAGGTGGGAGGCCCCAGTGACATCTGTTAATGTGGATTCATTTGTCCCTCTGGTGCTGGGCCTGAGCAAATTTGGGATGCACATACATCCTTTCATTGGATTCTTGTTATATCCCTTTGAGGTCAGCATAGCAAGTACTGTAGACTCATTTTTTTTTTTTTCTGCAGAGGAAGAAACTGAGGCTAAAGAACAAAAACTTGCTGAAGGTCACTCAGCTTGGGCTGTGGGACTTGTTTTCCTGCCCCGAGCCCAGCGTCCTTCCCACCATCCAACACTGTTTCCTTTCTTGGTACCTCCATTATTAGAACACCTGGATATTCTTAGCTAACAATGGATGACATAAATAAACACACGGTCATTTCCCCACATTTCCGCACAGGTCCTCTGCAGATGGCAGAGCCCTTTCTCTAAATGCATGGCATGAAAAGGCATTTCAAAGGTTGGAAAGAGAGCTTCAGCATTAATCATGATGGGATAGCGGAAACTGGCTTTGCAAGGGATGGACTGGACTTCAGGGAAGATGGACAGCCTGAGCTCACTTTCAGGAGAGCTCACTTTCAGGAGATCAGTCAGGGCTGTCATTCCAGGGCCTGGGTGGAGGGCTTCTGCTGTGCCAGGGAACAGGTGTCTGGACTCGGTCTCCCAGGGTGAGCGCCGTCTGCTGCCAGTCCTTGCAGAGACTGGACTGTAGCTCTGAGTGCATGATTTGTAGGCCAGGATCCTCCCCTGCCCCTGAGGCTGAGGCCAACATGGGGGGTGGCTGCCTTTAAGGCTGGTCTGGGATTGTCCATGTACTTACTGAGCCAAGGAGGAAGAACCAAAATAGATGCTGGGAGAAAGCAGAGGTCAGAGGCTCAGAGAGGCAAGTCCTGTGTCGGGCTGGAAGGGGATAGTAGAATTGGGGGTGTAGCGGGGGATGGTGTCAATAGCCAGTGGGAATGAGGACTAAGGGAAGAGCCCATCTCACAGGACTCCTGGGCCTAGCAAAGGGTAGGTGATCAATGACTATTTAAGTAATTAATAGTTCAGCAACAAAGGACAGTCTTGTGGGGGTAGGGGCAGCTCCTAAAAAGGGCTGTGGTAGGAAGGGTGGGGCAGGAAGGTCTATGTGGCTGAGCCCCTCTGGGACCCTCAAACTCCAGTGTCAAGTCTTCTGTCCTTTTGAGCCCAAGTGACACCACTGATTTTTTTTTTACTCTATCTTGAGGGAGAAGCAGGCCCCCCACAAAGGACATAAATCTCTACAGATGAGGATACCTCACTGGGCTTTTGTTTGTCAGCCAAAAAGGGAAAAGTAAGCATTTGTCTAATTTTCTCAAATTTTAACCAGCCAACAGGTTAGAGATCTTTTTTTTTCTTTTTGGCTTTTAAAATAACCTTTATTTTTTAAAAGTTAAGATGTGCATTATAGGAAACTGAAAAACGCAAGAAGCAAAGAACAAAGTCATTCACAATCACAGGCAGTTTATAGTTTGACATGCTCTTCTAGGTCCTGTGCGTGTGTAGGCACAACATCCAATTTTATGGCACTGAGATTGTACAGTATGTATCATGATTTTTCACACATCATGAATATTTACCAATTCAAAATCCTAAAGCTATATGAGTATTCTGATAACCAAGAATACACTACACCAACTCAAACTGTTAAAAGAAAATGTAATCCTGCCTTTCTTGGGACAAAAATTTCATGAGATCATGTTTTAAATGGAGAAAGAAAAAGGAGAAAGCCAGAAACTTGAATTCGCTCAATTACTCAGGAAACTTTAACCAAAAAGCTCAGACAAATTAAGGCTGACCTTAATTGATCTGTTTAGATGTTAACCTTTAGAAAAAATCTGTATACATACAAAGAGTATATACATTTGTGGCTTTGAACAAACATTTATGATTCACGGAAGGTGATGACTGCTTTGGCAAAATGGCATGGTTCAGTTTGAAGTCCAGCAGCTCTATTCATCCGTTGTGTGACCTTGGCACTTGGTCCCAGGGTCCCTTCCACCCTTTCTGGGTGAGTGCACAGAGGCGGACCAAAGTGCCAGTTCCAGACCCCATTTCTTGGCTGCTTGGCTCTTGAGGCACCCGACTTTCTGACTTGTCGGGGGCATCCAGGTTTGACGGCTTGGTTGGCCCTCAAGGATGCCTCTTGGCTGACTGGGTTCTGTTTTCTTTAGTTCTCAACTTTCCTTGGTTTCTTAATTTCAATGTTATGTCATCCCTTGGGATCCTGTTGGCCAGGCCCATCCCTGTAGGAGGGTTGACCTCAGCTTTCTTATTTTTCTCCCTTTCTTCCTTTCCTCCTTCACATGTAAGATGAGATGGTTGGACTGGACCAACTCTAGAATCCCTTCCCGCTCTGACTGCTCCATGGTCTGATGAAGGTGGCCACTGAGACATTTGGGCAGGGGCCCCTCTCGAAAACCATGGAGGTAGGCATGTGGTAACTCCCCCTGCTACGTCCATACAGCTATTCTCCTGTGAGAAGAGTTGAGATGGCTTTCTGCACAAAGTGAGAAAGCAAAAGAGCCAGACAGGACCCATGGGGGGAAAAAGGCAGGACAGAAAGCAGATAGCAAAACCAACCTGCCCTCCGAGGGCATGCCCGTCACACGCAGGGCTGCTTGCAAAGTGGGTTTTCGTCCTGTTCTCAGGCTTACAAGCAACTCATTGTCCTCAGAAAATAGCAGCTGCTTCTGGGGAGTATTCGGCATTGGGTGTGACTACTTAGGGGAGCGAGCTTTCAGCAGAAGGCCTGAGCCTTCGTCCGACAGGAAAGGAGGAAGTCATTCTGGGCAGGGGATTCGTTTTCTATTGCTGCTGTAACAAATTACCGCAAATGTAGCGGTTTCAAACAACATAATTTATCATTATACAGTTCTGCAGGTCAGACATGAGCCTCACTTGGACACAAGAATGCATTCTTTTCTGGAGATTCTAGGGGAGAATGCATTTTCTTGTCAGTTGGCAGAATTCAGTTCGACAAGGTTGTGGGACTGAAGTCCCCATTTCCTTGTTGGCTGTCACTGGGGGGGATCCCTTAGCTCCCCCCTGGAGGCCTCTCTCTTATCCTTGTCTATGAACCCTGATATCCCAGAACCAGCAGCAGGGCTCCTCCTCATGCTGCCACCTCTCTACCTTTCCTCAGTTTTCACCTCTCTCTCTCTCTCAGACCATGAGTGGGGAAGGTTCTCTACTTTTTTTTGTTTGTTTTGGAACGGAGTCTTGCTCTGTCGCCCAGGCTGGAGTGCAGTCACGTCATCTGGGCTCACTGCAACCTCCGCCTCCTGGGTTCAAGCAGTTCTCCTGCCTCAGCCTCCCTAGTAGCTGGGACTACAGGCACCCGCCACCACGCCCAGCTAATTTGTGTATTTTAGTAGAGATGGGGTTTCACCATGTTGGCCAGGCTGGTCTACATGACCAGCAAGCAAGCCACCCGCCTTGGCCTCCCAAAGTGCTGGGATTACAGGCATGAGCCACGCGCCTGGCTGGTTCTCTACTTTTAAGGACTCGTGTGATTAGATTGGACCCACCTGAACAACCCCGAGTAGTCCCCCCATCTCAAAGTCTTTAACTGAGTCACATCTGGAAAGGCCCTTTTGTTTGCCATGTAAGGTCACCTATTCACTAGTTCTGGGCATTAGAAAGTGGACATCTTTAGGAGGCCGCTAGCTTGCCACCCACAGGCAGATTAGGCCATGTGATTTGCTGACCCTCTGCAGATGTTACACTGAGGCAGTAAACCTTTTCCAGGTGACTCATACCACCTGTGCACATCAGGAGACAGTCATGTGAACTACAGCTGTTGCCAGTGCCAGCTGGGCATTGTGCAAAGCAGGACTTGAATGTGTCCATCACATGCACTCTGTGGTCGAGCCATCAGATGCCCTGAGTAATTAATGTTCACATGGCTTTGTGAAATACAACTATGTAGGCTAGCTCGTCAAGTGTTTTTACAAGAGCTGACGCCAGTGGAACCCACTCAGCTTGCTTTTCCTGTTCCAGCTTTTTCACGCACAGTCAGGACCCCCCTGGAACTTCATCTACTGCCAGCTCCCCCATTCCCCTCCCACGAGTGTGGGTGGCCCTCTTAGCCTCTGACCGCATACTGGAACCTGCGGAGGCAGTGTTACCAGACCTGAGGTCTTCCTCTGCATTTCATTTGCTGTTCCCTGGCCTGCAATGCCCCTTCCTTCCCACCTCCCCCGAGGGCCTAGCAGCCCCTCCTACACAGCCCTCTAGCCCCTCTGTGCTCAAAGTGCATCTGAGGACATCACCTGAGAGCTGTAGGAGATGCAGGATCTCAGGCCCCACCCCAAACCTACTGAAGCCAAATCTGCTGTTTAACGTGATCCCTGGAGATTCATAAGCATGTTGTCTGTGCAGCACGGAGTGAGGGGCGGCTCCTCTTCGCTGCACCCCTTCCTGATTACCCCTAGGCCCAGCCAAATAAACTCTTCTTCCTGCTCCCTTGTGCCCCATTTGGACTTCACTCGTAACAAGGGAGTATAACTGGATGGTAAAAGGGACTTTTCCTGTTATCTAGACATTTCAGCAGAGGCCTCAAAGGCAGAACAAAATAGTGCAAGGAGCCGCACATCCGCACAGTGCTGAGACCCTGCCCAGGACAAGCTTGGTGAGTGGAAAACTTCCTTTGTCAGCCCTTCGCGCACTTCCAGCCTCAGATCGAGGCATCAGGGAGGGTTTCCTTGAAGAGGGTGGGCTGAGGGCTGTGTGTTCCCACCACCCCTGTTGCCCTTCCATGGGGTGGGGCAGCAAGTGCTTCCCCTCACCTCAAGGAAGTGACAAGGGTTGCACGGAGAGCTCTCCCCACACCTTTCAGTGTTTGGGGAAACGTGAGGACTGGTCTGAGAAGTCAGGGCTGCCGTGGCCAGTGGTGCCCTGCCCCAGAGGGCAGTGGGGTGAAGGTGTGTGGCTCCCAGGGACCAGATGGGGGCCCTTTTGAATAGGACTCCACCCAAGTGGGCTGCCTGGAAGGGCAAAGGGACCCAACAGAGATGTGGGCCACTGGAAAACCAGAGACCCAAGGGCTGCTGAGACCCTGCCCCACAACTACACACATCCCAACCTCATAATGAAAAGTGTAGTTGAGATAGGGTTGCCAGATTTTACAAATAAATATACAAGATACTCGTTTAAATTTGAATGTCAGGTAAACAACATGTATGTTTTTAGTATATGTTAAATGAAATATTTGGGACATACACTAGATCTTTTTTTATTTTTATCTATCTAAACTTCAAATTTAATTGGACATTCTGTATTTTTATCTGGCAACCCTAAGTTGGGAGCTTTATAGCAGAAATTCAAGTGGCTTCTCCAAGAAACCCACAAAAGCACCCCAAAGAAAAGTCAGCCCTAGAAACCCCAATGGCAGCTCACAACTGAAGCAGTCAAGTAAGATCATTTCTGCTCTGTCATCCTGGTCCCCCACCTCAATGCCTCATCAGGATAGGGAGTGGGAGGTGGAAGAAGGGAGGGGACAGGAGGAGGAGATGACCATCTCCATCACTTCAGGCTTCCGAGCCAGAGACGAGACGCTTTAACTTTAAATGAAATTGAACATTTTGATTATTACTTGGATCAGACACAGACATACAACTACTCTTCTTGTGACTTAAAGAGACCTATGATGTCTGCCTAAGACGGCATGTCTTAGATGGGGAAGGAAGCAGGTCCTGGAGCTAGGTGGAAAAGACAGTGGGTGAAAGGAGAGTTGCTTCAAGAGTGTGCTCAGCTGAGTAGCAGTGGTTCCCAAACTGATGGCTTCTTTGCAGAGCTGTCTTTCTCACTAGCATCTTAGCATTTGTTTGTGTCCCCAGTTCATGGCATATATAGTAGATGCTCAGTAAATATCTGACTGTGTTGTTTTTTTGAGACAGGGTCTCAGGTGCCCAGGCTGGAGTGCAGTGGTGTGATCATAGCCCACTGCAGCCTCAAACTCTTGAGGTCATGTGATCCCTCCTGCCTCAGCCTCCCAAGTAGCTGGGACTACAGGTGCATACCACCACACCTGGCTAATTTTTATTTTTTTCTTTGTACAGACAAAAAAGAAGAAAATTGGGTCTTGTTATGTTGCCCAGGCTGGTCTCCAACTCCTGGCCTCAAGTGATCCTCCCAGCTTGTCCTTCCAAAGTGTTGGGATTATAGGTGTGAGCCACTGTGCCTGGCCATGTCTGAATGTTGAATGTTGACAGCTTCAGTGAATTGACCCCTCTTTCACCTATGGGACTTATGAAGAGAGAATCTTTCTGGCATTGCATAATCCTTCCCAAGAGTACTTTAGCTGTGGTAACCCTTCTTGTTATAAAACATGCCAGGTATGATGATGGAGATCAGCTGAGCTGGACTTAGAATCTTCTCTAAGAACATTTACAGGCACTCAGTGTTAACAGCAGGGCAGATGTAGGTTTCTGGGAACCTGAGGCTTATAGGAACTGGAGTTCATTGTAAGAAAAAGAATATCAAATTATGAAGACAAAATTAGGCATCAATGTGAATATTAATTTAGGAGAAATCACAACAAATCGCACATCCTGAAAAGCTAACAAATACTGCATACATCGCAGAATCTAGAAGCATAACAATATTTGTATTGGTTAACTTGGACATATCACTATAGTATGCTTTTTTTCTACATTTTGGGCTATATTTTTTTCCTATTCTTTTTGGTTGATGTCCTTGTAGTAGTGGCTACATGTTAGTAGGCACTAACCCTAGTAGTAACTAATCCTAGTAGTAGGGTTCATGTTATTGTTGTCGATGTCTGTATTTTGTGATCAAATCACCAAGACTGCAAATCCTTCTTTCAACATATTCATATGATTCACTCCCCTTCATTAAATTGGGTTATTCAAACAATTATGCTCCAAATTTATCTCTTCCTCTTAATCAAGTACTACTTTGGCATGATCTGATTTTTATAATTATTCTCTCTTCTCATCTTTATTATTTATATTTTCTTAGCTATTATGATTCTTCTTCTCAATTTCATGCTTTTGTCTATCAGGCTTTTTAGCTTCTGTTGTGATAGAACAAAAGAGTTTTTGACATTTTGTAACTTCTTCCAGTCTTTTATCTTTCAGTTTTTGTCTGAGACTTCTACTAGGATGTTTTCTTCTCAACACGCTTGATTTTTGTATAGTTAATAATTTTGAAATAAAGGCATTCTCAAGAGCAGTTCAAATGCACTTGAAAATTGCTGAAATGTATTGAGTTGCATATTGCATAATCAAATTACTTTTTTGCCACATAGACTGATCTATTGGTGAGTATGTGTAGGGGTTTCATTACCCTGGAGTCCTTTTTCTTTGCTTTTTTTCCCCTTTCTTTCCATTTCTGTGGCAATTTGGTGAACAGTTTCATCAGGAAGTGTGAGACTTCATAAGGGCAAGAGGATCAGATAGATACTCTAAGGGTGATCCGTTCAGTTTGCACAATAAATCTGTGGAAGACATCATATGTACAGTGGAATCTTCTTTCTTTGCAGAGAAAAGTGGACAAGCATCCAATTTCCAAATCAATTCTTGGGATAAATTGGTATAACTTGTTGGAAAGCAGTTTGTCAATATGTATTGCAAGCCCTAAAAATATTTATGTCCCCCTCAAATACATGCATATTCCTATAGTTTGAGTAATTTAATTTACATATATTAATTTTAAGAAAATGCTCCTGAAAATGAAAAAGGTATTAGGCACAAAGATGGTGTTAACAATATATTCCTTAAAACATTTTTAGTTTGTTTTTTTTTTGAGACAGTCTTGCTCTGTCGCCCAGGCTGGAGTGCAGTGATGCGATCTCAGCTCACTGCAACCTCCACCTCCAAGGTTCAAGCAATTCTCCTGCCTCAGCCTCCCGAGTAGCTGGGATTATAGGCACCACCATGCCCGGCTAATTTTTTTGTATTTTTAGTAGAGACGGAGTTTCACCATGTTGGCCAGGCTGGTTTCGAACTCCTGACCTCAAGTGATCTGCTCATGTTGGCCTCCCAAAGTGCTAGGATTACGGGTGAGCCACCGCACCCGACCTCTTAAAACATTTTTGGAATAAGTTGCTCCAACAATAAATGATTGGTTATTTAAATTGGGAACATCAACTTGATGGATATTATTACTATTGAAGTTTATAGAAGGTTTGATATATGGTACAAAATGACTCTTACATAACATTAAGCAAAACAAAAGCAAAATACAGTATTGTATATACATTTTGATCTCAGCTAAATACTAAATCGCATGCTCAGAAAAAATCCTGGAATATACATGATTTTAAAATGTACACTCTCTATATAAGTATACTATATATATCATAAACACCCTCCCATGTCGACAAATATAGATCGTGACATAATTTTTAATAGTTGCATAGTATTTCACTATACGCATGAACAAAAATTTTTCTGATCGTCTAAGACATTCAGACAGCTTCAAATGTTTTTCTGTTTTAAGTATACTGCAATGAACCATCTTGCACATTAATCTTTAGCCAGTTTTCCAATTATTTCCTCAGGATAAATTCCTAGAAGTGGAATTGCTGGGTCAAAAGCATTTTTAGGGCTTTTGAAACCTATCGCTAAATGACCTTCCAGAGAGACTATAAATTTACGCTCCCACCATCAGCATGAGTGCATGGCCTGTCTCTGGTGCCTTTGCCAACACTGGCTCTTCAATGTGCTTTAAAACGAAGAAAATAACTTAAGAAAATATGCCTGCAGTAGATTTGAAACTTATTAAATATATTCAAGTCTTTATTACACAATCCTGGCTTGCTATAAAAACGTTGCTAGGAGTTAACATCTATTGCGGAGTTACCATGTCCCAGGCAATGTGTGACATGAGTTAATTCTCATAGTGCTGCAGATAACTCTGTGAGGTAGGGGCCATCATCCATCCATTTCATATGTGAGGAAATGAGACGCAGGGGTGTTAAAGGTAACAAAGTCCAAGGTAATGAGGGGCTGAACTAAGATTTCAACCCAGGCCACAGCCTACACCATACTGTACAGCATCTCAGTCCCTGCTGAGATGTTCCTAAGCATGCAGTGAACCTTTCAGCTCAGGATTCTCCACGGCACTGCAAATCCCTCTAGTCCATATTCGAGGATGAGTCTTACTTTAGGCAGGGGCCCCAGAGACAACCATTTAGAAGATTCCGAGAATCTGCCTACTAGCATGAGGTAGGCTGCCTGTGCAGGACCTGCCAGGAAGGTGTAAACCTGGCCTGCCAGCTCTAGCCCACTGGTCACTTGGGCCGAAGAGTCATGAGAAAAGGGTTATTTGGGAGAGAGCTGAGTGTCATGATGTGCCCGCCGCCCTTGGGTCAGGTGACTGTTTCCTGCTGGTTTGCCTGGGACTCTCCCGGCTTTAGCAATGGAAGTCTTGCATCCCGGGAAACCCCTTAGTCCCAGGCAAACTGGGTCAGGTGAGCACCATATTTCTGGGGGAAGATTCTGGCACTTCCTTCCTACCTCAAGACAGGTGTGAGGGGCTTTGAGGGGCTCTGGAGCCATGGGCCTGGGGACAGAGCTAACACCCATGCATCAGACACCCAGAGGACCCATGCCAGATCACACTGCTGTGCTCAACTCCCTCCCTTCTCCCTCTGGGCCTAGCCTCAGATGGTCTGAAACCCAGCTAGTGAGAATGGGGGCTGGAAGTAGAGCCAGGAGAGAGAAGAGACTAGCAACACAGACCCCCGACTCCTCCTCAGGCCGCTTCTAAGCCTGGAGCAAGCCTCAGATTGTGGGAGGAGACTGAACTTAACAAAATTTAAAGTTTGATGTTACACTGTCTTGGACATTTTAAGTCACTGAAATGAGACTTGAAAGGGCCGAGAAGCACTGTGGGAGCTGCCAGGGACGTCCCCCGGGGATGGGGAGGAATGATGACAGAGGGCAGGGGAAGGCTGAAGCTGCTTATGAGCCAGCACTGCCAAGGGCGACCCTCTCAACAACCAGGCTGCTTGGAGTGGCCACTGTGGGCCCCACCAGGGCCTTGCCGCCTCCTCCCAGACAGGGGTGGAACCACAGCTGCTGCCACTTCTACTGCCTAAGGCGCAGGGATGGGGGGTAAGAACCCAGGGTCCCCTCACTGCCCCCTGCCCATCAGGCTATGGCAAGAGCCTTTCCTCACCCCAGATGCTGCCTCCTCAAATGGAGCATCCCAGCTCTCCAAACCACCAGAGCCCGTCCTTCTCCTCCCAAGCAACCACAATAATAAATGATAGCCTGTTGACACATGCGAGACACGGAAATAGGTTCTTAACAGACATTGTCTTCTTTTGTCCTTATAATTTACCAGTGAGGTATTGTTGCCATCCTCATTTTTCAGAGGATCAGAGAGGTTAAGGAACTTGCCCAGCTATTAAGTAGTGGAGTGGAAACCTGTTCTGTCTCCACCCAAAGCGCATGTCCAGTTCACAATTCTGCACGGCTTCCTAGCTCTTACCTAGCCTAACCTCCCAGCTCCCCACCAGGCGCCTGGGAGGGACATCTTTGCACTGGGACCTTGGTGGGATAGCTGCGTTTCCACTATTCCTACTTGAAACCTGGAATGTGTTTTTTCATGGAGACAATATGATGAAGGGTTCCTTCGACTCCACGGTGGTTACTTATTGGTTAAGTCGCCCTTTGTGACCTGGCCTGGGGTTCTGACCACACTCGATCATGTGATTTCCCAGGAAGAAAACACATCCTGGGTTCTAAATAGCAAATTCCAAACACACTGTTAGGACACAGCTTATTTGTGAGTTAGGGAATGTCTGCCTGTAAATGATTTTAATTTGAGTGACAAGAAAAATAAACTGGGCTCTTTCATTATGCTATTTGGGTTGTTGGTTTACATAGAAGTGAGGCTGCCCCGCACTTTGTCCTTCTACAAGGGCGTCATCTGTTTGAATTATTCAATCTCTTCAAAGAGTTTGTGGCTAAGTGTACGGTACTGGAGAAGCATGTGGTTTAGTGAGTGAATTAAAAGTCAGGAGATGTGGGTCTAGCCCTCCCCTTGCCCTTAACCAGCTGTGTGACTTTGGGTGAGTCACTGTACCTCTCAGGGCATCTGCTTCTCAATCTGTACAATGAGGTGACTCTCGAGAATCCCCAAGTTCCCTCCCAGACCTCAGATCCCATGAAGAACAAAGAGCCTCAGGTGCAGAACTGCGAAGGAGAGGTCTGCTCAGAAATCATGTTTCTTTCTTTTGCTTCCCTTTGTAATTTTTCAAGAAAAATTCTTTAGTAATGGTGTTCTTGGGCTATAGCAGATGAAAAAAAGAGAAAGTCAGGTTCTTTGGGGTTAAATGGAGCATTTAATGACAGTTAAGCAAAAAGATGTGTGCTGGGCCTTTTTCTCACGTTGGATGTTTGGCTAATTGATCAGCAGATCCTGGCACCCAAGTGACAACCTGCATTGAAAAGGCGGAACTTGGCTCTCCTGCCCTGCCAGCTGTAAGAGCTTGAAAGCAAAGCTATGGGGGGAATGTCTTTCATTTCCCCCTGGAAGCTGGGAGGACGTTCAGCTTAGCATTGCCAACTGTGTAATGTGGACTTGCCTCTAAAAGAAGCCTTTTTCCTTGGATGTCTTTCAGGCCGCAGTATTCCCTTTGGCACCCCCACCCACCTGGAACAAAGCCTGATGTAAAGTCTGGGTGCGACTCAGACCGGCCTGGGAAAGAATTTATTTAATAAATGGTGGAAAGTGGCTTCCTTGACGTGTCTTCGATGGCTTTTTTATAAAGCATTTGGTTTGTCTACTCGTCTGTTTTTGCGCCATCTCTTTCCACAAAGATGGCTTATAGCAGGGATACTTACAACAAAATGATGCTGGGAAAACAAAAACAAAGAAGTAGAGAATTAGGCCTGAGAAAACTAGGAGTAGAGAGTCACGATTAGATACAGAGGAGCATAGATGTGTAGTCTAGGAAGGCCAACTAATTGTTATAGCTGAAATTCAAATTCAGTTAGCTAAAATGTTCCTAGTGTCAAAGGAAGAATGGGCCACACAGTTGCATAATCCTTAGTATTAGGGAGAAGGAAAAGGTTCCAGTTATTCAGAGGGATGTTCTCTTGCCTTATTCCTTTAATAAGTATCTGTTAAAGGCCCACCATGTGCCAAGCACCATGCCCGGCAAGCACTGCACTCACCCCCCAGGAACTCAGTGTCTAAAGGAGACTGGGTGAAAGAACTATATTTGTGTGCCTATGATGTGTCAAATACTATGCATTTAGTTATGCAGTTACTGTATGTTAGACACTATGCATTTAATTATTTACCTGCTGTATATCAGACACCATGCATTTTCATTTAACCCTCATAAGCACTTACATCAAGTAGACACTGTTACCTCTTTTTTACAGATGAGAAAACAGAGTCTCTTCCCGCAGCTGGTAAGTATTGAACTTAGGATTCAAATCAAGGCCATTCTCTCTTATATATGGTGCTAGACTGTTGGTGGTCTTTCTAACTTCCATTATTTATTTTCCCTTCCCTTTCTTTTCTTCTTTTCCTTTTCCTTTTTTTTTTTTAGAAACAGGATCTTGCTCTGTTGCCCAGGCTGGAGTGCTGTGGTACGATCATAGCTCACTACAGCCTTTACCTCCTGTTTTCAAGTGATATGTCCACGTATCCCCTCCTAGGTAACTGGGACTACTGGTGTGTGCCACTATACTGGCTTATTTTTTCTAACTTTTTGTAGAAATGGGGTCTTGCTATGTCGCCCAGGCTGGTCTCAATTCCTGGCCTGAAACAATCCTCCCAACGTGGCCTCCCAAAGTGTTGGGATTACAGGCTTGAGCCACCACAGCTGGCCCCCAGTTCCCTTTCTAACAGAACGTCAGCTTTGTTTAATTATTTACCACTCCTCAAAATAGCTAACATGGGCCAAGGGTCAATGACCCCATTTCTAGGTTCTTGTGGGCAGGATGGGAAGATTGATTAGCCAATCACAATAATCCCCTGTGCTTGGTTTAAGAATCTGGGCTTAAACCAATCATTATGTGACATTCTCCTGGTGATTGTCTTAGGTCTAGGATGACATAAGCGGGCACAATAAGACTGAAGGAATGGTCATCAATTCCATATTTTGGGGAAAGGCTCTTCTATCTCTCTTGCTGGAAATAGACTAGTAGGTATGTTGCTGCTGGCAGCCCTTCTGTGACTCTGGACGAGGCTGACTCTTCTGATACCAACTGTTCTGACACCAACTGGTGTACTGTAATATGATTCCCCAGATGCAAATACAAATACCCGGCGTTAGTGGAGACTCCACACGTTAAAGGGCACGGTCCCCTACAAGACTGTTTCACTTCAAATGCCAACCACAAGGTGGGGTCTCAGACCACCAGCATTTCTGACCAGCTGGCTACAAATCTGGGTGTTCCCACAATCCCTCTCAGGTTCAATAATTTACTAGAATGACTCACAGAACTCAGGAAAGCCTACATTATGATTATAGTTTTATAATAAAGAATATCAATCAAGAGCATAGGACAAGACCTAAGAGCTTCTAGAATGCAGAGCTTCTGGGCTCTCTCCCCATGGAATTGGGCCATATCACTCTCCCAGTGCATCAGTGTGTTCATTAACCAGGAGATCCACTGAGCTTCAACATCCAGAGTTTTTATCAGAGTGCCATTCCATTGGCATGACTGAACATTGGCCATGTGGTGGAACTCAATCTCCAGCTGTCCTTCCCTCCTTGGAGGCAGGGCTGGTTCAAAACCCCAACCCTCTAATTACGTGGTTGGTCTTTCTGGTGACCAGTCTTAATCCTGAGCCATCTCAGCATAAACTCAGGTGTAATCCATGGAGCTCATGAATAACAAAAACACTCCTATCCCCTGGGAAATTCTAAAGATTTTAAGAAGCTCTGGGCCAGGAACCTGAGACAGGACCAGACAAATTCTTTATTATACAACCCTGACCTTCAGACAAACCTGAAGGTTATGGAGAAAATACTGATAGAACAGAAGGGAGACAAAGCCAGAGCCCATACTACTCTGCATTCTCTGAAATATGAGCTAGTACTTTCCTCATTATTTAAGCCAGTTTGAATTGGGTTTCTGCACTTGTAGATAATTGATCTTACATTGACTATTATACTTTGAACTGCAAGAAACAGAAAACCCAACAAAAAATAACTTAAACAATAAGAACTATTATTTCACAAAATGAAAATCTGGAGGTAAAATAGTTCCAGAGTTTTCACTTTTTCACTCAGGGTTGGGACAAGGCTGGCACGAAATTTCAGGCGTCCAAAAAAATTCAGTCAGCAAGATAAATAATATTTATGACAATATTTTAAAAATGAAAATTAATGCAAAAAGTTGACTGGGAATAGGCTGGGCATGGTGGCTCATGCCTGTAATCCCAGCACTTTGGGAGGCCGAGGTGGGCGGATCATCTGAGGTCAGGAGTTCAAGACCAGCCTGACCAACATGGAGAAACCCTGTCTCAAAAATACAAAATTAGCTGGGCGTGGTGGCACATGTCTGTAATCCCAGCTACTAGGGAGGCTGAGGCAGGAGAATCACTTGAACCTGGGAGGCAGAGGTTGCGGTGAGCCGAGATTGCGCCATTGTACTCCAGCCTGGGTAACAAGAGGGAAACTCCGTCTCAAAAAAAAAAAAAGTTGGGAATAAAATATCAAAATTTTAAGTAAAGACAATCAGCATTACTGATTTTCTTTTTTTGCACTGGGCTTCAGTATCACTCAGCATGGCACTGTTAGTAACCCTGTGTTTATTTAAAATTTTGATATTTTTAAAAATTTTGGATATTTGCATTATTTTATTTTTAAAACTGTTAATTCTAGGCTGGGCACGGTGGTTCATACCTATAATCCTAGCACTTTGGGAGGCTGTGGTGGGAGGATTGCTTGAGGTCAGGAGTTTGAGACTGGCCTGGGCATCATAGGGAAACCCCCATCTTTACAAAAAAGATAAAAAATTAGCCAGGTGTGGTAGTGCACACCTATAGTCCCAGCTATTTGGGAGGCCAAGGTGGGAAGATTTCTGGAGCCCTGGAGTTCGAATCTGCAGTGAGCTATGATTGCACCACTGTACACCAGCCTGGGTGACAGAGTGAGATACTGTCTCTAATATATATATAGAAAATCTTGACTACTGAGATTGAGATTTTGGGCACCCCTCAAACTTTGTGCCCTAGGTGAGTGCCTCCCTGACCTGGGCCCATTCCCACTCCATTTCACCTTCCCATCCTCAGATGTTGACTGGAGACCTCAGCTGTTTCCCTTCATGATTGTAAGCTGACTGCCACTATTCTGGGAACAACAACCTCAAACAAAAACCAAAGAGTGTTTTGTTCTGTGCATCTTTTCATCAACAAGGAAAACTTTCCCAAAAGCTCCCAGCAGACTTTCCTCACTAGCCAGAATTGCACCTCATGCCATGTCTAAACCAGTCACTGACGAGGCCGGGGCAGCACCCACGCTTGGCTTACAGCAATCACACTCTGAGCCTGGGGAGGATGTGGCTTTCCTTGAGCCCCTGGCCTTGGGGAGGTTGGACAGCTGATCAAGTTCAAGACTTTACCCCAAAGAACACATACTATGTAAAGTTTAGAAAGAAGCCACACATCTCACTTCTCAGCCTTTTGGCTAAGATTAAGTGCAAAAACAAGCCATACTAGTCTATGGCATAGAGCTCAGGAGTGTTGTCACCTTAGGGGAGGTGGATGAGGGTAGTGATTGGAAAGGGGCAGGAGGGCAGCTTCTGGGATACAAGGAATGTTCTCTGTTTCTTAATCTGAGTCATGGGTACTTGGGTGTGTTGACCATTAAGCTGTGGGCATGATTCGTGAACTTTTCTGTAGGTATATTTGAGGCTCAAAGTGTGGTCCACGGCCCAGCAGCATTAACATCACCCAGGAGCTTGTTAGAAATGCAGAACCGAGGTCCCAGCACCTACTGAATCAGAAGCTGCACTTTAACAACATTGCCAGGCAATACACTCACACGTTAAAGTTCGAGAAACACAATACTATACTTCAATTTTAAAAAACTGCTTTCATAGGAAACATCGGGGCTTTCCCAGCAATGAAGGTGGGGAGACTGGGTTTGGGTAGAGCAGGAACAGTGCTGACTCGAAAGCCTGTTACAGGGTTTATGAAGTAGCTACTCACCAATCCCTACTCAGTGGCAGCTGTTTCTGCCGCTCTTCCTCTCTTCAACTGTTCTTCACTTTCTCTCCTTTCAACAATTTGTTTTTCATAAAACAGGGGCTCAGGCAGCACCTGGGGGCTCAAAACACACTGGATGCGGACCTAGTCACGTGGTAAGGACAGCCACATGAAGTAAGAGTGAGATGGCGATTTCCTCTGAAATATGAGCCTCATTCCTTTGAAAGTAGCAAATAATTATCCAGAGGCGTTGGGAAAATAGTAAGAAAATCTTACCTCTATTGAGAAAGAGTGAATGCCAAAGGCCTCCCTTCACCTGCTCCATTGCCTGAAACCAAGCACTCGCCCACCTCAGCTGGAGACATTAGATTGAAAACAAACCCCCAGTCCCCATTTAAAGAGGTCAGCCCTGGGCAGTGAGGATGGGATGTTCACGGAGGTGGGGTGTGTGGTGCTCCTTAGTGGGGGAAATGACTTAAAATATACATGAGCGTAATGGTGATTTCAGCCTGACACAGCTTGGTAAGGAACAGTGGTTCTGCAAGAATCCTTTGTATATGGTTTGCCAGAAGGAACATAAACTGAGATTCTAAACTCTAGAAACACAGGCATTTTAGGAACTGTCCGCTTTATTCCTTTTGCTCTGATTTAAGATAAAAATTCTGCTTCTGATTCCTGCCTGCAATTTCAGCTTACTCAGACCCCTATTTGTGCCCCCACTCCCTTGGTGCTGAAGACCCCCTAGGGAGAGCAGAACGAACCAGCTCGGAGAAGGGACCGGGAAGCAGGAGCCGGGAAGAGGTATCAGCTAATACGTATCAGGCACATCCTCCTTTTAAAGACTCAAGTTGGCCAGGTGCGGTGGCTCATGCCTATAATCCCAGCACTTTGGGAGGCCGAGACAGGTGGATCACCTTAGGTCAGGAGTTCGAGACCAGGCTGGGCAACATGGCAAAACTCCATCTCTACTAAAAATACAACAACAACAACAAAATTAGCTGGGTATGGTGGCGCACGCCTGTAATCTCAGCTACTCGGGAGGCTGAGGCAGGAGAATTGCTTGAACCCGGGAGGTGGAGGTTGCAGTGAGCCAAGATTGCGCCACTGCACTCCAGCCTGGGTGACAGAGCAAGACTCTGTCTCAAAAAAAAAAAAAAAAAAAAAGACTCAAGTCAATGGCAAAGTCAGCCATGGGGGAACTGAGAGAGGTTCCAAGAAGCTGTGGCCTAGTAATCAGACAAAAGGTGTATCCACCACCCAGGGGCCCACAGAAAAGCTCCTGGGTAACCCACATCTACACTCATAACTATGGGCAGGGCCAGCTTCCTGGGGGTGCACCCAGTGCAGGCATATGGGGCCCCACACTCACAAGAGCCCTGCCACTGTCTCAGACTTTCTTTCCTTTCCTTTTCTTTTTTTTCTTTTTCTTTTTTTTTTTTCCAGATGGAGTCATACTCTGTTGCCCAGGCTGGAGGGCAGTGGTGCAATCTTGGCTCACTGTAACCTCTGCCTCCCGAGTTCAAGCGATCCTCCCACTTAATTAGTTTACACAAGGGGCCCTGCATTTTCATTTTGTACTGGGCTCCCCAAATTATGTAGCTGGTCCTGAATGCTAGAATGGCCAGCAAGGGGAGATGTCTTTTGCCTCTGCCCCACCCCTGAGGCCCATGGTGTCCCATGAAGAATCGGATCTTGGCAAAAGCCTGTCCCTTTTGTATTAACCATAAAGAGAAACTGACGGAAAAAAGAAGAGAAAAAGGGGTGGGGGGAGAGAGGTGAAGGAAGAAGTAAACATGTTCATCATCTCTCGATTTATGTTTTTACGTTCAAAACTCCCTTCACTACTTCCACCTCTGTTTAGCACTACTATGCCTTACGCACTTGAAGATCTACAAAATTTTTAAACTTTGAAGGAAAATGTACTTACGAGAAAGTGATAGGAATCATACCCATTGAGTAGACATAGGAATTGAGGTCTTAGAAAAGGGCTTTTCAGAAGGAGACTAGAAGAGAGAGACCCCCAAATAATTGCATTTCCCTCTTCTGCTTCTGAATATTGGATCTATATTCTGGATCTGACTAATTGCCTGAGACTCTTGAATTTCCCTGGAAAGTCTTCAGTCCTTTCCTCCTTCCAAGGTTCTCCCTTCCTTTGAAGGAGCATGTGGAGCTCCAAGTCAACACAAATTGTTCCCCTGTGGGTCCCTTACACCCATTTCTCCCCTGGCTGGGACTCGAGCATTGCAAACACGAGCTCTTGGGCATATTGCTGAGAGAGGATCCTGGCGTGGCAAGTGCAGCCAGCTGGTCTCGTACCCACATCTTTTCAGTAAATTTCTCTCAAGCATATGTACACACACAAATACGCCTTCTGTTGAAGGCAATGAAATAATCTTTCACTGCAGAGGCTGGAGAAAATGTGCAGAACCATGAAATGAAAGCAGTGCTTTCGGGTCTGGGGATGGTTTTTCATGGAGTAGAGACCCTGTTGTCACTATTGCTGAGCACTCGCAGGCCACGTGGAAGTCTGGTGGGACACACTAGTCTCCAGTGCGGGCTCCTGGGAGAGGCATCCCTGTCCAGCCTGGCTAAGGAGGCTCCACAGTCAGCCCTGTCGCAGGACCTGTCTTCCTTTCTTGGCGGCACAGATCACTCTCGGATATCACTTTATGGATCTGCTCGTGTGTTGTCCAACTCCCCACCGGAATGCAAGCCGAACCATCTGTTCTGTTTCCTGCTGTTTCCCCAGTGGACTTAGATGCCCAGTCCACTCTGTCACATGCCTGGGTGTGGGTAAAGTGTGTCTTTGTTCTGGGCCCATGGGTCACTGCACTTGTGGGTTGGGCCACCCTCCCCTCTGACGCGGGGTTGCCTACCTGACCCAAGCTGCTGGCCCGTCTGCTTCTCCCTCTGGGGAATCCGACTTAACAACACAGGGACAGGCTTTGCCAGCCAGCGGTCACCCTGCAGGAGACATGGGGTGCACCAGGTCCTGGGGAGCTGAAACGACAAGAAAGCAGAGGAAGCTGATTGCTGCCAGGACTGGGGCAACAGCAAGGGAAGCCGAAGTTCCGCTGGTCCTTCTCAGGGCACCGTCCAGTGGGAGAGAAGCAATGAGCCCTTACAGCTCAGCACCATGGTGCTCTCACAGGGCCAGCTCTGGACTGCTGGGCACAGAAAAGCAAACTGCTCTTTCCCTCTGAGGGCAGCCTGGGAAGGCTTCCAGAGGCGGGGATCTTGAGTCGAAACTTGAAGAATGAGTGGGGGCATGCTGGGGGTGAGGAGATGAATGCAAATCCCGTTACTGCTGCTGTGCGAGATACTCTCCCTAAAAGAAATCTTCCGTCTGTCTCTGTCTCTCTCTCTCTTTTTCTCTCTGTCTTTGAGGCAGGGTCTTGCTCTGCTGTCCAGGCTGGAGTGCAGTGGTGAGAACATAGCTTATTGCAGCCTTGACCTCTTGGGCAAGCAATTCTCCCACCTCACCCTCCAGAGGAGCTAAGACTACATGTGCAAGCCACCATGCCTGTCTAATTTTTATTTTTTATTTTTTGTAGATGTAGGGTCTCACTTTGTTGCCCAGACTGGTCTTGAACACCTGGCCTCAAGTGATCCTCCTGCCTTGGCCTCCCAAAGTGTTGGGATTACAGGTGTGAGCCACCACACCTGGCCTTCCCAGTTTCTTTCTCTGTGAAAGAGTGATAAGAGCCTCCATGCTTTGGGCTTTTGGGGGTCATGACAATGGGAGCTCAAGTGCCTGGTTCCTAGCACTTGTAGCAGGTAGTTCTTATTCCAGGTGACAAGGTGGCATACACTTCCTGTCTGCTCTCTGCCCTTCATTCCCTCCCTATTGCCTTGTCTGGGTTCAAACCCTCTTCCTTGCCCAAGCTTGCATTGCAGCTGTTGCCTGTACCAATTTCACGATTAAGTCCCATGTGCCTCAGCCAGGGCTGTGGGGTCAGTGTGACCCCTGATCAGTAGCCCAGGCTGCCCCCTGGCCATTTTCTTGCCTTCATCACTAGGATCTAAGCAGCCCCCTGGGGCTTGCAGTGACCCCCAGCACAGCTGCTGTCATAGCCTGCCAACTCTGCCTGCCTCACCCTTTGCTGCTTCATAGCCAAGCCCTTAACCAGGCTGGGTCTGAGGAACAGAGTTGGGGCAGATCGAAGGAGTGGTCATTTGAGGGGCATCCCATGATAACATCTCCAGCAGCCAGATTCTGCTGCTTTGGGGAAGGCACCCATGCTTTGTCCCACCTTCTTTTTCTATATTTTTCTCAGGGCCACGGAGAAAGGATTCATGAGCTCATGTCTCGGAAATGCTTTGAAGATGAGAAACACTGAGCATTTTCCCAACAGCCCTCAATTTACTTTTTCAGCATTCTCTCTGGGTTGTCAAGTCTTTGTAGTTATTTTTATAAATAGCAATTGCCGGCTGCTTCCATTTTTACCCAGGAAAACTCCACCTCCAGCTGGAACTGGCTGCCATCCTACAGCAGATCGGCCATGGGGCTAGATCTGTCCCCATTTCTCTTGACCAACTCCTTTTGCACATCCCTCCCTTTGTTGCAGAGCCCACCTCACTGTCTCTTGTATGCCTCCAATGCCACCCTGTCTCCCTGTCACCAAGCCACTGATCTGTCCCAGTGACTCCTCTCTTCATACACAGCCCAAGTTCTCCAACATGGCACACAAGGCCCTCTGTGCCTTGGCCACCACTCATCTGTTCAGCCACATCCCTGGTCTCGTGCCACTTCTGGGCTCAGTCATCCTGAACTACCTGTTGTTCCCTGAAGCGGCAGGCCGGGTCATGGCTCCAGGCCAGGAGGGAAGACAGTCCATAGAAAATGGAGATGGAGCCTGGTGGTGGGTCTGCCCTGGTGTGGAGGGTAGAGCAGGCTCCTTGACTGATGCACAGTTATGTTTTGTTTTGCTTTTTGGAGACATGGCCTCACTCTGTCACCCAGGCTGGAGTGCACGGGCACAATCATGGCTCACTGCAGATCCAAGCTCCTGGGCTCAAGTGATCCTCTCACCTCTGCCTTTCAAGTAGCTGGGACTACAAGTGCCAGCCATCCCACTTGGCTAATTTTGTTTCAAGAGATGGGGTCTCTCAATGCTGCCCAGGCTAGTCTGGAACTACTGGCCTTGAGTGATCCTCCTGCCTCGGGCTCCCAAAGTGCTGAGATTATAAGCTTGAGCCATCATGCCAGGCCAGATGGTGCACAGTTTTTAAATGAAATATTTAAATCATATAAAAACTCATGGGGAATAATATAACGAATATAATACGATACAATGCATACAATGAACAACACAATGGCCTAATATATGACAAGTCACCTTTATTATCTATGGACCTCTTTTTACCCCTCCAGCTCTCCCCACCAATGAAAACCATTATCAGGCCAGGCACAGAGGCTCACACCTATGATCCCAGCACTTTGGGAGGCTGAGGCGGGCAGATCACCTGAGGTCGGGAGTTGGAGACCAGCCTGACCAACACGGAGAAACCTGTCTCTACTAAAAATACAAAATTAGTCAGGCTTGGTGGCACATGCCTGTAATCCCAGCTACTCAGGAGGCTGAGGCAGGAGAATCACTTGAACCCGGGAGGCAGAGGTTGCAGTGAGCCAAGATTGCGCCATTGCACTCCAGCCTGGGCAACAAGAGCAAAACTCCATCTCAAAAAAAAAAAAAGAAAACCATTATCATAAGTTTGGTGTCGAATATTTCTAGGCAAATCTTCATGCTTTATGTGTGTATGTACCTAAATAATATATAGCATTGTTTTGTGTGTTCTTAGACTATGTAAATGCTGACTTAATGTACATATCCTTATGAGATTTACCCCCTGCTCAACAAGCTAACTCTTGCTTTCTTGCTGATACCAATAATAATCTTTTTATTACAGTCTTAACAAGAGTCATGCCAGTCAGTGAGGTTCTAAGGATGGGAGTGGTGGGAGCAGTCCAGGCTGCAGGAAGGAACATTTTGTCACTGGCATTGTTTAGAATTGCTGGTGCATGCATGCTGGTAATAAAAAGCAGACCAACTTTCAGTGTCAGGCTGCCCTAACGAAGTACCATGGACTGGGTGGCTTAAGCGATAGACATTTCTTTCTCACAGCTGTGGAGGTTGGAAGTCGAAGGTCAAGGTGTTGGCAGGGCTGGTTTCTCCTGAGGCCCCTCTTCTTGGCTTGTGGATGCCCCCTTCTTGCCGTGCCTTCATGTGGCCTTTTCTCTGAGCCCATGCATCCCTGGTGTCTCTGTGTATCCAAATTTCCTCTTATAAGGACACCAGTCACACTGGATTAGCGTCCACTCAAATGACCTCATTTTAACTTAATCATCCTTAAAGGCCTTACCTCCAAATACGGCCCCATTTTGAGATACTGGGGGTTCAGGCTTCAACATAGGAATTAGAGGGGACACAAGGCAACCCATCACAATCACCAAGCCTCAGTGTCCATGGGGGTGAAATATACTCTGCTGCTGTTGGGCACCGCAGAGCCACGCGGCAGGAGAGAGTACAGAATTGACAGCAACAATCCACCTATCAAAGTGAGGTGCTATCTCCATTTTTATAGATAAAGAAACGGGCCCAAAGACCAGCCCCAGGCCATACCACATATCTAGGAAGCCGCATCAAGGGGTGCCTTAACGCCAACGCCTCAGACAAATCCAGGTCTCTTTGCTGCCCTGGAGCGTGGCTGCTCCACCTTTTTCTTGTTCTCAACCCCCAGGCTCTGGACCTGTCTCTGTCCTCAGGACCATGCACGTGGAAATTCTGCTGCCGGAGCTGCCAGCCCATAACTTTTGGGATAAACTCTCCCATCAGGTGTCCAGTGACAGCTGCCAGTGGGTGCCAGGCTAACAGGGTATTTGTGTTCCAGGTCATCTGGCGTAACTTGCTCCTTTCCCACCCCAGGACTGTCATCTCAGGGAGCCTGTTCTGGTGACTTCTGGAAAGGCCTGGACTCCTTTGTTCCATGGAGTCATCAGGTAACTACGAAGAGTCCTCAGTTTGCTTTTCCCCAGCGCCTTGTCGAGCTTCCTTGGGTGTCCCAGGTCTTGCTGTGTTCAGTGCGGCTTGGGTCATACTTGGTCTTCTTGGGCAATGACAAAGGTGGCTTTTAGTTAGGGAAGGAAGACAGCCTCAGAAGGGAGAAGCCTATCAGTATTTCAAGCCCCAGGCGATGTGAAAAACTGAGCCTTTGTTTGGGAGTGTCAGCCCCCAGGACTTGCGTGTTTCTGCCCTGAAGCGTTTTCTGCTTTCTGAAGGCTGCAGTTCTCTTCCTCGTTTTATTGACTGCCTACGTGCCAGGGGCTTTGTGAATATTACCGCACTGAAATTCCCAATACCCAGCAAGAAGGCATTATTATCCTTATTTTACAGATGAGAAAATAGAGATTAAACAACTTACTTAACTGTTTGAACTCCGTGGGGCACAAACATGAAATGATTCTATTTTTTCTCCAGATCTTTTTAGAGATTTATACCAAATCTCCTTTTCATAATTCCATAGCTTTTTGGTTGTTTTTAGGTATTAAAAAACCCCTATGGTCCAGTCCACTTTCTTTTCAAAGCCTCAAATCTTGAATCCGATATCATATCCACTGCCTGCGCTTCCCTCAGACCAGCCTGCCTCGAGCCAGGCACCTATCGTGAGGGTGGGGTGGTCGGTCTTCATCCCTCTCCTCCCTCTTTTGGTGCCTCTCTCTTCCTGTGCTTGGGGACTTGGGGAAGAGGAGGGAGTGCAATGGGGAAGATAATCTTTTCGCTTCACTGGGCATTTGATCGTAGCCTCTTCTTTGCAGGTTTTGTGGGTTCTCTACTGCTGTTCTCAAGATGGCAGGTGTTGGGCCGGGCGTGGTGGCTCACGCCTGTAACCCCAGCACTTTGGGAGGCGGAAGTGGGCAGATCATGAGGTCAGGAGATCGAGACCATCCTGGCTAATACAGTGAAACACCGTCTCTACTAAAAATACAAAAAAAAATAGCTGGGGGTGGTGGGGGCGCCTGTAGTCCCAGCTACTCAGGAGGCTGAGGCAGGAGAAAGGCGTGAACCCGGGAGGTGGAGCTTGCAGTGAGCCGAGATCGTGCCACTGCACTCCAGCCTGGGTGACACAGCAAGACTCTGTCTCAAAAAGAAAAAAAAAAAAAAGATGGCAGGTGTCCAAGTGCCATCTCCCAAGGGGGATGACTTTGGGTCCCTCCCTCAAGCCTCTCCCTCTGACAGCTGGAGTCCCTCTGTCTGGGGTGGGCTCCTGGGGGCAATGCCGGTAGACAGGCCAGGAAACCTGCTGCCCCACGAAACTCGCGGGTAGGGCTTGGGCATGTGAGCTGCTCCACTGCAGACTCCTCCATCCTGCCCCGTGGATGCTCAAATGTGCTTCTTACGGGCATCCATGATCTGGAATTCTCTTGCAGTGCCTCCCTTGACTGAGGAGGGGAAAGCCAAAATACTGCCCAATACACTGCTCCTATAAACTCCGGGGAATTTCCCCCTGGAATCTCATCTTCTGCTTACACAGTCTGAGGGGATGGCAAGGCTGGGGTGTGGTTGGGTCTAGCAGAGCTGAGTTGGGACATTCTAACCAGTTTATTTTTATTGGGGTGAAATCCACATCAAATAAAATTAATCACCTTAAACTCAAAATTCAGTGGCATTTAGTATCTCCACAATGTTGTGCAACCACCACTTCTATCTAGTTCCAAAACATTTTAATCACCCCCAAAGAAAACTCTGCACCCATTAACCAGTTACTCCCCATTTCCCCTTTCCCCAGTCCCCGGCGGCCACCAATCTGCTCTCCATCTCTATGGGTTTACAAGTGCGTACATTTTGACATCTTTCTTTTGGGTCTTCTTTCCCTAAGATTAGCTGGATGACTCTATCAACCATGACCAAAAACTCCTTTTTATTTATTTATTTGTTTATTTATTTGAGATGGAGTCTTGCTCAGTCGCCCAGACTGGAGCGCAGTGGCGCGATCTCGGTTCACTGCAAGCTCCACCTCCTGGGTTCATGCCATTCTCCTGCCTCAGCCTCCCAAGTAGCTGGGACTACAGGCGCCCACCACTACACCCGGCTAATTTTTTTGTATTTTAGTAGAGACGGGGTTTCACCATGTTAGCCAGCCAGGATGGTCTCAATCTCCTGACCTCGTGATCCGCCCATCTTGGCCTCCCAAAGAGCTAGGATTACAGGTGTAAGCCACTGTGCCCAGCCTAATATTTTTATTTCATTTTATTTTTTGTAGATATAGGATCTCACTATGTTGCCCAGGCTGGTCTTGGACTCCTGGGCTCAAGTGATCCTTCCCTCTTGGCCTCCCAAAGTGTTGGGATTACAGGCATGAGCCACCATGTCTGGCTCACCAAAGGCTTCTGATATCCCTAATGGACCAAATATTTCTTGAAAATTCAAAGGGATTGTAGTATGTGGTGGGATTTTTAGGCAGGAACCACCAATTATTAACTTTCAGTAACCATCTCTAAATGGCCACGACTGCACTGACCTCAGAGCCACAATCTGTCAGGCCACAGGCACTTAGTGAGGACCCTTGTCTGCATGTCATAACACAGTGGTGGGTGCCACAGAAAAATGGAAAGAGACGCGCATGGTACAGTGGAAAATCCACCCAAAGTGGATGCCTGTTCTGATGCCAACTTGCTGTGCATTCTTAGACAAATTACTTAGCTTCCCTGGGCCTCAGTTTTTTTATCCATAAGATGAGTGATGACATATTATTTATGCAAATTGTAAAACAATAAAAAAGAAAAATCAAGTCTCAGAATAGGTAACCTTTAAGTTTTCTTTGATGTTAAGGTCATTATGAGACTTAGTTCTTGCCTCTGTGGGGCATTACCTAGTATGAGGAAAACAAAACAAAGAAATGTAGAAAACAATAAGAGTCAATACCAAGCTGTGGCTCAGTGACTTGGAGTCTCTAGGGGTCCAGAGAAGGGAGGAGAGGGTGTGTGCCCTGTGAGAGAAGGGCTGTGGACCAAAACTGACAGGATAGTTTTTACAAAGAGTGATGTGAGAAGTGGGCATGAGCAGGGTGTGCCAGTGCGACTGTGTGTGTGTGTATGTGTGTGTGTGTGTGTGTGTGTGTGTGTGTCTGCGTGTGATTGTCTAGTGGGGAGGACTGCTTAAGATTAAAAGACGCTCAGGAGACATATCTACCAAATGCAATGTGTGAACCTTGTTTAAATCTTGATTTGAACAAAGCAACTGTAAAATAGACATCTTTGGAACAATCGGGGGAATTTGAATATGGATTGCATATTTGATGGCCATAAGGAAGTTTTGCTCATGTTGTTAGGTGTGTTAATTTGTGAACACGGGTGTGAACAACTAAATATGCCTGTTATGTAAGAAAATGTCCTTATTTTTCAGAGATACATGCTGAAATCATTTAGCAACATTATGATGCCTGAGATTTTTTTTTCCACAAAAATAAAAATAGATGAAACAAATGTGGCAGAATGGTAATCATTGTTAAAGCTAAGAGATGGGTGTTTGGGTATTTCTTGTATGGTTTGTATGAGTCAGGATCTAACCAGGAGACAAAGACCACTGGAGTCTTGAAAACAGAAGGACTTTGAGGCAGAGTATTGGTTATTGGTTACACAGTGGGTGGGAGACTGAGCAGCCAAACACACAACCCTGAGATTAGTGTCAGATGTGACAACCCTGGGCTGGGGGGCAAGGCCAGGAAAGTGCTGTCGCTGGAGAGCAGGGGCTGTAGCACAGGGGCAAAACAGAAACCACAGCAGGCCTTTTGGGAGAGGCGCCGGAGCCATGGCAGAACCGCAGCTGCAGCAGGGACACTACCCGAGGTAGACAGAGAGGGAAAACCTTGGCTTGTCCCATCCTCCCACCTCCCCATCTCCTGCTAGTGCTCCCCGTTGGCCAAGCCCCATCTCCAACCAAAATGGAGTCATCAGGGGCAGCTCCATGCAACACGGAGTGGAGGAGGGGAGGGGCGAGTGGCATGGATGTGAAGCCAGACAGGTCCAGGGCCTAAGCTCTGTTCTCTCTGTGCATTTTTGTTTGTTTGTCTCATCTCTACCCTGAAGCATAGTTTGCACATTAGCATCTCATCCCTTCAAGCTTGCCATGGAGGCCTCTTGCCACCTTCCAGAGAGCTCTGGACAGCAGGGCCCTTGGGGCAGAAGAGCCATTATTTCCATTTTACAGCAGCTGCTGGAAGCTCAGATAACACCTTTCTGGCAAAGAAACCAAGAACGTTTCTGTGTCAGCTTCGCCTGCTGACAAGGACCCAGAAAGAATCCACTGCTGTCATTGCAGAACCTTCAGCTTTGAGGAACCATGGAGATTTGGCCTAATTCTCCACAGTGGTCCCAGTGGTGACCTAACCCAAATCCGTTTCCTTGTCTTCCTGCCACCAGAACCTTGATTTTGTTCAGGCTGATAATGTGCCCAGCTAAACGAATTTGCTTCCCCAGTGCTCTTGGGGTTACTGATGATCACGTGATCAAGTTCTGGCCAATGAGGTGTAGATGGAAGTCCTCGGGGTGGGTGATCCTTCCAGAATAAAAAGGCAAGTCTCAGGCCGGGCGCAGTGGCTCATGCCTGTAATCCCAACACTTTGGGAGGCCAGTAGTTCGAGACCAGCCTGGCTAACATGGCGAAACCCTGTCTCTACTAAAAATACAAAAAATTAGCTGGGCGTTGTGGTGGGCGCCTGTGGTCCCAGCTACTCGGGAGGCTGAGGCAGGAGAATCGCTTGAACCTGGGACGCAGAGGTTGCAGTGAGCCGAGATCACACCACTGAACTCTGGCTTGAGTGACAGTGCGAGACTCCTTCTCAAAAATAAAATAAAATAAAATAAAATAAATAAATAAAATAAAAAGGCAAGTCTCTTTACTCTCCCACATCTTTCTGTGTGAAACATGGGTGCAATGCCTGGTGATGCAGCAGCAACCTTGTGACCATGAGGGCTAATGTTAGATGCTGGGAGAAGAAGAAGGCTGAGACAATGATGACATTTTTGAGCAGCTTCACCGGTCCTGGAGTGCCTAACCCTGGACCTCTTGTAAGGTAATTAAAATAAATCTCTTATTTAACCCACTGTTTCTTGGGTTTTGTGTTATTTGCAGGTAAATACATACCTGATTCAAAGCAAAAAATATGTTTTTTAGTCAACAAAAGAAAAAAAAAGGAAGCTAGCTTTTCAAGGAGGTAACATAAAAGAAGCAAAGTCAGTTACCAAGGAAGAGACTAGCAGCATTACCTCTGTGGCCCAGCGCTAGCCACTCAGCAAAGGAAATATATGCTGACAGATGGGTGAACAGATGTGAACAAGTGAGTGGCCATCTGAGCAGTGAATCTGGAAAGCGTGAAGACTCCTAGTGGTGAGGCCACCCCTTCCATTTCCCCACAGGAAACCAGCAACAAATACTGCCAGAATTCGGCCAGGCGCTGTGGCTCACGCCTGTAATCCCAGCACTTTGGAAGGCCGAGGCAGGCAGATCACCTGAGGTCAGGAGTTCAAGACCAGCCTGGCCAACGTGGCGAAACCCCGTGTCTACTAAAAAAACACAAAAAGTAGCCGGGCGTGGTGGCACGCAATTGTAATCCCAGCTACTTGGGAGTCTGAGACAGGAGAATTGCTTGAACCTGGGAGGCAGAGGTTGCACTGAGCAAGATTGCGCCACTGCACTCCAGCCTGGGTGACAGAGCGAGACTCTGCCTCAAAAAAATATATATATATATAAATATATATAATATATAATATATAATATATATATATAGAGAGAGAGAGCCAGAATTCCTGGCATTGTCACAATTACCAGGGGTTAAGGAATTATTTCCTGAATGTCATGGTAAAAATGCAAGTAGATAACATGGAAGGAAAATACATAAGTTTGTTCGTCACCCAACAGGACTCTAAGGTGATAGGTGTAGTGGACACACCCTAAAATGGCCCCCAATGAGTCACACCCTGTATAACCCCCACCGTCTATTCTTGAGTGTGGGAGGAAACTGGGACTTGCTTCTCATCAACAGAATATGGCCTGGCCAATGTGATGGACTGTCACTCCCTTGATTAAGTTACATTATATGGCAAAGGGGGTTTTATACACACACACACACACACACACACACACACACACACGGATCTGAGTGGGCTGAAGGGAGAGAGTAACTCGTATGTGCTGACTTTGTGGAAGTAAGCTGCCATGTTGTGAGAATGCCACATAACAAGGAACTATGGACAACCTCTAGAAGCTGAGAGGGGTTCCTGCTGACAGCCAGCAAGAAAATAGGGACTTCAGTCCTACAACCGTAAGGCGACAGATTCTGCCAACAATCTGAATGAGTCTGTAAGACTTGGGAGACCTTGAGGCTACTCAACAGCGTGTGCCCAGGCTCTGAGACCAGCCCCAGTCCAGCCTCCAGATGAGAATGCAGCCCAGCTGATCCTTTGATTGCAGCCTTGTGAGTCCCTGAGCCGAGGACCCAGCTAGGCTGTGCCCAGGAACTGTGAGATAATAAATGTGTGCTGGAATAAGCCACTAGGTTTGTGGAAACCTCATACACAGCAGTGGAATAGAGAATAAAGATGCTTTGGTACAAGAAGGCTTTGAAAAGTCAGCCTGGGACCTGGCCTGGGGAGGGGAGATCTGGGCAGAGCATTCATTTGTTCATTCATCCATTTGTCAGCTGCTTAAAAAGAGCCACTAATACGTGCCAGGAACTAGGTCACCAAATGAGGCTTTTGTCTCACACTCCTTTTTTCAGTTTTAGCCAGAGCCGCAACTTTCCCTTCCAGATGTGGTTGAAGGGACAGGAAGGGGAATTCAAATTATACTGAGTTCCCACAGGACCTGGGCACAGAACCAGATGCTTTCCATATGTTGACTCTATCAATCAACACAATGACTCATAAGGCATGGATTAATATAACCATTTTACAGATTTATAACACTGAGGTCACACAGTGGTAGAGCTGAGATTCTGAGAAATTAAGTCAGCTCCTCCCATTCTAAGCTGGGTTTTTGGCTTAGGGAAAAACCAGGTCATCTGAGCTCATGTGGCCTACTTTATTTTCTTATGTTTGCACAACGATGAAAATGTGTCCTACTTTATCAAGCTACCTTCCTCCTCCTCCTTTCCTCCCCTTCTTCTTTATCAGAAGCACATTCTTTTTTTTTTGAGACGGAGTCTGGAGTGCAGTGGCACAATCTTGGCTCACTGCAAACTCCACCTCCCAGGTTCAAGCGATTCTCCTGCCTCAGCCTCCCAAGTAGCTGGGATTACAGCCATGCGCTACCACGCCCAGCTAATTTTTGTATTTTTAGTACAGACGGGGTTTCACCATGTTGGCCAGGATGGTCTCAATCTCCTGACCTCGTGATCCACCCACCTCAGCCTCCCAAACTGCTGGGATTACAGGCGTGAGACAACATGCCTGGCCCAGAAGTACATTCTTAAGAGTTAAAATATTATGCATTAAAAAAATACAATCTGGTAGTAACTTATGGCAGCTTCTAAATGGAATAAATGTCTAGAGTACCTTCTTCACTTCCTTTGTCAGCATGTTCTTCCTCTTCCATGGAGACATTATTAGACCATGCTTTCAAATGCTTTCTAAATTTGAATCTGGTGTCAACACTCCTTTCGGCTGCATTCCACTGCATTGCTGTGAGGGTTTAGTGAAATAATACAGATAAAGTATCTGCCTTTTTTTAAATACAAAGTTCTGTATTTTTCTCTTTTCACTTACCATGTGCATTGGTCAGAGTCCTGGCAGGAATGGCATTCATACTGATGCTTCAGATGAAGGGCTATTTAGTAAAGGATGATTTACAGAGATGTGGACAAGTTTAAGGAAACCAACAAAGGATGTTGAGGCACCCAGCAGCTGGCAATAGCAGGAAGCTGTTACCACCCTTAGGATCAAGGGGAGGCTGCCCAGTGGAAGCTGCAGTCCTGGAGGCCCTGAGACAGGCAGAGAGTGGAGGAGACAGATCCCAGCCTCTCCTCCCAGCCTTCCATCTTCTGCTGGTGTCTCCTGTGGGCTGAATCCAGCTTGGAGCCAGAGGGGAAGGGAGTCGGGGTGATCCGGAGCATGGGACCAACCTCCTGGGGTGCGGGGCAGGGCAGAGCATGATTCTGGAAGAACGAATGGAGAAAAACATCCACATTATATGTGAGCACTATCCCATGTCATTAAATATCCCTGGACGCCAGGGTTTTTAACTGCTAAATGACATTTCATCATACGGTGGGACTACAAGTTATTATCAGTAGTAGTATGAAGGGACATTTGGAATGGCCCCTGCTCAATGAGTGTGATGGGCATCTTTGCCCATAATTATTTGTCAACATCTGCCATTTTACATGACTCAGTGGATGGGGCCTCTCCACAGGCCACAGGCTTGGAGAGTTCAGGCGAGAAACCCCAGAGGCCCAGCCTCGCTCCCAGCTGTCCCAAGAGGTCCCTGGAAACCATGATGTGCCATCAACTCCTACTTTCTTTGTCCAGTTACAAGTCAGGAGTAGCACCCAAAAGAACTGTTCTAGAGGAAAATGCAGGGCTGGGCCCAGGGCTGAGGGCTGAGGGATAAAAGTCTAACGGTGACAAAGGTGCCACTCCCTAGCAGGCTAGTAAAGCGAGGAGGCGCTCCTAGCTCTCTGGGCTTCCACCGGCCCTTCTCCCGGGGGCTCCTGCTGAGCCGGCCACGCCCTGGGCCACGGTGAGCTTGCTCCCCCTGCTGGCCAGATAGGGCATCTGCGGGAAACAGTGCCCAGCGGGCTCCTGCCCGGTCACAGGAATTGGCCACTCTGAGGATAGTATGCACCCAGGCTCTGGTACCAGCCCCCTGAGAAGTTCCCACAGGGCTTTGAGCATCCAAGGGATGACATCCCTGGGATAGAGGACTGTTTTGGTTAGAGCAGGAGGTCTGACACTATTGGAAATTTAAATCGGCATACATATCAAGAACCTTAAAATGTTCAATTCAGCCTCACCTCCTCCAGGAAGCCTTCTGCAATCACACTCCCCAACCACCCAGTGCAATCTTTATGCCCTTTTCCCCTGATCCCATGGCATTTTTGCTTGTCTCTGACTCAGGTGAATAAGAAAAGTAACTTTATTTTGCATTAATTTTTACATTTTTATTTTGAACTCCAATTCCATCAAAAAGTGGTAGTAACTTAATTTTAGTCATTTCAGGGTTCTCTCCTGCCCTTTCCCTGGGATTATGTCCTAGAGCAAGGTGGGTGAACAAAGGAACTCTTATGTAGTGCCAAGACATAGGAGCCACCAATCCTCTTTGTCATCTGTCCTCATAAGCACCATCTCACTCACTGCTGAGATGTTCCTGGGCAGCAGCCAGCAGCCAGCAGCCAGCAGCCAAGGAGTCCCCATGAGAGGCCCCACATTCCTGATGGTGGGACCCCTTCACTTGTTACATTGGTGAAACTGCCTTTGCAATATTATAACTGAGGAAATGATGACAGTGAAAGAAATCAGACCTAACCGACTCCATCTTGCTTCTAACATTTAAGCTGTCCTTGTTCATTCCTGGGCATAGGCCAAACTAACTTTGGGAAGGAATTCAGTTCATGGTTTGGCTATGAAACAAAATCAGTTCTTGCCTGGGGACCAGCCTGGCTTTGCAGGACTAACAAATTAGCTACAAGATTAGAAATTACAGTTTAGGGGTCATGCAGCCTCCGGCTCCAAGAGTCTGAACTTCCCCAAATTGCTCCTGAGGATAACATCACTACTGTAAAACCTAAGATCCGTGCTTGAGATATTCTGCAGACCCTGCACTGGATGGATCAGCTGAGAAACTAGACCGGTAATCTGACTCAACCTGTTCTGCTGTCCCACCCAGGAACAGAAGACAGCAAGAAAAGCTCACTTTGATCCTCTCTGATTCCCTCTCCAATCTGACCAATCAGCACTCCCCACTTCCCAAGCCTTCCTATCTGCCAAATTATCTTTAAAAACTCTGATTTTAGTAATAATAGAGACTGACTTCAGTAATAATAAAACTCCCGGTCTCCCGCCCAGCTGGCTCTGCGTGAATTCCTCTTTCTCCATTGCAGTTCTCCTGTCTTGATAAACCGGCTCTGTCTAGGCAGCCAGCAAGGTGAACCCATTGGGCGGTTACACTGGGATTCACTGGAACCCCTCTGTGGCCTTGTCACTGCGCTGGGACACCGGACTTTCTGAAAGAACAGGTAAGGAGAGCTCTATTCAGCTCTCCGCACCCCACCCCCAACTGGGCTCCCCCGACCCCCTAGGGAAATGAGGGCCAGGCTCCCTCTGCTCTCAATCCCCTCAACCCACTCGCGGTCCTGCCACCTCCCAGGGCCTCAGTTAGGAGGCAGGACCCAGAACCCGCTTTTCACCTTTTTCCCTTCACCCAGCCCCAGGAACCTTAGCCTGGCTCAACTTCCTCTCTTTTGCTCCTGTTGTTTTCTCCTAGATCTTTTGTCCAAGCCCAAGTAACTTTCTGTTCCCCTATGGCTCTAGGAAGGCTTGGAAAACAAAAGCCAGGAAGCAACTCCTTTTTTCTGCTTTCTGCTCTCATACCTCTTCCCTGGGGCAAAGGACACAGCACCTTAAATAGGGAGAAAAAAGGAATAAAGGGAAAAGGAGGTGGGAGGGATGGGGGAGGAATAACCTGCTGTTTCAGAACTACCAGGTCACCACACATTCCTGCCCTCCTGCCTCCAGCTCTGTCCTTGGCTCTCTTGTCCCCAGGATCAGTCAGACCTGTGGCGAATCAGAGAAGAGAAGGCTGTGAGCCTTTTAGGGACAGCGTCCTCCCTGTGATCGCGGTTGCCAGCACAGGCCTGGCCTGAGGGAATTGCAAATGCATGCATGTAAAGATCTCAAAACAGCCAGAAAAAGCAAGGTTACCTATTCATGAAAGAGGCCGGGACAGCTGCAGAGAAAAACAAAGCCATGTGGATCTCCTAGGACAGAAATCTGCAGGAAAAACTGCCTTTAGTGAAGTGACACTTGCCTAGGAGCCAGGAGACCTACAAAATGGTGTTTCCATTTTACCATAGGCCAGGTCTTGTCATTGAATCTGGGAGGCAGAAGTAAAGAGAAAAGATCATGGCCTTTGCAGTTGATGCTGCCTTTTGAAACATGGCCCGATGGTGGGTGCAACTGTAGGTAAGTTCTTAACCCTTAACCTTTCCATAAGTCTCATTTTTCTCATCTGCAAAGCAGACAATCTCCCCATTGCAGTGTTGTGAGGATTAAAGGAGAATATATATCAGAAGACCTAACATAGTACCTGTTTGGCGTATGGAGATGGGGCATTCTCTCCATGTGGACAAGCTCGAGTTGACCGTTGCTTTAAATGTCCCGGAAAGCCAAGGACAATGCCACGGGAACTCTCAGGCTCCCAACAAGAGTAAACTGAAAGAAACAATGATACTGGCCTCACCTTGAAAGTCACTGGCCTGCAGATTCCCATGGCACCCAGCTTCCTGCTTGTTCCCTCCCACGATCCATACCCCAAGTACACCCACCTCTTGTTCCCATTCCTGTTTCCTGTTCCTTCTTTCTTTCTGTTTCCTTTTAATTGCATTTATTTTATGCTGAATTTATTCCAGAGCCATACGTTTTTGTTTCTTTAGTTTCTTCTGCGCTAACTTTTTCTTCTGGGCAACCTCCTCTTCTGGTTTAGGAACAATTTGTTCCTTTTCAGTAAGGATGATCTCGATGTGGCAGGGAGAGCTCATGTGTGGGTTAATCAACCATGAGCTCTCTAAGTCTGGAGGGGCATTTTACGTGCTTTATTCACCTGGATGTGCTCAATGACCAAAGAATCTACATCTAAACCCTTAAGTTCAGCATTGCTCTCTGCATTTTTAAGCTAGTGCAACAAAAACTCAGCACTCTTTTTGGACCACTGACCTTGTGTCCAGCCTCACTTCTTGGCCTGGGCACTACCAACTCCCCCATTGTAACATCAGAATGGCACTGATATGGTCTGGCTCTGTGTCCCCATCCAAATCTCATCTTGAATTGTAATCTGCATTGTAATCCCCATGTGTTGGGGGAGTGACCTCTTGGTGAGACAGCCAGGTGGGAGGGGGTCCCTGGAAAAACTCCAACCGGCTTGCACCCTGGGGTGGAGCCTTGGGAAATTCACTCCTTTTGCAGTGGGGAGGAGCCTGGCCCCTCCTCTTCCTGTGTGGAACCTGGGATTCTAGCTGCGGGTGGGAAGCACCCTAGTAGGGACTCTAGCCTAACAAGACAATGGAACCCTGTCTTACTCACCATTCAAATTGTCTGCGAGCCTGAATTTTCGTAGCTGTGGGACAAAGAGCCCTGTCTTTAGCTGAACTAAGGAAAAGTCCTGCCACAGTGGGAGGGGATTGGATCATGGGGGCGGTTCCCCCGTGCCGTGCTTGTGATAGTGAGTGAATTCTCACGAGATCTGATCGTTTTATAAGGGGCTCTTCCCCCTTCACTTGGCACTTCTCTTCCTGCCATCTTGTTGAATAAGTCCTTGCTTCCCCTTCGCCTTCTGCCATGAACGTAAGTTTCCTGCGGCTTCCCCAGCCATGCTGAACTGTGTGAGTCACTTTCCTTTATAAATTACCGAGTCTGGGGCAGTTGTTTATGGCAGTGTGAAAACGAACTAATACAGGTACACACTGTCTCTGTAAAGTGACATCGTTCAGACACTTCGTGGCTTTTCATATAAGCACACCCTTGATGACCTGGGCAGTTTCACAAGTGTCCTTTCTTTTGGTTTTGAGACAGAGTCTCACTCTGTCGCCGAAGCTGCAGTGCAGTGGCATCGTGTTGGCTCACTGCAACCTCCGTCTCCTGGGTTCAAGCAATTCTCCTGCCTCAGCCTCCCAAGTAGCTGGGATTACAGGTGCCCACCACCACGCCTGGCTAATTGTTATATTTTTAGTAGAGACGGGGTTTCACCATGTTGGCCAGGCTGGTCTCGAACTCCTGACCTCAGGTGATCCACCCACTTCGGCCTCCCAAAGTGCTGGGATCACAGGCGTGAGCCACCACGCCCAGTCTCAAGAGTGTTCTTAAAGTGAACACAAAGATGGAAACACCTTGATTTGCAAGATTTAGTAGGGTTTTCTGGGTCAAATGAATAGCGAACCATTTTCACAGATCATCTCAAGCCACTTAGGAGAAGACCCCCATCTGCTGTTTCACTTCCATCCTAGGTTCCTCTTCACCCTGAAGTTTGGTCATTAGAACCAGTGAGCCAATAACTTGCTTCCTTACCTCCTGTTGTTCAGCCAGGATGTCTTGGCACCTGTGTGCAAGCTGCTGGGGCTCAGAAAATTATACCTCAAAGTATGGTGCTTCGGTGTGCTGAGCACTTTTAAATGAAAGGAAGTTGGAAGGCCTTAGAAGCGGTCTCAGAACCAAAGACTTTCTAGCCTTCTCTTGTTTCTTCCCCCAACTGTGCAGGGAGGGGATCTCTCTGAAGTTCCCTCCAGAAGGAACACTTTGACCCCCTTCCTAGGAATCTCATCAAATAAGCGGAAAGATTAACCACGGGAGAAGAGAAAAGAATAAAAGTTGCTACCACACCCAGGCAGACTTTTCATCTGTTCTTCTGAGGGCCACTCCAAGAGATTACCGGGGAGACTTTGCCTGCAAAATAAGGCAACCTTTGTTCACCGTGAAGTTCTGCCCTCACCTTCCTGCAAGTTGGCATTGCCTCCCCTGGAGCTCAGAGGAACTTCATCCCAGGCTATTGTCTGCTTTTTAGGCTCATTCATTTCCCCTAAAAATAATTTATTATGCCTCAAAATTGCCTATGTTCCCCCACCTCCCTCTCCCCTATGAAGAGGGTGCTATTTAAGCTCCAGCCATCTGGCCCTTCTTTGAGCCTCATATTTTGTATGGCTCCTGTGCATACTTGCACATTCATACATTTGCATGCCTTTAATCTGTCTAGTATCGGTTCATTTCAGTGAACCTTCAGAGGGTGGAGGGGAAGCCCTCAGCGAGGTTGCTGTGAAGAGGAGGGAGACAGAAAGCAAGGAATCCAGAGTGAGAGAGAGAGAGGAAGCTGAGGGAGCCACGACAGCACAGACAGAGGGGAGGGGTGAGGAATCGAGTAGTTTTCTGGGAAGGGGGGCCTGCAGTGCTTTAGGCAGAGGGAACAACATGTGCAAATATCTGGAGGTAAGAAAGAATAGCCTGGACTTCGTTTTGTTTTGTTTTGAGATAGAGTCTCTCTGTTGCCCTGGCTGGAGTGCAGTGGCTCCATCTCAGCTCACTGTGACCTCCGCCTCCTAGGTTCAAGTGATTCTCCCGCCTCAGCCTCCTGAGCAGGCACACACCACCAAGCCCGGGTAATTTTTATATTTTTAGTAGAGATGGGGTTTCACCATGTTGCCTGGGCTGATCTCAAATTCCTAGGCTCAAGTGACCCACAAGCCTTGGCCTCCCAAAGTGCTGGGATTGCAGGCATGAGCCACAGCACCTGACCAAATAGCCTGTACTTCTACAGAGCTGGATCCCTAAAGCAGGCACATGTGGAGACGGGAAGTGGAGGCAGACCCTGACCCTGCAGTCCTGTTTAGGAGTTTGGTTCCGTGTTTTGTTGTGGTTCAATTCAAGGCAAGTTGAGTGTGACCAGCACCTCTGGGAACTGTACCTTTGGATCTCTTGAGGAAGCCAAGGTGTGCTGGAACTGTCAGCACCAGCCTGCAGCTGGTCAGCCAGGTCTGTGTCTGGCCATGTGAGAATTTCCCCAGGGCAGGGTGCTTCCCTCAGAGACCGGAGTAGCTGGAGAGACAATGGATTTCAACAACAGAGTGAAGCTAGAACAAAAGCTTCCAGACACAGGTGGGGAAAACTCCTGTCCATCCTTCACAAGACCCTATACAATCTGGCCCCTTCCCCCACCTCCCCAACGTCATTTCCACTTCTCCCTGCCTCCCCGACCTCCCTGCTCCAACTTCAAATGTGCCAGGCCCGCTCCTGCCTCAGGGCCTCTGCCCTTGTCTCCCCTCTGCCTGGAATGCTCTTTCCCCGGATTTCCACTTGGTTCACTTCCTCTTTGCTCCATCGTCACCTTCTCAGTGTAGGCTGTCCTTGGCCACACTGTTGAGAAATGCATCTGCCCCCTATACCCAGCCCTTCCCATCCCTTGTCCCACTGCTGCCCTGCTTATCATCCTGGATGCTCTATAATGACTTATTCCTTGTTTATTGGCTGTGCCTCTCACTAGAATATAAGAGCAGGCATTTTTATCCATTGTGATTTCTCTAGGGCCCAGAACAGAGCCTGGCACATATCAGATGTTCAATAAATGTGTGCTAATAAATGAAGGGTTGGTGGTAGGGATGTGGCAGGTTTGTGTGAAGCACTGCCCCCACACCGTGGTCACCATGAGGTCCGTGACAAATGATAATACCAGCAACAGACCTTCTCCCCAGGTCTAGTCCTACTGGGGTTTACAGTACCCTCAATAATGACCTCAACAGCTGCCACCCAGCTACACTCTTCCCTTGGTTCTAGTTTAATCCCTGAGGACTGAGCTCTGCCCTCATGCTTTTGAACAGCTGGGATTTCTGAACACTGTCCCCATTCAGGCTGCCTATACCTCACTCATGCATTAATTCACTGCATGCCTCCTGGGCCAGGCCCTGTAGGATGGTCTGCAGCCACAGAGATGAGATGGTCACAGCCCCTTGCGCCTCTCCCTAGTGTGGCTCACCCCTGAGGTCTGAGCTTGCCCACAGACTCAGGGCAGCTGCACACCTTTTGTTGGGTAAATCAAACAGTCCTAGGTTTCAGGCCAGGCTGGGCCATGCTTGCAGTGGGCCCCTGCAGAGCCAGTCCCCTTCTTTTGCTGCTGAGGCTTCCCAAGGCCACACAGCTGGATGGGGGCAATGCCAGGACTCAAAGCAAGATGCACGGTCAAGGCCACTGCCATTTGTGCTATACACCACATCAACTCTGTAAATCCACTCTCAAAAGAGGATCAACTGTGTACAATTTACCACCCCAGGGTGCTGTGAAGTTCAAAAAAATAACATATATGAGAGTGTTTACAAACTGATAAATATGTCTTACAAATCTGGACTTTTCCCCAGAGCCTTGCGCTGTGGCTTGTACATAGCGGGTGCTCACAAAATGCTTTTGGGTTGGATTCTCAGCCCGCAGGCCTCCCTCCATGGCGCTTCCTCCCCACCTCTCTGCCCTTGCTCCATCTCCCATATCCCCCACCCACTCACCAGTCACTGAGCACTCCAGCGGACCAGGTGCCCAGCCAGGTGCCCAGGATGCAAGAAGGAAGGCCAGGCCCTGCCTGTGAGACATTCACAGCCCAGTTGGGAGAGACAGACAAGGAAGCAGACAAAATGCAGTGTGAAAAGTGCATGGCAGAGTGTGCCAGGCTGCCATGGGAACAGAGGGGAGGGCTCGTAACCACAAGAATGAAAACAGCTCCTTACATCTGTGCATTGCTTTCTGCTTTTCAAAGGGCTGGGTGTGAAAGGTGGGGGAGGGATAGAGAATGAAGACATGGCGTTTTCCCAGTCCCATTTGTCCACATTCCGGGGCTGTCACCTTCGTTGAGCTTATGCTCTTTCAATGGAAAGGACACAGAGAGACTCTTTCCTACCCAGAAATGAAGGATTTTTAGCAGCTGTGTTGCACAATCATTGCCCGATGTTTGTTTTTCAGAAGGGCTTTGCCGTATCCGCTGACACTGAGCTGTAAAGACCCAAGCATTAAAAATTTGCAGCGCTGCCTCCCAGGAGCAGAATTCTCACCTCTGCTTAATGAGCCACTCCACACGTCCTTCTAGCTTAGTGCCCAAATGACATGAATTGTCCAAATAGAGTGAGTGAGCCCTTGTGGTGGTTTGGCTCCTAAGTGTGGCATATAAGCAGGCTGGGGTAGGTGATGCTGTGGTAGCAACTCCCAAATCTGGGCCTTAAAAGTACAGAGGCTTATTTATTGCCCTGACACAAGCACATGATGCAGTGGGCTCTGCTCCCCGCCACCCTCACCGGGGGCCCAAGGTCTGGGGCCCCATCAGGGGCGTGTACGACAGAGAAGGGCACCTTGGCTCTCAAATGCTTTCGCGGGGAAGTGACCCTGCGCATATGAAATCCACCGGCCAGAGCAGTCATGTGGCCACACCTACCTTCAAAGGGGCCAGGAGGAGGATGGGGACAGTGCCCGGCCAACAGCACTGTTGCACACACAGGGTCCAGGGCAGAGCCCGCTCCTGCACTAAACTCCAGCCCTGCTGTCTCTGAGGGGCCCTAAGGCCCTACTAAGAGCTGACCCACTCTCCCCACACCTCTGCTTCAGATATGCTGAGAATCTGGTGGGGGCAGTGAGTTAACATCACCCTTATTTAGGCTGGACTTCCAAATGCTGCCTGAGGGGTGTGTGTGTGTGGGTGTGTGTGTGTGAGGTGAGGTGAGTGGTGTGTGTGGAGGTATAGTGTGTGTGTGTGTGTGTGTGTGGTATACCACACAGGTGTAGTATGTTGCACATGTGTGGTAAGTGTGATATGTATGTGGTATGTGTTTGTGTTGTGTGTGCATGGTATGTTGTGTGTGGTGTGTTTGTGTGTTGTGTGGCACGTTGCATGTGTGTGGTACGTGCAATGTGCGTGGCATGTGGTGCATGTGGTATGTGTTTGTGTGTGCCATGTGTGTGGTGTGTATGTTGTGTGTGTATGTTGCATGTGCGTGATGTGTGTGGTATGTGTCATATGTGTGGTATGTGTAATGTGTATGCGTATGTGGTGTGTGGTGTATGTGGTATGTGTTTGTGTGTGGTATGTTGCATGTGTGTGTGGCTTGTGTGATGTGTGTGGCATGTGTGATGTGTATGTGATGTGTGGTGTATGTGGTATGTTTGTGTGTTGTGTTTGTGGCATGTGATGTGTGTGGTGTGATGTGTATGTGGTATGTTTGTGTGTGATATGTGTGATGTGTATGTGTGTCTTCTGTGACTGCAGCTGGTGGGCAGCGGTCATGTGGGTGGGTCACGTGGCACCCACAGGAGCCCTTTGCTTCAGGTGTGGCTGAGGCCTTTTTCCTCAGGCTGCATGGGCTTGAGAGGCTCTGCCCCCAGGTATTTAGAGAATGTCAGCCTCAGTGTTGGCTTCCCTAAAAGTAGTGAATCTTGACCTCTAGGACACACACGGGTCAGCTCAGAGAGAAGCTTGTGCAGACAGCAGCCTCTGGATCTTGCCTGTGGACGGTCTGAGTGGCTCCCAGGCCAGCCTGAGACTGCATTTAACAAGGGCCAGGTGGTGCAGACGCTCCTTCTCCAAAACCTGACCCAACTTCACTCCGCATCTTCCTCTCGGAGGAAGTTTTAGGAGAGACCGATCTTTAGCAATGAGGCCTCTGGCCAGCTCTGTCATACAAGGACAGAACAGTGACCGCATGACTGAGATGCCCATTCAGGGCTCCTGGGTGCCCTGTGTGCTACTGCGTCAAACCCACTCCCCAAAAGCACCCTACTACAGGGTGGGGCACCCCAGGGTCTCCAGGGGGGCTTTGCTGCTCCACAAAAGGGTGCTGCTGTGGCCCCTACCTCCTCACTGCGGCCACGGCCTTGACCTGTGACCCCCTACCTCCTCACTGTGGACACAACCTGGACAGGGAAACAGCACAGGCTTCACGTGTGGATGCTACAGGTCCCCATGCCGGCCCCACTGCCTTCAGCTTTGTGTAGTGGACCTAACCTCTCTGAGCCACTGCTTTCCACAGGGACCTGGGGACAAATCCCTGCCTTTTTTTTTTTTTTTTTTTTTTTTTTTTGAGACAATCTCGCTTTGTCACTCAGGCTGGAGTGCAGTGGCGTGATCTCGGCTCACTGCAACCTCTGCCTCCCGGGTTCAAGCGATTCTCCCACCTCAGCCTTCAGAGTAGCTGGGATTACAGGTGCCACCACCACACCCGGCTAATTTTTGTACTTTTAGTAGAAATGGGGTTTCACCATGTTGGTCAGGCTGGTCTCAAACTCTTGACCTCAAGTGATCCACCTGCCTTGGCCTCCCAAAGTACTGGGATTACAGGCGTGAGCCACCACACCCAGCCTACCTGCCTTTCTCTAAAGGATTCATGGTGGCTGAATGAGAAGGTGAGGAAACAGCCTGAGGCACTGTGTGGGAGCTGGGATGTTGTTCTCTGAAAGAAGTTCCAGCATGGAGCTGGGCAGAACAGGCCAAAGGGAAGCTTCACCTCAGGTGAGGCACCAAAAGCCAACTCTGCCACCTCTGTGGAGGGCCACCCCAGCGCCGACCTCGTCAGGGGTTGGTGGGAGCTGCTGTTCGCCTGGGGACATGGCCTGGGCTACACCTCACGGCTCCCTCCTCGGGCCACAGGCCTTCACACTGGCTGGATCTCTCTAGCTGTGTCCAGGCTTTCTTCCTCCTGCCCTTTGCTGGGCTGTCAGTTCCGCCTTCCCCAGGTTAATGCAACCTCTGAAAAATTCAGCAAATCTCCTCTTGCTCAACTGAAGATCTTAGGAGGCAAAACAAAATCGATTCATATGGATGCAAGCATTTTCCCACCAGCTGCCACCAGCTCAGGCACAGATGGCTTCTGACACCCATTTGGCTGACAAGGAAAGCCTTAGGGCTGCATTCAAAATGGCTCCAACAGGAGTTGTTAGGAGGTAGAGGAAGTGAAGGGTCTCCAGGCTTAGGAGAGGGAGGCACTGACGGGACAGGATGGGAAGCTGTGGCCCAGCTCCCGAGTGGTCTTTGCACCTGTGACATCGGTTGTGCTTCCTCTGCAGGGGTGGAGTCCAGACTGCGAGGCTGGGCCATCTGCAGGGACCAGCACAGGACAATCAGGTGTCAGGACGTGGGCACGTGGCTCCGGACCTGGGGATCGGTGGCTGAGGGCAGCCTCCAGCTGCTGCCACAGCAATGTCACCAGGTGATGGGGACCTTTCAGAGGAGCCTAATCCAGAGGGGACAAGACTGGGGTCTGCAGGCCTTGCCGCAGCAGCCTCTCCCATGTGGCCCCCAGAGAAGTGTGTGCTGAACTGACCTTGACACGTCAGGACCTCTGGGGCCTCCCCACACGCCACACTCCCTTCCCTTCTCTCACACAGGTCATGTGTCCAGCAAACACTTCCTGAACAGCGACATGGTCCAGTACTGGGAAGAAGAGGTGGATGTGGCCCACTGCTGCCCCTTACAGAGGTCCCAGCTGGCAGGGGCGTCAGCAACATCAATAAAACCGTACTGGGTGCTTGAGAATGTTGTGTGAGGCAGTGCTGCCAACCCTGACTCACCTCCCTGCCACCTGAGACATCTCCAAAAGTATCACCCTGGGCCAGCTCTAATTCAGTCACTGCTTGACAACTGCACCTTGGGCAATGACTGGTGAATGGAAACTATGCTCCGTTTCCTCAGGCTTTAACTCTGTGCCAGGCACTGTCCAAGGTGCTTTAAAAATATTCACTCAAACCAACCCCAGGGGCTGGGCACTGTCATTATTCCCATTTACATATGAGGGAAGCTGAGGCACGGAGAAGCTCAGGAACGTGCCCACAGCAGTGAGTTGCAGAGCCGGGATCTTAGCCCGGGTGGTCTGGCTCTGAGGCCAGAGGCTGCCTGGAGAGGCGCCCACAGATTTGCCCCCCGGCAAGGGCACCTCAGTGGACTCCAGGCTTCCAGGACTCTGATTCCAGATCCTTCCTGCCTCAGAAAATCAACAAAGACATGCATGCTTCAGGCCTGCAGAGCTGCTCACAGCTATGGAACCAGAAGGGCCTTCCCAATCTGCTGTGCTTAACCCTGAAGTGGACCAGCCCAGGGACCTGGGAAAGTGAGGGTGTCCCTGCTGTGGGGGAAAAGGGCTAGGACTTTGGTCTTTCACAAGTGGATAAAATTAGGGAAAATTCAACACTGACGTTGATTTCAGGTCTTGGAAAACCAAGCCAGTGAGCTGAAAGTGTCCACCTGATGCGGATGGGTAAAAGCGAGCATAATTCCAGCCAGGCTGTGAGCTGTCCGCGCTTAACTAGCGAGCCAGCGTCAAGGGGTTAAGACTCTGGCAGGTCTCATTTGATGATGACAATGAAGTCTATAAACACGCAGGATGTGATGATAGAGCAGTGACACTGCCGTCCGTGTGGCATGTGGACGCCGGCTCCCTCCCTCTCTCCACGTGGGCTCTGCTCCTCAGTTTGCTCCTCAGGCCCAGGCCCCAGCTTAGGCCCTGCAGCCTTTGTAATGCTTTCAGGGTTTGGCATGAGCACCCTGTCCTCACAGCCTGCTGGGGAGAGGGTAGGAGAGGTATGGGGTAGGGGTGGGCTGTATTAGTTCATTCTCGCATTGTTATAAAGAACTACCTGAGACTGGGTAAATTTATAAATAAAAGAGGTTTAACTGGCTCATGGTTCCACAGGCTGTACAGGAAGCATGACGGCTTCTGGGGAGGCCTCGGGAAACTTACAAACATGGCGGAAGGTGAAGGGGAAGCAGGCACGTCCTACACGACTGGAGCAGGAAGGAGAGAGCGAAGGGGAAAGTGCCACATACTTTTAAATAACCAGATTTCGTGAGAACTCATGAGACAGCACCAGGGGGACAGTGCTAAACCATTAGAAGCCACCCCCACGATCCAATCACCTCCCACCAGGCCCCACCTCCAACACTGGGGATTACAATTCAACATGAGATTTGGTTGGGGACACAGATTCAAACCATGTCATGGGTAATAACAAGAGTCTGGGTCCATTGCTATGACTTACCTTTGACCTCTAGCGGGGAGCAAGGCTCTTTGGGGAGCAAGGGCTCTAGGGGGCTGAGACTGGAAGAAATCCAAAGCTAGGGTGGCTCTGAGTCCAGGTGGCTCTGGACTTCTTACAAGCCAGTCCTCATCACTCCAACCCTCTGTTGTTATAATAGTAATAATATTCCTTATAGAATAATAATCCTTTATATTAAATTCTCTCTGTTCACATTACAGTGTGGTTTCAATCTCTTGGTTGGACCCTGATAAAGCCTACATAAACTGTCTCATTCCTGGCTTGGTACAGGCTGTTCCCATGGCCAGTTTCACTTGCCTAAGTGAAGGTGGAGTGGTTAAGGGCACAGGCATTAGAGCCAGACTGCCTGGGTTCAGTTCCCAAGCCCAGCACTGGCTGGTGAGAAGCCATTCGACTTCTTTATGCCTTGATTTCCCTACCTGTAAGATGGGGATAATAGGATTGTTGTGGAAATTTTATGAGTTCTTATATGTAAAGCACTTGGCACAAAATAAGTGTTAAATAAGTGTTTGGTATTATTGTTGTTGACTTCCTTCCATTCACTCGTAGGGGTTTCAGCAACAGGGTCACCTCTCCTGGGAAGTCCTCCCTGACTACCTCCCATCCCAGCTGAGTTGGCTGCCCTCCTCCTATGCTCCCTCACACATCTTCACAGCACTGAACTCACGTGTTGTCACTGCAGGTGTACTTGTCAGTCTCTTCGGTAGAACTCTGAGCTGGCTGAGGGTACTCACAGCAAGTGTCCCCAGGACCTCACACTGCACCTGACTGAGTGAGGAGTAACCGTGTTAGTGGAGGTCCTCTGAGAACCAGACACAAAGACAGGATTGCATGAGTAAGAGCCATATTGGGGGAACCGCCTGTGAAGGACAAAGAAGGAGGGGATAGAAGGCAGGGAGATCCTTCAGACCACAGTACAGGTGTGACATCTGTGGAGGAGTGGGGAGGATGGGCCTCAGACTTCAGAGCAGTTCTGAGAAAGGCTTGCCCAGGCCACTGGGGAGTTCTCGAGCCACAGTCACCTACTGGAGGAGTCCCACGATCCACTTGCAGCAGTACTGTCCCCACGCTCCATCGCTGGTGGAAAGCAGCCTGTGGAGGCAAAGCATGGGTGGACGGAGAGAAACAGCAGCTGGGGCTGTCAGTCAAATCCGCTCCGCAGCAGGTCTGAGTGGCACATTTTCATGGGCACCACAGTAACCGACAGACAGAAGGCTGGCCATGCCCCAAGAATGCAGGGCCAGAAGCAGGGATGCCAGAATCTGTCACCTTGATGCAGGGAGAGGGTGGAGGTCCAGGGTACCTCTGAGTAGGCCTTCATGCTTACACACAGTCACACGCTGCATGATGACATTCAGTCGGCGAGGAACCACGTATATGACAGTGTCCCATGAGATTAATACTACTGTATTTTTACTTTTCTATGTTTTGATACACAAATCCTCACCATTGCGTTACAGCTACCCACAGTATTCAGCACAACAACGTGCTTTACAGGTTTGGGGCCCAGTAGCAAAGGTGACACCATCTAGCCTGGGTGTGTAGGAGGCTGTGCCATCCAGGTTTGTGTAAGTACACTATGATGTTCACACAAAGATGGAATTGCCTTCCAAGGCATTTCTCAGAACATATCCCTGTCGTTAAGTGATGCGTGACCGTAAATATATATAGTGCTAAGTCCTTATTATTTGAATTCATAAAATCACTTAAAATTCCCCTATAACACAACTACTTTACATTTTGTGAATTTCCTCCTAGGTTTTACCATGTTTACATTATTGCAATCACCATGCAGATTGTACCTCATTTTTAAAAAAAGATTTGATATTTATAACTAGTATTTCCCCATGCTTCTACTGTAGTCTTCATAATTATACTTTTTAATGGCTGAAAATGTTCAACAAGTGGATACTTCCAAAGTCACTGCTATTCAACATTTCCATTATTGTCATTTTGTTGTATTTATATCTAATGCTTTTATGTACCTCTTTGGGCATGTAGTATTCAGTTTCTATGGGGTTACAGCCCTAGGAAATACATAGGTTTGAAATTACTGGGTCAAAAGATAAACTTTTATGATTGTATCAAGTTTTGCCAAATTGCTTTCCAAAAACATTATGCCAGTTAATAAAGAGTATGAGTTATCTATTTCTGCATACCAAGTTACCACACCAAATGGCTTACTACAACATGGATTTATTGTCTTCTTGTTTCTGTGGGTCAGGAATCCAGGCACAGGTTAGCTGCTTCTCTGCTCCAGGGGCTCTCAAGGCTGCAGTGAAGGTGCTGGCTGAGGCTGGGGTGCTATGATTTGGCTTTGTGTCCCCACCCACATCTCATCTTGAATTGTAATCCCATAATCCCTATGTATCACGGGAGGGACCTGGTAGGAGGTAACTGAATCATGGGGATGGTTTCCCCATGCTGTTCTCATGATAGCGAGTGAGTTCTCAAGAGATCTGATGATTTTCTACTTCCATTTTCCCTGCTGACACTCATTCTCTCTCCTGTTGCCCTGTGAAAAGGTGCTTTCTGCCATGATTGTAAGTTTCCTGAGGCCTCCCCAGCCATGTGGAACTGTGAGTTAATTAAACCTCTTTTCTTTATAAATCACACAGTTTTGGGTATTTCTTCATAGCAGCATGAGAATGGATTAATACATGCAGTCTCATCTGAAAGCTTGAGTAGGGAAGGATTCTATTCCAGGCTCACACGGTTCTTGGTAGGATTCAGTGCCTTGTGGCCCAAGGGCCCCAGCTGTTAGCTGGCTGTTTGCTCAGAGGCTGCCTTTAGTTCCTCGCCATGTGGGTCTCTCCAACATGGCAACGTGCTTCAAGATAAAACATGTGAAGCCAAGAAGACAAGGGCCTCTTAGCAAGACAGAAGTCATAATCTGTTGTAATCTAATCACTGAGGTGATATACCCTCAATGTATATCTGTATTCTATTGTTTAGAACCAAGAGGAGCAAGGGGAGTGGATTATGAACCAGGGCCAAAAATATTAGGACCAGGGATCATTAGGGTCATCTTAAAAGCTGCCTAACACAAATGTCACCAAGGGCATATGCTTGTATCAATTTTACTACAACCTTACTAACACTTAATGCTTTAGTATTTTAAAATTACCAGTATGGGCCAGGTGAAGTGACTCACGCCTGTAATCCCAGCACTTTGGGAGGCTGAGGTGTGTGGATCTCTTGAGAACAGAAGTTCAAGACCAGCCTGGGTAACATAGTAAAACCCCATCTCTACAACAAAGAAAAAAAAAATTAGCTGGGCATGGTGGTGCACACCTGTATTCCCAGTACTAGGGGGATGAGGTGGGAGGGTTGATTGAGTCCAGGAGGCCAAGGCTGAGTAAGACTCTTCTCAAAAGAAAAAGAAAAGAAAAAAAGAAAGAGAGAGAAAGAAAAAGAAAAACATTCCCTGTAGAGTAGGTGTAAAGGACCACCGTCCACGCTAATGCCCTCTTCTCCAGCCTGGTGTTTCCCCCTAAGGCCACATGTGTCCTCTGCTTTCAGCTGCTGCCAAGTACCTTCCAGAAGATGCCAACTGATAGCCACTGGGAAAACTGCCCTAACTGAACTGGGGCTTTGAAAAGCTTTAAAATAAAGCTGTATTAGGCAGCAGCGAGTTCTCTGGAAATTGCTGGTATTTGGGCAGCAACTCCAAGACCTGAACACCTTATGCCATTTAGGAGCACTAACATTTAGAAAATCAATCTTTTTTTTAAAGCCTACTATATGCCCTCACCAGGCTCCACATTTTGCAAACTTTCTTTCACTTTCATCGTCAAAACAATCCTGAAAGATAGATAGGAATGCACCCATTTTACAGACAGGAAACTCAGGACCAGAAGTCACTTGTTCCAGATCGCCCTGTTAAAGTGGTAGGCCAGGATTTGAACCCACAGCTGGCTGCCCACTCTGCTCTCTCCCTACCTCCTGAGATCCCCTTTCCTCAGCTGGTGCCTCCTAGAGCTCCATGACACCCTGCCCTTCCGTCCTGTTCCCCCTGCTGCACTAAACATGGTAGGCTGGTTGTCCCTTTCTCTTCAGTTAGCTGGAGGGGTCTCCTCGGAAGTTCTGCTCAGTGACTATTTTTTCCTAATAAAAATAGTGAGCCTGAAAAAGTTACTTCTAACCCAGCATGAGGAAAAGGGCTATGGAGTCCACAGTATAAGTCTGCACCATGAAACTTTCAGGCTAAATAGGACAGTATAAATTTAGTGTTTTAAGAACGATACCTGGAACCAGACTGCCAGCTTCAAATCCTTGTTCTGCCACTTACAAAGTTTTATGATTTAGGGCAAATTTCTTCACCTTTCTGTGATGTTCCCTTTCCTGTAAAATTGAAATAATAATATTACCAACCACATGCCCCAATTGGGAATAAATGAGAAAATGTCTCTAAAAACCTAGCACAGTGTCTGGAGGATAATAAAGGCCCCATTATGTTACTATAGGGACATGGTGGGGAGGAGACAGGCAGGAGGCCTCGCCGGGTGAGGACCCATGCATTGATCTGGAACTCAGCCTGTGATCTACACACACATGGGGATCAGGTTTGTGTGTGTGTGTGCGCGCCCAGCTCCAGGCAAGGCTGAGTGGAACCTTGCATTGTGGACACTGGTGGGGACTGAGGCAGCAGGGCTAGGAGGGTCAGTGAAGAGCAGAGCCAGCATCAGCGCCATGACTCTGAGACTCCCCTCCCTGTATTCTGGCTGTATCCAGATGTGTGTGTGTGTGTTTGTGTGTGTGTGTGTGTGCCTGCAAAGGGGGGGGGGGGCGGGCTGAGGAGGGGGAGTCTTTGTGTGTTGTAGTTTTCTGTAAGTCAGCCAAGTCCTGGGTCTGTTTTTGGTTGCTCTGGGATGTCGGGCATCCTTGCAGGTTCATACCCACAGAACCATGAACCTGGGATGGGGAGAGGCGAGGCCTAAGCCAGGAGAACAATGTTCACAAGGGATCTAGGACAGAGTGCTAATGATTCCAGCACACAGCAGGCATGGGAGAAGGAAAAGTGCAGGGTGACAGTTACAAGGCAGCTGCCTACCACCCAACTTAGCGACAAAGCCCTAGAGCATGTTTCTTCACCTTTCTGAGATCAACCTCTGACCTGTGTGTAGGGACGCAATATTATAAAAAAATCTTCCTAAAGCCAGGGTCCCTGGTGCCCTAGGTAGTAATCTGTGCCCTACAGGAAGTGACCCAGAAGTGTCCTGATTTCCCCACTGATGTCAGCAATCATGGATGACTAGGGCCAGGCTCTGTCCTTGGCAAGTCCCAAGGTGGGAAACAGGACAGGGTCGGATAGGATTCAGAATGGCCGCATACAAGGAATGCAACCAGCCTTGCTGTAATTGCTCAGAGGCTTTTAGGAAGCTGGGGCTGTGTCTGTTATAGCTTAGAGCCCTGTTCATTTATGAAAAAATATTGTTTCTAGTTACTGAAACTGCAAAAAATAAATATTATGGAGAGCCTCAATTTAGAGCTGTAAACAAGATACACGATCCTGCCACTGCAGATTTTACATTTCAGTGGAGGAGATGCTAAGCCGCTAGCTCCACGGTAACTTAATTAGTCAGCAGTAGGGCGAGGAAGAGGTATTGGGTGTATGACAGTGTATAAACGGGCATCTGACGTGAGACAGGGAGGCTTCCCTGGGAGAAGCAACGTGTGAGTGAACAGTTTCCCCTGGGCATTCCAGCAGGAGGAACACTAAATAACTGAGCACCGGGCAGGCTGTGAGACCGCAGCCCAGATCAAGGACACAGCGAACACGAAAGCTGTGTGGGCAGGAGGGGAGAGCAGTTCAGGAACCAAACTGCAGTGAGGCTAGGATCCAGAGCAAGGGAAAGTGGGACACGGATGGGCAGGAGATGCGGTTTTCGCCAGAAAGCATGGGGATGTCTCTAAAGGGCTTTAGGCAGGAGAGTCACCCAGTCAAACCTGCACTTCCAGGAGCTGGGAGAACTGGGAGAAGAGTCAGGAGGCCCAGTGGAGATGAAGAAAAGGGGATGGAGCCGAGAGCTACTGGGAGGGAAAGCACCAAGGCTGGGTGCTGGGTGAGTCATGCAGTGGGAGGGTGGGAGGGGGAAGAAGGGACACGGAGCTCAGCCAACCTGCCAGGGGGGCTCTCAGTGGGAGGGCCTGAGGTGGCCTGAGCCGGGCTGTGGAGGACTGGAGGATGCGAACAGTGCAGCAAGGCGGAGCAATGCACGCGCACACACACGCACACACATACACACGGCTGGAGGATGTGTGCGCCAAGGTTGGAGGGTAGCATGTAAGGCTTGTGTGAGGACTGGGAACAGCCTGTGAGTGGAGACAAGGTCTGTGACTTGGAGCAGAGGGAGCTGAGTAAGCAGCCTTTTCTCCCCATCGTGAGGCTGCCTTCGCTAATGGTTCGGGCAGATCAGCAGGAATGCCTGAAACCATCATGGCTCCTGCAGTACTGAGAGCAGATGGGTTGGGGGTGGGAGTGGTGAGAAAGTGGAGCCCATCAAATCCAGGCCCCAGACCGTACTGCTCAGGAATGAGGTGGCCTCACATGGCCTTGTGGCCCTTTAAGTACAGCAGCAGCAGGTGGGTGACACCCCAAGGGGCCCCATGAAATGGTGTGTCCCTGAGTGAAGACTGGTTCACCCAGCCACTGCCTCATCTATCCACCTATGTATTCCAAGCCCGTGCCCAGTGCCGTCCTAGGTACCAGGGCCTGGGGAATGAGCAAGGATGTGCTGCCCTCAGGAACTCAGCCTGTTCAGGTCCAGTGTGAGGACCCGTGAGCTGGCCCAGCACACTGAGCTCCAGCCCACAGTGAGGGGCCCAGCAGGGAGGTGTGCCATTCCCACTGCATTCTGCAGCCCCACTGGCTCACTCTCCTCTCCAGGTCTACTGCCAGGACCTGCCACCACTGTGTTCAAATACTTTCCCAGGGAAAACCTCATCTCCAACTAAAAGATGTCATGAAGCCAAATTGGGTCTGGCTCCCTGATCACAACTCTCCTCACCTTGCCCTGCTGTGGTCCTGTCCAAGGATCTAACCCAGGGGCCCGGCTCCATCCACCACCGGAGGGCTCAAGGGAAATAAGCAGGGCAGGGCTGCAGTCTCCCCTGGGTCCTGAGTGGGACCAGGCCTAACCCACTGCCCACCTCCACCCCTCTGCTCTCCTTGCTGACCCCTACGAGCCAAGCTTACCCCCACCTTGCTGCCTCTCCTCTCCAAGCCCTGGCCACGCTGTGCCTGGGGAGGCTGACAGCTCTGGATGGCGCCAGTGGGCTCCCTCCCTGCAGGGCCTCGGTCTTACAATGGTTTGTTCCTTCCTCTACATTTGAGTGAAGCTCTTGCCAAGTCTCCCATGCCACAGATCTCGGAGTTCTGGAACACCTCCCCTCCCCTCAGGTCCAGGGACTCTCCTGGCACGTGCTGGTCTCCTTCTCCCTGAGTGTGCCATCTGCATCCACGGGACCTTGACTGACACAACACTCTTAAGGCCCCCTCACCTTAAAACAGCCTCTCAGGACCACACTAACTTCTCATCTTGGGCTCTCTAGTCTTTTAACCTCTAACAGAGTGGAGGAAAATTGGGATTTGACCACCACTTAAATTGAGGGGTGGTTCTTCACTGTAGGAAAGTGTTCACATAACTGCTAGTACCCTGGTGTTGAGGTGTGCCCTGACTCCCACAGCCTGGTGGCACTCAAGACCAAGAAGGAGGCTGGGCGAGGTGGCTCACGCCTGTAATTCCAGCACTTTGAGAGCCTGAGGAGGGTGGATCACTTGAGCCCAGGAGTTTGAGGCTGCAGTGAGCTATGGTCACCACTGCAGTCCATCCCGGGCAACAGAGTGAGATGCTCTCAAAAAAAAAAAAAAAACGACCAAGAAGGAGGGATGTCTGTTTATTTACAGTGCACCCTTTGTGCCAGGCCCTTATGTTCATGACCTTACCCAACTCTACAATCTTGCAAGGCGGTTTACATCATCTCCACTTTACAGTTCAAGAAACAAAGGCTCAGATTCATAGCCCCTGAATAGTCCCTCATAGTCCCTGAGTTCATAAGTAGTGGTTATAGTACAATCTAAGCTATTTAATTCCAAAGCCAGTGATTTTTCTGGCCGTGAGCTATAGGTCCAAAGGCTCCAACAGGGCCCTCCAGACTCAATGGCAGGGTGGTGTCTGCACAAGCTGGAAGTGTCCTTGTGATGAGCCCATCAGGAGCGGCCCGGATTGAGCATCCCCCTCCACATCTGCAGCACAGAGTCCCGGCGGGTGGTGTAGGGTAAATGTTTGATTCGGAACAAGTGTCTGGGGACGATGTTCCCGCTGGGTGTATACAGCTTCTCCCCGTCTTTGCCCAAGAGACTGCGCAGGGCCAGGTTGCCCGACAGAAGCTTCTCATAGAACTCCACTCCACCACAGGCATAGGCTGCAGAGAGGGAGGCCGTGCGGCGGTCCAGCCAGGACTCCACGGCATGAGTGAGAGAATCCTGGGAGAAGGCGTAGGCCACAAAGCCTGCCACTGCTGCCACCAAGCTGAAGGCAGCCCGTAAATTCATGGGGCCTGCATGGAGCCCCAGGGTGTACTTGGCACCCACGCCCAGTGCCCAGGTCCCTGCCAGGCAAGCTGGGGCCAGCAGGGCGTGCACGGCAGTGGTACTGCTTTCCAGGTACACCACTTCCCTGGCCAAGGCGAACTTCTGGGCTTCACGGGACAAGGTCAGGGAAGCTCTCAGCCGGGCGCCTGCTGGGCTCCGCCAGTCCACTGTATGCCCATGTATGACCACGGGATGGTTAGTGTTGATCACTAGGTCTCCCAAGAAACTGGCAGGGATGCCCACCACAGCCCCAGCAGGGAGTCTTGGGAAGCCTGCACTCACAGGTTGGAAGGTGAAGGTGGTGAAGGGCTTGTAGCAATGGCCTGAAGGAACACCTATGTCCTGTAGCACCTCTTGGAAGAGGCTCTGCAGCTGTGGAGGGAGCGGAGCTGGCTGGCCCTGAGGCCAGTACTGGTAGAGCCATTGGACCACGGGATCCGGGAAGAGGTGGTACGAGATTGGAACTCCAAACAGGCCTGCACAGGAACCCACCAAGAGGCCTGTCCTGTGTCTCTGCACAAATGCTGCGGTCCGCCACAGGGGACCTGCCATGAGTGTAGTCACTGCGGACAATCTGGGCCAAGAAAAAGAGAAGTCAGCCAGTTTCCCTGGGTCAGCCTGCAGACTGAACATCCTCCAGGGTCCACACCACCTTTTTAAACCAAAGTAACACAGCATAGTGGTGAAGAGTGTGGGCTCTAGAGCCAGAGTGCCTGTGTTCAAATCCCAGCTCCGTCTCTGTGCGTCAATTTCCCCATGTGCCAAACAGGTGTGTCGTAATGGCCCACCTCTAGGGTGGCGGTGATGAGCACATGAATAAACATACATAAAACATTTAGTGTCTGGCACAGCAGCAGATATTCCTTATAATAATGGCTGTAATGACTTTTATTCCCATCGCTGGGCACGGCACTCCAACTGCCTCATTCCACTCATCCCATGGTAAAGCCCTATGATTACTAATTTATAAGGAAAAACGTGTTCAATTTATTGAGTGCTTACTATATGCTAGACTCAGTTCTGAGCACTCTTACCGATTGAACCCTCACAACCCCATGACCTAATTACTACAGCTAACCCTATTTCAAAGCTGTGAAAACTTAAATGGCCAAAATCCTAAGCTAGTGAAGTGACAGTGTTATGGGCTGCACTGTGTCTCCTCCTCCTCCCCAGTTCATATATTTAAGTCCTAACCCCCAGTACCTCAGACTGTGGCTGTATTTGGAGACAGGGTCTTTAAGGAGATAATTAAGATAAAATGAGGCCATCAGTATGGATCCTAATCCAATTTGACTGGTGTACTTATAAGAAGAGATTAGGATGCAAACAGGCACAGCAGGAAGATCATGTGAGGATCCAGGGAAAAGGCTACCACCTACAAGCCAAGAAGGGAGGTCTCAGAAGACACCAACCCTGTTAACACCCTGGTCTTGAACTTCCAGCCTCCATAACTCCCAGAGGACAAATTTCTGCTGGTTGGGCCACCCAGTCTCCGGTACTTCGGCATGGCAGCTCTAGCAAGCTAACACAGGCATAGTCAGGTGTCCACAGCAAACTTTTTGTTTTAGAAAACTTGTTATGCCAAATTACAAGCATATACCAAAGTAGACAAAATAGTACATCCATCAACTTCAATCCCATCAACTCATGGCCAATCTTGTTTGATTTCTCTTTCCACCACACTTCCGTCCAACTGGTTTATTTTGAAACATCCCCGGGCATCCTATCACTTCATCCGTGAATACGTCAGTAAAAATTCACAATTATTTCACTTTGATTGAAACTTACTGTATTCCTGTCCGTGAAAAGTGCTTAATGAGCAACGAATGAGTTGCCGCAAACAAAAACGCAGGGTACCGCTTGGCCTATCTTAATCAAGAACTCCTATAAGAATCATTATCATTCGGGCTTTTTTTTTTTCCCAATGCGGAAAGTGAGGCTAAGAAAGGAAAGGTCTGGACCAAAGTCCAACGTCCCTAGGGCCATCGCGCTGCGGGGTGGGCCTAGAACACAGTACCATGCAGCCCGCCGGTGGCTGGGGGAGGAGGGGCTGCAGGAGCCCCGCAGAGGGGTCCTCGCTACGCTTCCACTCTGGGCCCCTAGGCTACTCCGCAGTCTGAACGCGTTACCGGGTCGCATCAGGCCGGAGAAGGGTCCCTCCCGCTCGTCCGTGCGCTCACCTCCGCCGCCGCTCGGAACGCCTACATGTGCGCGCGGCAGGGCGGCCGCAAAGCACGCCGGCCGGGGATCTGGGGGCGGGGACTTCGGGAGGCGGAGCTCGCCGGCCCCGGATCTTGGGATGGGGACTTCAGGGGGCGGAGCTCGCCGGCCGGAGATCTCGGGGCGAGGATTTCAGGGAGGGGAGCTCGCTCGACGGGTCTGGGGGCGGGACTCTTGGGGGTGTGGCTGGGGGGGCCTCAAGGGGATGTCCGTGGGGGGCTCCGGCCGCCGCAGAGGCTCCTTCTCTAACTGTGCACCTTGGGGTGGGTCCGCTAGCACTTCCTCCTCTGCGTTGAAATGCGTCTTTGATTAATACAAAAATTAGCTGGGCGTGGTGGCGCACGCCTGTAGTCCCCAGCTGCTGGGGAGGCTGAGGCAGGAGAATCGCTTGAACCTGGGAGGCAGAGGTTGCAGTGAGCCGAGAATACGCCACTGCACTCCAACCTGGGCGACAGAGCGAGACTCCGTCACACACACACACACACACACACACCCCGGTGTCTTTGATCATGCCACACACACACACACACACACCCCGGTGTCTTTGATCATGCCACACACACACACACACACACACATACCCTGGTGTCTTTGATCATGACACACACACACACACACACCCACCCCGGTGTCTTTGATCATCACACACACACACACACACACACACACACATCCCGGTGTCTTTGATCATGCCGTTGAACCCCCGAAGGAACGGCAGCCCCGCGTGGGTCACCAGGCGGCCTATGGCAGGGCCCCCATCAGAACCCATGCCCATCTGACTGGCCGGCCCGTGTACTTCTCCGTCTGGAAGCGCTCACCCTTGGCGGGGAGCTCTGAGCTTTATGTTTATTACCATGTTCGCTGCCCCCCAAGCTCCTCCCAGGTGCTTCACACTGTACAGTCCACAGAGCAGCGTGCCATCTGTCATTTCTCCTTTCCAGCTGCTCTGTGAGGTAGATGAGGGATCATCTAATCTGTGCACCAAATCCAGCTCTCCACCTGCTTTTGTAAATAAAGTTTTCTTGGAACACAGCCATGCCCAATCCTTTACAGAGGGTGAAAACAGACTGCCTAGGGTTAAAGCCGGGCTCCACCCCTTACTAGCTGTGTGATAAAATGAGTTGGTGTATATGTAACCTGTGCCTCACGGTTTGTGCCGCCTAGCCATTAGCTATTATTATTAAAGTCTGTTCTGTTTCTGAGCCCCCCCCCCCAATTTTGGCTGCTCAGTTGTTTGTATGTAAATAGTGCAATGTGACCTCAGCCAAAGCCAGAATGTGGGACATTCTACAGGGCAAATGACGTGGTTTATCCAACAAATCAATGGCATAAACAGGGAAGGAGGGGGACTCAAAAGAAAAGAGACTTGAGAGTCATTGCAGTTAAATGCAATATGTGACTTTTATTGGGATCCTGAACCAAATAAACTAACTGTAAAAAAGACACCTTGGGCTGGGCGCGGTGGCTTACGCCTGTAATCCTGGCACTTTGGGAGGCCAAGGAGGGCAGATCACCTGAGGTCAGGAGTTCAAGACCAGCCTGGCCAACATGGTGAAACTCCGTCTCTACTAAAATACAAAAATTAGCCAGGCATGGTGGCACACGCCTATAATCCTAGCTATTCAGGAGGCTGAGACGGGAGAATCGCTAAAACCTGGGAGATGGTGGTTGCAGTAAGCCGAGATTGTGCCACTGCACTCCAGCCTGGGTGGCTAAGTGAGACTCTGTCTCAAACAAACAAAGGAACAAACAAACAAACAAAAGGCATCTTGGAGAAATTTGAATTTGGATTTGAATATTAGATGATATTAATGAATTATTGCTTATTTCATCAGATGGGATGATGACATGGAGTTTATATAAACCAAAAAATTCTTACTAGAGATGCATACTGAAGTGTTTACAGGTGAAATGACACAATGTCTACTATTTGATTCAAAATATTCCAACGAAACCAAATCCAAACAACAACAACAACAAAAAAACAGGGGCACAGATGAAACAACATTGACAAAGTGTTAGTTATTGTGAAGCTGCATGACAGGTTCAGGGATCTTCATCATACCATGCTCTACTTTTGTGTGTGTTTGGAAATTTCCATAATAAAAAGTTTAAAAAAATTTTTTAAAGTAGGCTGGCCAGTTGGACTCCATCAAAATGAAAAACTTTTGTGCATGAAAAATACTATCAAGAAAAGTGGAAAGACAATCCACAATAGGAGAAAATATTTACAAATCATAGATCTGATAAGGGTGTAGTATCCAGAATATATAAAGAACTCTTAGCAACTCAACAAGCCAATTAATAAATGGGCAAATGACTTGAGTAGACATTTCTCAAAAAATATATACAAATATATGCCAAAAAGCATATAAAAATGTGCTCACTAGTATCAGTCACTAGGGCTGATCACAGAGCGGCTAGGGAAATGCAAATCACCACAATGAGATATTATTCACAACCACTGGATTTCTATAAGGAAAAAGAAAACCTAGAAAATAATATATGTTGGAGAGGATGTGGAGAAACTGAAACCCTCATACATTGCTGGTGGGAATGTAAAATGGTGCAGCCACTGTAGAAAACAGTTTAGAGCTTCCTCAAAAAGTTAACCTTAAGCTAAGCTAGGCTCAGTGGCTTGTGCCTGTAGTCCCAGCTACTTAGAAGGCCGAGGTGGATTGCTTGAGGCCAAGAGTTCGAGGCCAGCCTGGGGAACATAGTGAGACCCTGTTTTCTAAAAAAAAATAGTAATTTTTTTAAAAAGTTAAACTTAGAATTACCATATGAATCAGCTATCCACTCCTAGAAATATACCCAAAATAATTGAAAACAGGCACTCAAACAAATACTTGTACCTAAATGTTCATAGCAATGCTATTTACACTAGTGAAAATGTAGAAATCAAAATGTTCATCAACTGATGAATGGATAAACAAATTATGGCATAGTTCATGCAACGGAATATTAGTTAGTCATAAAAAAGAATAAATACTGAGCCATGCTACAACATGGATGACCTTACAAACATTATGCTAAGTGAAAGACGCTAGACACAAAAGGACAAAGACTGTATCATTCCATTTATATAAAATGTCCGGAATAGGCAAATCCACTGAGACAGAGAGCAGGTTAGTGGTTGCTAAGGGATGAGGGAGGGGGTAAATGGGAGTGACTGCTAACAGGTACGGGGCTTCTTTTTGCAGTGATGAAATGTTTGTGTATTAGATAGTAGTGATGGTTGCACAACATGGTGAATAGACTAAAACCCGTAAATTTTTACCCTTTACAATGGTTAAAATGGTAAATTTTAAGTAATGTGCATTTAATCTCAATTTAAAAAATGCATATATATGTAGGTTGGCCAATCCTACCGCAGAGCTGATAGAACATTTATCAACCGTTCAACTGAAGCACCTGGGAGAGTTATTTTTCAGGAGTCAGGAGTGAGAACCCATGGGGTAGGCAGGTGTTTTGCCTGAAGCTGGGCTTCCCAGTCAGAGTGTGTGGTCATCTGCATCCCGTGCTTGCAGGTACAACCATCTCCAACAGCTCCTCCTTCATCGCTTTCTGAATATCTGAAATGCTCCCACTTATGTGTTCTTACACTTATTCATTCAGCTCCTACCCTGTGCCAAGTGATGGGGGCAAAACACCGATAAGAAAAAGTCACAGTCCTCCGTAGCTCCCTGATCATTAAAGCAGACACATGAACCCCTGGGAGCAAAGAGTCCTCCCCTCTTCCCTCTGGTAGGGCCACAAAGGAGGTAACGGCCACTTCTCCACAGGGTGGTTCCCGGGTATCTGAACTCTAGAAGACTCTTTGGAATTTATGGGTGGTCAAAGGGGCAGGTTGGAGTGCTTTTCCTGTAGAGACTGGTGAGGTGAGAGTTGGTCCAATCCCAGCTCTCAGCCAGATCCTCTCCTGAGTGCAGAAGTGGATGGCATTGAGAAAGAAGCAGCCACAACAAAACGGGCAAGGCCCCAGAGGGAAGCACCTTGGGTGACTTTAGGTTTAGGAGGCAGGCTCTCAGAGCTGAAGCTTATATGGTTCCAAAACCTCCTTACAACCCTCTAGGTGAGGCCAGAGTGTTGCAAATGTCCAGCCCCGTCAGCACAGGCTGCCCGGCTGCCCGGCTGCCAGCTGGGTGGGAGGCAGCACTGAGCTGCTGCTGTTTGTCGGGATTCAGGAATGGCTGTGACAGATCTCTTGTCCCTTCTCCTCCTCTGCTGGGATTCTCCTTTTCAGGAATGTCCTACTCTAGGTCTGGGGCTGGCTGTGGTCTGCTCCTGCTGTGGAGCCCGTCTTCCCCCTGCCAGGTGGCCCTGGCTGGGGACAACACCCAGGAGTGCACTGCGGGGGTTGTGAATTGGGCCCACAATTGTGCCCATAAATGGTGCTCCTGGGCTGCCAGCCAGCCAGGCATCTTAGCGGCAGAACCCACACACAGGCCCTGGCTCTGCTAGCTGGAGTCTGACTTCTTGCCCCCTCCTCTCTGCTACTTGTGGGTTTGGCCAAACTTCCCGTAAGTGTTTGCTCATTCGTTTATTTTATATTTTGTATTTATTCAGCACTTGCAAACATAAGAAAATAAGATATTTTACTTTAGGGATAAAGTCTTATCTTTTTTTTTTTTTTTTGAGACAGGGTCTCACGCTGTTACCCAGGCTGGAGTGCAGTGGTGCGATCTTGGCTCACTGAAGTTTCCACCTCCCAGGTTCAAGCGATTCTCCTACCTCAGCCTCCCAAGTAGCTGGGATTACAGGTGAGCATCACCACACCTGGCTAATTTTTGTATTGTTAGTAAAGACAGGGTTTCACCATGTTGGCCAGGTTGGTCTTGAACTCCTGACCTCAGGTGACCCGCCTGCCTCGGCCTTCCAAAGTGCTGGAATTACAGGTGTGAGCCACTGTGCCTGGCAGGGATAAAGACTTATCTTACCAGAGTTAAAAAAAAAAAAAAAGGTAGGGTAGGGGGTTCTTAGCTAAGGTGGTAAGGGAAGGCCTCTCCGAAAAGGGTATGTCTATGCTGAAACCTGAGTGAGGGGAAGCATGAGAGGGCTGTATGTGTGGAAAATGTCCTCAGCAGAGGAAATGGCCAGGTCCAAGGCCCAAGGGCAGGAATGGGATTGTGGGCCCAGGGGGCAGAAAGTCCAGTGTGGCTGGATGAGAGGGAAGCCTGAGGGGAAGGTGGGAGGGGACTTTGGGGAGGTGGGCAGGGGCTGGACTGCCACAGTCTTGTAAGCTGGAGTGAGGTCCTTGCATGTTATTCTAATGGCAATGGCAGGTCACTGGTGACCTAGATGAGAGCTGATCTGTGAGGTGAGCAGGAATGTTCGAATGGTTGAAGAGAGAATGGGCAGTGAGGAATATGGACCACTCTTCTGGCTGTGAAGAGGAGTAAAGATGGGGTGATGGTTCAAGGTGCACATGGGGTGCAAGGAGGGCTTCGTTTGTTTTGTTTGTTGCCAGAGAGAGGGACCACTGCAGGAAGGTTCTCCATGGGTAGGTAAGAGGGGATGGGTCCGGGGTAGGGAGGAGGAGGGGGGTCAGGAGCACTTCCTCACTGTAACGGGAGGGAAGCTATGGTCAATGGGCCCAGGCTGGTGAAGTCGTGCTGGGAAGAGAGGTTGTCCTTATTGGATGCTGCTTCTTTTTCCCAGTGATCTATGGAGTGAGGTCATCAGGTGAAAGTGCAGTGGGGACAGAGTAGGGAGGGAGTGGTGAAGGTTTGAAGAAAGCAGAAGAGATGTACATTTCTAGGTGAGGAAAAGAAAGACCTTTCTACCAGGAAAATGAAATGATTGTTGTGTACCGTTGAGTGCCCATTTGGGATCTGGGACAAAACCACAACGTTGGTGAGACAAGTTAGTATGGTTGTGTGATTCTTTCCAACAATGTTGGGATGCTCAGGTACAAGAATAAATAGATGGATAGTTGGGTTTAATTAGAGCTGGGTTTGCCAGTCAAGTACAAAGTGGAGAGAAAGGGGCAAGGTTGGTGAGGGTGTTTGCAAAGAAGTGATGACATAGTGATGGACCATGAACTCTCAGCCAGCAGGGAGGACAGTGAGGGCCTGTGGGGTGTCTATTTTACTTAACACCTAAATGTTACACACCATGTGCCCTGTGCTGCTCCTAAGCACTTTGTTCCTAGACACTTTGCAGAAGGAAGAGATAGCGAGATCATTGGCCTGGTGGAACATAAGGAATGTTCTAATGGGGTCACCATAGTAAGCCAGGTAGAAGTATAAGGAGGTGAGTACAGGGTGGGTGGGAGTCTTGAAATGGACCTTTCAGAGGTGGTATCCATTTGGTGATGACAAGGTCAAGGGCATGTCTGCGGGAGCTGCGGTGAGGTGGAAGAGAAGATGATTAAAAGTTAGGGGGTATATTAATCATTTTTATTTTCTATATTTTATGAAGCTTTGACATCTGGGAGGCCTTACTAATCCTGGAAAGACTGCCCCTCCCAGGGCACTGGTTCCTAGTGATGGCGAATGACTCTCCCATGAGCACGCCTTTCATATGCAAACCAACCAATCCACAGCCCATACCCCAACCACCTCTTTTATTTACTTTTCACACTCCAAGTCAGTATTCTCCTGGCTCTAAATATCCCCAGGATTAGGTACTGGACAACTGGAGAATACCCCTATCCTCCACAGCCCACTGAAAGCATCTTAACTACCCAATCCTACGCTTGCTTCAGTGTGACTACCCTGCCTTGCCTATTCCTTCAAAAAACCACAATGAAGCCTCTGGGCCATGCCTTCCCCTGGCTCCTTCTGCCTCCCTCCTGACTGACCTGGTGTTTCCCCAGGTGGGTGGCTCTGTGTGGCATGGTGTGCCTCCCTCCTCTCAGGAACTGCAAGTAATAAACTATTCTTTCAGTGGCATTGGCCACTGGGGAAAGGGGGAGTGGTAAAGATCAGGGATCACACCACAGCACTGAAACAATTCAAGAATGAGAGGAAGCAACCAGGAAGCTGGTAGATAGCAGCAAGGATGGGGGGTACTGGAATGGTCTGGTGGCATGCGTTTCAAAGGAGCTGGGGTATGTATAGGAGGAAATGGCTGTGGGGAGAAAAGGGAACATGCATTCTGCCCTGATTTCAGGGGAATATGGGGAAGAAAGTGACTTCACTGGAGAGGGCTGTGGTGTCCTCAGCAAAGACAGCCAAGCTTTGCGGAGAGCAAGCAAACGAGAGGAGGTGGGGCGGGGGTTTACTGATGATGGACCAAGCCTGCCAAAGTCACAGTGAAACGGCCCTGGGAGGCCTGCAAGGGTGAGTGACCGGGGCTAGATTAGGGGATAAACAGGAAATGAATACATGGATAAGCCCCCAGGAAACCATGGTTGACACAGCATAAGATGGGTTTAAAAAATTTCTTGGGGGGCTTTTGGACATAAAAGGAATACTTAAGAGTTACTAACATTTTCAGTACTGTATTAAAGCAGTAAGTTTGAATACCCTATGTCTCTTAAACCTAAAGTGCCAATTTACAAATATTGTCATCTTATTAATAAGTCCAGTAATTTTTGTATAAAAAATGAGATTTTTTTCTACTTGTCTTTGATTAACATTCAGTTAATTCCTAGGGTTTACAGATTAAATCTTTCTTAATTATACTGTACCACTTCTGTACTTAATTGATCAAATTTCCTTAGACATTTCAAACCACACTTTCAAATTTAATTTAGCTGATTCTCTTAAATATGTTAACCTGCTGTATTAGTCAGGGTTCTCCAGAGAAACAGAACCAGTAGAATATGTGTGCATGCACACGGGTGTGTGTGTGTGAGTGTGTGTGTGTGCGTGCAAATGTTTATTTAAAGAGACATTATAAGGAATTGGCTCATGCAATTATGGACACTGAGAAGACTCAAGATTTGCAGCTGGCAAGCTGGAAACCCAAGAGGGCTGATGGTGTAGTTCCAGTCTGAGTCCAAAGTGCTAAAAAGGCAGGAGAGCCAAGGCTGAGGCTGAGTCAGAAGGCAGGAGAAGACTGATGTCCCAGTTCTAAGACAGTCAGGCAGAGCAGGAGAATTCCTTCTCACTGTGCCTTTGGTTCTATTCTGGCCTTCAATGGACTGGAGGAGGTGCACCTACACTGGGGAAGGCAACCTGCTTTGCACAGTCCACCAATTCAAATGTTAACCTCATCCAAAACACCCTCACAGTCATGCTCAGAATGTTTAACCAAATATTTGGGTGTCTCTTGGCCCAGTCAAGTTGACACATAAAACTAGCCATCAAGTCTCCCACAGAAAGTAGTGTTTCAAATTTAATAAGTAAAATCTTCCTAAGCCTTAAAGCAACTCTCAAAAATCCAAAAAAAAAAAAAAAAATAGACACAGAAATGTAACAGTTAAGATTCTCTCTCTCTCTCTCTTTTTTTTTTTTTTTGAGGCAGGGTCTTGCTTTGTCACCTAGGCTAGAGTGCAGTTGGCACTAAGACAGCTCACTACAGCCTTGACCTCCTAGGCTCCAGGGATCCTCCACTTCAGCCTCCTGACTACAGACACCTGCTACCATACCCAGCTAAATTGTTCTGTTTTGTTTTGTTCTGTTTTTTTGGTAGAGACGGGGTTTCACCATGTTGCTCAGGCTGGTCTCGGACTCCTGGGCTCAAGTGATCCACCTGCCTCAGCCTCCCAAAGTGCTGGGATTACAGGTGTGAGCCACCGTGCCAGGCCAGATTCTCTTAACTGTTTCAAACATCTTAAAACTGAAGTACATATGAAATGGTGGAATGATTACAGAACTCCTTATTACAGATAAACTAACCAGCATAAATGTATCAATGGAAAATTTGAATAGATTCTTTTATTCTTCCTGGGGTTACAGACATACTCTCCTAACCCAAGGTCACAGAGCCATCATCTCAGGCCGCTTCATGCTGAGGTGCAGTAAGCTGAGCTGCTGGGGGGTCCTCGTGCGCAGGACAGGGGGCCAGAAAGGCTTCCAGGAGATTCATCATAAGCTGGGCTCTATTAGGCTGGGTATCTGTGGGCAGAATTAGACTATCCAAGACTATTTATCTTTTCTGTTATAGTAGGATCCTCCATAAATTTTCTTTGCCTGAGTAGAGCTGTTAAGATTCTGGACCCCCTACTAGGATTGCAATGAATCTTTTAACTGCTTGATTTGCAATAATGAAATTGTGAAGTTGACCAAAACTTGAGTACTTGAATATAGTATGCGTGTAGTTCAGCTTGGTCAATCAACTGTAAACATCATTAAAATATTGTACATGCCTTTCTTCTTCTTTATTTCTTTTCTCTTTCTTTTTGTTTCCTTTAACATGCCTCATACGGCTCTGCAGAGAACTATTGCTTTCTTTCAAATGCGAAAACCATCATACTTTGCTGATTGAGAGTCCCTTTAAGCCGACTTCTTTAGCCTTTAAAACTGCTCTGGATAGTTTTGGAAGCATACTTTCTTTCTGGCAGCAAATTGATGCTTCAGACCCATCTTAATTATCCTTGCTCTAGGATGTAAATTATCCTTGCTCAGATACTTTTCAAGGAACCCTCGTTCCTTTTACTGGGGAACTGCATTTGAGACCAAAATTCCTTTTACTGGGGAACTGCATTTGAGACCAAAATCTGGGTGCTTTGGGCACATGTGAGGTCACTCTATTTGATGCTGGGAGTGAGTGACAGCACAGTAGGCCACATGAGAGGCAGACCCAGAAAAAAATATATATATATAAATTTATCTTTATTTTTATTATTTTTTTTTTGAGACAGAGTCTTGCTGTATCACCCAGGCTGGAGTGCAGTGGCGTGATCTCAGCTCACTGTAACCTCTGCCTCCTGGGTTCAAACAATTCTCCTCCCTCAGCCTCCCAAGTAACTGGGACTGCAAGCATGTGCTACCATGCCCAGCTAATTTTTCATATTTTTAGTAGAGATGGGGTTTCACTATATTGGCCAGGCTGGTCTTGAACTCCTGACCTCGTGATCTGCCCACCTCGGCCTCCCAAAGTGCTGGGATTACCGGCGTGAGCCACCGCACCTGGCCCAAGATATATTTTTTAAATGTCAAGGGATCATATCATTGTTTTCAGTTTAACTCAACTGATAATTCAAACCTGTTCAAATATATAAAGATTTTCATTTTTTTGGTCTTCTCTGAGATACTAGCTTCTCTTATTGCCAAGTACACAATATCCTTTTACTAACTGCAACCTGCCATGCTCTATATTGTGACCCTCAGAGACCGAATCCAGTCCTGGATTCCTTGCTGGCCTGCGCTGTACCTCCACTTCACCCTCTTGCTCCTTATTTTTCCATCAGCTATCATTCCTTAGTATCTTTTTGACATCAGAAGCTGGGAATTCTGGTGATGACTGTAGTGTGAATTGTTTGAGTAAAACCGACTCATTGAGTGATAAATAAAATGACTTTTTTCCCCTGTGAACCTCATCTGACTGGAGAAATGACTTTATTTTTCCAGTGATTGCTGTAAACTGCCAGATGTCCAGCTTACTAGCAGCTTTCCTCAATGATGCAGTCTGTAATTTGTTAGTCAATATCAGTTGCTAACACAGTCTGATTTTGGTTAAAACTCAGTCTTATTGTCTGCTTTAAAACTTCACTCTCATATTTCACCCAGGGCTGCCCCTACCACATCAGCACCTCACTCCCAGGGTAGACTAAACTTGCTGTTCCAATGGCTTGGAGCCAGGGGTGGGATTGGGGTGCTCTCTCACCGATTGCTCTTTTCCTAGGGCTTCTTTTTTTTTATTTCTTCTAAAAAAAAAAAGGGATACATGTGCAGAATGTGCAGGTTTGTTACATAGGTATATGTGTCACGGTGGTTTGCTGCACCTATTAACCTGTCCTCTAAGTTCCCTCCCCTCACCCGCCACCCACCAACAGGCCCTGGTGTGTGTTGTTCCCCTCTCTGTGGCCATGTGTTCTCATTGTTCAACTCCCACTTATGAGTGAGAACATGGAGTATTTGGTTTTCTGTTCCTGTGTTAGTTTGCTGAGGATGATGGCTTCCAGATTCATCCATGTCCCTGCACAGGACATGATCTCATTCCTTTTTATGGCTGCAGAGTATTCCGTGGTGTATAGTACCACATTTTCTTTATTCAGTCTATCATTTATGGGCATTTAAGTTGGTTTCACGTCTTTGCTATTGTAAACAGTGCCGCAATAAAAATACGTGTGCATGTGTCTTTATAGTAGAATGATTTATATTCCTTTGGGTATACACCCAGTAATGGGATTGCTGGGTCAAATGGTATTTCTGGTTCTATATCCTTGCAGAATCACCACACTGTCTTCCATATTGGTTGAACTAATTTACTTTCCCACTAACAGTGTAAAAGCGTTCCTATTTCTCCACAGCCTTGTCAGCATCTATTGTTTCCTGACTTTTAATAATCGCCATTCTGATTGGTGTGAGATGGTATCTCATTGTGGTTTTGATTTGCATTTCTCTGATGATAAGTGATGTTGAGCTCTTTTTCATGTTTGTTGGCTGCATAAATGTCTTCTTTTGATAAGTGTCTGTTCATATCCTTTGCTCACTTTTTGATGGGGTCATTTGTTTATTTTCCTGTAAATTTAAGTTCCTTGTAAATTCTGGATATTAGACCTTTGTCAGATGGGTAGATTGTAAACATTTTCTCCCATTCTGTAGGTTGTTCACACTGACGATAGTTTCTTTTGCTGTGTAGAAGCTCTTTAGTTTAATTAGATCCCATTTGTCAATTTTGGCTTTTGTTGCCATTGCTTTTGGTGTTTTAGTCATGAAGTCTTTGCCCATGCCTATGTCCTGAATGGTATTGCCTAGGTTTTCTTCCAGGGTTTTTGGGTTTTACATTTAAGTCTTTAATCCATCTTGAATTAATTTTTGTATAAGGTGTAAGGAAGGGGTCCAGTTTCAGTCTTCTGCATATGGCTAGCCAGTTTTCCCAACACCATTTACTGAATAGGCGATCCTTTCCCCATGGCTTGTTTTTGTCAGGTTTGTCAAAGATCAGATGGTTGTAGATGTGTGGTGTTATTTCTGAGGTTTCTGTTCTGCTCCATTGGTTTTTATATATCTGTTTTGGTACCAGTACCATGCCGTCTTGGTTACTGTAGCCTTGTAGTATAGTTTGAAGTCAGGTAGCGTGATGCCTCCAGCTTTGTTCTTTTTGCTTAGACTTGTCTTGGCTATACAGGGTCTTCTTTGATTCCATATGAAATTTAAAATTTTTTTTTCTAATTCTGTGAAGAATGTCAATGGTAGTTCCATAGGAATAGCATTAAATCTATAAATTACTTTGGGTAGCATGATCGTTTTCACGATATTGATTCTTCCTACCCATGAGGATGGAATGTTTTTCCATTTGTTTGTGTCCTCTCTTATTTCCTTGAGAAGTGGTTTGTAGTTCTCCTTGAAGAAGTCCTTCAAGTCCCTTGTTGGCTGTATTCCTAGGTATTTTCTTCTCTTTGTAGCGACTGTGAATGGGAGTTCATTCATGATTTGGCTCTCTGCTTGTCTATTGCTGGTATAAAGGAATGCTTGTGATTTTTACACATTGATTTTGTATCCTGAGACTTTGCTGAAGTTGCTTATCAGTTCAATGACAGGGTTTTCTAAATATAACATCATGTCATCTGCAAACAGAGACAATTTGACTTCCTCTCTTCCTATTTGAATACCCTTTATTTCTTTCTCTTGCTTGATTGCCCTGGCCAGAACTTCCAATACTATGTTGAATAGGAGTGGTGAGAGAGGGCATCCTTGTCATGTTCTGGTTTTCTTTCTTTCTTTTTCTTTTCTTCTTTTTTTTTTTTTTTGAGACAGCGTTTCACTCTTGTTGCCCAAGCTGGAGTGCAAATGATACAGTCTCGGCTCACTGCAACCTCCGCCTCCCAAGTTCAAGCAATTCTCCTGTCTCAGCCTCATGAGTAGCTGGGATTACAGGCATGTGCCACCACACCTGGCTAATTTTGTATTTTTAGTAGAGACAGGGTTTCTGCATGTTGGTCAGGCTTGTCTTGAACTCCCAACCTCAGGTGATCCACCCGCCTCAGCCTCCCAAAGTGTTGGGATTACAGGTGTGAACCACTGCAACCGGCCTTGTGCCGGTTTTCAAAAGGAATGCTTCCAGCTTTTGCCCATTCAATATGATGTTGGCTGTGGGTTTGTCATAAATAGCTCTGATTATTTTGAGATATGTTCCATCAATACCTAGTTTATTGAGAGTTTTTAGCGTGAAGGGATGTTGAATTTTTTCAAAGGCGTTTTCTGCATCTATTGAGATAATCATGGAGTTTCTGTCTTTGGTTCTGTTTATGTGATGGATTATGTTTATTGATTTGTGTATGTTGAACAAGCCTTGCATCCCAGGGATGAAACCGATTTGATCGTGCGGATAAGTTTTTTGACGTGCTGCTGGATTCGGTTTGCCAGTATTTCACTGAGGATATTCACATCAATGTTCATCAGGGATATTGGCCTGAAGTTTTCTTTTTTTGTTGTGTCTTTCCCTGGTTTTGGTATCAGGATGATGCAGGCTTCACAAAATGAGTTAGGGAGGAGTCCCTCCTTTTCAATTGTTTGGAATAGTTTCAGAAGGAATGATAGTACCAGCTCCTCTTTGTATTTCTGGTAGAATACAGCTGTGAATCCATCTGGTCCTGGGCTTTTTTTGATTGGTAGGCTATTAATTACTGCCTTACTTTTAGAACTTGTTATTGGTCTATTCAAGGATTCGACTTCTTCCTAGTGTAGTCTTGGGAGAGTGTATGTGTCCAGGAATTTATCCATTTCTTCCAGATTTTCTAGTTTATTTGCGTGGAGGTGTTTATAGTATTCTCTGATGGTAGTTTGTATTTCTGTGGGGTCAGTGGTGATATTCCCTTTGTAATTTTTTATTGTGTCTATTTGATTCTTCTCTCTTTTCTTCTTTGTTAGTCTAAAGTGGTCTATTTTGTTAATTTAAAAAAAACAGTTACTGGATTCATTTATTTTTTGGAGGGTTTTTCATGTCTCTATCTCCTTCAATTTTTCTCCGATCTTAGTTATTTCTTGTCTTATGCTAGCTTTTGGATTAATTTGTTCTTGCCTCTCTAGCTCTTTTAATTGTGATATTAGGGTGTCAATTTGAGATATTTCAAGCTTTCTGATGTGAGCATTTAGTGCTATAAATTTCCCTCTTCACACTGCTTTAGCTGTGTCCCAGAGAAGCTGGTATGTTGTCTCTTTGTTCTCGTTGGTTTCAAAGAAATTCTTGATATCTGCCTTAATTTCATGATTCACCCAGGAGTCATTCAGGAGCAGGTTGTTCAATCTCCAGGTAATTGTGTGGTTTTGAGTGAGTTTCTTAATCCTGAGTTCTAATTTGATTGCCCTGTGGCCTGAGAGACTGTTTGTTATGATTTCAGTTCTTTCGCATTTGCTGAGGAGGGTTTTACTTCCAGTTATGTGGTCGATTTTAGAATAAGTACCATGTGGCACTGAGAAGAATGTATATTCTGTTGATTTGAGTAGAGAGTTCTGTAGATGTCTACTAGGTCCACTTGATCCAAAGCTGAGTTCAAGTCCTGATTAGCCTTGTTAATTTTCTGTCTCATAGATCTGTCTAGTACTGACAGTGAGATGTTAATGTCTCCCCCTATTATTGCGTGGGAGTCTAAGTCTCTTCACAGGTCTCTAAGAACTTGTTTTATGAATCTGGGTGCTCCTGTATTGGGTGCATATATATTTAGAATAGCTAGCTCTTCTTGTTGAAGAAGAAGGGCACCTCAGCCTGAAGCAGGGGTGAGGACTTCTGGAAGGTGGGGGGTGGGGAGGTTTGGGTGCATAACAGATCCATTGGCACCCCAAGGATGGCCAGCTTGGAGCTTCAGGCAGTGGTGAGCTTGGGAGTAGCCTGTCCCTAGATTCAGCCTCAAATGAGGTCAACTTCCACCACCAGGGACAGTAAGCACAAAAAAAGCACCCCACATTTGGTGGGCCTCTAGCTTTTGAGATATTGACAGCTGGACCTGAGACAGGGCACACACTCTGTGTGTGTATATGTATTTGTGTGTGTGTGTGTGTGTGTGTGTATGTGTAAAGCTTGCACTATTGGTTATGGGGGTGTGTGGGAGGGATAAGCATTCTTTGACTACCTTATATATACACCTCAAAGTGCATTGCTTCCTTGAAAAGTCTTTTCACAGTGGTTTTAACAAACTTCCTGTAAACAGAGTATCAGAAATGAAATACTTTTCTAAGAACACACCACTTTTAGAGAATGGGTCACCAGACCCCTGGGTCCATGCCTTGGCCAAGATCTGATCAGGCTTTTTGGTGGTAAGAAGCAGAGTCACTTAAGCTTTTTCAGGACAGAGGTGGTTTTCAGGTTGGGCCCTGTTCCAGGGGCTGGCTGGGAACGGGGGCAGGAACTCAGCAATGGGTGTGCTTGGGTTCTATCCCAGCTTGCTTCTTGCTATCTCTTGGTGCATCTACTTTTTTCCTCGTGTTTTCCAAACACCAAAAACCCACTTCTTCTTTGCCTACAACTTCAGTCACTCATGGCCCATCGCAGCTGCCCCGCCCAATTTCTCCATTTTATAACTGTCCAGCTTCTGTCCTTGTTGCTAACTTGCTTGGTCTCTCTCTACTTCCTGGTCTAAATTCCTGAAAGAAGGGATAAGGTAAGCTCAGCCTGTCTTGTAATGCCAGACTATCAGTTTCTGGCCTGCCTGGCTTGCTCTGATGGGGCTCATGGTGAGGAGGAAGGGGAGGGGTGCTGTGGCTCTCCCTCACGGTAAGGGGCTGCCCATTTTCTTGGTGCTCCCAGGCCTCCTGCAAGATGTCCTCCAGGAGAGGTAGGTCTCCTTGCCTTCATGTTGAAACACCTCTCTGTGATGCCATCTAGTGAGAGAGAGCAGGAGGCCAGTGGTCTTAATCCAAAAGGGAAGGCTGCATGGTTTGGGCAAAGAGACCTGAGAGGGATGTCTCCATATCTTTGGAAGAGACATGAGTAGCCCTGGGCCAAGTCCATTCCCCTACCTTCAGGGAGTCCATACTCTAATCATCTCCACTCTTTAAACATTTACCGAAACCCATCCTCAAAACCCTGCTGGAAGAGAGAGACTTTGTGTGTGTGTGTGTGTGTGTGTGTGTGTGTGTGTGTTTTGAGAAAGAGTCTAACTCTGTCACCCAGGCTAGAGTGCAGTGGTGTGGCGATAATGGCTCACTGCAGCCTTGACCTCGTGAGTTCAAGCAGTTTTTCTACTTCAGCCTCTTGGGTAGCTGGGACTGCAAGCACGTGCCACCATGCTTGGCTAATTAATTTTTTTGTAGAGACGAAGTCTCACTATGTTGCCCAGGCTGGTCTCAAACTCCTGGGCTCAAGCGATGCTCCTGCCTTAGCCTCCCAAAGTGCTAAGGCACTTCAGACTGTGAGCCACCACGCCTGGCCTAGTGTTCTTTAGTGCAATGCTCCATCTCCTTCACCATCTGGAGAGTTCTCTTTCATGCATAGATCCCAACATAGCTATTGGAGCACAGGAGATGAATGGGTGGAGGGTAGAAAGGATAACTGAAGAAGATGCAGTGGTGAGTGAGGACTCAGCTTCACTCCCTTAACAAATAAATATTGTGATCCTAATAACAGCTAATATTTATTGTGTATTTATTGTGCATTGTGCTACCAGGATGATCTCATTTAACCTCACAACAATTCTATGACGTCAATACTGTTACTTCCCCTTCTTTAATAAAAAGCAAGGAAACTGCATGGACTTGATAAATTTACAGAGATTCCACCAATACTTACCAGGGTGGGGCTAGACGACATTCCATGTCCTTCCATCTCGGATGTTCTGGATTCTAAATTTTATCTATTAGAACCAACTCCTATATTTTTTATAGCAAATAGACTCTATGAACATACTTGTCCGTGAAAATGTAAATGAATATTAGATACATAGTTTTCACATTTCTTTTATATTCCTTAATTCAACAAACATTATTGCTATTGTTTTGAGACAGGGTCTTGCTCTGTTGCCCAGGCTGGAGTGCAGTGGCACAATCTTGGCTCACTGCAGCCTCAGCCTCCTGGGGTCAAGTGATCCTTCCATCTTACCCTCCCCAGTAGCTGGGACCACAGATGTGCACCAACACACCTGGCTAATCTTTTTTGTATTTTTTGTAGAGATGGGGTTTTGCCATGTTGCCCAGGCTGGTCTTGAATGCCTGAGCTCAAGCAATCCGTCCACCTCGGTCTCCTAAGGTGCTGGGATTACAGACATGAGCCACTGCACCTAGCCAATTTTTAAAAAATTGAGACAGGGTCTTGCTCTGTTGCCCAGGCTGGAGTGTGGTGGCATAATGTCGGCTTACTGCAGCCTTGACCTCTCAGGCTCAAGTGATCCTTCCACCTCAGCCTCCCAAGTAGCTGGGCATGGGCCACCATGCCCGGCCAATTTTTGTGTTTTTTGTAGAGGCAGGTTTTCACCATGTTGCCCAGGGTGGTCTTGAACTCCTGGGCTCAAGGGATCTACCTGCCTCAGCCTCCCAAAGTGCAGGGACTACAGGTGTGAGCCACCATACCCAGCCTCAAAAAACATTTATTGAGAGCCTGCATTGTGCCAAACATCTTGCTGCATGCTGGGGATACAGAAATGAGTAAGACATGGCTGCTGCTGGGTGGGGCAAACTTGCCAGCTGATTTCTTTAGAGCAAAGGACATTTGCTAATTTGTATTTTTTTCTATATTACATGTTTTAAAGAATAAGCAATTAAGTAAAATACAAATATCATCACATAATATCTTTACTCTTAGAGACTCCAAAGCTGAAAGTTTAAATAAAAAGTTAAAAAATGTAAATCTGTAATATTTTCATTGATTACCATGTAGTAGAGAGAAGAGTGGACTGGGTACCAGGATCATGGCTCACTGCAGCCTTGACTACCTGGGCTCAGGTGAGCCTCCCACCCCAGCCCCCCAGGTAGCTGGGACTACAGGTACACACCACCACGCCTGGCTAGGCAACGAAACCTTTGCAGGAAACCAAGATCCTGCCCAAACCTGGCTCTTCTGCTAATTGGGTAAGTCCATGAAGCTTTCTGGGCCTGAGTTTCTGCATAAAATCACACTAATAACAGCTACTTTATGTCTTAGAATGTTTTGAGGATCATTGAGAAAATACTTCACAAACCGGAAGTTCTAGAAAGGAAAGCAATAATAATCACTTCTAAAATGAAGCTGCTTGGCCAGGCATGGTGGCTCATGCCTGTAATCCCAGCACTTTGAGAGGCTGAGGCGGGTGGATCACTTGAAGTCAGGAGTTTGAGACAAGCCTGGCCAATATGGTGAAACCCCATCTGTACTAAAAATAGAAAAATTAGCCGGGCGTGGTGGCGGGTCCCTGTAATCCCAGCTACTTGAGAGGCTGAGGCAGGAGAATCGCTGGAACCTGGGAGGCAGAGGTTGCAGTGAGCCGAGATTGTGCCACTGCACTCCAGCCTAGGTGACAGAGCAAGACTCTGCCTCAAAAGAAAAAAAAATGAAGTGACTGCAGTGAAGTATCCCGATTCTTCGGTTACAGGTATCTTTGGCCTTAGAAGGAGAATGGCATGATAACCCGAGTTAATGCAAGACAGGGGAACTGGCAGGTCTTCAGAAACAGCTGTTGAACCCAGGGATACTCATTCCCTTGGCCAGCCCCTGATTATGGCCATGGTCTCTAAGGAACCCGGATGATTGATCCCATAGGGAGTCCCCAAACATCACGTGGTCAACGATTTCACCGAAGGAACTTTTTCTGATGGACTCATTATGGAAGAAAATACATATAAGCCTTCTTTGCCTTTTCCACCTAAAAGTGGTCTGAAACAAGGAAGAAAAGCACAGATGATGATCTGATAAATATTATTTGGAAGTCGATTTGGTGGAAACGGGTTACAACTTGGGAGTCAGGAGAGGCCTTTCTTGTGGCAACCACCAGGTGGCACCAGATCCCCAACACAGTCAATACAATCTTTCCAAGGGGCCACGACCTTTTCAACCTGGGGAGAGCAGGGAAATAAGAGAAATTGGCTCTTGTTTATAGGTGGGGAAACTGAAATGGACATAAGTACATGCACTGACATGGGAACAGGCTCAAAGTCTGGAGCCAGAAAGTTCACACCAACAATGCAATGTGGGGCACCCAGCAAGAAAGGGAGATTGGGTAGGTGGAAGTAGCCAGGGATTCAGTAGCTGCTGGTTGGATGTTGGTGAACGAAGTGATGTGCACAGCATGGTATTAAGCGTGGATGCTGAGGGAAGCAATTCCCTGAACAAACATTGCCTGGGCCCTTCCTCTCCACAGAAGCAGGGACTAGGTAGGCCTTGCCTCAGAGGTCAGTACAGGGGCCAAGGGGCAGAGGCCTGGGGAAACCTTAGGTGAGAAGGACACTAAGCAAGAAGGTGGTGAGGTCATAGGGAATAGCATGTGCAGAGGCCCAGGGGTGCGGACGAGTGGGTTATGCTTCGGAAACTGCTAGTAGGTCAGGCCAGTGACTGGTTAATGTGGAGGAGGAATGCAGAGGAGCACATGGGAGCCCTTGGGGGCCTTAAAAATTACCCACAAGAAGGATAAACCAGAAACTAAAGAGATGGTTGCCCACAGTGGGAAGGGTGGGTACCCATGGGGCAGCAAGATGGCGGAATGGAGATGGATTGGGAATGAGAAGGAATGATACTTCTCTGAGTATCTTTGTATTTAGAGCCATCGTAATGTTCCACGTACCCTGAAATAAATAATTAAACCCAACTAGCGTGTAGGGGAACCCAAGATGAAATACAAACAGTAACACATGAACCTAACTCATATGAAAACACAACCACACTGATGGGAGTAGGAGACAAAGAAAGCAACAGAACCAGCCCAGGCAATTCGGGAACCAGTATTTTAACTGGACTCTATAAAGCCAAAGTAAAAAGGACACCAATACTGTAATGTAGTTAGTAAATGTGTTTCTCGCAAGGAGATGTGTTAGCAAATGGGATGTTACTTTACGGATACACCAAGCAACACATAAGGTAATACATCGTAGATGATGGGAGCTAAGCTGCTCACTGTAGGGGAAAGAAGTTACAATTAAGGAAAGGAGGAAGGCCAAAACAAACCCCAGGTGTTGGACTGGAATTGGAAGCATCAGTATCAATGCGTTTTTTTTTTTTTCTTTTTCTTTTTTTTTTTTGAGACAGGCTCTCATTCTGTCACCAGGGCTGGAGTGCAGTGGTGTGATCATGGCTCACTGCAGCCTCGACTTCCTGGGCTCAGGTGATCTTTCCACCTCAGCCTCCCAGGTAGCTGGGACTACAGGTGTTTGCCACCATGCCTGGCTAAATTTTCTGTATTTTTGTATTTTTAGTAGAGATGAGGTTTTGCCATGTTGCCCAGGCTGGTCTCAAACTCCTAGGCTCAAGCGATCTGCTCACCTTGGCCTTCCAAAGTGCTAGCATTACAGGCGTGAGCCACCACGCCTGGCCATAATTCATGTTTTTTGATATATATACAAGACATAAAGATAGAGAGATGAAAATGTGTGTGTGTGTGTGTGTGTGTGTGCGTGTTGAGGGGGGCTCAGTATAAATACTTGTATTTTCTAGCTCTGGCCACTGAGAGGGCTCGGAAGCAATTGGACCACAGTAGCAACAAGTACCAGTTGCTGTAGCAGGTCTTGATTTCTAAATGCCATTCTCCAGTGAAAGGAACCAGGGCTCCTTGGAGAAATGGTTGATTCCAGGGCTGACGTGGGAAAGATACAGATGAGTCTGGAATATACTGTGATGCTGGAAGGTAAAGATGTGCTTAGGAAAGGTCGAGGATGCACTGAAAGGTCAGAGGTGTAACCTGAGGGGCTCCCAATGGCCAGAGCTGGAACAATTTGAGAACAAAATAAACAACGGTAGTGTTGGATTATAACCTATATAATAAAATAAATGTCCATGATTCCATGCTGATATAAAAATCTACTGAATAAAGAAGTAACTAAATGACGGTGAGGGACAGCTCATGGACATTATCATTAAGTGGACATCATGGTAATGGTTGTGGCAGACAAGACCCACTCACCAATGGATGCTAAAGTGGGAATTCATATAAAGATACGTAGATACAGAGTGGGAAAAAAGCTGAGGAGAAACAGGATGTTTGCATAATCTCAAAGTCTCTCCCCATGATTATATTAATGTCCCAGTGGAGAAACTTGGCAGACACCACTTTAGCCAAGCAACCAAGGTAAACATCACCAGTAAGAAGACATATCGACATCACAAGCCCCTTGATAAGATGCACCAAGAAGGACATAACGCTTCTGTGGAATTCTTGCAAAAATGCATAACCTCACCCTAGTCTTGGGAAAGCATTAGACACACACACACTCTGAAGGCCAGTCTACAAAACAACTGTCAAAGGTGTCAAGGTCACAAATGATGAGAAAAGACTGAGGGACTGTCACAGATGAGGAGAAGAAGGGGACACGTTGACCAATCGCAGTGTGGACTCCTGGAACACTGAACGGACATTACTCAATAAAGCTGTACCGATTGTAATTTCCTGTTTCTGATCATTGTCACGCAGGAGATGTTAATGTTAGAGGAATCTGAGTAAAATATAGATGGCAACTTTCTGTACTATTTTGCAAGTTTTCCTTTAGTTTAAAAATATTTCTAAATAAAAAGTTTTTAAAAAATGACTGATGCTTATGTCCTGCCCTGTGAGTGAAGGGCAACTTTCATGTTTGAGCTCTTGTTTTATGCCAGGTATACTCTGCACATTTCCTAATTGAATCCTCACAACCCCATGTAAGGTGAGCACTTGTCTTTGCATGAGGGGAAAATGAAGTTCAGAAATGTTAAGAAGGCCACATAGTGAGTAAGAGCAGGACTGGGATTCAGAATCAATGAGTTAATGAAGACTACAAACATACAGTCTGATACCAGCTATTTAAATGTATTCATAGAAAAATGAGTGGAGGGAATACATCCAAATATATTTGGATAATTTTGGGTTATTATAACACAACCCAAATGTCATCAGCCTTCCTGGCCTGTGCATATGAAGGCAGTCATGTTCACAAACACAATACTGAGGCCTGGTTTTTACTGACATGTGTTCACTGGAACTCCTGGCTCCCTTGCAGTGACCTCCTGCTCCAGGTGCTTCTGTGAGTTCCCAGGAGGATGCTTCCTCCTGGGAAACTGGTGCAAGCTCTAGTCACCTCACAGTGTCCTCTCCAGGTCCAGGTCCCCTGCCACTGTCTGCCACCTGCACAGCTATGTGGGGAGCCAGCATTCATACCAGTATTGCTCTTCCAAAGCCAAATCTAGTGATGCCCCAGGGATGGAGGGGGCTGCTTCTGCAGAGGTGGGAGAGCATCCCCTCCCCAAAACCAGTCTCCCACCACACCACACCTCCAAAAGACCCCCAGAAACAGCTGCCAGTGCCCGGCTCTTAGTCTCTCATCACATGTTGCTCAGAAGCATTCCGGCACTAAACACCGCACCAAGAAGCTAACAACGCTGTCATCATCCTAACTCCATTTTATTTTTAAATATAAGATTTATAATTATCACTTAAAAGATATATACATCCTCTACATTTCATTTTTTTATCCAGAAACTTTAATTGCAGAGATGGCTGGCATGTAAATGGACGCAAGGGGCCACAGTGGCCCACGGAAAGCAAATGGAAGGGACTGACCTACTGGTGACTTTCATTCTAGAATCAGGTATGTGTTGAGTGCTTTGCCCCGCAGGTTCCTCATCTCCTCGAGCAGCTTCTCTCCGGCCTTCTCTGCTGGTTGTGCTTGATCTTTCACTTCTCTGAGTATCAAAAAACCCAAGAAGGAAACATGAGGACACTTAATAAAACCACGCAAATCACCCCCCGCCAGCAGTGCTGGTGAAGGTCGGAGGAGCATTTCGTTTAATATACAAAGAAGGTTTTCACCACAGTTAGTGATAGTTTACTTACCAGTGAAAACACTCAGCTTATGAATGATTCAAACCTGGCTTCTGGCCTCAGCTGCATCAGTTTCTGAGCATGGGCAAGTTACCCAAGAATCCACAGCCCCTGTTTCCTGATGTGCGAATGGTGTAATTCCCATCTCCCAGCATTGTAGCAAAGGTGAAATGAGATCTTATTCACAGAGATCCTGGTGTGAGGTCTTCTAAGTGCTCAGTCAATGCTGGCTGGTTTTTCATCTTTATGAATGAGGTAGATACACACTATTTCTAACTCTGGCAATGGCTCCAGAAGAGTGAGCACCTCAGGGAGAGTTGTGCACCTGGACCAAGTAGTGGCTGAGTGGAGCCGAGGCTGATGTTGGTGTGGCGGGGGTTGCTGGGTAGAACTTTGACTGGACGTGGTGTAAAATGAGGCTATCAATTGATGGGTGCAGTGGGAGTAGACAAAGGGCGGAGAGATGGGGAGGACCTGGGCTTCTTAGGGGCCAGCTTGCCTCTTGGTGGGCTGGGGCCAAGGGTTAAGATGGAGACTCGGCTCAGAGACTGTCATGGTGCTCACCAGCATCCAGATATGTGGGAGGAAATGACGAGTGTTTTGGTTAAAAGGCCATATGTCTTGTTCAAAGACTGTGAACTCAGCTATATAATCTGCTTGGGCAATATAAATCCAATATAAAATAAAGTGCTTCTGAGACATTTTTGAAAAGAGGGTGACATGTTTGGCAAATGGCTGACAGTTTTGGAAAACCAGAAATACCTGAAAATGGAGAATTAAGATGTTCCCTAATGCACATAATTAAAGAAATTAATTGGTACCATTTTATGGAATCATGTCTAAAAATATATAGATCCTGTCTCCCCTTAGAGATACTAATGATTGAGTAATACTGTGTTGATCTAAGGAGTGCTGAAAAATGTGTCAGCAACTAAAGTCACAGTCTCACAGTTCCTTGAACATTTTGTGGGGAATGTGATTCCCCTGTGGGTCTTGAAAGGGCCAAGACCGCTGTCCAGGCAGCAGAGAATCTCTCTGGTGAATTTCAGCCATTGAGTGAGAGCAGATGATTCTTTGCATCCATGAAAATAAATGTTTGCCAGAAACCAAATAAAGAACAGTCTTCAGGGGGAAATGGGACACTGCTGATGTGTTCTTTTTGTTCCGTCCCTGTCTGTCCAGGCTCTGGGTGTCTGGCAGGGAGGACTCTGTTGGCTTCTGGCTGGAGAGAAGGAGGTGAGGAAGAGGAAAAAGTAAGAACAGAGAAGGAAAAACTGAGCACAGGATTAGGCTTGATGTGAGCTGAGGAGAGTTTCTGAACCAAATCACTTTTGAAAATGGTCTGTGGGATATCAACTTGCTGAAATACTATGCAGCCAATAAAATGATAATTATGTTGACAATTTTCGTTCACAAAAAATGTACATAAAATAATTTTACCTGCCAAAGAGGTAAATTAAAAATGTCATGGAAATGTTTATTGCAAATGTGTGAAATGTATGTATGTTTTTTGAAAAAATTAGAAGCTGACTTGGTGTGCAGAAAATGTTTATAGTTCATTGTTAGTTTGTTTTTCTGTAAAGTACTAAAAATACGTAAAAAATGATATACCACTTTGAGTGAATATGTAAAGTAATAAATTCTATTTCGTTTAATGATAATTTGATAACCAAATGCCATTCAACATTAGCTCCATGGTATGAAGAGTGAAGACTCATGTAAAAGAGCAAGTGAGTAGATAGGTATTGAATATTACCTTGCTCCTGGGGCAAGCCATTCTATGTCCAGAGGTAATATTTGAAGTAGAAAAAAAAAAAGGTTTTCATTTAAAACCCTAGGTCAGTTTTTTGAAACTTGAAGCAAAACACAAAGTGCATCTATGTGTTGAGGTGCAAGAGGTTTTATGTGCTGGGTAGCAGAACACAATATTCTATTAATTAACTAATTAATTAATTAATTAACTGATCAAAACAGATGCTTACTGGAATTCCATTTAAAATTTTGTTTCTTACATTTTCTTTTACCAGAAACTGCCAATCTGTTTTCTGAGCAGTGTTGGCTGCTGCAGGTCTCTGGAACTATCACAGACAAACCAGAGAGACCTCATACAGCTCTAAGAAATGTGAGCATTCCTTTCAGAAAAGGCAGGCCCCCCACAACAAAGTAGACGACAAACTGAGAAAATAAATTTGCAGCATATATAAGAAAGGGTAATTATCTTTAATAAATGAGGGACTCTTGCAAATAAGGAAGAAATATAGGCAAAATAGGCAAAACAAGTCCCTCATAAAAGAAGAGAAATGGTTGAAAAGCATAGATAAGTTTTTAGTATAACTTGTAAACAAAGAATTAAAATAATGAGATGGTCTTTTAAAAAGTTCTGTCTCATTGATAAAGATGAAAAAAAAAGATGACACTATTCCATGTTGTCCAGGGCATTTGAATGCAGGCAGCTCTAACCTCTACCAGTAGGAGAGATGGTAACACACTATCTGGATGGTCATTAAGCAATATATATTAAAACCTTAAAATGCGCATTGATCTAGAATTTATCCTAAGAAAACAGTCTGATAAGTTTGAAAGGAATTATAGCACAAGGATGTTTGTTGCAGAACTATTGATAACGGAAAACACTGCAAAGAGTTTACACGTTCATTGGCAGATTGTTGATTAAATAAATTATGGTACATCTACTCGGAAATATAATAATTCATATGTATATTTATAAGTATGTGCTTATGATATGTTGTTAAATAAAAGTGCAGAAGATAAAACAATATGTATAATATGATTGAATTTTGTTAAAACCATATGTATTTATATTTTATTTATTTATTTTTTTGAGATGGAGTTTTGCTCTTGTCACCCAGCTGGAGTGCAATGGCGCGATCTTGGCTCACTGAAACCTTTGCCTCCCAGGTTCAAGCGATTCTCCTGCCTCAGCCTCCCAAACACCTGGGATTATAGGCACCTGCCACCACGCCCAGCTAATTTTTGTATTTTTAGTAGAGATGGGGTTTCACCATTTTGGCCAGGCTGGTCTCTAACTGCTGACCTCAGGTGATCCACCCGCCCCAGCCTCCCAAAGCGCTGGGATTACAGGCATGAGCCACCACGCCCGGTATTTATATTTTAAACCACATATGATGGTTTCCATATATATGGAAAATATATATTTAACTATATATATTTAACCATATAATGTATATTTAAACCATATACATGGTTTAAAATATAAGTACATATATAAATACATAATATAAATATATAAATATAAATATATATCCATATTTTTGGAAGACCACACAACAAAATGTATGTTACTACCTTTGGATGGTTGTTTTTATCATATTTAAAATTTTTTATATTTTCTAATTTTTAACATAATATAAAGGCATTTTTCAAAGAAAAAGAATAAAAATAAAGTTTATACATGGAATTTCAAACTTATAAAGCATATGAACTATAGGTGGTTTACATTAAAAAGTATTCTTCAAAATTTTTGTTTTAATTTGTATTTCTTTCATTACAATGAGGAGGAACACATTTTATATGTTTATTACTGTGTTTTTGAAACCAATTTTTCAAGGGATGATGCTTGCTTGGCTAGTTAGCCCCTGATGGAGAGAAGGAGAGAACATTTACTGAGCTCTGGTTCACATCAGGCAACTGGTTAGGTGCTTCCATGGCTGGCATCTCATTTCATCCTTACATTTGCCCTGTGACAGACAGATTTTATTTTCTGCATGCTACAGATGAGGAAACTGAGGCTCAGAGTTGATAAGGACAATAACTTGGCTTGAGATTTTCTATGTACAAACGGTGCAGCTCCAGATGGTCTGGCTCCAGAGCCAGTTCTTTATACAGAATGAAACTCAATCAGCTATTAATGAGAAACAAACACATCCTGAAATTGATTGATAAGCACATGGAAAATTGATTTCAGTTTTTAAAGGCTTACTTGATAACAAGATTTCAGGGAGTGTAATTGTGCCTAAAATAAAATACACATCTAAATATATGAAGCACCAGAAATGTGTCTCTTTCAAAGACTGAGCTATTTAGACTCAGACAACATGACACTTTTGTACTTTATGCAGAACAAATTTCATCCAAGATTACCTTTTAATAAGGCATAAAAGCATCCACTTACTTCTCCTTCCTGATGTCCTTGTAGTTCAACATAGGGAATTCCACTTTGATCATTTCTGGAGTCAACATAACTTCTACATTCTGCTCACAGAGCTCACTGCAAAGTAATAAGATGTTTAGTGGGCACTGCTTTTCCTTCCCAGTGTAAAAATAGGAATGAAATATTGTGATCATTTAGGAGTTATGCAATTCTTGTGGTATTCAACTTTAGTTCCATCTACTTTTGTTGTTTACATTAAAAGAAGCATAAGGCTGATAAATTGCTGTCCACCAACAAACAATGGTAGGCATAATGGTAGTTATTTATAACCAGAGAATAAAAAGTAATTTTTAAAAATGGGGGTTACAGAATTCACATTATTTTCCAGTGCACATGGAACATTTACCAAAATTGACCATATCTTGGGCTATAAAGAAAGCCTGAAAGATTTCAAAAGACTAAAATTAGTCGGAATATGTTCTCTCTCCACAATGGAATTAGAATAGAAATCAACAGCAAAGAAGACAACTAGAAAGCCCACAATGGCTTTAAAATTAAACACTATATTGCTAAATAGTCTAGTTTTTTTTTTTTTTTCGATCTTTTTGTGGTCTGCTATCCCTTAGAGCCAGGGGTCAGTAAACTTTTTCTCTAGGGACTTAATGGGTCATATGGTCTTTGTTACAACTACACAACTTTTTTTTTTCTTGCTGTTGTAGCAAGAGAGAAATCATAGAAAAATACGTAAGTGAATGGGTGTGGTTGTGTTGCAATAATGCTTTATTTACAAATACAGGTGGTGGGCCACATTTGGTTCCGAGCTATAGTCTGCTGACCTCTGGCCTAGAGCTTTGTTGTTTGATGGTTCAGGCTGGGCCACTGCATGTTTGGGTTTCAGCTGGAGCAAAGCAGGGAGGGATGGTGTGCAGGAGACACACTCACTCTGTTCAGAGCTGACCTCAGGAATGGGCTGTATCTTGTCTGCTAACATTCCATCAGCAAACACTTAGTAAAATGGACAACTTAACTGCAAGGGAGGCTGGGAAACTTAGCCTCTAGTTTCAGTGATTCTCAGGACAACTAATTTTTTGACAGCACCCATCTCCACCACACTCAATTAGAGAAATGCTTCCAAGATCATCAAAGGGCAACAAAGGCTTCAGAAGTCTGGAATTACAAACAGGGACACTTTACTCAGCAGTGACATATGTAAAAAGAGGTGGGCATGACAATTTTCTATTAAGAAAAATACCCTTGAAATCTGCAAAAGTTGTTCTAGCCTCATTAGATTGAAAGCTAATATTTACTGAGTAGCTGCTATATGCAAATCACTATGCTGGCGCTTTGCAAACATTATCTTCCCATTAGCAGTTTCTTTGTCTCAAAGGTGGGCATAATAATAAGAGCTCATCATAAGGATTAAATGAGACTGTTTGCAAAGCACTCCCTGGCACACATTTAATGCTCAGTGAGTGTTGGTTATTATAATTACTATTCTCATCAGCATCAGCATCTCCTTTAATTCTGACAACCCTCTATGAAGTAGATACAACTATTCCCATTTCAAAGATGAGGAAACGGAGTCAAAATAGTGTGCACATCAGTGCTGAATGGAGGAGGAGTTGGGTATGTTTGTATCTGCTGAACATCTCCCCAGTGGGCCTGGCGGAAAGAAGCTGAAGCAAATATGAATCATCCCACCCTGGCTGCAGTCCTCTCAAGAAATGCTGTCATGCAGTGATTTGAGTAGATGGCAAATCAACATTCCTTTTCGGAACTGAAGTCCAAGCTCTAGAAGCTCAGGTATTGTCAAGTATCATTGCATGTGGGCAGGTCTTATTTGCCTCACATATTTAGGGTTCCACTAATTGATTACTTACTTGTAAAAATATACTTAAACTATCAATATAGTATGTGTTTATAAAAGAAAAAATAGAAACCGTAATCAACAAATACTTATTTTTGAGTATATATGGTGTGAAAGATGCTGTAGTCTCATGTGTAATAAACCATTTCCTGCAATCACAAGCAGGCTGGCAGTGATCCTAGTCTGATCATGACAGTGATAATTTGCTATCAGTGCTTGAGTTATCAGAATTTCTTTGCTTTATCACAGCTGATGGTGTAATTTAGAATGCAAAAGTTTTTATGTGTTAAGAATGAAAACATTTTTGAACAATGGAGCTAAGGAGTGCCTATCAGTAGGGTTGCTACAGGAGGCCAGGTCCTCAGATGGCCTCGGTCAACCCAGCTCTTCCCCCTCTTTCTTGCAATTCTTGGACAAGGATGTACTGAGAATGCAACATCCTAAGATAAACAACAGGGCTGTGTCCTTGTTCCTCTCAGAACAGAAAGTTCTGTAATGCTTAGGCTCAGCGATCCCTGTGACACTCAGGGAATAAAACCCAAAGTAAAGTGCTTTTGGGGTCTCTCAGCTGTGATGCAATGTGGGAGACATGCAGACGAGACTGCATCAATGCTGGGCAGCTTCACTAAGCCTTGGTGGACTGGCTCACCCTGGATCCTAGGCTTCTGTTTATTCTTGCTGCCTATCTATGAGTCATACATCTGCTTTGCCTGACTTACTGTTCTTGCGTTCTGTCTCACTAAACTAGACCTAAGAACCTTTGCAGATGTCAAAGAAACAGAAAAATATGTTGATAAATATGGACGCTCCTTGACTTACAATGAGGTTAGGTCCCATTAGACCCATCATGAGTTGTAAATATCGTGAGTTGAAAGTGCATTTTTGACTTATGATAATTTCTACTCATAATGGGCTTATCTGGATAGAACCTCATCATAAGTCGAGGAGTGTACTGGATGAGAATCACTTTCACACCACTGTAAAGCTGAAAAATCATAAGTCAAACCTATGTAAGCCAGGTACCGTCTGTAGTTTCCATAATATTTTGATAAGTGACAGGAGTTAAATACTGAGAGCTTCATTCGTGAAGTGAGAAAGCAAAGACCATGTATAGGCACAATTCATTCATGAGCTGCATCTCAAATAAAAATGAAGACATCCATCTCACCACAGAAATATACTTCAGAACACTTCCTTCACTCACTTCAAGGCAATGCAGTACCAGGTAACTGCTACCAGCGCAGGAGTCAGAACCAAATGCAGAATGATCAGGCAGGCACAGGGCTGGGCGCTTTGCCTGAACAGTGATCACAGCCCAGACCTTTCATGCCAGTACTTCACGCCAGTCTAACAGAAGCACGCAGGAGCATCTGGCTTTTGGTAAAGCAGCTAAGTTGGCCTCTTGTGTTTCCAGCTTTTCACTTGTCCCCTCCTCGTGTTTTCCCAGAACTCCCCACTGGACCAGGAGTCTTCTCATTCCCATCACCTCTCCTGCCACTGACCCTCAAGCCTGAACTCTAAAAACGCTCTGGTGATTTTATACTGAGTTATAAGTGAGACTTAAAATGTTCCCTCCCCAGAGGTAGTTTAATAGAAACAAAGCGCAAAGCTAAAGGAATGGGTCTTCAGTAACAGGAGTTCAGGAAATAGCGGGTAGGGAGGAACTCTGGGACCAAGAGTCTTCCTAATGTGCCGGAGCTCTTGTCATGCAGGGCTGGTGGCCTTCTTTGTGCTATACCCCGACTCTGTCGTCACAGATACAGCAGCAGATCCAGGTGCTCCTTTATACCCCCAAAGACATGAAAAATCAAAATTTAAAAATATCAGAAATATGTATTCATTTTCTACACTTGAGACATAACACTGGATGGAGGAAAACCTCTTGGGATATGAATACCTCTTCATCTGATGTTTTGGAAATCTAACCATGTATCTTCTCTTATGCTTATTTTCTCATAATGTTACTATTGGGTGATACAACTTCATTCTAAAGTGAGCTGTTGCTTGCCTACCAAGTGTCAGATAGCGGGCTAGGGGTTTGGAATACCAGGGTCATTAATGGTAGTATATCTAATTATCAAAACCTTACTATGTGTGAGGCACTGAACTAAACATTGGGCATGTAGTAATTCATTTGCTTTTCATAGCCACCCATGAGATGGGTCCTGGGATCATTCCATTTGAAAATGAGGACATTGGGGCACTGAGAGGTGAAGTCAGTGGCCCAAGGTGTACTGTGAGTGAGTGGCGGTGGTGGTGGTGGTGGTGTTGAACCCACAGCCTACCCCTTCATCACACTATTCTATACAACATTTCGGGTGCTCTATAATCTTCTAATGGAATCTAATTTTAATGAGAGATGAGTTTGTATACAACCTTATGCTATGTTGGTTAATTAAACTAGAAAACTTAAATGAATTTTACTTTTGCCTGGTAGAAAGTATCTGCTTTAAAACATATGGAACTTCTAATTTTCTCCCTGAAATTATGTGGTGATATAATAAGTAGCTAAGTATATTTTTAAAAAAGAGGAAGTAATGACTCAGATCTAGAGGCATTTGCAAATGGGGCAATGCCAGGTGAGCCAGCTGGACGTACACGTGTGAGCTGGACGTACGAATGCTGTATGCTGTGGTGCTCATGATGGAGAAGCTGCCCTGGGACAAGGGCACAGGCTTTGCTTGGCTCAGGTTTCCCATTCTCAGCTCTGCTGCTGTGTCTGTAGCCATCAATTGTAAATGAGCATACGGATAGGAGATTCAAAACCATTTCACTGGCTGTTGCGTGCTGATCAGTAAAATCAAATGTAAGTGCCTTACTTCTGGACTTGTATTTCTTTATGCCCATCCAAGTCCTACCTATCTTTCACATACTAACCCAAGTCCATGTGACCACTGAAGCCTTCCAAGGCCATTTGGCACCACCTCAGATCTCTCCCTTGAGCTCCTGGAAGAGCTAAAGATCAGGAAGCCATAGAGCTTAGAGACTGTCGATTCTCCACCACGAATTTAACATCTTATCTAGGTGATGGTATGGATGGGTGTTAGCCTTATCTTCTCATTTGAGTTGCAAGCTCAGGAACTGTGTGCTATTCTGAAGTTCCTCACAGCACCTCACATATTTTTGGAAAACAGACCACATTAGAGGCCAAAGATTAAAAAAAAAAAAAATACCGTTCTACTGTTTCTAGTCTGTCCTCTTCTGGTAAGGCATCAAGGATGGCAGGGACGTCTATCGGAAGCATAAATGAATTGAAGGAATCGCAGCTGTGGAAAAACCACACAAGCAGTCAAAGATAGAGTCACACTAGAAGTCTTGGGGTCTTTACATAATTTTCTAAAGAATTTTTATTTTACTGCTGGCGAGGCCTCTACTACTCTGTCCTCCCTCACTCTTGAAAAGCCATTTATGGTTCCCAGAGGCAAAGGCAGGGGATGCAATAGGCCCCAGGCAAACCTGGGAGAATGTTGCCAAGTAAGACACTTCCTGGAGTTTAAAAAGAGAATCATAGAATTTTTCAGTTTGTAGTGTTTAAAATTGTATTATCTCCTGGGGTGAGTGTAGTTAGATACTGATATGGTTTGGTCCTGTCCCCACCAAATCTCAGGTTGAATAGTAATCCCCAGTGTTGGAGGTGGAGCCTGGTGGGAGGTGATTGGATCGCGGGGGTGGAGTTCTCAGGAATGGGTTAGCACCATCTCCTTGGTGCTGTTCTCATGATGGTGAGTGAGTGAGTTATCTTGAGATCTGGTTGTTTAAAAGTGTGTGGCACCTCCTCGTCACTCTTCCTCCTGCTCTGGCCATGTGAGGTGCTGGCTTCCCCTTTGCCTTCCGCCATGATTGTAAGTCTCCAGAGGCCTCCGCAGAAGCCAAGCAGAAGCTGTCCTGCTTCCTGTACAGCTTATGGAACTATGAGCCAATTAAACCTCTTTTCTTTATAAATTACTCAGTTTCAGGCATTTGTTTATAGCAATGAGAGAACAGGCTAATACAGGTAGTTTACTTTTGGTCCTAGTATTTTCCCTCCACCTTTATACTCCTTCTTAGACATTCTATTCCATTTCATATCTTCCTCCCCACCTCCTTGTGTATTGTTTAGTATTATAACTTTAGAGCTTTATATAAAAATTCCTGGCTATTGAGAATGTTAAAGGAATTGAGATAGGGTGGAAAATACATTGTTATTTTTAAACTTGGCAACAGCTCTTTGTTTCAAGTGGATGGAATGAGCACTTTTTTGGGGTCTCGACTCCTTCCATACACACATTTCAGATGATATAGAAGGAATAAAAACCGAACACACAACAGCAAAGAGAACAACAGAAAAGAAATCAATGGATAAAAGTTTTCAATCATTTTCTGGAATAAATTTCTAGAACCCTAGAGAATGCTGTCTCATGAAAAACAGCGAAGAATGACAGAGCCTGGAGCCCACTCGGAAGGAAACAGACCTCCTCACAGATGCTGGAAAGGCTGAGGCTGAAGGTAGGGCAGGAGGCAGCAATGGAAAGCAGGGATTAATTGATGGCTCCTTTGTGTGTGCACATATGTCTTTGTGATAAGATTCTTATCTTTGTTTTGTTATTGTGCAAAAATGCACCCCCTTGTCAAGTATGAAGACTGGCTGAAAAAAAAATTATAGCACCATGGTTTTGACTAATGGGAAGAGAATGAGGAAAGCATCTGTGAGCTGATATAGAATGACTTTCTGGAGATAGTAAGTGAAAAAAACAAATGCAGAAAAGCATATCTAGAATGCCACTTTTTGTATAAGACAGAAGGGAAAAAAAGAAAAATGTATATATTCTGCTTACCATTATAAAGAGAAACACAGGAAGGATACATTAGAAGACCAAGCTGGCTACCTGCCAGGGGCTGGAGGGAGGTGGGAGGGACACTTCCCTGAATATGCCTTTAATGTAGTTTTGAGTTTGGAAAACGTTAATGTTCAAAATATTGAAAAAATAAAATTAAATCAATAAGAAAGTGAAATAAAAAACAAAGGCTGAAAGCAAACTGAAACAAATCATAATACTTCACAGAAATTCCATAAACACACTGGAAGGAAAGAAAGACAGAGAGAGAGAGAGAGACAGACAGAGACAGAGAGAGAGAGAGAGCTAAAGGAATGAGAAAAGAAAGAGAAAAGAAAAAGAAATTACCCAAGTAACTTACTACAAGTTATTTGACTACATACCCAAAGACTTGGGTGGGAGGGGGTGGGGGGGGGGACCTGGAAACCAATCTGAACTTATTTTGCATGTTTATTAAGGTGGTTATGGATCAAGCAATTCTGAAATGATTTTTGATGTATTATAAGATTGAGTAAGTAAATGTATTAGAAGCCAGGTTTCTCACAGTGGAAGAAGGGAGATACAAATATGGAATGGTGGAAAGCAAGCAATAACTCTATGGATATGGACTGGAACTGTAGGCATTGGTGTGAATTCATGCTTTCTAAAATATGGATATGTATATGTGTGTTTATATGCACATACATTACATATATATGTATGTTGCATATATCTTTGTGTGTACATTGTGTGTGTGTGTTTGTGTGTATCCCTGACTTTGTCTGCTGAATAGGCCAAGAAGCAAACCCTGCCCCACCCCAGAAGCAATGTGTATACATAGCACCCAGATTTTGGTCTTTAATCCCATTTCCCACCAAAACAAACCTGGGCCCGGAGACATAGAGCTTATCCTTGTTAGTAACTGACTTCATGATAAAGAATCCAGGTTATATTAGAAAATTCTACCAAAACTTTACTTTAGAACATGTATAGTCAGAGGGAATTCCCACTAAGAAGAGTGACTGAGAAGTTCAGGGTCTGGGCCGCTCGCCAGGGACCAGGCTGGTCTAGCACAATGGAATGGCAGCAACCAAGAGCTTTTCATGAAGCAAAACTTACCCAGTTTTTAAATTCTGAGACCAGTTCCTCTCACTTTTTTTGTGTGTGTTAAATATATTCATTTAAAATTGAAATAGTGATGACAGTAGATGGTGGTTGGGCATTTTTAAAATTTGTTTTGCTTTTATTTATTTTTTAAATTTTTGTTTATTTTCTTTTGAGATGGAGTCTTGTTTCACTGCCCAGGCGGGAGTGCAGTGGCATAATATTGGTTCACTGCAAGCTCTGCCTCCCGGGTTGAAGCGATTCTCCTGCTTCAGCCTCCTGAATACCTGGGATTACAGGTGCCCGCCACCATACCTAACTAATTTTTGTATTTTTAGTAGAGACGAGGTTTCACCATGTTGTCCAGGCTGGTCTTGAACTCCTGACCTCAAGTGATCCTCCTGCCTTGGCCTCCCAAAGTGCTGGGATTATAGGCATAAACCAATGTTTCTGGCTGTTGCTTTGTTTAATTTTAATGTCCTGGCCAGTCACGGTGGCTCACGCCTGTAATCCCAGCACTTTGGGAGGCTGAGGTGGGCGGATTGCTTGAGGTCAGGAGTTCGAGACCAACCTGGCCAACATAGTGAAACCCTGTCTCTACTAAAAATACAAAAAGTTAGCCAGGTGTGGTGGCCCACGCCTGTAGTCCTAGCTACTCAGGAGGCTGAGGCAGAGAATCGCTTGAACCTGGGAGGCGGAGGTTGCAGTGAGCTGAGATCGTGCCACTGCACTCCAGCCTGGGTGACAGAGTGAGACTCCATCTAAAAAATCATATATATATTTAATGTCCTTACTTGACAAAGTAAAACCCTGACAATGCCAAGACAGTTCCCAAAGTTCTTCTGGACATTTCACTCATCTATGAAATCAGAAAGTCTGGGAACTATTGGGTTAGATAATTTCTTCAGTTGTCACTGACTCTCTGATTTTATGGAAGTCCAAAGAGATTTAACAAGTTATCTCTGAATTTACTGAAGAGTAAAGAAATAAATGAGCTGCTTCGATTATTACGAATACAAAAATGACTTGGAATAAATAAACACTAACTATATTGCATGGTTTAACAACAAACAGTTGTCAGGGGCAAAAGATACAAGGCAAACCTCGTAAGTAATAGGAGCTAATTTATTCAAGCAAAATGGCTGCAAAGTTGGAATATCATTAATGGATTTATAGGAAGTTGCTATGGACTGAATTTTGTGTTCTCCCCAAATTCACGTTGAAACATAACTCCCAGGCCAGGTGCAGTGGCTCACACCTGTAATCCCAACACTTTGGGAGGCCGAGGTGGGAGGATCACTTGAGGCCAGGAGTTTGAGATCAGCCCGGGCAACATAGCAAGACCCTATCCCTATTTACATTAAAAATAACAAGAACTTAACCCCCAATGTGATGGTATTTGGAGATGGAGCCTTTGGGAGGTGGGTTAGGTCATAGGGGTGGAGCCCTCATGAATAGGATTAGTGCCTATCAAAGAGGCCTGAGAAGCTGGGTGCAGTGGCTCCACTTCTGTAATCCCAGCACTTTGGGAGGCTGAGGTGGGAGGATTGCTTGAGGCCAGGAGTTCAACACCAGCCTGGGCAATGTAGCAAAACCATATCTCTACAATAAATAAATAAAATTGGCTGAGCATGATGATGCACACCTATAATCCCAGCTACTTGGGAGGTTGAGGAAGGATAATCAGTTGAGCCCAGGAGTTTGAAGCTGCAGTGAGCTATGATTATGCCACTGCACTCCAGCGTGGAAGATAGTGATATCTCATCTAAAAAAAAAAAAAAAAAAAAAAAAAAGGCCTGAGAGCTCCCTTCCCCTTTCTGCCATGTTTGGACACAGTGAGAAGACAACCATGTAGGAACCAGGAAGCTGGCCCTCACCAGACACCAAGTCTACTGGCACCTTGATCTCGGACTTCCCAGTCTCCAGAACTGAGAAATAAATTTCAGTTGTTCATAAATTACATCTATGGTATTTTATTATAGCTGCCCAAACGAACTAAGACAGAACTTAAAAAAGGAATTACACTTCTTATTTTGTACCTGTTTTCAGAAATAAAAACATGACCTAGAGTCTTACATCCCGTGGAAATCCATGCTAAGAAGATAGATACAGAATCCTCCCTTGATTTTATGAGCTGTTATGCAACTGCAGTTTATTTAGAAACAAACTGGCCCAACAAGAGCACTCAGGCACATAAGCTGAAAGTAACAACTCATGGTTCGAGAGTTTTCTTTAATTCATGGAGAGTTCATGTTTAATTCATGGTTATTCAAGCCCAAGGTAACTGCATTCTCACTGCTTGTTGAAAGAACAGCCTCGGGAGATTTTTTTCCAAGGACATTGCTTTGGAAAGAAAATAGGATGCTTTTTCTTGATTCTCAAGAACGGTACACGCTGACAACGGGTGGACATGGTCAGCGGGTCGCCACTTCTCACCATTCCTCATTTTTCTTATTCAGTGTGCTGACAGCACCCCAGACCCGGTTTACTGACTGCATAGGTCAGTTCTGAAGCATCCTCACCCCGCAGCAAAATGAGGCAGTCTGTCAATGTGGTGACGGACTATCGCCATCTGGTGGCGATGGAGTGACTGCGCCGCTTAGTGGGCGGGGAAGGAGGGTAGAAGTGAGAGAAGAGTTACTAAGCATGCACCAGGCATGATGCTAGATGCTTCACAAGATCATTGCACTTTTATCCTCACACACACACAAATGTGAGGATGCCATCACTGCCTCTCCCTCAGAGAGGAGGAGATTATTGCTCGAAGGGCTTCATTAGTACGTAGCTCGCCCAAGGACTGAACTGGTGATACATCCAGTGTACAATGGAGGCAGGTCTCTCCCATGCCAAAGCTTTCCTTCTCTCTTCCATGCCATTGTTCCCGCCAGTTCTGGAGATTTGACATTCTAGAAATATGCTAAAAATGTAGAACAAGGATGCTGGTTTTCAGATGGCAATAGGGTGGTTGAGGAAAGGATGAAGTATAATAATTGGAAAGAAGCATATTTTTGAGCTCTTGCCATGTCCCAAATCCTATGCTGGGTGCTTTTTGTTTACCGCATGCTAATCTTCAGGCAAAGGAGAGGAGTAGAGAAGCCCTAAGGAAGTGACCCCAAGGGGACGGCACATGGGAAAGCCTTGACGTAGATGACGTACAGCTGCATTTGGCTTAGTTCAGGAAGAGCTTACCAATGAAGCCCTTCAATGAAGATGATGAAGGAGGAAGTCAAATTCAGTGTTCTGGGGTCACAACCCAGATTCCAACTATCTCCTCAAATACCTGGGGAGGTGTGGGTGGATGTGGGTGGATGGGACGGCTGCACTTGTACACTACAAGTTGGGTGAGCTCTTGTACTCTTACTAAAATTAAAACATCAACGCTGAGAATGGCCTTTGCAACAAGTCCAATCCCCTTGTCTTACTGACAAGAGGACTGGGCCCAGAGAGTTGGCCAAGGGGCATGGCTGAGGTCACATGACTCCTGGAGGTCATGTAGCCTCCCTGGTGAGTTTCTGAGTCAGAGGATCCAGGTTACCCGAGTGGGAGCTGGGGTGTGTGTAAAGATCACCTACTGATCTTGGTTGGTGGCAGAGCTCAGGTTTCTTGGCCACTCTTGGAGCCATGCCAGGGCTCTGCCACCTTGGGGTGGGCCTCATTCTGGATCAGAGGATTGGAACTTTGTTTGACAGCTGATGATAATCATTTTGGGACACCAGTCACATCTGTTCACCAATCACTCACTTAGCTGTATTTATAAGGATAGTGAACTGAAGAAGCGAATTCAAGGGCTCAGGAGTCAGCGATTGGCCAGGCAGAGTCTAATGAAAAGGCACCAGGCTACTTCTTTGATATCTTATGGTTTTGAAGAGCTATTAAATAAGCAAATTAGCAAAAATGTAGTCACTCTAAGTTTCTTCTTTCATCATCCAACAATATTCTGATCTACCCATTGTGTATCTGGAGCAGGGCTGTTTTCTGTGTGGGGATTGCCATGGTCTCACAGTGAATGCCAGCCTGTGGCACAAGAGGGCCATGGATCCTTTGGAACTGGATACAGAGACTGCGGAAGGCTAATCTTGGCAATTTATGATTTTTTTTCCTTTTTTTTTTTTGTTTTGAGATGGAGTCTCTCTCTGTCACCCAGGCCGCAATTTATGAATTTTAAAAAGATTGACCATGAATATTTCAGTTGAATTATATGGAATGGTTGTCTACTTGTACTCAAGCATTGCCAATTCGTCACCTAGGACATTACTTTTCAAAGAAGTGTATCTCAAGATAAATTCCAAATATGAAAATCAGTTACACATCATCAAATTTCTTTGACTAGCAAACTTCTCTCATGCTTTAAAAGTATGGTTTGACATATTATTGGCATTTAACTTTTGGGGATCATTGCCTCTGTAATACATGGGGCACACATACTCGTGAGCAAACAGATGAGCTGTGCTTACCTCTTTGTGGTCTCCATCTTGGAGGGGTCCGGCAGGGAGGAGAGAACCAGGGACTGGAAGCTTTTCCAGTGCATTATTCCGGGAATAATGTCCTGTAAGGAAAGTCAGCACATGGGAAGCAACTGTTTGGTGAGGTAAAGTTTCTGAAGGACTTTTGTTTTATTCAACTATTTTTCAGACTTAAAAGGCTAAGCACCAAAATCTGTAATTTCATTCAGTTTGAATTTTTCTGAAGCAAAAAGGCAATTGCTTCAGCAAAGCACATTAAACAGTGCAACACAGAATTAGAGACAAAGGCGAGGTTTGCTTCCCTTGCTTCATTAGGCACTTGCACAAGCAACATGTCCTCGGGATGGAGGGCAGCTGCGGCCTTAGAATCTATTTTGTTTATTGTGAATGTGATGCTAATGCAACACTTGGAGAGGATGGCAGTTCATCCAGCAGCACTCCAGGCAGGAGAGCTGCACACGCGCGCCACGTGGGAGGCGAGCGCTGCAAGGAGACCCCCGGCTGGGCTGAGTGCAGGGTGCATGATAGAGGCAGAAGGGAATGTGGCTGGAGAGCCAGGCAGGTCACGAGGGCATTGTGGGCCAAGCTAATGAGCTTGGAGCTGCTACAGCAGGCAGCGGGGACCCACGGAGGGCTTTCGAGCAGGAAATGACAGGATCAACTCGTGCATAAGGAAGATTTCTCTGAAGGGAAGGCTGACTGCAGCAGCAGTGGGCCAAGGGCTAGACTAGAGGGAGGTCTGCACATCAGTGTGTCAGTGGCACACCGGTGCCCGCCCCCCCACCCCCCCGGGGTGGTTAGATGAGGGGAATGGGGGAGAAGGAGGGAAAGGATCTCATGGGTAACTACACAAAGTCCATAAAACAGAAAGGCAAGTAGGTGACACAGGAAGAGGAGGCAGTTGAGGGTGTGGCTGGTAGAAGTGGGGAGAGAGCTCATAATCTGAGTTAAGGGTTAATTGAGCTTGAAGGGCCTGAGGATAATCCTCAAGGGGTGTCAGGGGATATTCAGGTCAGGGTGGTTCCCTGGGGGGGAAGTAATTCCTTGGAGCCACTTCTTTGCATGTGTCACTCCACTACTTTGTCCATTCTGGTTTCTACACTTGGGGCCAAAGAGAGAGGAGGTCAGACCAACGGTTGTGCATACCGTGTGGCTGTTTTTACATGATTGAAATACAAACACGTGAACATTAGGTGCAGCCTTCCAGAGGAATGTTGACAAAGGGTAGCAGGCAGCCCGAGAGGCAGGTGTGGTCAGGACAAGGCGGTGCGGGGTCTCCACCTGTACCCCTTTAGGGCTGGCGGTATGAGGGGCGGTGTTACCATTCTTGTTCTGCAGCTGTGGCGGCAAACCTTTGTCGCAATTCCAGCTGTGACCCTGTCCTTGTCCCCTGCCCCTCCCTGCAGCCCAGGGTCACTCTGCCAGTGAGCCTGGTGATGACATTACCGTGTGATGGAGAAACTGCTTTTGGGTGACAGGAATGCTGGACCCGTGGCGGGACTCTTTGGTGAATTTGTACTTGGGGTGAGAGCATAGATGGTAATCTATCAACGTTTCTGCATAGGTCAGAGGATGCATTACAGCAAATAATCCTGGGTTGGGATTCTGCCGAAGACAGGGAAAAAATATTCTTTTCTGTTTACCAGTTTCTAAGCCAGGCATAGGACAGGCATCAGCTAATGCTGTCTGTGGCTCCCACTAGCACTAACACTCTGTGACTCCATGTCAGCTTGTCTGGAAAAGAGAAGCAGGAGAGCAGAGGTGTCTTCAAGTCGGCAGCGTTTAAAAAATCATAGTCATTCATAAATGTCACTTTTCTGGCTTAAGAGCTTCATTACAAACCATATGGGTTTACTAAACTCCCATGAAAATAAGTACAACCGAAATCACAGCTTAAAACAGCTTTGAGTATTTGTTGCTAATGCTGATGAATTAGGGGGAGTTATTAAATGAGCACACTGGTTTAAAAAAGCAAATAAGCTTCTGCTTTTGAAAACAAAAATAGGCTTTTAAAAGCTACTTTAAAGAGATGACAAAAAAGAGGATGACATTCGATGTATCAGGAAATGTCAACATTTAACATTGTTTTGGTAATGTGTTTGATTCAGGAAGGCTCCATTTGGAAGTAGTATCTGGTTTTAAGGGAGATCCTGTTTTTTATTAATTTTCCAGCAGAACTAATGGAGGCACAGAGCAATTATATCAAAATACTAAAATATAGAGCCTTTTACTGTTCTCTCAGAGGCTCGTAAAACAAAAACCCTATTCTTGTCCCAAACAACGTAGCGCCCCTCCCTGCCAGCTGTTTAACCTCAGATGTTTGATGTTTAATAACCACTACACTGAGATTCTGTTGTTTGTTTGTCTAACTTTTAAAAACAAGTTAAAAACGCCCCACAAAACCACTTAGCTTATGGAAACTCAATCTCACTGCCAAGAAACAAATGTCCCCCCAAACTTAAGTGACATGCAGCTAGACCTGAATGCATTCCGGCACCCAGATGCAAGGTAGGGGAGGGCCCAGCGGTGGTGAGTCAAGAAGGCTGGAAAGGAGGTAAGCGTTGGTGCAGAGGCTGCTATGCCACTTGAGGGCCAGGATGAGGGCCTGGGGCAAAGGTAGGGAGAGGGCTCTGGGCTCAACTCCTGGATATAAACGAGTGGGGAGGGCAGGAAGGCAACGATGACCACTGAGGGGATCTGAGATGCCCACAGTAATGTGGAAACAAGCATACACCTTGGTAAGCACTTGTGGTTGAGGCAGGATTTAGGGAGGCAGTGTGATGGGGAGTGGGGCTGGGCCCACCCTATGGGGATAGTGTGAGGGCAAAGGTACACAACACCAGGGGAGGGGAAATGACCTGTGTGGGCTTCAGGAGTGTCTTCTACTCTGGTTGACTGAGGGCATGTGAAGCTGCCATGTGGCCGCCTCTCTTGGTCTGCCTTGGGCCAGGCGTTCATGAATGCAGTCTTTGTGGAAATGGCAATGGCACTGTCTCCCATAGTTGTCATCCTTCAGATCCCCATTGCTCCCAGAGTAACTGGTCTCAGTGGTCACCCCATGATGCTTTTAATTTTAATTTTCCTAAACTAACGCATGCATGTGGTAGCGACTCACCTCGGCTGCAAGGATTTGTGAGGAAAAGCAGTGGTTCCGCAGGCCCTTCCTGTTCCCAGGCCCACATCCCAGAGGCTGCTTCTTTCCCTTGTTTCTGGCTTTTGTGACTCTGGTGGTCACCACCCTAACTCTAAACATCATGCTTATTCTTCCACTTCTTGATTGTCAACCTCAGGCAGTATCTACTGACTCATTACTATGCAAGACAAGGACTTCGCTTAGGTACACAAATGCCCCTTCCAAACTTCTTTCCTATTTTGAAGATTACATTATTCTGCTTTTGCTCACCATTGTGACTTGAAATGGTACACACATACCCCTATTTCTTGTACATCATCTTTAGTTGAGTATTTCAACTCCCCTTCAGGTGAAATCAAAACATCATTCTTCTGCTTTTCTGTACCTTTTCTTCTTGCTTTCACAATTTTCCTTTGATATTGTTGAGATTCTTAACATTTGCCTTCCGGAACTACAGCCAAGACCTTCATGCTTTGCTCATGGGTTGTCTCTAAAAGTTGAAAACTAATAAGTAGCATTTACTCTCAGCTATGTAAATATGTTTCTCTTCCAGGCCAAGTAGAGGCTTGGATTACGGGTTTGGCTTATTTACTTATTTATATTTTGGCTAAAGGTTCAATATCATGACCTCTGGGCCACCGTTAGAGAAGAGTTCTGGTATCAAGGCCAAATGGATTATATTTTTAGATTTTTCCATCAGCTCTTAAAAATCATGTCAAATTTTAGTTTGGTTTCCTATTTGGAGCACATACTGATGTTCAGTTGATTTCCCCCCTTGTAGATTATAATTGCTTCTTCTTTTCTTGATGTGCCTTTATGCAATCCTTGAGTCTTCGAGACTCTCAACTGCACTGTTAGTGCTTGGAGCCTACCCTTTCCTAGACACCTCTTTCTCAGAGCCCTTTACCCTCCCTCCTCCAGACTGAATGACCAGAGATCAGCCCAAGACTTCACTATAATGCTTCACCGGTTGTAACCACTACAGTATTTCTTTTCCTTCCTTAGGGTCTCCTAATTCCTACTTTTACTGCTGTACTGATGTATAGTTGATGTATAATAAATGACACATTTAAATTACATAGTTTGATATAACATTTGTTTCACCTGCAAAACCATTGCCGTCATAAACATAATGAACATTTCCATCACCCCCAAGAGTTATTTCATGCCCTTCATCATTCCCCCATCCTCACTTCCTGCCCCTCCACACCATCCACCCAACCCATCCACAGGCAGCCACCAATCTTTCTGTCTCTGTAGATTACTTCAGATGTTCTAGACTTTTAACTAAATTGAACAAAACAGCATGTAATCTTTTTTGTCTGATTTCTTTTACCCAAGATTTATATGTTTGGGAACATATAAATCTGCTATGAATATTCTTGCACAAGTTTAATGCTTCTATTTATCTTGGGTGAATAGCTAGGAATGGAATGGTTGGACATATGGTGGGTGTATGTTAACTGCTAACTTTGTAAGAAACTGCCAAACAGTTTTCCAAAGTAGTTGTACCATTTTACATTCCCACCAGCAGTTTTTCAAATTGTAGGTGTTCTAACAGAGAGATCTCATTGACGTTTTAATTTGCATTGTTAATGATGTATTATTCTGTGCATCTTCTCGTGTGCATATTTGCCATCTGTATATCTTCTTTGGTGAAGTATGTGTTCAAATCTTTTGCCCATTTTAAAATTGGATTGTTTGCTTTCTTATTATTGAGTTCTGATAATTCTTTTAAAAATTATTTATTATATGGTGGTAACAACACTTACCATGAGAACTACCCTTTTAACAAATTTTTAAATGTGCATTATTGGCTATAAGTGCGATGTTGTACCGCAGATTGTGAGAGCAGATTTGTCTTTCTTGACTGCAACTTTATGCCTATTGCCTAGTAACTCCCCGTTTTCCCCTCTCTCAGCCTCTGATAACCATCATTCACTCTTGATTATGTCAATCTGGCTATTATCAATATCTCATATAAGCAGAATCATACAGTATTTGTCTTTCTGTGGCTGGCTTATTTAGCTTAGCATAATGTCCTCAAGGTTTATCAATGCTGTTGCATATTACAGTATTTCCTTCCTTTTTTAAGGCTGAATAGTATTCCACTGTCTGAATATGCCACTTTTTTTATTCCATTCATCTGTTGATAGATTTTTAGATTGTTTCCACATCTTAGCTATTGTGAATAGTGCTGCAATGAACATAGGAGTGCTAATATCTCTTTGATATCCTGTTTTCTTTCTCTGTCTTTATTTTTTGAAACACGGTCTTGTTTTGTCACCCAGGCCGGAGTGCAGTGGTGCCATCATGGCTCACTGCAACCTCGACCTCCTGGGCTCGAATGATCCTCCCACCTCAGCCTCCCAAATAGCTGGGACTACAGGCTTCTGCCATCACACCTGACTAATTTTTTGTAGAAACAGTGTCTTGTTATGTTGCCTAGGCTGGTCTCAAACTCCTGGGCTCAACTGATCCTCCTGCCTTAGCCTCCCAAAGTGTTAAGAGTACAGGCATGAACTACCATGCCTAGCCCTGATTTTAATACTTCTGGAAACATATCCAGAAGTGGGATTGCTGGATCACATTATTATTATTACTGTTATTATTATTATTATTCGAGACAGGGTCTCACTCTGTTGCCCAGGCAGAAGTGCAGTAGTGAAATCACAGCTTACTGCAGCCTTGAACTCCTGAACTCAAGAGGTCCTCCTGCCTCAGCCTCCCAAGTAGCTAGGACTATAGGCATGTGCCACCACACCCAGCAGATTGCTGGATCATATGGCAGTTCTGTATTTAATTTTTTGAGGAACCTCCATACTATTTTCTACAGTGGATGCACCATTTTGGATTTCTACCAATAGTGTGTAAGGATTCCAATTTCTCTACATCTTCCTTAACACTTACTGTGTTTTATTTTTTTGATAATAGCCTTCTTAACAGATGTTAGGTAATATCTCATTGTGGCTTTCATTTTTTTTCTGAGGATTGGTGGTATTTTTTTCATATAGCTGTTGGCCATTTATAAGTCTTCTTTGGAGAAATGTCTATTCAAGTTTTAACCCACTTTTTAAACTGAGTTATTAGGTTTTTTTTTTTACTATTGATTTGTAGAAGTTTCTTATATATTTTGGTATTAACTCCTTATCAAATATATAGTTTGCTGACTATATATTTATTTATTCTGTAGGTCACTTTTTCATTCTGTTGACTGTTTCCTTTGTGAGTTTTGACAGTTCCTTATATATTCTGGATACAAGTTCTTATCAGATATGCAATTTCCAAATATTTTCTCCAAGTCTGTAATTTATATTTTTATTTTCTTAACATTAACAGAAATTCTTAATTTGGACAAAGTCCAATTAATCCATTTTTTTTTCATTTATGGATTGTGGTTTTTTGGTGTTTTATCTAAGAAATCTTTGTCTAATTGAAGATCACAAAGATTTTCTATGTGTTTTCTAGTAGTTTTATAGTTTCAGGTTTTCTATTTAGGTCTATGATCCATGTTGTATTAATTTATGTAGATGGTGTGAGGTACTAATTGAAATTTTTATTTTTGTTTTTGGTAAATAGATATCCAAATGTTCTAACATTATTTGTTGAAAGATTATCTTTTCTCTAATGAATTACCTCTGACCTTTGTCAAAAATCAGTTGACCATAATGTATGAATGAATATATTTCTGGATCCTCTATTCTGTTCCATTAATCTGTTTATTTCTCCATTTATTTAGGCTTTCTTTGAGTTCTCTCAGTAATGTTTTATAATTTTCAGTGTACTGGTCTTATACATTTTTGTCATATTTATCTCTAAATATTTCATGTTTTGATGCTATTGTTAAATGATATGGCTTTTGAAACTTAAGTTTCAGAATGTTTGTTGCTAGTATACAGAAATATAATTGATTTTTATATGGTGATTCTGCATCCTGCAATCTTGTTAAATTCCCTTATTAATTTTAGTAGTTTTTTTTGTAGATTTCATTGTATTTTCTAGATAGACAATCTTTTTTTTTTTTTTTTTGTAAATAAAGACAGCTTTATGTCTTCTTTTCAAATCTGGGTACCTTTTATTTATTTTTCTTGTCTTGTTACCTTGGCTATACTTATAATCCTGAATAGAATTAGTGAGAGCAGACATCCTTGCCCTATACTTGATCTTAGGAGGAAGGCATTCAGTGATTTACTACTCCGTTTGATGTTGGCTCTAGGTTTTAAATAGATGACCATTATTTGGTTGAGGAAGTTCCCTTCTATCCCGCACTTGCTGATAGTGTTCATCAGGAATGGATGTTAGATAATTTTTCTGTTACTATTGAGATGTTTTTCCTTTTTGGTGTGTTATATGTAAACTACAGTGAGTTTGTAATGTTAAATTAATCTTGTATTCCTGGTTCAAGCCCCTATTTGGTTATGATACATTATCCTTTTTATATAGCAATTAATTTGATTTATCAAAATTTTGTTAAAAATATTTTCATCTATGTTCATCAAGGATATTGATCTTTTCTTTTTTTTCCTGTAATATCTCTGTCTGGCTTTGGTATCAGAGTAATACTAGCCTCCAGAATGATTTGGGAATTAGTCTCTTCTCTTCCATTTCCTGGAAGAGCTCGTGTAGATTTTGTATTATTCCTTCCTTAAATATTTGGCAGAATTCCCTAGTGAAGGCCTCTGGGCCTGGAGGTTTCTTTGTGGGAAAGTTTTCAACCAAAAATTCAATTTCTTTAACAGATATAAAGCTATTTTGGCTATTTATCTCCTCTTAAATAAGATTTTACAGTTTGTGCCTTTTAATGAATTTGCACATTTAACTTAAGTCATCAAATTTACTGGCATAAAGTTTTTCATAATATTAACTTCTTATCTTTTTAAAATCTGTAGAATATGTAGTGATGTCATCTTCCTCATTCCTGACATTGGTAATTTGTGCCTTTTGCCTTTTTTCCTGATCAGTTAGGTTACAGGTTTATTCATTTTATTGATCTTCTCAAAGGACCAGTTTTTCTCTCTATTGTTTTTCTGCTTTCTATTTCATTTGATTTTCTTTTGAGATGGAGTCTTGCTCTGTCACCCAGGCTGGAGTGCACTGGCGTGATCTCAGCTCACTGCAACCTCCTCCTCCTGGGTTCAAGCAATTCTCCTGCCTCAGCCTCCTGAATAGCTGGGATTATAGGCAGGTGCCACCGCGTTTGGCTAATTTTTTTGTACTTTTAGTAGAGACAGGGTTTCACCATGTTGGCCAGGCTGGTCTCAAACTCCTGACCTCAAATGATCTGCCGGCTTGGCTTCCTAAAGTGTTGGGATTACAGGCATGAGCCACTGTGCCCGGCCTATTTCATTGATTTTCAATCTGACCTTTATTATTTCTTTTTTCTGCTTAGTTTGGTTTCATCTGCCCTCCTTTTTCTAATTTTTTAAAGGGGTAGCTTAGGACATTAACTTGAAACTTTTCTTCTTTTCCAATGTAGGTGTGTAGTGCTGTTAATTTCCCACAGATTTTTTGTTTGTTTTCATTTTCATTCACTTAAAAATACTTGCTAATTTCTTTTTCAATTTCTTCTTTGGCCTATATGTACATATTATAGATATTTAGAAAAGATCATAAAATTATTTTCATTAAAAATGCAGGAATTGCTAAAAGACGGAATCACTGATATTCTCCAAAAAATAAAGGTTGGCAAACAATATTAAAGGTCAGATATTGTTTAACACTTGAAATTCCAAAGAGAAAAAATATTCCCAATGAGTGCTCTGTTTCCTATAGAGTAATTGCTGAAATAAAGGAACACAGAAAACAAGGCTTCTGCCAGTTGTCACTTACAAAAACATACAGAGGATCATAATCTAGAGACATGGCTAAGGCCTCAGGTGGTTTCATGCTCAAGACTGATGTTTTGCCAGAGAGCTGAGTTGTGGAGTCCTGTTTCGGAAGGGCTGTGATGGTGGTGACTTCATCCTAACAAGGAGCAAGGACAGCACGTTAGTTTTGATGCCAGGATAAGAGGGAAAAGATGAGAGAGATTCTGGAAGATGGGGGTGTGTTACCTCAGCTCCTTGCTTTAGGGCTCGGGCAAGCTTTTGAGGTCTGTAACTTGTTGAAGACTTGTGGACAGAGAATGGCTGATATCTCTTAATTTTGTACAGTTGAGGAACCTGAAGGTGAAAGAAGATTGAAAATCCTTAAAAACCTGTTACCATTTGGTGGGATCTACTTCTCAACAACAGCATTTCCGAGCTTCCTGGTGGTAAAAGTAAGACAAGCACCATGTTGTAGTCATCGGATTGTGGCTATTGTTGGTTTGGACCAGACTGCACAGACTTTAGTGAAAGTCCTGAGCCCTGTTCTGGGTTTCAGCACACATGAGTGTTCATGATTACTCAACCATACTACACGGCTTAAGTGTAGAAGCACACCAAAATATTTTCATTTTAAAAAACAGAAGTGGTCATATACCTCAAGAAAGGCTGACTAATTTTTGCTCACTTTATCTTATATTTTTTCTTGAAGTTTCTAACATACGTAGTTCAGATAGCTTCATATATGCATGATATAGGTATATCCACAGAGTAGAAATCCTGGTTTGCCTAAGCCACACTATGAGAAAAGAATCTGCTGTACCTCCCATATGCCATCCAAAAACAGTAGAGTGTGCCACACAGTCTAATCTACCATAAAGCAAAACTATAAAACACTGCAATTCAAATTCAAGAATATTTTGTTTACTTAATAAGAAACTCAATTAATTAATTTATGTGACAGGTCTGACCTGCAGATTGAAGAAGGAATAACTCTGCTTGATTTGAACTTCTGAAGACTTAATTGGGACCAGTCCAAGGCCATCAGGAGCCTAAAATGTGAAAGGAGAAAAAAAGAGAACAATCACCACTGAGCAAGAGTGGCTATGCTTCTGTTTCCACTACATTTTGAAACATTAGTGACCAGTTCTACTCTCAGAGCAACTCCTCCTGCAACCACAGTTGCCACTTGATCTGTAGGGCAGGAAGGCAGCCCTGATCACCCCCTCCTCCATGTCTCCTAGTGGATGTGAGTCTCTTATTTTCTGTGGTTGCGGAGGCTGCAACGTGTCACTCAGAAACTTCCTCAGGCTTGAAGGACTCAGGCTTGAAGGACTCAGTCCCTAGCTGCCAGGAGTGTAGGGATAGAAACACCTCTTGGGGGCAGGGGAGCCCTCTTCAGGGGCTGCCTCATCTGAACGGCACTGCATCAGTCAGAGTCAAGCGCTCCTCCCAGGCAGCTCACCTCCATGGCAGGTTGAAGCCACGGGAAACATGCTGTGTCCTCTCACCCTGTGCCAGCCTCAGAGTTCTCACAGGCCCAGCTGAGGCCTTTGTTGAGGTGGACCCCAGTCCTACTTCTCTCTCCACCCAATCCTGTCCCCTCTATCTGCCTTCCACAGGTGTGAACCCCCGAAGAACTGCCTAATACACTTCCTGCATGCTAGTCTGCCTCAAACACCCAGAGGATCTGGATGGTGCCTGAATATGACAGGCACTCAAAAAATAGCATACAACCCCTAATCTAATACACCATCACTAAACTAATATGATGAAACGTTAATATGCCACAATGACACCATTTCCCAATTTTGAGATGCTAAATGTAAGAAAAAGGCATCTTACAATTGATGAAATACAGTATTTATAAAATAAATTAATTCATTCTTTTTTATAGACAGGAATGCTGAGCGCTCTATTTTTCAATAACCCTGAGCAGCAGAGAAGTCTTTGTAGCACTAAAATATCAAATGAAACATATCAGCTTCAAATTATTCAAAAATAATGAGGGGGGCTCCACTGCACAGTGAGGATCTCTTTCCACCCCATCAACCTCTTCACCCCATTAATTATCGAGTGTCAGACATTTATTGTTGCTTGAAAATCACAGGATTTTTATTCTTTAGGAACTAATTATTCTGCTCTTTTAAGTCACACAATTATCAAAAGCAGAAAACATGTGGAATTTCTAAATTCAGTCCCGTAATTCTTGAGTAGATTACCTGCAATGCTTAACAAATATTTTAGAATGTGAATGACAAGTTTATTCTTTGAAATTGACAAAATATTTTGCACATGCACTTGCAATATTGATTTGAGTATACTTTTTATTACTAACGATGTGAACTCGAGCAACATTTTGTTACTGGCTATGTGAATTTGTGCTTCAGTTTCCTCATTTGAAAAATGGTAAACCTATCAGGTAGATTTGTTGAAGATTAAATGAGATGAACCGGAAGGACTTAAGACACTGCCTGATGTATAGTAAATACAACCTAAGGGTTAACTCTCACTTTTTCAATAATGCACCATTGTGCCCGAAGGGAAGAAGGATGAGCCATTATACCTCCTGCTACCCCAAGAGAGAAAGATACACACACACACACACACACACACACACACACACACACACCCCCCAGAGAGAGAGAGAGAGAGAAGTGGGTTGTGAGTCTGATGGGTTAGATTGTCAGTTTCTGGGGCCACATTCCCTTCTTATGAGGTCAGGCCCAGACTTGAGGGCTGCCCTTCCCTGACTTCTACCATTTGCCCAGGCAGCAGAAGGGCCAAGCTGAGCAGAGCCTGCCTCCCTGGGCCAGGTGGGGCCCTCTCGGTTCCTCTCTCTGCCCTTCTGCACTCAGGCGCAGTTCCAGGGCAGTTGGGCGGGGGTCAGTGCTCATGCTGCATTTCAGGCTGGGAAGGACCCAGTCCAGGTTACCAGGGAGCTCTGTGCAGGTGTATCAGGAGCAAGGCAGATGGCAGGAGATGATCCCTGGTTTTCCACTGGTAATACTCTCCTCATCTTCCTTTGGAGCCTCTGGGAGGAGGTGAAGGGACTGAGACTGAGGTAGGGCTTGCCTTGTATCTGCCCAACACGATCATGATCATGTCCACTCCCCGCCCCCAAGCCTGACGGCACCTACCAACTCGTTGGAGTCCTGGGGTGGGCTGCAGTCTGGGAAAGCGAAGGGCAGCACCTCCTTGGGCGACACAGAGAACCGGCTGGTATAATCATCCTGACTGATCCGCCTCAGGAAGAATTTGAAGAAATTCGCCTCTATGGGTGAAAAAAAGGGCACTTTTAGGGGGTACTAAAGGTATTTTTATGGGAAATCACCATATATATTTGCATATTTTCCATATACCAATTAGTGGGTGGGTGTGTATATATATATATATATATATATATATCCACTTTTACTGTCCCATTGGTTCCTTACCTCAACCTCCTTTCTGGTTAAAAAAATTTTATCTTTATTTCCAAAAAACTATAATTCATAATTAAAATATTTCTGATGAATTAAGCAAAGAAAAAGATTAAAGAAGTAAATGAAGACATTTTCTACACAGACCCATGGAATTCACAAGTAAATTTTATAATTTTTTAGAAAAAAGAGTTTCTTTATTAGAAACTTCAACATCAGAGATAAAAATTAATATAGGAGGAAGAAAGAATCATTAAAATGTTGTACAATATTTTGAAAAACAAAATACACATTTGGGTCTCAGTGGAGTGGCAGACGGGAGTGTGGTTGTGCCTAGGGAGGATGGGGAAGGCTGAGCCAGGCTCAGAGGCTCAGGCCAGGAAGGGAGGAAGAGTCTGGAAAGATTAGGGCCTGCTTGTGGGCTGGCAAACAAACTGTGGATTGGGAATATATGTATTGGGAGAAGATGGCGATATGGTGTTTGGGCTCCCAGAAGCTACCGAGAGTGGGCCTCCAACAGTCCCAGCCAAGCTGGGCATCAGAGGATTGGAATTCCTTTCTTTTTTTTTTTTTCAGAGACAGGGTCTTGCTCTATCACCTGGGCTTGAGTGCAGTGGTGCGATCATAGCTTACTGCAACCTTGAACTCCTGGGCTTAGCTGATCCTCCCACCTCAGCTTCCTGAGTAGCTGGGACTACAGGCATATGCCACCGGTCCTGGATAATTTTTAATTATCCAGGGGTCTCACTATGTATGTTGCCCAGGCTTGTCTCGAACTCCTGGGCTCAAGTGATCCTCCCACCTTGGACTCTCAAAGTATTGGGATTACAGGCATGTACTACAGTGGCCACAGTGGCCAGCATGGAAATTTCCTTAACTTAGGGAAAGACCATACAAGATTAAAAGGCTTAATGTGCAAATGCTAGGTTGAGAAAATACCAAATTCAGCCAGTCAATCAGCAAGTATAAATGATGACTACCCTAGTCTCTGGTGACAAGAAGAAGCAGAGGGCACAAAACAGGAGGTCTAGTCACAGCCAAACTTCACAGACATTACAACTTGGTATGGGGTTGGGGGACCTTGTTCATTATCAAGTGGGTAGGTATTTCAGCCAAACCTGGCACAGAGATCCACTTTATATCATCAGATAGGCTGAATAATGGCACTCAGAGGTACCCACATCCCATTCCCAGGGGCCTGTGAATGTGTTATCTTCCATGGTAAAAGGCACTCTGCAGATGGGGCTCTGTGATGGGGGATTATTCTGCACTAGACAGGTGGGCCTTATATAATCAGAGTCTGCATAGGAAGGAAACAGGGGAGTCAGACTCACACAAGGAGATGTGAGGACAGAAGCAAGAGGTTAGAGTCATGTGGGGAAGGGGCCATAAGCCAAGGAATGCAGGTGGACTCCAGGAGCTGGAAAAGGCAACGACTTGGGCTCCCCTGAAACCCCTGGGGGGAGCGCAGCCCTACCAGCACCTTGGTTTTAGACTTCTGACCTCCAGAACTGTGAGATGATAAATTTGCATTCTTTTAAGCCATTAAGTTTAAAAGGCTTAATGTGTGAATGCTAGGTTGAGAAAATACCATATTCAGCCAGTCAATCAGCAAGTATAAATGATGACTAACCTAGTCTCTGGTGACAAGAGGAAGCAGAAGGCACAAGTGATTTGTTATAGCAAGGATAGGAAACTAACATTTGTGACTGGTGAAAATTTTTTATTTGCATAGAGCTAACTTCATTCTAAGGAAAGTTCACGCTCAGAGGCATGATCAGTCTCGGCATCTCTGTGCTTTGCAGCCATACTTCACCTTGTGCTATCGATTGTTTTGCTTGGCCAATCTTTCTCAGTATACTCTCTTTGTCCATTTCACGAACAGCACTCAGCATATTGAATAATCGTCCCTGAATCATGACCTGAAATTGGAGTGGATAATGATTTCAAATTATTAATCAACACACGCTCATTTTGGCATTCAACCTAATTCACTTTCCCCAACCACACTAAGAGCTGAGACTGCCACTGCAAGTCAGAGTCCACAGGGAGTGTGGCATGCTACTCTCCCTAGGCTGCGGCCACAGGGACTTCAAAGTCTGGGCAATACTGACTTGCCTGAATACAAAAAAGATCAAGTTGTCATCTGGCCTTGTCCCACTCAATTTATGAGCCTTGATTTTCTCATATTTCCAGTGTGGAAAGAATGACTAGTTCTTTGTTGTTTCTTCTGGATATGTCTGAATAGTAATGCTACCACTGTGCTATTTTCAGAGTTGAAGGACAAATGGCACGGGTGATTCTGCAGCAATAGCACTGTGGGTTATGGGCAATGCTAACTGCCTACCAATGAGCTTTGCCTTCAGAGCTGATGCTACTGCAGGTGAGTGCTACCTGAGCCCAGAGCTGTGGCTGAGGGTATTGTTCATTCCATAATTTATTTACATCACTTTCCATTCTGTAAGCAGCTCTTTTTTTTTTTTAATATATACTGTAAGTTCTGGGATACATGTGCAGAACATGCAGGTTTGTTACATAAGTATAAACGTGCCATGGTAGTTTGCTACACCCATCAACCCGCCATCTACATTAGGTATTTCTCCTAATGATATCCCTCCCCTAGTCACCCACCCTCTGACAGGCCCTGGTGTGTGATGTTCCCCTCCCTGTGTCCATGTGTTCTCATTCTTCAACTCCCACTTATGAGGGAGAACATGCGGTGTTTGGTTTTCTGTTCCTGTGTTAGTTTGCTAAGAATGATGATTTCTAGCTTCATCCATGTCCCTGCAAAGGACATGAACTCATCCTTTCTTATGGCTGCATAGTATTCCATGGTGTATATGTGCCACATTTTCTTTATTCAGTCTATCATTGATGGGCATTTGGGTTGGTTCCAAGTCTTTGCTATTGTGAATAGTGCTGCAATAAACATACATGTGCATGTGTCTTTATAGTAGAATGATTTATAATCTTTTGGGTATATACCCAGTAATGGGACTGCTGGGTCAAACAGTATTTCTGGTTCCAGATCCTTGAGGAATTGCCACACTGTCTTCCACAATGGTTGAACTAATTTACAGGCCCACCAACAGTGTAAAAGCTTTCCTATTTCTCCACATCCTCTCCAGCATCTGTTGTTTCCCGACTTTTTAATGATTGCCATTCTAACTGGCGTGAGATGGTATCTCATTGTGGTTTTGATTTGCATTTCCCTAATGACCAGTGATGATGAGCTGTTTTTCATATGTTTGTTGGCCACATAAACATCTTCTTTTGAGAAGTGTCCGTTCATATACTTCACCCATTTTTTGATGGGGTTGTTTGTTTTGTTCTTATAAATTTGTTTGAGTTCCTTGTATATTCTGGATATTAGCCTTTTGTCAAATGGATAGATTGCAAAAATCTTCTCCCATTCTATAGGTTGCCTGTTCACTCTGATGATAGTTTCTTTTGCTGTGCAGAAGCTCTTTAGTTTAATTAGGTCCCATTTGTCAATTTTGTCTTTTGTTGCCATTGCTTTTGGTGTTTTAGTCATGAAGTCTTTGCCTGTGCCTAGGTCCTGAATGGTATTGCCTAGGTTTTCTTCCAGGGTTTTTATGGTTTTAGGTCTAACATTTAAGTCTTTAATCCATCTTGAGTTAATTTTTGTATAAAGTGTTAAGGAAGGGGTCCAGTTTCAGTTTTCTGCATATGGCTACCCAGTTTTCCCAACACCATTTATTAAATAGAGAATCCTTTCCCCATTGCTTGTTTTTGTCAGGTTTGTCAAATATCAGATGGTTGTAGATGTGTGGCATAATTTCTGAGGCTTCTGTTCTGTTCCATTGGTTTATATATGTGTTTTGGTACCAGTACCATGCTGTTTTGGTTACTGTAGCCTTGTAGTATAGTTTGAAGTCAGGTAGCATGATGCCTCCAGCTTTGTTCTTTTTGCTTAGGATTGTCTTGGCGATACTGGCTCTTTTTTGGTTCCAAATGAAATTTAAAGTAGTTTTTTTCTAATTCTGTGAAGAAAGTCAATGGCAGCTTGATGGGAATAGCATTGAATCTATAAATTACTTTGGGCAGTATGGCCATTTTCACAATATTGATTCTTCCTATCCATGAGCATGGAATGTTTTTCCATTTGTTTGTGTCCTCTCTTATTTCCTTGAGCAGTGGTTTGTAGTTCTCCTTGAAGAGGTCCTTCATATCCCTTGTAAGTTGTATTCCTAGGTATTTTATTCTCTTTGTTGCAATTGTGAATGGGAGTTCACTCATGATTTGTTTCTCTGTTTGTCTATTATTGGTGTATAGGAATGCTTGTGATTTTTGCATATTGATTTTGTATCCTGAGACTTTGCTGAAGTTGCTTATCAGCTTAAGGAGATTTGGGGCTGAGACAATGGGGTTTTCTAAATATACAATCATGTCATCTGCAAAGAGACAATTTGACTTCCTCTCTTCCTATTTGAATACCCTTTATTTCTTCTCTTGTGTGATTGCCCTGGCCAGAACCTCCAACGCTATGTTGAATAGGAGTGGTGAGAGAGGGCATCCTTGTCTTGTGCCAGTTTTCAAAGAGAATGCTTCCAGCTTTTGCCCATTCAGTATGATATTGGCTGTGGGTTTGTCATAAATAGTTCTTATTATTTTGAGATACGTTCCATCAATACCTAGTTTATTGAGAGTTTTGAGCATGAAGGGGTGTTCAATTTTATCAAGGGCCTTTTCTGCATCTATTAAGATAATCATGTGGTTTTTGTCATTGGTTCTGTTTATGTGATGGATTATGTTTATTGATTTGCATATGTTGAAGCAGCCTTGCATCCCAGGGATGAAGCTGACTTGATCGTGATGGATAACCTTTTTGATGTGCTCCTGGATTTGGTTTGCCAGTATTTTATTGAGGATTTTTGCATCAATATTCATCAGGGATATTGGCCTGAAATTTTCTTTTTTTGTTGTGTCTCTGTCAGGTTTTGGTATCAGGATGATGCTGTCCTCATAAAATGAGTTAGGGAGGAGTCCCTCTTTTTCTATGGTTTGGAATAGTTTCAGAAGGAATGGTACCAGCTCCTCTTTGTAACTCTGGTATAATTCGGCTGTGAATCTGTCTGGTCCTGGGCTTTTTTTTGGTTGGTAGGCTATTAATTACTGTCTCAATTTCAGAACTTGTTATTGGTCTATTCAGGGATTTGGCTTCTTCCTGATTTAGTCTTGGGAGGGTGTATGTGTCCAGGAATTTATCCATTTATTCTAGATTTTCTAGTTTATTTGCATAGAGATGTTTATAGTATTCTCTGATGGTAGTTTGTATTTCTGTGGGATCAGTGGTGATAACCTCTTTATAATTTTTTATTGTGTCTATTTGATTCTTCTCTCTTTTCTTCTATATTAGTCCGGCTGGCAGTCTATCTATTTTGTTAACCTTTTCAAAAAACCAGCTCTTGGATTCATTGATTTTTTGAAGGGTTCTTTGTGTCTCTATCTCCTTCAGTTCTGCTCTGATCTTAGTTATTTTTTTGTCTGCTGCTAGCTTGTCTAGTTATTTTCATTATAATGTTAGGGTGTCGATTTTAGTTCTTTCCTGCTTTCTCCTGTGGGCATTTAGTGCTATAAATTTCCCTCTAAACATTACTTCAGCTGTGTCCCAGAGATTCTGGTATGTTGTGTCTTTGTTCTCATTGGTTTCAAATAACTTATTTATTTCTGTCTTCATTTCGTTATTTACCCAGAGTCATTCAGGAGCAGGTTGTTCAGTTTCCATGTAGTTGTGCGGTTTTGAGTGAGTTTCTTAATCCTGAGTTCTAATTTGATTGCACTGTCGTCTGAGAGACTCTTATGATTTCTGTTCTTTTGCATTTGCTGAGGAGTGTTTTACTCCCAATTATGTGGTCACTTTTAGAATAAGTGCAATGTGGTGCTGAGAAGAATGTGTATTTTGTTGATTTGGGGTGGAGAGTTCCGTAGATATTTATTAGGTCCACTTGGTCCAGAGCTGAGTTCAAGTCCTGAATATCCTTGTTAATTTTCTGTCCCATTGATCTTTCTAATATTGAAAGTGGGGCGTTAAAGTCTCCCACTATTATTGTGTGGGAGTCTGAGTCACTTTGTAGTCTCTGAGAGCTTGCTTTATGAATCTGTGTGCTCCTGTATTGGGTGCATATATATTTAGGATGGTTAACTCTTCTTGTGTTGATCCCTTTACCATGCCCTTCTTTGTCTTTTTTGATCTTTGTCGGTTTAAAGTCTGTTTTATCAGAGCCTAGGATTGCAACCCCTGCTTTTTTTTTTTTTTTGACACAGTTTCACTCTTGTTGCCCAGGCTGGAGTGCGATGGCACAATCTCAGCTCACCACAGTCTCCGCCTCCCGGGTTCAAGCGATTTTCTTGCCTCAGCCTCCTGAGTAGCTGGGATTCCAGGCATGCACAAGCACACCCGGCTAATTTTTGAATTTTTAGTAGAGACGGGGTTTCTCCATGTTGGTCAGACTGGTCTCGAACTCCCGACCTGAGGTGATCCGCCTGCCTTGACCTCCCAATGTGCTGGGATTACAGGCATGAGCCACCATGCCCAGCCAACCCCTGCTTTTTTTTTTTTTAACTTTCCATTTGCTGGGTAAATATTCCTCCATCCCTTTATTTTGAGCCTATGTGTGTCTCTGCATGTGAGATGGGTCTCCTGAATACGCCACACTGATGGGTCTTGACTCTCTATCCAATTTGCCAGTCTGTATCTTTTAATTGGGGCACTTAACCTGTTTACATTTAAGATTAATATTGTTATGTGTGAATTGGATCCTGTCATTATGATGCTAGCTGGTTGTTTTGCCCATTAATTGATGCAGTTTCCTCATAGTGTTGATGGTCTTTACAATTTGGTATGTTTTTTGCAGTGGCTGTTACCGGATTTTCCTTTCCAAATTTATTGCTTCCTTCAGGAGCTCTTGTAAGGCTGGCCTGGTGGTGACAAAATCTCTCAGCATTTGCTTGTCTGTAAAGGATTTTATTTCTCCTTCACTTATGAAGCTTAGTTTGGCTGGATATGAAATTGTGGGTTGAAAATGCTTTTCTGTGAGAATGTTGAATATTGGCCCCCACTCTCTTCGGTCTTGTAGGGTTTCTGCAGAGAGGTCCGCTGTTGGTCTGATGGGCTTCCCTTTGTGGGTAACATGACCTTTCTCTCTGGCTACCCTTAACATTTTTTCCTTCATTTCAACCTTGGTGAATCTGATGATTATGTGTCTTGGGGTTGCTCTTCTCGAGGAGTATCTTTGTGGTGTTCTCTGTATTTCCTGAATTTGAATATTGGCCTGTCTTGCTAGGTTGGGGAAGTTCTCCTGGATAATATCCTGAAGAGTGTTTTCCAACTTGGTTCCATTCTCCCCATCACTTTTAGGTACACCAGTCAAACGTAGGTTTGGTCTTTTCATATAGTCCCACATTTCTTGGGGGCTTTGTTCATTCCTTTTCATTCTTTTTTCTCTAATCTTGTCTTCACGCTTTATTTCATCAAGTTGATCTTCAATCTCTGATATCCTTTCTTCCACTTGATCGATTTGGCTCTTGATACTTGTGTATTCTTCATGAAGTTCTCGTGCTGTGTTTTTCAGCTCTATCAGGTTATTTATGTTCTTCTCTAAACTGGTTATTCTAATTAGCAATTCCTCTAACCTTTTTTCAAGGTTCTTAGCTTTCTTTCATTGGGTTGGTACATGCTCCTTTAGCTTGGAGGAGTTTGTTATTACCCACCTTCTGAGGCCTAATTCTGTCAATTTGTCAAACTCATTCTCCATCCAGTTTTGTTCCCTTGCTGTCGAGGAATTGTGATCCTTTGGAGGAGAGGAGGTATTCTGGTTTTTGGAATTTTCAGCCTTTTTGCACTGGTTTTTCCTCATCTTCGTGGATTTATCTACCTTTGGTCTTGGATGTTGGTGACCTTCGGATGGGGTTATTGTTTGGACATCCTTCTTGTTGATGTTGATGCTATTCCTTTCTGTTTGTTAGTTTTCCTTCTAACAGTCAGGCCCCTCTGCTGCAGGTCTGCTGGAGTTTGCTGGAGGTCTACTCCAGACCCTATTTGCCTGGGTATCACCAGCAGAGGCTGCAGAACAGCAAAGATTGCTGCCTGTTTCTTCCTCTGGAAGCTTCATCCCAGAGGGGCACCCACCAGATGCCAGCTGGAGCTCTCCCGTATGAGGTATTTGTAGACCCCTGCTGGGAGGTGTCTCCCAGTCAGGAGGCACAGGGATCAGAGACCCACTTGAGGAGGCAGTCTGTCCCTTAGCAGAGCTTGAGCACTGTGCTGGGAGATTTGCTGCTCTCTTCAGAGCCAGCAGGCAGGAATGTTTAAGTCTGCTGAAGCTGCACCAAAGCTGCCCCTTTCCCCAGGTGCTCTGTCCCAGGGAGATGGGAGTCTTATCTGTAAGGCCCTGACTGGGGCTGCTGCCTTTCTTTCAGAGATGCCCTGCCCAGAGAGGAGGAATCTAGAGAGGCAGTCTGGCTACCGTGGTTTTGCCGAGCTACAGTGGGCTCTGCCCATTTTGAACTTGCTGGTGGCTTTGTTTACACTGTGAGGGGAAAATCGCCTACTCAAGCCTCAGTAATGGCAGACGCCCCTCCCCCCACCAAGCTCAAGTGTCCCAGGTGGACTTCAGACTGCTGTGCTGGCAGCGAGAATTTCAAGCCAATGGATCTTAGCTTGCTGGGCTCCATGGGGGTGGGATTCGCCGAGCTAGATGACTTGGCTCCCTGGCTTCAGTCCCCTTTCCAGGGGAGTGAGTGGTTCTGTCTCACTGGCATTCTAGGCACCACTGGGGTATGAAAAAAACTTCTGCAGCTGGCTTGGTGTCTGCCCAAATGGCCACCCAGTTTTGTGATTGAAACCTAGAGCTCTGGTGGTGTAGGCACCCGAAGGAATCTCCTGGTCTGCGGGTTGTGAAGACCATGGGAAAAGTGTAGTATCTGGGCTGGAGTGCACTGTTCCTCATGGCACAGTCCCTCATGGCTTCCCTTGGCTAGGGGAGGGAGTTCCCCAACCCCTTGCATTTCCTGGGTGAGGTGATGCTCCACCCTGCTTCGGCTCACCCTCCATGGGCTGTACCCACTGTCTAAACAGTCCCAGTGAGATGGGCCAAGTATCTCAGTTGGAAATGCAGAAATCACCTGCCTTCTGCATTGGTCTCACTGGGAGCTGCAGACAGGAGCTGTTCCTATTCAGCCATATTGCCAGCCCAAATGGCTCTTTTATTTAACAAATATTATAAAGTGGCTACTCAGTGCCCTGTCCTGTGCAAGGCACTGGAGATACAGTAAGGAGCAAATAAATGTCCTGCCCACAAGGAGCTGATATTCCACGTGTGTATAGGAGGCAAAGTGGGATGACAATAAATACCAAGAGAAAAAACCAAGATAAATACCCTGAAGAAAATAAGAGGATAATGCCTGAGGCCATGACTGGAGGGGCTGGAGGTGGGATGCCTGCCCACTTATGCAAGGATAATGAGGGAAGGCCTCTGCAGAGGTGAGATGTGATGCAAGGCTTGAATGGTGAGAGGACAACAATGGAAAGATGTTTGCAAGAGAGCTCTGAGCAGAGGAGGTAGCCAGTGCAGAGGTCCTGATGCCGGAACAAAGGAGACATGTTTAAAGGACAGAGAAATCCGATGTGACCTGGTAGCCTTGATAAAAATTGTGTATTTTATTTCAACTGTTACAGAACATCTTCGGAGGGTTTCAGCAGGGGAGAGACACTGTCACCTTTTAGTTTTGCAAACACAACTCTGGCTGCCATATGGCACTGGATGTAGGGGAACCTGTGGCCATGGTCCAGGCAAGAGATGCTGGGAGCCTGGTCTGTGGCTGTAGTTGAGGAGATTAGGCAAAGAATTGGCTGGCGACACATTGGCACATAGAACTGACAGGGCTTGCTTTGGAACTGTCTGAGCCATTACTCAGAACAAAGCCCATCATTGCTGATACCCTTTTTCAGGCTGGAAGGCTCAGTGCAGAAGGACCAAGGTGGTCCCATTAGCAACAAGCCAGCCTGGCCAGTCTCTTGCTGTTGTTTTTCTATTGTCAATGGCTGTGCTTTCCTCCCTGGGAGCACAGCTTTGTGCTGCCTCTTCTTACCACTGTGCTCCCTGCCCTGAGCATGTCATGGTGGACTCTGTTTGCACATATGCAGAGACCACCCAGGGAAAGCCTTACCAGGGACACTGGCTCTTGGGCCTTGGAGGCTGGTAAATAGGTGAGGGTCATGGGGCCTTGGAAGCTGGTGAGTAGGTCCCCAAGGCAGTGATCTCTGCCTTCCTCTACCTAGACTGCCACAAGTCCAGGCTGAGAAGACTGCCTGGAAGACAAGCTGTAACACAACATTTGAAGTCCCTTATATATATTCATTCATTTGATCCTCACAACAACACTTTGAGACAGGTCTCATTATTGTCCTCAGTGTTCAGGTGAGGAAACTAAGGCACAGTGGTTATATAACTTGTCCAGGATCAGAAAGTGCAAGGAAGCAGCACCAGGAATTAGTGCAGGCAGTCTGCTCCACAGCCCAGGCTTTATCCACTGCTCTCCCTGGCTTCAAGTGTGGCCCTGCCCACCAGGGAAGTCACACACAAGTGACAGAGATGAGAGATTTACAGGCAGCACAAGAAGCACATGGCACCGAGGAGATCCCTAAATACTAAAGTGCACAAGGACGGCCTCTTGTAGGAAAAGTGGACTCAGGCTGGCCCAAAGGACAGGTGCAGTCCCATGGAGCAGAGCTGGGGAGGCACTATAGTCAGAGCTGAGAGCAGATTCACAGGGGTAGTAGCAGGGAATGAGTACGATGTGTGTGGCAGACCAGACTGGGACAACGAGAGGACAGTGGCTGCTAGAGGGGTGTGGCTGCGGCCAGACCAGGGGTCACATGACACCCTTTACTGGCATATGAGGCTCAGAAGTCTTCGTTTTATCCTGATAACAGGAAGCCACTGGAGGACCAGCATGAGGGTGAGGAAGCCACAGAAGGGAGATGGCAACTCTGAAAGGCATGCATTAAGCCTGGATGCTAGAGGTACGATCCCTCAGACATTCTCAATTGTTCTCCCTAGAAGTAACTGATCAATATCCCATTTTTACTCATAATAGCCAAAAGGTGAAAACAACTGAAACTTTCATCAACTGATGAATGGGTAAAGAAAATGTGGTCTATCCATACAATGGAATATTATTCAGCCATAAAAAGAATGAAGTATTGATACATGCTAAAATATGTACAAGCCTAGGAAATAAGTTATATGAAAGAAGCAGTTACCAAAAGCCATGTATTGAATGTTTAAAGTGATGGATATGGTAATTATCTTGATTTGATTCTTATATAATGTATACATGCATTGAAACATTACACTGTGCCCCACAAATATGTACAACTATTATGTGTCAATTATAAATTTATAAATTGATTTTTTAAAAGGCTGCATATTGTATGATTCCATTTATATGAAATGCCCAGAAAAGGCAAATCCGTAGAGACAGAGAGTAGATTATTGGTTGCCAGGGGCTGTGGGGAGGAGGGAGTGGAGAGTGACTGAAAATGGCACCAAGTTTCCTTTTGAGGTGATAAAAATGTTCTAAAATTAGATAGGGGTGATGGCTGCCCAGCTCTATAAATATACTAAAAATGACTGATGTACATTTTACAAGGGTGAATTTTATGGTGTGTAAATTGTATCTCAATAAAGGTGTTATCAAACCACCATTGCTTGATTTCCTTATGCTGATGAGTAAACAAATCAACATTTCCAGCTGGTGCTGAGACTTACCTTGCGTGCTACTTGTTGAAACCGTTTTTGTGCCCTGGACCTGCTGAGCCAAGTGTTATTAATGAGTGGATCAAAAGTAGGATGAAATTCCTTGATTTTCTGTGAATATAAAATATAGGCACATCTTACATTTAAATTTTAACTCCTGTCATAAACATCTAATAAAAACATTTTAGAGTTTGATCCCAAATCAAGTTGTTATTTATTTGTTGTATTGCTTAGTGAGCATTTATTTATTAAGCACTTTTAGTGTACACAGCATTATAAGGAACACTTCTTGAGTTGGGGGCCAAAAGTGGAGGACAAGATTAGGGTTTTAAGAAACTTATAGTCTAGTTAGGAAAGCTCAAGCAAACACATGTGACTTTGAGGAAGAATAAAGTCACCAATCCCATGTGGTGGTGCTGACAGTGCATCCAGAATTGAAAGGCATGGGCTGTGAGATCCCCTGGCTGGGTAGGACTACTTTACTCAGCCCTGCATGCCCAGCGCTGACACATGTATTGTCCCACATGTGCCTGCATGTCCTGGGCACCAGTGTATCTAAGTTAGTAAATGAATAAGGAGGAAAGAGTGTCTGCGGGTATAGTGAGGCTGGCCAGAGCCTGAGGCACTGTAGGTTCTTGAATAAGGAAATTATATAAAAAGAGACAGCAGAAGGGAATCAGTCTTACTTTGGCTTATGCCATGAGCTGCAGAGGAGAGGGAAGAAGATCAGTTATACAGACAGAAAAACCTGTTGGATTAGTCATCGGGGACACCCAAAGGTTGGACTCTGATATGGCCCATGGAAGCGCCATTGGCAAGACTTTGTGGCCAGAATAAATCTAGTGAGGAGGAGGGCAGGGAGAAATGTGGTAAAAATAATTCAGATATGGCAAACCTAGCAAAGAAAAGTGAGAATGATGGAGGTGGGAGATTAGAATTTTATCATCGTTGAAATTAAAAGTTGGACTTTTAACCAGTGATATGGTTTGGCTGTGTCCCCACCCAAATCTCATCTTGAATTGTAGTTCTCATTATCCCCAGGTGTTGTGGGAGGGACCAGATAGAGATAATTGAATCGTGAGGGCAGTTTTCCCCATCCTGTTCTCGTGATAGTGAGTTAGTTCTCAAGAGATCTGATGGTTTTTGTAAGGGGCTTCTCCCTTCACTTGGTTCTCATTCTTCTTGCTTCTGCAGCCATGAGAAGAAGGATGTGTTTGTGTCTCCTTCTGCTATGACTGTAAGTTTCCTGAGGCCTCCCCAGCCATGTGGAACTGTGAGTCAATTAAACCTCTTTCCTTTATAAATTACCCAGCCTCAGGTATTTCTTCATAGCAGAGTGAAAACTAATTAATACACTAAATTGGTACCAGGAGTGGGGTGCTACTATAAAAATACTCAAAAATGTGGAAGCAACTTTGGAACTGGGTAACAAGCAGAGATTGGAACAGTTTGCAGGGATCAGAAGAAGGAAAATGTGGGAAAGTTTGGAGCTTCCTAGAGACTTGTTGAATGGCTTTGCCCAAAATGCTGATTGTAATATGGACAATGAAGTCCAGGCTGAGGTGGTCTCAGGTGGAGATGAGGAACTTGTTGGGAACTGGAATGAAGGTGACTCTTTCTTTGTTTTAGCAAAGAGACTGGGGGCATTTTGCCCCTGCCCTAGAGATCTGTGGAACTTTGAACTTGAGAGAGATGATTTAGGTATCTGGCAGAAGTAATTTCTAAACAGCAGAGTGTTCAAGAGGTGACTTGGGTGCTGTCAAAAGCATTCAGTTTTATGTATTCACGAAGATATGGTTTGGAATTGAACTTATGCTGAAAAGGGAAGCAGAGCATAAAAGTTTGGAAAATTAGCAGCATGATGATGTAATAGAAAAGAAAAATCCATTTTCTGAGAAGAAATTCAAGCCAGCTGCAGAAATTTACATAAGTAATGAGGTGCCAAATGTTAATCACTAAGACAATGGGGAAAATGTCTCCAGGACATGTCAGAGGTCTTCATGGCAGCCCCTCCCATCACAGGTCTGGAGACCTAGGAGGGAAAAATGGTTTTGTGGGCTGGGCCCAGGGCCTTGCTGCTTTATGCAGTCTTGGGATTCAGTGCCCTGTGTCCCAGCCATAACTAAAAGGGGCCAAGGTACAGCTCAGGCCATGGCTGCAGAGGGTGAAAGCCCCAAACCTTGGCAGCTTCCACATGGTGTTGAGCCTGTAGGTGCACAGAAGTCCAGAAATTAGGTTTGGGAAACTCTGTCTGGATTTCAGAGGATGTATGGAAACACCTGGATGTGCAGGCAGAAGTTTGTTGCAGGAGTAGAGCCCTCATGTAGAACCTCTGCTAGAGCAGTACAAAGGGAAATGTAGGGTTGGAGCCCCCACACGGAATCCCCACTGGGGCACTGCCTACTGGAGCTGTAAGAAGAGGGCCACCATCCTCCAGACCCCAGAATGGTAGATCCACTGACAGCTTGCACTGTGCACCTGGAAAACCCACAGACACTCAATGCCAGTCTGTGAAAGCAGCTGGGAGGGAGGCTGTACCCTGCAAAGCCACAGGAGCAAAGCAGTCCAAGGCTATGGGAGCCCATCCCTTGCATCAGCATGACGTGGATGTGAGACATGGAGTCAAAGGAGATAATTTTGGATCTTTAAGGTTTAATGACTGCCCTATTGAATTTCTGACTTGCATGGGGCCTTGTAGCCCCTTTGTTTTGGCCAATTTCTCCCATTTGGAATGGGTATATTTACCCAATGCCTGTACCCCCATTGTATCTAGGAAGTAACTAACTTGCTTTTGATTTTACAGGCTCATAGGTGGAAGGGACTTGCCCTGTCTCAGATAGGACTTTGGACTGAGACTTTTGAGTTAATGCTGGAATAAGTTAAGGCTTTGGAGGACTGTTGGAAGGGCATGATTGTGTTTTAAATTGTGAGGACATGAGATTTGGAGGACCAGTGGTGGAATGATATGGTTTGGCTGTGTTCCCACCCAAATCCCGTCTTGAATTGTAGTTTCCATAATTCAAGACATGACCCTCATAGAAGGGCATGATTGTGTTTTAAATTGTGAGGACATGAGACTTGGGAGGGGCCAGAGGCAGAATGATATGGTTTGGCCATGTCCCCATCTAAATCTCATCTTGAATTGTAGTTCCCATAATCCCCATGTCATGGGAGTGACCAGGTAGAGATAACTGAATCATGGGGGCAGTTTCCCCCATCCTGTTCTCATGATAGCGACTTAGTTTTCAAAAGATCTGATGGTTTTATAAGGAGCTTCCCCCTTGGCTTGGTTTTCATTCTTCTCATTCCTGCCACCATGTAAAGAAGGAAGTATTTGCTTCTTCTTCTGCCATGATTGTACGTTTCCTGAGGCTTCTCCAGCCATTCAGAACTATGAGTCAATTAAACCTTTTTCCTTTATAAATTACCAAGCCTTGGGTATTTCTTCATAGCAGTGTGACAATGAACTAATATTACAAGACAGAGATAATCAGGTGGATGGGGCCACAGTACTCATTTTAGATTTGAGAACAGTAAGGCACCACAGCCAAGAGGCTTGCCAAGGTCCCAAATCTGTCATAGAGTTGTAACTAGGACTCTGGCTTCTGACTTCTGACTTTGTATCCTTTCTACCAAGGGAAGGAGGATAATGAATAGAGGCCAAGGGACCCACCTTGAGGACCTGTGGACAGGGGCTTGGAGAATGAAGGAAAACAAAAAAGGAGACCTAAAATGAGAAAGTAGTGGGATGAAAAGGAGTGGCCAAAGTATGTAGTGCTGTTCATTTCAAGAGAAACATGAATTACAAGTTTTGATGCTTTACTTGCAAAAACATGGTAACATTCTGAAAATGTATGCAAATTAAAAAGTATTAAATATCTCTTGGTAAAGGATTTCTATAAAATTGTTTAGCATTCAAAAAAATAAGCATTTAAAGAGCTGCCAATAATCAGATTCTAAATAAAGGAAAGTTACCCACCTCTTCTTGATTGCGAACAACCCGTTTATGGCTAACTTCTGTTTTAAGTCGCTGAAATTCCTCATCCAAAATAGGATCTCCTCTGTCTAGCTGGGTTTTTAATCATCAAAATAATTTAAGTTGAATATAAATGCGTAAAACAATTTGTCTTTAAAACTTGTAGAAACCCATTAAGCAATTGGCCAAATCCACCCACGACGTTCCCATTGGAAGTGGTGAAACACAAGTGGGTAAAAAAGATCAGTATGATTACACTGTTTAAACATAGGGAGCTCTTATCGAAGCACAGATTCGATACCTCCTTTTTTTTTTTTTTTTTTTTGACGTTGTCTCGCTCTGTCACCCAGGCTGGAGTGCAGTGGCACAATCTCGGCTCACTGCAAGCTCCGCCTCCCGGGTTCACGCCATTCTCCTGCCTCAGCCTCCCAAGTAGATACCTTCTTTTTATAACTAAAAGATAGTGTCTTTGGAAATTATTTCCAAGACACTTAACATTCATAGAAAGAATTTTAGGAAACTGTAACTATGGGACTATACAAATTTCATTAAAAAGACATTTAACATCCCTGTAAAGTTTTAAGCTCCTCAGAGTCGATTATCCAGGTGTCAGGTTTTAAGGAAGGCATGTGGGGATTCCTTCCTTCTCCTGGGTGGTGGAAGCTGACAGGTCTTCCTGGGCTGGAAAGCAACCTGCGGTTCCCCGGAGGTGAGTGACCCCAGACTGCTCTCCTTCCTTCACCTGCCTGCTTCCCTGATGACGCCTGGGCCCTTTTTCTTATTCCCAGGAGCCAACAGTGACTCCTGGGGTAGGCTGGCTGGGCTGGGTTCAGTGTCTATATGTGTCTGCCCAGGTGGGAAAGGGGACTGCGTACTCCGCAGATGGTGTTAGTTTTTGCCTATCTGTGTGTTCTATTAATTGTTTGTTGGGTAACTTCAAAAACCAGCTTGGCTCTTAAGTATACTGTTTATAAAAATTTTAAAAGACTTATTTGGAATAAATCTATTCTGATCATCACATTAACACCCTAATCAGAAATAAGAGAGGTGTGTTATTGTCACCAGGGTGGTGAGCTGCCTAGCTCTGATTGGCACATATTGGGAAGTTGAGTTTGAGACTGAACACATTAAGTTCAAAGTACAGATTTCGTGGGGAGACCCAGACCCCCACCAGCATTAGGAGTAAAATAAAATAGGCAATATAAAGAAGGGACTGGCAAATAGATCACTAGCTAGAATAATGGCAAGGGAGATTTATTATATCTTTATTAAGACACTGCTGACTTGATGATGAGTAAAAGCTCATCATCCTTGAGGGCTGTGCCATCTCACTCTCAGGCCATCTCCTTCCTTCCCCCACCATTTCTCCTCTTTGTTTCCACCACATGCCTGGGGCCTCCAGGAGTTCCGTGCCACTGGGTCACCTGCCAGGACTCAGCTCTCAGATAAAATCCCCTGGACACACAGAATGGGGTCCCTGAGACGTTTGATCTCCCATATTCCAGGGCGTCTGGGCTGCCTGCTCATCCTCCTTGCCCCAGGAGCCATGCTAAGGATGGGACTGCTCCTTGGCTGTCACTGCCCGCAGCCACAGCCTCAATGCCCACAATGACTGATCTGGGCATGTCTGTGCCAACTTCACCTTTAAAAAGGTTAGAAAACAGCATTCCACTGTTGGGTTGACAGACAATACTTGATGTTTTGTTTTTAAGAAAGCATGCAAAGAATCTGAACATGTGGAACTAAATTTAAATGCACATCTAATATGTGCTTTTCCTAAATGCAAAGATTTACCAATGTAATGATTTTATATTCTTTTGTCTTATGAAAAATGAAGAAAAATAAGACAAATTTATTTAAATATCTAGTTGGACTCCAAATCTGGAAAGAAAAGTACATTCTCTATGAGAAACATATTCATATCTGACAAGAAATGTTTTTCCCCAATCCCACCCATCCACTGCTGCCAAGTCAGTCTACCTGAACCTCACATTACCCAGCTCAAAAATCTGTGTTATGGGTTGAATTGTGTCCCTTCGAAATTCCTGTATTGAAGCCTTAACCCCTAGAACTCAGCATGTGATGGTATTTAGAAATGGAGTCTTTAAAGAAGTGACCAAGTTAAAATGAGGCTGTGAGAGTCGGTCTTAATCCAATATGACTGGTGCCCTTATATCAGAGGAGATTAGGACACAGACACAGAGGAAGACCACATGAAGATATGAGGAGAAGGTGGCCACCAATAAGCCAAGGAGAGAGGTCTGGAATGGATCCTTCACTCATGGCTCTCAGAAGGAATCAACCATGCTGAGAACTTGATTTTGGACTTCCAGCCTCCAGAACTATGAGAAAATAAATTTCTGCTGTTTTAAGCCACCCAGCCTGTGGTACTTTGTTATGGCAGTCTGAGCCAATTAATATAATATGTGATCATTCTGCAAGTCCTACCAATTAAATTCAGACACAGAGCCCCAGCAGACTCCTGTCTCCTCTGGCCCATGTGTATCCTGTGTTTTAGCCACTGTGGACTTGTCCTCAGTGTTCTCTGCACCTGTGTGTAGGTAACAACCATCTTCAAAGCATGGTGAGGCCATGGGTGCTGGACAGTCCCACAGTTCCCATCCCTGAACCTACAGGGGCTATCTTGGCACCCCAGGTGTGGTCCCACTCCCCTCAGCCCACTTTCCCTTTTTCTGCTCAGCCCCTTTGAGGGTCTCTGACTTGGGACTATCATTTGCATCTGTCTCTGATGTGGGTCCTGGTTACCAACTTTGGGTCTCTTTTGTCTTCATGCTCTGTAGATCATGGGACAGGGGACCCCAACTCAAAATTCCAGCTCGAATTTGAGCCATTCCCTCCATGTGAATGCCTTTGTCCTCTTTGCTACTTTTCAAAAAATTATACAATGTCTTCCAGGAAGCATTCCAATCAGATGAATTCTCTCTCCTCTCTGGCTTCTGAATCCCCACAAAACTTAGTATAGGTCTCTGGTGACATTTATAGCCAGTCTTGATTTATGGTTGACAATTTACTTGTCGTCAGCCTTTCCCACTCCCAACTTAACTGTGGGTTTTCCTCCACCTGGCATCTTGCATATAGTAGGAATTTAAAAACATCTAGCGAAACAAATGATAGCAAATTAGCAGTAACTCTGACCTTATATTTGGCACATGCTTTTTGCCACTCTTCAGTAAGCTCTTTTTTAAGTTTAAAAGACATAGGATCTTTACCAAGGTGCACCTGCCTGGGGAGAAAAAAAAAAAACTGTGTCCAGAACCCATCAGAATACCAGAGTCAACTTTAGGATGGAATATTTCACTATATTCCAAAACTGAAAAGGAACCCTGAGATGCTGGAGGAGACACATGGGATAGAGAAGTTAGTTATAGAGGCTTCAGCAACATAACTAAGATGAATAATGTGTTCTACAAAGTTAAGCTTATCTTAAATAGTTATGAATAACAACATCTGGATGCTCAACCTTCTAAATCATTAGGGAAATACAAATCAAAGCCACAAAAATATACCCCTTTACACCCACTGGGATGGCTATGATGATGATGATAATAATGGAAAATAACGGGTATTGCTGAGCAAGTGGAGAAACCCTCATATGTTGCTAGTGGGAATGTAAAATGGTTTGGCCACCATGGAAAACAGTTTGGTGGCACCACAAAAAGTTAAACATAGAGTTACCATATGACCTAGCAGTTCCACGCCTAGGTATGTACCTAAGAGAACTGAAAAGATATGGTCACATAAAAAAGTGCATATAAATGTTCATAGCAGCATTATTCATAATAGTCAAAAAGTGGAAACTACTGAAATGTCCAGTAACTGATGAATGAACAAGCAAAATGTTGCATATCCATTCAATGAGATTATTCAGCCATAAAAAGGAATGCAGTACTAACACATGTTATGATGTGGATGAATCTTAAAAACATGTTAAGTGGAAGAGGCCAGTCACAAAAGACTATGTATTCTGTGATTCCCTTTATATGAAATGTCCAGAGTGGGCAAATCCATAGAGACTGAAAGTAGATTGTGGTTGCCAGGGGCTCCAGGGGGTGGGGAGTGGGGAGTGATTGATAATGGGTATGAGGTTTCTTTTTCTAGTGATGCCTATGTTCTGGAATTGGGTAGTGGTGATGGTCATGCAACATTGTGGATTTACTAAAAACCTCTGCACAATATACTTTAAACTGGTTAAAATGATGAATTTTATCACAATTTAAAGAAACTAATATGCAATGTATTCATCACGAAACCCAGCACATATCTTAAATAAATAATAGTTATGATTTTTAAAGTGGAGGTGGAAGGATGTTCTAGAGAACTGTTTTAGGTTAGAGGAGACTAAAGGGACATGCAAGCTAAATACAAATGGTATGATCTTTGACTGGACCCCAGACACCTCTCTTCAAAAACAAAACAAAAACAAACCAGGTATGGGCCGGGTGTGGGGACTCACACTTGTAATCCCAGCACTTTGGAGGCCAGGGCTAGTGGATTGCTTGAGGTCAGGAGTTCGAGACCAGCCTGGGCAATGTGGCAAAACCCTGTCTCTATTTCATTTTTATAAAATTTAAAATAAATACTTTTAAAAAGACTAGGTATACAGTACATTTTGGGACAACTGGCTAAATTTGCCCATAAGACTGATTATTAGATAATATTATTCTATCAGTGTGAAATCTCTTGGAAGTGATTATAATAATGTTGGAGAATGTCTTTGTTCTTAGGAGCTACATACTGAAGTATTTTGGGGTGAAGCTTCCTGATATTTGCAATTTATCTGTAAATGGCTCAGGGGAAAAAGGTGCATGCAGGTGTGTGTGTGCATGTGTGTGGAGTGAGGGGAAGTGTATGTGTCATAATGTCAACAATTAGTGAACCGAGGTCAAGTGTATGTCAGTTTAAGATCTTTCAACATAAAAAGTTGGGAAAAATATTAAAGGAACAACACAGCATTCAGAATGGGATTTGGGATGTGACTTCAAGTCTGATACAGAGATGCATAGAAAGAACAAAAACACCAGCACTGACAGTGGTCACTGGTCACTGCTGACTGGGGGCATCACCGTGATTTTTTTTCCTTCTCTATATGTAAAAAAACATGTTTTCAGGTTTCCTACAATGATGACCTACCTGTTTTTCATAATAGGGAAAAGGTGTTTATAAACATAAAATTTTCAGTTCCTTGGAGTACTTCCCGTTAACTGAGGCGGGACCATAACTATAGACTTAAGCTGAGACAGAAGGGATTTCTGATGGAAACAAGGGCCATTCCCCAGAGACAGGGGAGCAGCCCGGTGGGCACCTTCAGAGGGCTTCAGGTGAGGGCGTGTTCTCATGTGTCGGGAAGGGTGGAGGCTGGGTCATGGAGTAGGCAGCCTCTCAATGACACTCTCCAAGAGTCTCTTTTTCAGCCCAGTTTACTTTAGCTCAGGCATGGGGACTCGTACCTGTAATCTCAGCACTTTGGGAGGTCAAGCAGGAGAATACTTGAGCCCAGGGGTTTGGGTCCCACCTGGGCAACATAGTGAGACCCCATCTCTAAAAAAAAAAAAAATTTGCTGGGCATGGTGGCACGCACCTGTGCTCCCAGCTACTTGGGAGGCTGAAGAGGGAGGATCACTTTAGGCTGGGAGGCTGGGGGTGCAGCCGGCCATGATGTGACACTGAAATATGCAACATTGAAATATGCAAATGTTGCATATCCATAACACTGGATATGCAACATTTTGCTTGTTCATTTATCAGTTACTAGACATTTCAGTAGTTTCCACTTTTTGGCTATTATGAATAATGCTGCTATGAACATTTATATGCACTTTTTTATGTGACCATATCTTTTTTATGTGACCACTCCAGCTGGGGTGACAGAGTGACACCCTTTCTCAAAAAAAAGAGTTTACTTTTCAGCTAAATCTGTACACATGCATATGCTTGGTCTGATCTGGTAAAAAAAAAATTGTGAAAAAGTTTCTAATTTGGGCACAGAAGCACAAGAATTCTCACATCTCAGTTTTAAAACCTCCATTAGGAGCCCCCCAGAGCCTCACCCCACTGGGCTACCCAGAAGGCCTCTGGGGCACACAGCCCAAGGCACAGGGGCTCCTGGTGAGGTGGAGGATGATGGGGGTGAGATTGGGGGTGCCCAAGGCACCCAGATCTGTCCGGGGGTGAGGGGGTGCCAGCAGCAGCAGGGAGCATCTCCCACAATTCACTCTGGTCCTGCCACTGGTCACACTTAGCAAACAGTGTGGTTTGGTCACATATATTTATTCCTAATAGAAACTTCCTACTGAAGGACCACTGGCAGTGAAACAATCATTAAATTCTCCAAAGTACCTAAAAGGTTATTACATTTTACTGTCTCTCATTTATAAAAGATCATCACCTAAAAATAACTGTACTGACACTTGATACAAACAATTGCTCAATATTTACCACTTAAGATGATTTTCCATCTCTTCGTGAATGTCCTGTCTGACTTTCTGTTCAAAGAGTGCCTCCTTCATCTGTCTCGTTTTTGAAATTTCAGTGCCCTGGTCCAAAACTGAAGGCAGGAGCAGACAATGTTTATACCAGTAATCAGATTAAAATCATGTGCGGAGAGAAAAACACATTTCTAATGGCGAGGCATAACAGCAATCTAACTGAATTTTGTTGTTCATAGGTAATCAGTGTGACCAGCAATGACTCTTTCATATTCTGCTCAGGGGCTGCTTTATGGCCAATCAACTGGTTACCTTCTCTTAATTCTTTAATCTTCAATTTTCCTGGTTCTTGGTTTAAAACAGTTGCCACAGCAAATGGATTCGATAAATCTACTGGAAATCTGAGGTTCTGGTACTCAATTTCCTAAGAGACCAAATCAATAGGGAAATCAGTTAGTCTGCCCCTCTGTCACCCTTTCATCGCACCAAGGACAAGGCCCACCGTACCTTCACCTTCTGAGGCTTCGGCTTCGCTGGCGGTCGGTGAAAATTTATATGCATCATTGCTTTTTCTGGAGGAACGTTTACTTTCTTAGAAAGGGTATTCAACCTTTCAAACTCTTCTAATCTATAGGTTAAAACAAGTGTTAAATTAGTAAATAAGCCATTAACTCAAGGTTCCTAATGTTTTATGTTCCTTCTGATAACACCACAACTTGAAGTCCCTTATTATACCTAAACTGAAAATAAATGTGTGCCCCAACAGTGGTCTACTAAAATAAATGTGATGTCAGTGCATTAGAGTATAATCAGCGATATCAAAATTGCCCACCAACGGTTTTTTTTTGCCTTACATTCTTTTTTTTTGAGATGGAGTCTCACTCTGTCACCAGGCTGGAATGCAGTGGCATGATCATGACTCACTGCAACCTCTGCCTCCCGGGTTCAAGTGATTCTCCTGCCTCAGCCTCCCGCATACCTGGGACTACATGCGTGCACCACTACACCCAGCTAATTTTTGTATTTTTAGTAGAGACGGGGTTTCACCATGTTGGCCAGGATGGTCTCGATCTCTTGACCTTGTGATCCACCAGCCTCTGCCTCCCAAAGTGCTGGGATTACATTGCTTTACATTCTTAAAGAACATACTGACTGAAAACATGACATGCTGAAAAATGCTCTCAAGGTCTAGCATAATCAATTTCTAGCCTGTTGGTTTTCAATAGCTAGATTTATTACATTTAAAAAAATCTTACCTTGATTTATCTTCCTAGTAAAAGAATGATTATGCCAATTGTTTGTAGCAAGATGTTTCAAAAAGAGACTCAGACTAATGTTTGGGATCTTTTCTGTAATTAGAAACTGACTTTGGACATGGTAGTTAGAGGTAGTGCAGCTAATAGCCCGCAGAAGCTATTCAGGTTATCTGTTATGAGATGCAGTAGAACTGTGTTCTATTCAGAAATGCTACCTTTGAAGCATTTCTTTTTTCTTTTTTTAGAAATTATTTTTATCTAAATAGTTATATTTTTCTGCAACACAAGGCAAAGTTACGATTTTGAAAATAACCATTTTAAAATTTATTTGTTCAGTACCAATTTGGCATAATAGCTTAGGGGAAGCATTTCTTTAAGCAACGATGTGTGGACAATTGTTTTATAGGATAAACATTTGTTTTCCATGACAGTACAAAAATAAGATAAAAATAGGTGAACATTCACTCACTCTGACAGTTAATATGTATTTGCTGACCACCCACTGAACAGGCCTGGTTGCATTGTATGGAACTTATGTTAGCAACCTCAAATTTAATGTCTCTCATGTAAGAGCATCCTTACAACCCAGGGCATGGGAGAACGTGTCCCTTGGTGAGACTCCCACCCACCGACATGCTCTGATGTGAAGGGTGAGGTGTTTAGCCAGGTAGCGAACTGAGGTTCAGCATCCCTGTCTCAGTGGAGCCTTGACACCACCTCTGCTGTTAAATATTGGGGAGCAACTAAACCTGGGGGCATTAAAAAGCAGCCTCCTAAACAATATCCTCAACGTCGATGACGGAAATGAAGAGGTCTAAGAAAATGATAAATCAGTTACATGTGGAATTTGGCAGGGCCAAATTTAGACATGAGTAAGTCTATCACACACCCTATAATGAAATGAAGAAAGCAATCTATGAAAATTTCAGAGAGCACTACAGCCAGTATTTTTTCCTGTTCAGAAACTACAGCTAGTTTTTTTCCCTTCATGATAGAATTTATATGTTATAATATTATTTGCAGTTTTGGAGAGACATGCAGATCTTAAGACATAGTCCTTGACAATGTCAAGAGTATACCAGATAAGATACTAACATAATAATTTAGAAATAGCGTACACCTGCATTTGTATGGTGCTTCTGTCATACAATGCTGTCGTGCATGTAAAAGCACAGCCATGGAAGGATATACAAATAAAAATCGCACTCATGTTATGTCTTTAAGAAAGTCATTTGAGTATTGTAGCACCTGATGTGAAGTGGCAAACACCATTTTGCTCACCTGCTTATTTGCCACCAGAAAAATCAGCAGTTTTAAAATTTGTGTTCAGTTCTACTTGTTTGTTGCCCGAGTGATTTCAATGATGGTTATTTGCAGGATTTGGGTTCAGCAGGCCACACTAATATCCTACAGTTGACTTAGGCTGCTTTGAATTTTTAGGAAGAAAAATCATGATATAAATATCTAAGATATCATGGAGTGAGTTCATATTTTGATATAAGGTTGCTACTCCACTTGTAATATGCTTAATGATGTGAATATGTGATGTGTATCCATGCGCAAAGAAGAGGAAAACCAAGATATTTCCCTATCATTTTCAAAATAATTGTCAGAATCTTCTAAGATTGGTATTTATACTGTGACAACTTTTTTGTTTGTTTGTTTGTTTGAGATGATGTCTCGCTCTGGCACCCAGGCTGGAGTGCCGTGGCGTGATCTCGGCTCACTGCAACCTCTGCCTCCCAGGTTCAAGCGATTCTGCTTCAGCCTCCCAAGTAGCTGGGATTACAGACAGGATGCCACGTCAAGGTAATTTTTGTATTTTTAGTAGAGACAGGGTTTCACCCTGTTGGCCAGGCTGGTCTTGAAAGCCTGACCTCAGGTGATCCACCCGTCTCAGCCTCCCAAAGTGCTGGGATTATAGGCGCGAGTCACCATACCCAGCAACTTTTAACGTTTATATAAAAATCTTGGGTATAAGAAAAAAATCATGATGTTAACCAGAGGTACTGACATGTAAAAGTACAAGCTCATATTCAAATGGAAATGGAAGTTCAGAAAGGATTTGTTATGAAGCACAACTTAATCCCATTTCACATCTTTACTCTGACTTGAAGTCTGATGGTGCTTTGAAAACCTCCCGTGTTTTTCAAACATTTCTGTTTTTCAGACATTTCTGTCACTGCCTCATGTGAAATCACTTGTTATATGACTTATTTTGGTCTCTTGAGGTTGTGGGCCATTTCCCACTGAGCTTTGCAATGGGCACTGCAAACAGCAGGGACTCAATTAATTAAAATGCTATATGGAAACCTTAAAAACAGTTATGTTGTTCTGGCCCTATTGTTTAAATTTTCGACTAGGCAATAAGACATGCATATGGTAAAAAAATTCCAACAGTGCACCAGTAGTGATCAGTGAAAAAACATGTCCTTCAAAAATCCCTTTTTCTTGTTTCTTCCCTTCTTGTCAGAAGCAACTCTTGCTACTAGCATAGATATATTCTATATTTCTGTTATGTTTTACAGTATATCTTATGTTGGCTCATCATTTTAAATAAGTTTTTGATGACATTCTTTTACAAGAAAGACAGAATGGAAGAAAGGAAGACTTGGATTTTCAAAAAAGGGTTAAAAATAAACAAAAACACTGCAAAGACGCCATACGGTAAGGCCATGTTGGGATAGCATGTTCCGGTGAAGACACATTCGTATGGTTGAGAGTTGAACTGCGAAATCCATAACTGCATTTTTATTTGTGCAGTCCCATACTGAAAGGGTGTAAACTTAATAGTCACAGTCATCTTCCCATTAGCCGGAATTATTCCTGAGAGGAAAGAAATGAGAAAATGTGATACCCTCTCTTCTTGCCAAGTCCAGTCACATGCTGACACACACACAAATATGGCTGACCCTCTGACAATGTGGAGATTAGGGGCACTGACTCCCCACACAATTGAAAATCCACACATAACTTTTGGCTTCCCAAAAACTTAATAGCCTACAGTTGACCAGAAGCCTTAAAGATAACATAAACAGTCAATTAACACATATTGTATATGTTATATGTATTATTTACTATAAACCAGATAAAAGAAAATGTCATTATGGAAATGATAAGGAAGAGAAAATATATTTGTTATTCATTAAGTGGAAGTGGATCATCACAAAGGTCTTCATTCTCTTTGTCTTCGTGTTGAATAGGCTGAGGAGGAGGAAGAGGAGGGATTGATCTTGCTGTCTCAAGGGTGGTAGAGGCAGAAGAGGTGGAAGAGGTGGAAGAAGAGGCAGGCACAGTCGGTTTAACTTTTACTGAAAAAAATCTGAATATAAGTGGGCTCATGAAATTCAAATCCATGCTGTTCAAGGGTCAACTGTACATTCTTCCCATGCTAAGCACAAACACAGTCTTTCTATTATCCTTATGTAGCTTTTTCATTAAATACATGTGAATCAACTTCTGCATGTTTACATTGATCTTATTTATTAATTACTATATTAATCCTTTACAATAATTATTTGATTGTGTCACTTCTACAAATATATACACATCAATCTGCATTAGCGATTCAGACATGAATTCCCAGAACTATCATCTGTAAGCAAATTACCAGATGTCAATATTAATGCTGTAAGCAACAGGAAAAGCTAGGAACGCACATACAAGTTTGTGTTCAAATAATTCAGTTCTTTCTTTGTATAATTTGATTCTTTCTTTTCAAATCTTTAGGATGGACTGTTATTCTCCCCAGAGTCAAATATCACACTGTGCCTAATTCCTCTTTTGTATCTCTGGTGCCAACAGGGCTTGGAACATAGTAAGTGCTAACAAATGTGGAGAGAAAAAGCGAAGAAAGGGAGGATCAATGTTATTTATTTATTTACTTATTGCTGTCCCCAACTAGAATGTAAACTGGAGGACGAATGTTCTGACTTCCACTGAAGGCTCTTAGGTTTGCTTTCTAGATGAGACCGTCTGCCCTTGTGCATCTGGTCCTCCCACTGTCCCTGCAGAGGCCTCGCACAGTCCCCCCAAACATGCCCTCCTTTGCATCCATTCACTTCCTGAATCTTGTGCTACCCTCCCTTCTCCCTGCGCCCAACCACATGGGCCTTTCCTTCACCCATTCATGTGCTTATTAAGTGCTTACTTAATAAGCACTTAATAAGTGTGCCAGGCACTGTTTTAGGCACTAAAGTTAGAGCAATAAACAAAACAAATCCCAGATCTCACAGTTTACATTCTAGTGGGGGACAGCAAAACATAAATAAATAAACAAATGAACATAAAATACAAAGTCAAGACATGAATACCAACAGGCAGGGGGAAGCAAGTGGGTGGAAAGGAAAGGCCCCCCTTGTGAGGAGAGGTGGGAGCAGGAGTATGAGAACGAAAGGGCCTTGGCTCTAATCCCTTTTCATTGGCTCCTGCTGGCTCTGCACTGTGCACTGGCTCAGCACTTGCAATTCCCTAGGCCTGAAGAACTCTCTCCAGATTTTCTTTTAGCTTCATCCTACTCCCGGAAATTATTGCATTTACCATCTGCCTTCTCCTAGTTAGAGTGTAAATTTTAGGAAAGCAGGCACCTGCTCATTACTGCATTCCCAGCACAATAAATTCTTGTTGAATGAGTGAATGAACCCAAACTTAAAAGCCTATATCAACCTATATATTACACCAAACTCCCTATGCCTCTCCCTCCACAGGAACCTTCAGTCAGCCCTACTGAACTCGCGTTCCCTTGATGTGTTACCTTTCAAAATTTCCCTGTCTCCCAACTAGGTATCAAGCTCATAAGGCAGACACCAGCCCCATACCTTTTATATCTTCCTGGATCCCCAGCACAGTGCTTTAGAAATAGGTCTTCGTCAATTTCCTGAGAGCAGAAGTCAAACTCTTTCAATGATACCCACTAGTGACCTTAGAATCCACTGCAGGGAGGAGGGAATCAGCAAAAGACCTTGGGTCCATCAGCCAACCTAAGACCAGCTGGATAGAAACTGTGACTCTCCATCATGTGTGGGGCTTCAATACTTTGACCACCCACTTGGTCAGAAAATAGCCCCCTTTAACCCATAAATTGACCCGGGGCTCTAAAATAAAAGCATTCTATTGCTTCTGCTCTAGCTCATTAACTTAAAAAAATAAAGACAAGCTCTGGAAGCAAGGATTAATGTTTGCCTTGACCCGGCTGATTTATTTTTAAGTGCTGCCAGCTCAGACCTAATACATAAAGCACACTGTGAAGGTGTAGTCTAGGCAACCAGAGTACACTGCTTTTTCCATTAACAGGGATGCCAGTTAACACAGGGAGCAGCAGATCGTCAAATGTTAGCAGCTGTAAAAGGCGTGCCAAGGAGTTACAGCTTACTGCTCAGCCAAAACTAACAGTGGCACAAAGGAGAGTATGTTTCATGCTTTTAAAGTGAGAAGGGCAACCCCCACCCCAAATTGCTCTCTTATGCTCCAGGCCAATTTCATCTGGTCAATTTCAGATCACCACCCTTAACATAACCAGGGGTAATGTGGAATCACAGGACATGGAGGGTGGTGAGCAGAGACAAAGAGAAGAGGAAAAAACTCAGAAATCAACTGAAGGCTAAGAACACCCTAGTTTATCAATACGATGGGTATCATAAAGAAAAAGTAACAGCACTGAAAAATAATATAGTGAAATAAATGAAGTCATGAGGAAATACCACTGTGTCTTCACTTGGACTACAATTATATAAAGCATGTGCAAAAGTATGAAAAGTTATTAAAAGGAGACAGAAAAACAAAAGCACATTACTTGTTATGGCAGTGAGGCCCAGGATGGGGAACATTAAAAAAAATTTCTTCTTTCCCATGTCCAGACAGTGTTACTACAACATTGTACTAACACTGTAAAATTATTTAATTTTAAAATAATTTTTTCTTCAAAGATCTCAAAAAGTACAGATCACTCTCCCTAAATTGTCATAGAGCCATTCGAGCCACATACTTAAGGTGTTATTGAGGCAGAAAAGAGTCTGGAGACAAGGAACCTAAGGCCGATTCACGCTGACCTCCTAGAACTAAATCAGAAAGAAAACCCCAACTCTCCACACCTAAGCAACAGAAGGACTGGAGGCTACTCCCTTTGTAAAACCCCCACATTTTCTGTGCGTTAGATGGAAAATTGAAAGTATCTCTGATTGATTGCAGAAAGCAACCAAAGCATAGGAGTCTAAGTTTGTAACTTCAGCCTCTGATTGGGGGTCACTCCTTCATTTACATAGGGTGTACATCAAGTAACCAATGGGAAACCTCTAGAGGGTATTTAAACCCCAGAAAATTCTATAACAGAGCTCTTGAGGCCCTATGCTCACCGGCTCCCACCCTGTGGAGTACGCTTTCGTTTTTCGGTAAATTTCTGCTTTTCTTGGCTCATTATTTCCTTGCTTTGTGTATTTTGTCCAATTCCTTGTTCAAAACGCCAAGAACCTGGACACCCTCTACTGGTAACATTCTAAGTATTGGTTTTAATATTCCAAGATTTAGGGTTCCTCTAGCTTGGTGACTTTGGGTAAACAACTCGATCTCTCAAAGCTAATGTTGGGAAATTAATAGCTATTTAGCTTTAAAATCATCCACATTCTAGCAATGCTTTCGATTCACTGGATTATAGAAAGGAGGGCTACCATCCCACTCACAGTGGCAACACTCCCCAGCCTCTGCTGCTGCCCAGGGAGTGTGGGCAACAGAGAGGCCCCAGGACCACACAGACCCTGACTTAGACCTTGCTTGATTATACATGAATTGTGTAACTCCGCTTGGCTACCTTAGCTGAGGCTCAGTTTTCTCATCTGTAAAATGAGACAAGGCTTAAAGGAGAAAATAATGTACAGGGTCTGGGATAGTGCTTGGTACATAGTGTGTGTCCTATAAATGTGGCCTTCTCAATCCTTATGCTAAATAAAACAAGAAACAATTTATTGTGTATTAAATTGTCTTTAAAATATCAGAAAGAAGAAATATTTCTTTGAAAAACTTACACTTGACCCGCTTGAGTTCTTACACAGGAAGAGGCAATTGCCTCATGATGCCAAATCACTGGGATGAGCGTCCCAAAGCACTAGGTCTTCCTTTTGCTCCACAAAAGTGCCAAGTGCAGGCGATCCACAGCTCAGAAGACAAGGACTCAGTGGCCTCTACAAGGTCTATTTTAAAACACAGGCCTGGACATTATCATGAAGAGGTGAAAGAGAAGCCCTGAGGGCTTTTGGATACTGTTCATGTCTAAATTTCCCAGGAAGAACAACCCCTGCTCAGCCATAGCAGATGAAGACACGTGTGGTGTGCATACTGAGACGCTAACAATCCCTAGTACTTATTTTAATCTTTTATTCCTTTCTCCCTCCCGCAAGCTTTTTTGACTGGAACTCGAAATAAGTGGTAAAATTAAGTCTTTTGGAATCTACTAACTTTCTGTTTCATCCCTGTTCATCAAATATCCAAAATGCAGACCTCAGCTGCAACACCAGACAACCTGAGGGCTGTGCCTGTACTGATGGGGGGATGTGGAGAAGGAGTCTGAGTAGAGGATGCTGGGGAGGATCCCAGGCCAGGAATTCCTTTTCCATCAAGTATATAAGCTGCTGGCCAGGAGCAATGTGTGCAGCACACAGGCATTGGTGCCTAACATCGCGGAGACAGCACCCATGGAGGGCAGGGCGACTGGAGGGGCTTCAGAGCCTGCTCTAGGAGCTGCAGGAAGTGCAGCGCACCCCCTAGCCACCCACTGCTGGAGCCCATTCACTCCATCATCTGTCCCTCACCATCTCCAAGGTCACCACCCATCCGAGCCAACCTCAGCTCCTTCCTGAGGGGGAGGCCTGTGCCCACCTTGTGCTACTCCAACCTGCATTCCCCTCAGGAGCCAAAGAGACTTTTTAAAATATGCATCAGGCCATGTCACCCTCTGCTTCAAACTCTCCAGTAGACTCCCATCCCACTCAGAACCCAATCCTAATACCCACCCTCCTCGAACCCCTGCAGGCCTCTCCAATAGGCCTTGCACACTGCTCCCCTTGCTCACACACCCTGGCCACAATGGGCTCTCGTCTTTCCCTTGAATGTGACCATTGCCGAGCCTGTTCCAGCCTTGCAGCCCTGTGTGGGTTGCTTCCTCTGCTTGAAACCCTCTTCCCAAGTCTGGTGCCTTTTTGTTAACTGGGTCTAAGCTGACATGACTTTTCCTCCAAGAAGCTCTTCTCGACCACCAAGTTGAGAGCAGTCACCTGGTCACATCACCATGTCTTATTTTTCTCACCACCATTTTTGCTCTGGACAATGTCTTTTGTTTGCAGGCCTGCCTGTCTCCCCCGACTGGCATCTCTGCTCCAACACAGCAGGGACCAGGTCTGTCTTGCTCTCTGCAGTACCCAATGCCTATACCAGTGTCTGATGCCCAGCAGGCGCTCAGTAGTTACTTATGGAATGAATGGACAGATGAAGTATGTAAGACCACAGGGAGGAGGTGAGCCCGGCAGAAACCAAGCGCAGAGCATTTCTGGCAAAAGATAGTGAAGTAAAGCTTCAGCTCAACTACCCTTCTTCAAAAATCACAAAACAATAAGGAAAAGAAGGGTAAAAATGGTAAGGAAAAAAAATCTATTAAATAGGGAAGTGGCTATAATCCTAAAGCACAAACAAAAAGCCTGACTACCAAGTCCTGTAAACTGAGACATGGGAGCATGCCGAGAACCAAGAGGTGCAGATTTCTCCTAAAGTAAGAGTCACAGCCCTGGAAAAGTCTCTAACTACTCTTTGGTTAAAGTGACAAAATGTAGGAGTCTGCCTGGGCCTTGAGCAGGGACAGAGATAAAAGAGACCAAACCCCAGCATCACAGACCAGCAGGGGAGGGGGCTGAAGAAGCAGCTAGGCTGCCACACCATGCCCACTGTCTGTGACCTTGGACCCAGTTCAGAAGGCGCTGAAAGTGACCTGGTAGGGAGGGAGGAGAGTCGTGACCACTGTACAGCAGCACACAGGACAGGTGACTCTCCTGGGAGCCACCAGCCCTTGTGACCACTGAGCAGAGATGGGAGATGTTCTCTCAGAGGGCTTGAATACACAGACTGTGGGGCTGGGTTCTCTGCATTGCAACCCCAGCTCTGCTGCTTCCCAACTTTGTGCCCTCATGCAACCTACATAACACTCCATGCCTCAGCTTCCTCATCAGCAAAGTGGACAGAATAATGGAATCTACTTCATAAGAGTTGCTGGGGTATTAAATGAGTTTATGCATCCAGTGTAGTGTCTGGCACATGGTAAGCACGATGTAAGCATTAGCTATTCAAATTATTATCCCTTCTTCCACATTATTCTTTTGCTGGTGGCAGACTGTATTCAACATTGAGTAGAGTGCTGAATAGAACACCACAGGTGCTGTGCATATAAACTGCAAAACTAAAAATTAATACTTTTTGAAGGAGGAGAGGAACAGAAAGAAAATCACATAAAGAATACACATGATGACTGGGTGCAGTGGCTCACACCTGTAATCCCAGCACTTTGGGAGGCTGACGAGGGTGGATCATGAGGTCAGAAGTTCAAGACCAGCCTGAACAATATGGTGAAACCCCATCTCTACTAAATATACAATAACAAAAAAAAATTAGCCGGGCGTGTTGGTGCACACCTGTGGTCTCAGCTACTCAGGGGGCTGAGGCAGGAGGATCGCTTGAACCTGGGAGGCAGAGGTTGCAGTGAGCCAAGATCATGCCACTGCACTCCAGCCTGGCAACAGAGCAAGACTCTGTTTCAAAAAAAAAAAATACACATGAAAAAGAGGACAACCTCAGGACACAAGTAGTTCATCAGAGTCTTAAAGAAAACAGACAGTATGCCTCATCACAGGAATAGTCACCAGAATTCAAGAAAGCAATGTAAGAACACACTCAAAGGAGACGAAAAGAGAACTGGTGGAGCTCAGGAGACACATGGAAAAAGAAAAGGAACTGTATGCTATGGTTTGGATGTTTGTCCCCTGCAAATCTCATGTTGAAATGTGGTTCCCACTGTTGGAGGTGGGGCCTGGTGGAAGGTGTTGGGTCATGTGGGTGGATGCCTTATGAATGGCTGAGCACCATCTCTTACTGATGAGTGAGTTCTTGCACTGAGTTCACATGAGAGCTGGTGGGGTTTTTTTTGTTGTTGTTGTTTCGTTTTGTTTTTTTTTTGAGACTGAGTCTCGCTCTGTTGCCCAGGCAGGAGTGCAGTGGTGCCATCTCAGCTCACTGCAAGCTCCGCCTCCCAGGTTCACGCCATTCTCCTGCCTCAGCCTCCCGGTAGCTGGGACTATAGGCGCCCGTCACTACGCCTGGCTAATTTTTTGTATTTTTAGTAGAGACAGGGTTTCACTGTGTTAGCCAGGATGGTCTCGATCTCCTGACCTCGTGATCCGCCCTCCTCGGCCTCCCAAAGTGCTGGGATTACAGGCGTAAGCCACCATGCCCGGCCAAGAGAGCTGGTGTTTAAAGAACCTGGCACCTCCCCACCTCTCTCTTGCTCCCTCTCTCACCATCTGATACCGCCTACTCTCCCTTTGCCTTCTACCATAGTTGGAAGCTTCCTGAGGCCTCACTAGGAGCAGATGCCAGCACCATGCTTCCTGTACATCCTACAGACCCAATTAAACCTCTTTTTTAAAAAATAAATTACCAAGCTTCAGATATTCCTTTATAGCAAGACACAGACTAACACAAGCACTGAGGTGGAAACATCAGCAAAGGAACAACAATAAACACACACTCATATGTATACACCACACTCATGCAAATACCACATACATGCACACACATACACACACACTGAAAACACAGGTAAGGATGTGGCAGGTAGGAATGAGAAATCCACACAAAATGAAATTATTTTAAAGCAGATAATAGATACTGAAGGCAAAGGAGAACCAACATACACACATAATTGGTATTCCTGAGGAAGAGAACAAAGCAAATAGAACATGAAAACATTCAAGGTTTTACTAGTTGAAACATTTCCCAAAATAACAAGTCATTTTTCTCCAGATCAAAAGGACATGCCATTTTCCAGGGGACAAAAATGATGCAGAACAACACCAATACATATCCTGGTGAACTGCTTAACCTCAAGACTAAAAAGAAAATTTCTGAGGGCATCCAGAATTCACCTTCAGTGGGGAACAACTCAGCCCAGCCTCCAAATTCCTAGCAAAGCCAAAGCCGGGGACGATCAGCAAGGTCTACTAAGTTCTGAGATAGACCAAGTTGGAAACCAAGACTGTTAGACCTCACCAGGTTGTCTTTCAAGATTGCAGACAGCAGAGAGACACTGTCAAACATGCGAGCATGGAGGCATGCAGCCCCAGGAGCCTCTGGTTAACAAGCCACTAGGTGACAGCATCCAGACAGCCAGAAAAACTGAAGTGAAGAATTTGTGAATGTAGGGAACATGGAATAAAGAACAGAGGTGAAATCTGTGGCTCCATTTCAATAGGAACTAAATAGCTACAGCATTCATGGTCACAAAAGAGAATATAAATGCTATAGACAACATAGAAGGGTACGACAAAGCCGGGAGTTCTAAGAGGGGAGGGAGAAAGTACATGCATGCTGTTTCCCATTTTCCATGGCCAAGATTCCAGCTGAAGGTGAGGCACACAGTTGAAGAAGACAGTGGCTCTGACCTCTTAATGCCTTCATTATCTCTTTTCTTAATTTTAGCAACAAATTTTAGGAATGAATATTGCATATACCAAGGAAGTTCACCAATTCCTTTTAGCTTCACTTGTTTTTCTTCAGTCAATATCAAGTAACATCATTTTTACATATCATATGATCCAAGTTTTCTTGTAGTTTTCCGTGTCTCTGCATCATCGTATGCCTCCAGCCTCCCTCTTTCTCCTCTTTGTACATAGGCACAGAGAGGTGTCTGCAGGGATAAATGTTCATGATATTTCTGGAGTGATGAGATTCTCGGTAATGTTTTTTCAACTTGGATTTGGTACTTTTCTTCAGTGTTTTAATATTTATATAATAAACACATTTCATTTTTTATAAAGCCATTTTTAAAGAAATATTTTTATTTGCTGAACCTCATTTCTTCTATACTTTACACCTGGAGTGGCTCTTTTTTTCCCATTGTTGCTGTTGCCTGTTTTCTGGCACAGCACCTACCCCAGACCAGTGTTGTGGGACCCGCAGAAGTGCCTGCTGTCGATCACGAAAGCCACATTCTCTTCCAGCCTCCTGGAAGACTGGCTTTCCCAGCAGGGTGAGAGGCTGAGCCAAACCATCTGACTTCTTCCTGGCCTTGCTGGAACAAGCACTTCTGTATGGGCAGTAGAGGTGTGAGGTAAGAGTTTCATTAAGATACAGGCATTGTCCTCTGGGTCAAGTTCACTGACTGCTGCTGTGGTCAACTGAGCTCAAGCAGCCCAGAATGACAGCCCATCAAATGGTCCTCTTGGACAGGGTTATAGAATTCAATGAGATGGTGCATGTGATGTGCTTAGCACAGCACCTGGCATGCGGCTAACAATTAGTAAATAGAAGCAATTATGAACATCATGCCAGCCACGCTGTGTGCAACCACTGCCACCCATCAAGGGTATATTGAGCACCAGGTAAAACTGACCATTGCTACCAATGTGACAGAAAATTGCCACCTGTCTGTCCAGCTTTTCCTGACTTCTTCAGTGTGTCATTATTAATTACCTACGTCCTCTAAAAGCTAGGGAACTCATTTGCATCTCATATATTAACTATCCCTAATTATTCTCCCTTCCTCACTATTGGGTTTGGTGCTTTGGAAAATCTTTTAAAGGTTTGATCTCTCTATTTTACCTCTGGTAAGGACTCTTTTCCAACCCTGCATATGGCCCCCAGCTGTTCCTCCATTTGCTGACCTGGAAGTTTATCATTATCAGAGGCCCTCTGCCGGTTATCTCACTAATTTCCATCACTTCTTGGAAGTGAACCTTGCCAAAGGCCTGCATGTTTTCATTTCTGTAAGCAGTCATATAGCCACTATGTGTTTTCTGAGATAAGGCTGTTCATCATGGTCTTAACTACCAGCAAGAAGCATTTTATGGGGGCCTGCGCTGTGTGCTGGAGATCTGGTCTCACCCTCCCTTTGACAATCCTGATCTGTACCCCGCACAGTTTGTGCTGGGGTTTGGGGGTCTTCTGTCTCACCTGTCCGCAGGAGTACAGTGAGGCAGGGAGGAGAAGTAGGGGAAACCTCCCCTCATTATTTTCCCTTGTGGATGTAATGGCTCTGCTCTGGAATCCCAAAGGCTGCTGGACCCTGCAGGTAGGGCTTATTATGTGATAAACTACCTCAGCCAGGGGCCAAGGGGCCTTTGGAGAAAAAAGATGCAAAAAGGAACCAGCATATGCTCCCTTTTGAAATGTAAGTGGGTGAATGCTGGTGTGTGGACAGCACAGTGGCAGGTATGGCCAAGAGTATGGCTGAGCCCAGCTGAGATGGGATGATTGGACTAGCGGCAAGTCCAGACAGGCTGCCCAGAGCAGGTGCTGCATGAAAGTGCCTTGAACCTCAACAGGCAGGGTACAGTGCGCTTGGTGTCCTTGTGCTCATGCTGGAGGATGGGGATTCATTCTTTGCTAGAAGGTGCTTCCTGCTGGATTGGTGGCCCCCAGGTAATGTCTAGAACCAAAAAGTGGTTTGAGGCCAAGGCAAGGGCAGAGGTTCTGGGTTTACTCCCAAACTGATATAAAGTTGTAAAAAATGTGCCTTTCAGAAGAAAATGCAAAATATAAAATTATTTGTAAGTGGCTTATATTTTTCTTATAATTAAAAAAAGAGAATGAACTTATTGAAACTTTATATAAGAACTCTAAGCAACAGCCCCCAAGGAACTCTTGCTTAGCCAGCCACTTAATGCTATAATTTACCATTTATATGAGTTAGATGCATTCTTCCCTAGCATTTGTGACAACAAGGGAATGTCCAGGATCACAAAATAGTGACAAGTAGACAAGTTCAACAATTTTTTTGTGGCATTTGCCTGATCTCCGATGCTAATAAGATCTTGGTCAATACTTCTCTTCAGATTTCACGGAAAAAAAAATATCTTGGCCAAAGTCGTGCATTGCTGGCTCTTCCAAAATTATCAACAGAGTGTTCTTGAAGTTTTGGTTGCATATGATTTCTTGTCAGCAGTACAGGAAGGTCATAAAATCCTTTATTCATTTTCTCCAGCCTCAGGAATATCTTGGCCCCCAACAACAGCAGGTCCAGCTTTTGACGGCTACAGAGCCCACCTGCATCTTAAGGATGGCCAGTTGAGTTAAAGTTGAGGGCATACCTTATAAATAGAATTATTAATAGCTTGATTCAAATTGTTTTTTCATTTGGCAAACTTCAGCATAAAATGCCTGGAAGGTGTGCGTAGATGATGCTTCTAGTTCCTAGAGAAGATATGGCTTCATAACCTAACAGACTAGGGATGTCCCAAGTCTTTTAGAAATAAGTTACCAAACACGTGCTTGAAACAGTGTCTACAAATACACATGCTAACTGTGTAAAATTAGCCCAGTTTCTTAGTCTATCTGAACCCAGTTTGTAAAACGGAGGCAATAATGCCTTGTGGCCAAAAAGCCATCCAAGACTGTCCAGCTGTATGGCCTCCAAGTCAAGCCAGATGCCTGGCAAGTCAGGAGACCAGTAAGCACAAAGATTGCCTGAGCTGCACTCACTCTCCATGCAGCCAAGGCTTTCTTCACTGCAGGTGGAATTCTGGAACCTCAAAAGTATAACAGCCAACAATGTACTGATACACCATCAAAGTGGGAAACCAAACCAAGAACGTTCCTGAGACTGGTGGAGCAACGATGACCTGAGATTCACAAAATAGCTACCGAGGAGGCTGAAGGGCAGAGCCCATGAGACCAGTTTGGAATGCCACATCTGCAACACCATCCACACAATGCAGGTCATTCAAACCAGCAAAAGACGGGTCCCAAAGTCCAAGAGCCCTGGCTTGCAGGGCTTCCCTCTCTCCTTCATTCTCCTCTTCTGCACTGCACTTTCCTGATTTTCTTCCTTGGTCTTTCTTTGTTCCTGGATCCACCTCCCCTTGCTATCGTCTGAGTGTCTGAGTGGCCCTCGGTCCACTTCTCTATCCACACTCACTCCCAAGGTGACCTCGTGTCCAGTCCCATGGCTGTACAAATGTATAACACCCAGTGACATCCAAGTGTATGTCCCTAGCACTCCCCTCTCTCTCAACTCCAAACTGGTATATTCAATTTAATTTCACTTAAAGGACAAATTTAAAATATTAAGTAATAAACAAAGTACCAAAACAACCACAATCTCTTACCTGATGAATCAGACAAAGTATCTCATGTATCATGCATTTGTCTGAATTATGTGGCCCTGCATTTTATAATCTGAGCACGGAGGGAAAGGCCTGCATGATTTTTTTAAGTGTGTCATACATAGTTGTCAGTCAATTCTGCTTAATGCTGTATTTTATTATCTATATAGTACCCTGATTTTGAATAGGTTGTGTTTCAAAACCCACTGGGTAAATTAATATTCTGAGTCTTAGGTCACAGTTTTTTAGAGAAGTATGGCTAGGCCATAAGCTATTGAGCTTTTCTTCCTTTTCCTGGCTACTGATGTCAGCTCATTTCAAGATCTCAAGTCCCATGTGAGTTCATTCCAACACTACGAATTCCTGGACTCCTGTCTGTACCCACCTCAGTCATACCTGTAAACCTGCACGCTGACCTGTCTAAAACGGCTCCCATCATGACTGCTCAGAAATTGTAGTGGTCCCTTCAGCCCATGGAACTTAATAGAATTATGGACCATCAGAGGGGCAGGGACCCACAGAAAGACCTACTGTGAGAATATCAACTATACTTAACATCTGAAATATTATCTTGTTTAGTATAATTTTAGTGACCATTTATTTTCCCTTCATTTTTAGGCCCACACAGCTGAAAACAATAAACCTCTTCTCTCTGAAAAGAGAATCAAGTCCTGTTTTTTGCAATATAAACAGTGGTTACCCTATATTTTACAAAATCTCAGAATGGCTCCTGGTCCTCTAGAAAATAATCTAAGTACATTTCATAATTGAGAATTAATTCACAGTTTCTGCTTTAAACACTCATTTGTTGGACAAAATATGTACTTGCAGTACTGAAAGAGTTGTAAACAAATGAATACCCGGACTTAAAACCATTTTAGCAATTGTTAAATTGTTTAAATTTAACAATTTTAAATATCTGTCCACAGTAGACCACAGTAGACCACTGTGGACAGATACTTAAATCCCAAACCTAAATATCAAGAGACAGGAACTGGGAAGCAGAGATTACTTTAGGTGTAAAATCTCACTTTCAAATGTCCTTAGCAGCCTAGTGATCTATGTCCTCTGGGGCATGCAAAAACATACTGTCTACACCACAAATGAGACAAATTCATCAGACCCTTCACTAAGATTCTGAAAGCTCTGGAAGAAAGAAGATTCCTATTTTATCTGAAATTGAATTATAAGGTGGATACAAAACCAAGGATGTACCAGGAGCCAAACTTAGCATTGGAATGGATCAATTTCTGATTTCAAGTTTCGATCATGGAAGAAACTTACCTGAACATTATTAAAAATTATCTGCATGATACAAATGATCCCAAAGTGTCGTTATTCTGACGTGTCCAATTCCATTTTACATCAGGTCAGTTATGTGTAAAATTCATCACTGATATGTGTTTGAAAATATAACGTTTGAATGCAGCTTATTCTTGTTTTTAGAACTTGAAATCTTGACACTCCTTACCTGATGTTGGCTCAATAGCAAAGGCTTGATGAGACTGAATCAAGGTGATATAAAACTCAAAATCTACAGGGCAGCTGCACTGCAAAGGAATAACATAAGTTTTGCTGCAAAACAAACAAAAAAGAAAATAAAAATATTATTTTTCTTTATAACTGGTTCTTTTGGTAGCAAGGAATGGAGACTCAAGTTACGTAATAAACAATGATGACTGCCAATGCTGATCTGGCACTTCCTGTGTGCCAGGAGTAACCCCATGCATTTCCCATGTATTAACTATTTTAATCCTATGAGGTGGTGCCGTGATTATCCCCACTTACAGAAGAGGAAACTGAGGCACAAGAGAGGGTAAGTGTTCCACACAAGGTGACATAGTTAGTGGCAGAACCATGATTTAATGTAGTCGATTGTGCTGGGTATCCATACTCCTCACCCCACTGTCCTTGCTACCTCTCGAGTACTGTTAAGTTTATTTTCCAGAGTTGCAGCGATAGGGAAAAGGCAGTCTCTACCACAGAGCTCGGCCTCACCGAACCAAGGAAAGGCCAAATAGATGGGCTTATAGAAAGCCTGGGAGACCCCTGGCCTTTCACAGAGCCTGGACGGGACAGTGTGGAAGAAACCACACTTTGGGCTGTGTTTGATTGAAATAAGCTAGGTACTCTTTATTTGGTCAGAAGTCCAGCAACCATTAGAGAACGTGGAGGAGGTCTATGTATTCAGAAATGGTCTGTCACCCCAAGACAAGGCGGACCTCTAAGCTAGCTTGAAGCTGTTGCTTACAGCACCCCAGGAGCTGTGGCAGCAGTGGCATTTCTTGGAGTGCCCCATGCTTCCCATAATGTCCTCTCCTTCAATCAGGGCAATCCAAGTCAGCCAGAGTTGACTGCCTGGGGGAGCAGAGCTCTCCAGGGTAATTCTACATCCTGTGCAGTGCTGGGGGCAGGTTATTGGGTCCCCTTGCAGCAGCAGGAAGTCAAGTGCTTCCTTTCAAGTGACCCAGCCACTCCCTGCATTCCTGATATTTTTGCACCCCTCCCTTCTCGTTAAGCCACCAGCCAGCTTCATCTTTGACTCTGTACATCTCTTCTCTACCCCATACCTTCTGAGCCCTCACCCCATCACAGCCCTCCTGCCTCGAGGCTGGCCCTGCCTCTTATCCTTTTAGCTTCTGGTCTCCCTGCCAACAGCCCATCCCCTCTCATTTTCCAGTTCATACTCCCAGGAGAACACAGTTGTAATCTGGTTTGAGCAGAGCTGCCAGACCAGCTGGGCTCTACCTTCTGGGCAGGACCCATCCGAACCCATCTGTCTGTGGACTTCTCCAATAATGACAGGCTTCCCTACCTGCCCAGTGTCTGTCTTCCCTGGAGATTCAGAGTCCTATGAAGGCAAAGACCAAGTCCATTTGGGTCTCCAGTGTATCCCAGAGTGTCGCATGGACCAAAGGCTCAATAAATATTTGTTGGTGTGAAGCGAAATAACCCTTTTTTCAGTAGCAATTTTGGGGATATGACATAACTCACATGTGGCTTTTAAAATTATGCCCAAAACATTTTTATTTGGCTTTAAAATTTATTATCTTTAAAAAATCTGTGAAATATTTCAAATATAAAGAAAAATGTAAAGAACAATAAAATAACGACCCCTTTATCTACTACTGAGCTCTAACAAATCTTTTGCTTTGGGTATATCAGCATGATGTTTTTAAAGAAATAAAACATTGCAAAAGAGTTGAAGCTCCTTGTAGCTCCTTCCCCAATTCTCTCCCTCTTCCTCCCTGCTTTAAGATAGTCAGGTTTATCAACCTTTATTTCGGAGAAAATTGAAATCTGTTCCAAACTATGAACATGGCATGTCTCTAATTTATTCAAGTTTAATTTTATGTCCTCAATCAAATTTTATAAGTGACCCCTACCCTGTATTCACTGTTCTACCATTCTCATGCATTCTAGTAATATTACTACTTACATATGTATGCATAAAAATATGTGGTATGTATAAAATATATAGTATGTTGTTTGTTTTTTAACAATATTGCTCTGAAACTTGCTATTTTTGCTCAAACTATGTTTTTGAGATTTATCCATGGATATATGTAAAGCTCTGTGCATTCATTTTAACGAGTGAAGAGTATTCTGTTATATAATTATACCACACTTTATTCAGCCACTCTCCTGTTGATGGGCATTTAGGTTGTTTGCATTTTTTCACTATTGCAATGTGGCAGTGAAGATCCTACTGCATGACTCCACATGCACCTGCAGTAGAGCTACTTTAGGAATAACCCCAAATGGGACTTCTGGTTAGTAGCAAAGTAAAAATATTAAATTTACTAGATACGACTAAAATATTTTTCAAAGCCCTTTACCAATTTACACCTTTACTAGCAGAATAGGAGAGTTTCTATTGCTTACCAACATTTAGGATTCTCAGGCATTTTAACTTCTGTCAACCTGATGGAGATGAAATGGCATCTCATTTCACTTTCATTCTCATTCTTTTGAGGTTGAGTTTCTATTCCTGTGTATTCATTTGGGTTCCCTCTCCTGTGAATTGCCTGTGCATATCCTTTGCCCATTTCTCTATTCATTGGTTTTGTTCTCTTATTCATTTGTAAATTCTTCTTTTTTTTTTTTGAGACACAGTCTCACTTTGTCACCCAGTCTGGGGTGCAGTGGCATAATCATAGCTCACTGCAGCCTTGATGTTCTGGGCTGAAGTGATCCTCCCACCTCAGTCTCCTGAGTAGCTGGGACCACAGGTGTGCATCACCATACCTAGCTAGTTTTTAAATTTTTTGTAGAGATGAGTTCCCACTATGTTGCCCAGGCTTGTCTCGAACTCCTGGGCTCAAGTGATCCTCTTGCCTTGGCCACCAAAAGTGCTGGGATTACATGCATGAGACATCATGACTGGCCTCATTTGTAAATTCTAATATTAATTTAGTTAATTATATGCATTGCAAGTATCTTTTCCAAGCCATAGTTTATTTTTTGATTTATTTATGGTGTTTTTTGTTGGACATAAATTTTTAATTTTAAGGTAGTCAGTTTTATCAATCATTGTTTTGGAGAAAATTGAAATCTGCTCTAAACTATAAACATGGTATGTCTCTAATTTATTAAGGTTTAATTTTATGTCCTCAATCAAATTTTATAAGTGTCTCCATAATGAGCTTATACATTTTGGTTAAGTTTTTCCCTAGGTGTTTTGGTATGTTTGGGTTGCTGTCACAGAATACCACAGACTGGGTGGCTTATGAACAACAGAAATTTATTCCTCACAGTTCTGGAGGCTGGGAAGTCCAAGATCAAGGTGCTGGCAGATTTGGTGTCTGGTGCAGGCCCACTTCCTGGTTCATAGATGACCATCTTTTCACTGTGTCTTCGCATAATGGAAGGGGCTACGAAGCTCTCCAGATCTCTTTTATAAGGACACTAATCCTGTTCATGAGGGCTTTGCCCTCATGGCCTCATCACCTCCCAAAGGCCCCACCTCCTAATAGATCACCTTGGGGGTTAGATTTAAACACATACATTTTGAGGGGGAAACAAACATTCAGACCATAGCACCAGGTATCTTATAGCTTCTGTATCATAGTGAATGGAATGTTTGTCTTTTACAATTCTTTATTACTAGTGTATTGCAATGCTACTTTTGGATTTTGATCTAAAACCCTGCTAAAGTCTTTTATGGGTTGTAAAAGTTTATCTGTAGATTTCCTTAGATTTTCTATGTAAAAAATTGTACAGTCTAGGCCAGGCACAGTGGCTTGTGCCTATAATCCCAGTGTGAGTCATAAAATCTAAAAAAAAAAAAAAAAAAAAGAGACTATTTCCTATTTACTTTCCCAACTGTTGTAATTCATGTATTTTTTTCTGATCATTGCATTGAAGACTTCTAGTATAATACTGAATGGAAGTGAAGAGAGCATCTTTTTCTTATTTTGACTTTACTGGAAATACTTTAATTTTTTACCACTAAGAATGATGTTTCTAGAAAGTTTGTGATAGCCTTTATCAGGTCAAGGAAATTTTTGTCTATTTCTAAGCTTTTTTTTCCCAATTAATGAGTTTTCTTTTCGTTAAAATTTGCTTGGTATACATACCTCTTCCATTCCTTCATTTTCAAGCTTCCTGAAAAGTTTTATTTTAGGTGTGTCTCCAGAAAGCAGGATATAGCTGGATTAAAAAATGTTTAGCAGGTAGGATAATCTTTTCCTTTAATAGGTGAGTTTAATAGGTTTTCATTTGTTACAATTAATAATAGATATATTTGAACTTATTTCTACCACCTTGTTTTGTATTTTCTAAAAAACAACTTTGCTTCATTTTTGTTCTTTTGCCTCTTGCTGGACTGATTGCTTTTATATTTCTACTTTTTTCCTCCTATGACTTGGCAGCTATAGATTGCATTTCTATAATTTTAATTATTACTCTAAATTTTTTAAAGATATGTCTTATTGACAGCTGGGTGCTGTGGCTCACGCCTGTAATCCAAGCACTTTGGGAGGCCGAGGTGGGCAGACCACTTGAGCTTAGGACTTCAAGACCAGCCTGGGCAATGTAACAAAACCCCATCTCTACATAAAATACAAAAATTAGCTGGGCACAGTTGCGTGTGCCTGTAGTCCCAGCTGCTCGGGAGGCTGAGATGGGCTGATGGCTGAAGCCTGGAACGCGGAGGTTCTAGTGAGCCGAGAGCGCATCACTGCACTCCAGCCTGGGTGACAGAGCACAGGCCCTGTCAAAAAAAAAAAAAAAAAGATATGTCTTACTTATTGAAAATTCCCAACAAAGTCTAAACATACCTAGTATTTCTATCCTCCCAAATACAGTGTGGTCAGCCCTACCTGCCTATTGAAGACTCTTTCTTACCCCTCCATCTTGTATATGCTATGTTGAGTTGTAGTTTTAGCTTAAACAACAAAAAGTACTGACTTTTAAAAATGGTTAATTAGTTAAATTTACCAACATATGTAATTAATTTTGGTGTTTGCCATTCTCCTTCCATTCCCATGGCTACTTTCCAAATATGTTTTTCTTCTTGCTGGCATATTCCTTTTAAATTTTCTTTTAGTGAGGATTGTGTGTGGGAAATTCTTACGTAAATAAACTTATTTTTTATTTTCTTCCTTGGGAAAAATTTTAGGTTGACTGTTTATTTTCCCCTGGCATTCTGAAAATATTTACTCCACATCTTTCCTTAATTGTTTGTTGCTGATGAAGAACTGCTGTCACTTTTTTGTAGATTATCACTCTTTTCTCTCTGGCAGCTTTTTAAGGTTTCTCTTTTTTTTCTTATTTATTTATTTATTTTTTATAGAGATGGGATCTCACTTTGTTGCCCAGGCTGGTCTCAAACTCCTGGGTTCAAGTGATTCTCCTGCCTTGGCCTCCCAGAGTGCTGGAATTACAGGCAAGATTTCTCGTTATTCTTGATGCTCTGCAGCTTGACTCTTACGTGTCTAGGTAGAAATTTATCTTTATCCTGCTAGATATTCATATTTGAATGCACTTACCAAATCTTCATAATTATCTTTAATTCTGAAAAGCTTGGTATTATTCTATACCATTCCCTCCACTCTCTCCTGACAGAACTCCAATTTATTAGACACATATATCTTGGAGCTTTTCAGTCTAGCTTCCGTACCCCCTAATTTCCCTTCATGTAAAATGTAACCTCTATGTACTCTATACTGGGTGAATTCCTGTATTATTACTATCTTCCAATCTATTAATCTTTTCTTCAATTGTGTCCAGTATAGAGTTTATTCAGTCTATTGAGATTTAAGTTTTCGGTGACTATATTTTGAATTTTTAAGATTTCTAAATGGTTCTTTTTATCTATCTGATCTTTAAAACAATGTCCATCTATTTTTGTTTCATAATTTCTTGACATTTTAAAATGGAAGTTTGCCTCAATCATCTCATTAAGAATCCTAAGTGTATCTATTTTAAAGTTTTATTAAACTGTTTTTAATAATTAATTTCATTCAATTATATTCTGATTGTTGGGTTTTGGCTTTCTTAGCACAAGATTTATTCGTGTGTTTTGGAATTTGGATTTGCAGGCTCATTTTGAGTAAAAGGATTTAATCTATATTCAATTTTATAATTGCATATTGGGGTTCCTGCCAGCCAGCTATTTTAGTGCTACAGTGAACTCAGTCACTGGGCCAGCAGGTAACATGGCTCACCTCTGCACCACAAGCTGGTTAGTACTGTCCCTTACACTGTCCTCTGTCCACAACCAGGGACGAGGCCCCAGGCCCAGGCAACAGGTCAGCAGAGGGTTTCCAGCTTCCTTTCGTGGGAAGTGCAAAGGTGGGGCAGCTTACCTCTTCTCCTGGCTGCAGGCCAAGTGCGGATCCCCTGAATCAGTGAGACACTTGCAGTCTCCTTTACCCCATGGAGTGGTCTCCAACACTGCCTGACTGCTTCAAAACCTGGAGCCTGCAAGCCTGTGGCTCCACCCTGCAACCCACTCAGCATTTCTATGCTGTTCCTGCTCTGTGGAGTTGTTCAGCTTGTTTCTGAGCCTGAGTGTGTCTTTTTGGAGGTCTCTTTATATTTTGTTTGTCACTAACTAGTAATTTTGCACAAAAAAGGTTCATTGCAGTTTGCGCACACTGCTTCATCCTGACCAGATGTCTCTAACTGTACTTTTGAGAGATCTACACTCTGAATGCAGAGTTCCTAACGTCAGGCAGTGCCCTGTTTCTAATTAATTTGCACTGGTACTTGTTTTTAAAACATTGTTCCTTAGCTATGATGTCTCTTTGAGAGGAGCGTAGCTGTACTGTGAGCACATGAGATCCCCAATAGGGTATAGGCCTGCATCAGACTTTATATACTCATGTTCAGGGGCCCTAGGTTTCTGATAAAAATTCTGAATAAGGGTCACCGTACAGTGTATGGTCTTCAGTCAACAGTAAAATGAAAACTTCATAGGATTGTCTACCAAACTCACAAATCCTGTCTTAAATCAGGCTCTGTTAGAGGTATGCAGTCAATCTTCACTCTGTGAGATGTTTCCTAATTCTGAAAAACAGAATATATGAAGGTAAGGCAATTCATGCTAACAGGTGCTCAGGCCCCACTGAGTGTCAGCTATTCTACCAGCGCTGGGTAGATAAAACTAACATTACAAGTTAGTTACACATGCGTGTGAGGTATTTCTGACCCTCAGAACCTAAGCAGGCCTTGGGTAATGCGCGATGTGAAGTGTTGAAAGGCCCAAATATGGTCTTTGAAGATGACGCCAGTGGACTCACGCAGCCACACAGGCTGTGTTGCCCTAGGTCAGTAACCCAGGAGTCTGCTCAAAGCTGTCCCGGCAAAGCAAAGTCTGATACTCAGGGCTCCTCTGCTAAAAGCTGCATGTTTGCATTTTCCTGAATTGAAACAAACAAAAACTCCTGGAGCTTTTCCCATTTGTTACATATACTCAATTTTCAATTAATTTCACAGCTCTGATAAGTCCCATAGAAAAGGTGTCAGGGTATTTGTTTAATAATAATTATTTGAAGCCAAGTTCCTGATGCATTAGCCAGTCTGGAAAAACAAACAGTTCCTTAAGGGCACAAAATTCCAAGTACCATAATTCAGAAGCAGATATAGCAGTGCAAGTAGTACAGTTTTCAGTGGAATTGCTGAACTTTTGCTTTCACTACTGCTGTGCATATTATGCATGTCAAATTAGTTTGCATGGCCACCATAATCATAAATCAAAGACAGTCCAGATGAATTTGAGTCAAAAGGAATTTTGGCTAATATGAAGTTTATTTAGAAGTTCTTCATATTTAAAGAGACAGAATCCTATTAGAGTCTGGGTGGAATTTTACATTTTAAACTAAATTCTCATTGTTAAATACCATTAAATCTGATATACAATGAAGAAACATATATATATGTATATATATATATCTCGTGCCTGTTATTTCTGAGAAGTGAGTAGGATACTGAATTAGAGCTCTTCTGTAACTTAGAGGAATCAGGCAACTAAAATATTAAGGCAAGTACATGTTAGTGCTTTTGGAAGTAACTACAACTTTTATCCCTCTTACCTTATTATTTAAACATTTTATCAATTATGCTAAGGCTATACATAGAAATATATTAAGTACTTTAAAATAATTATCCCTTATTTGAATAAAATTGAACTCAAACCTTTTAAATGGTAGACTTTTATATTACAATCATGTGGAAATTTTATGCCTATTAGAAGAAAGCAAAATTTGCCTTACAGAAAGCAAATATAATAAAATGACTTAATAGAAATTCAAATTTCTTTCTTGTCCTTTCTCTAGAACAAATGATCTTGAACTTACTTTAACATAAAATCAAATATACTGTCTAATTAAAAATATACTCTAACTAAAAATTCCCGATATCTAGAGAGGGGGGTGAAGAGGCTAGTTTACCATAATAGGATTTGGCTTCTTTTCTGGAAAAAGAAGGTTAACTGACAACAAGCATGACAAATGCTAACTTTTTCCACGATGACTAGGTTCAGAGGGCACAATAAATTAGCCATTAGTTATTATACTTGTATGAAATTTGAGGGAAACATCAAGATAAAAGAAAGCCTTCACACAGAGATGTATGGATAAGGTAAGCTATAACATAGACAATAACATGTGGTGGTATCACTACCAAGTGAAGCTTGGAGTTAATAGGCCCAGTGATCTCATTTTAGGGTTAAGTCAATTTAGTAGGACTTTTCCATTGTCAACTGCTCATTGATATGAGAATCATTCATAGATCAAAGGATGTGGACAACAATGATGTATCGTGTGCCATTCTTTCCCCTCTGAAGGTACAGAAGACTCAGGAAATAATCCGAGCCTGGGCAAGCTTTGGGGTTACCTGTTGTGGCAGGTTTCAAATAAGTCTACAAACTCTTCAACACTCTTTCCACTTAGAGGTGGAGTCTATGTGTTCTTCCTTGATTCTGGGCTCTAGGACTACTTAACTAATAGAATACAGTGGAAATGATGCTGTACCTGTTTCTTAAGGCCAAGGCCTAAGCAACTGGTATCTTCCATTTCTCTTGGGATGCTCATTCTAGAGCCTTGTCACCATGTTGTAAGGAAGCCCAAGTAGCCTGTGGAGAGACCTACCAGGACAGAACCAGACTTCCAGCCCTCAGGCCATCTGAGCTCCCAGATAATAGCCAGTATTTGAGTGGACCATCTTGAGAGTGGGTCTTTCAGCTCCCAGTTGAGCAGCCCTAGCTGGCTGTGCATGGAGCAGAGAGGAGCACTCCCCATCAGGCCATGCCCAAGTTGTAGATCCATGAGCAAAATAAATTACTGTTGTTATAATACATTAAGCTACTACCTTCGGGGTGGTTTTTATACAGAAAAAGGAAACCAAAGAACATTCTCTTTCCTGCTTCATTTCTCCTTCAGCGAATGATTATCTTACCCCATTTCTGGATGCCATCTTAATTTGGCAATCTTAAAGTCTTTGTTTTGGTACTATCTCTTAATATGTACCAGCTGTTGTGCTTATATGTCATCTAACTCTCTTAACAACCCTATGAGGTAAGTACTATTATTATCCTCATTTTATAGATACATAAACTGATCTATAGAGAGGTCCAAGGTCACATGGTTAATAAATGGTGAAGTGGAGTTTTCAAGCCAGGTCTCTAGAACCTGAGCTCTTACCTGCTGTACTATAGCCCCTCTTGTAGGTCTCTAATATTACAGAAAAGCTCCTGGCATTGCGTTGTTTACATTGCAGTCCCCTTCCCTCCTGCTGCTCTCTTTGAAACTGATCCCTCTGTGCCTTGTTTGTTAAGCTTTTTAGAGGGCATTTCTTCTAATAAGCAACCATCAAAAAAGGACTATAACATCCCACTATGGACTGTTTGTGTCTCCTCAAAATTCATATGTGGAAGCCCCAATTCCCATGATGGAGGTGGGGACTTAGGAAGGTGATTTGGTTTAGATGAGGTCATGAGGGTGGCACCCTCTGATGGGATTAGTGTCCTTTTAGGAAGAGGAAGGGACTGGAGCCCCTCCCCACCACCCCATGTGAGGAAAGCTGGTAGAGGGCCCCCACCAGAGCTCAGCCATGCTGGCCCCTGATCTCACAATTCTCAGTCTAGATATGTGAGAAATGTCTGTTCTTTAAGCCTCCCAGTCTATGGGAATTTGCTATAGCAGCTGGAGCTGAGGCAAATGCCAAGACCTTTTATAAAATGTTACCAACCTCCTCTCAAGGACCGGCATACACATAGAGAGAAGGAAGAAAGTCAGGGAACTCGCCAGTTATTTTCATTTAAGCTTTAGATATAAATTGCTATATTCAGAATGTGATCAACAAAAACAGAAGGAAATAAGACACAATATTAGCTGTCTGATTAAACCCTAATCCCCAAAGAAACGGGCAACAATTTGAAGAGCTATAAAGAGCTGAGGGTAAAATAGGTTTTAACTTTCAAATAATGCTCTTTTATCTAAGATAATTTATGTTCTTTTGAACTTTCCTGTGTTGCTTATCTTGTTTTCAAAGACACAATCAATCTCACTGGGATTGGAGCCTCAGACCAGAAGTACGGTAGTCCCACAAACTTTAATGATATAATCAAATAAAGATAAACACAAATTTACATAAAGAAACGTTTAAGTAACAAGCATTTACTTATTTTTTACACCTAGAGAATTAAACACCACCCTCATTTTAGATTAAACTTAGACCAATATTAGAGGTAAAGGGAATCAAATAGCAAACTAATGCAGAAACAGAAAACCAAATACCGCATGTTTTCACTTGTAAGTGAGAGCTGAATGATGAGAACACGTGAACACACAGAGGTGAACAACACACCCTGGGGCCTATGGAGTGTGGAGGGTGAGAGGAGGGAGAGGGGCAGGAAAAGTAACTACTGGCTATTAGGTACTAGGCATAGTACCTGGGTAATGAAATGATCTGTAAAATAAACCCCTGTGAAATGGGTTTACCTGTGTAACAAATATGTGCATGTATCCCCGAACCTAAAATAAAAGTTGAAGGAAAAGAAATGAAGTTAAAATTCCCAAATAAAACTTTAGTTTAAGGTTAAAAGAAAAAAGTGAGTGGAATGGAAGAGTCAAGGGGGCTTGATGGTTTCTCTCCTGGCCTGACCTTTGACTTCCTAGCTCTTAGTTCAGTTCCCTCTTCAACCTGACTTAGTCCCACCTATTGGTAAAGCTGCTCCCACCCCTCCACCTTCACCTCTGTCCCAGAAATTTAAGAAAAGGAAGAATTCTGAAGACACTAGGGAACAAACTGAATTAAATAAGGCCACCTCTTCATACTTGGTAAAGGAAGTGAAGGCATTTCTCTGGAAGCTAACTTGAATTCAGAACAAGTTAGAGGTGACCAGATGACATGATATCTGTCATCTGCAGAGATCATATGTACCCTATTCATATTTCAAAAACACAGGTTTTTAAAACAAATGTGGTAAAATGTACATAATATAAAATGTACTATTTTAACCATTTTAAGTGTACCATTCAGTGGCATTAAGTACAGCCATGCTATTGTGAAACTATTACCACTGTCTGCCCACAAAACTTTTTCATCTTGCAAAACTGAAATGCTATATTCATTAAACACCAACTCCCCATTCTGCTTCCCCACAGCCCCGGGCAACCACCATTTTATTTTGTCTCTGTGAATCTGACTACTCTAAATACTTCATAGGAGTGAAATTATACAGTATAAAATACTGATGAAAAATTAAATATTAACTGCACTTAAGATGAAAGTATTAATATAATTAACACATTTGACAATAGCTCTTTGCACCTCACCAGAGTTGCAGATAACATGGAGGAAGGTGGGGTGAGGAAGGAGATTCAGGAGGGCCGACTGGAGGTGGGAGCAAGGGCCTGTGGCTGGGGCCCGAGAACACGGCGAGCTGGCATCAGGAGCGAAAGCCATGGTCGAGGGGAGGAAGGCAGCTAAGATGGATGTGAAGGGACATGAAAAGCATCCTGCAGACTAATTTCTTTTTTTGTTGAGAAAACTATAGCATTTATTGGGGAAAGATAAGAGGACACACTAAAAACTGCTGCTAGCCTTTTCTCTTAGAGTAGGCAGCAGAAGAAACCACACACTGACCATCTTCAAACCACACTTCCTCAGAGCTAAATGACCCATAATAACGTTTGGCCTGAAACAGCCGGCAGGATCCCCAGCTGCCAGTTTACTGGTCCCAATACCTTACCCACCAGCAATAATTAAAACAAGAAGCTCACTTGGTGCTGGAGTAAGAAATCCATTTTTAAAAAACAAAGCAACTTAAATTCAAATACTTGTGGTTTTGAAATTGCAGTATATAAGAATCTGGGGTGAGAAATTTGGGGCAGATTTAATTTAAAAAATTATTTAAGAAATTATAGTCAGTTCAGTGAATGGGTTGGTAGTTACTCTATTCTAAATATTTTGACAAGCATTACATAATCACATGCTAGAAACTACATTAAAAGTGCATGTATGTGAGTGTGTGTGTGTGTGCATGCATGTGTGTGCAGATACTACAAACCTGGGCTGCTGCAGCAGAAGCAGTGGCCAAAGGTGGCTACTTGTGCAGTGTTCAGGTGTCAGGTTTGACAGCTGTATTAATCAGGCAAGGAGGAAGAGAACCCAGAAAGCACTCTCAATGTAGGGGTGTCTCTCCAGGGCCAAAAACCATCCACAACTGTCACCTTTGCTCCTTCCAGGAATGTACTGTGGCGCAGACTCTGAAATTCCCTATGTTATATTCTTAAATATTCGTGGGAATTCATCCATGAACACTTTTTCTAATAGTAGTTTAAAGTTTCTTACTTCTCAGTACTGATACTAGCTTGGTAGTTTCACAGAAGCCACAATGTGTACATGCTGTTGAATGTAATGAATCATTCCAAGAGTTTATACAGACTAGACAGAAAACCCTAAACAAGAAAAAGGTTCCACCTGTAACCACTGCCCCTGGTACATACAATCATCTGCTCTAGACGTTGTTCCCAGATTTGTACCACTCCACCCCTTGGCCTCATGCAAACCAATTGACCCATTTGCACAAAGTCTAGGGGAGGAGAGCAGAGTATCACCATTTTCAAGGTAGGCTTTTATAAGGTCAACACTGGCTTTCTTCATCTTAGGTTTTTCAGTCTATCATTTGCTTTCTCTAGGAACCACAAGTCTAGAATTTAACATTTTGTGAGAAAATTTTGAAAAGAATAACCCAAGTCTTCCACTGAAAGTTCCCTTTGTTGACTATATCAAGGTGGCGCCCACTTCGGTAAATGAAAGGAAGAAATATGTAGGCCCTTTTATTATTGCATTACAGATCCCTATAGTTTAGAGGTTGGATGATTTTCTTTTCTTGCTAAAATTCATAAAAGAGACTGGGTCAAGATGAGTAACTAGACTGACATTAGGTCAGCAAAGGTATATTAAATTAAAGAAGTTTTACACAACAATGTATGGAAGAATTTTTCCTATAATAAACATTTAGGCTTTTTAAAAATTCTTTACTTCTTAGTGATGAGGTCTCGCTCTGTTGCAGGCTAGAGTGCAGTGGCACCATCAGAGCTCACTACATCCTCGAACTCCTGGGCTCAAGTGATCCTCCTGCCTCAGCCTCCTGAGTAGCTGAGACTACAGGTGCACCCAGCTAGGCTGTTGTTAAATGACAAGAATTGTTTTATGCAAATATCAATTTGCAATAAAAGCTCACTGTGGATTCTACACCCAAATAGGGGTGAAAGTAAAGAACGACTATGTCGTGAGCTCACGTCACCCTGGTCAGATGCTTTCATAAAATGCTGCTGCTCCTTTCCATCAACTTCAAGCTTGGGGCACATAAAATGAGTCCCTCATATGAGTAAGCAGTGTTTCCCTTGACAAGCTGAAAAAAGTGAATTTTTTCTCTCCGAGTAGGGAGGGCTTCAAAAAACACTTGTGAACATCAATTTGATCGTCTTCTCCTGACATCTGCATTTTAACCCAGTTACAGCTGGTTCTCAGCCCCCTCTCCTAGAGACTGTTTATTGGCACAATGCAAGACTGGGGGCTGTCTACGTGGGGGCAAACTCTCACCATCAATCTTCCTTCTTAGCACTAGCTTAAGAGTGCACATTCCCATGTGGCCCAGATGCTTTAAGCTCCAGGGGCAGTAGGAGAATTTGGTTACACTCAAACATCATATTCTGACCTTGGTTGTTCCCACGCTTTCTAAAAGGAGCCATAAGATTCACTAAGTAAGGAAAAGCATCCTTTGGTAAATTTCTGACCTTATGACATAAAAGTTCAAGAAGCTAAAGTATCCTGGCTTTGGAATGGAGTCACCAGGAGCCTCTTCTGTGAATGTTGTTAATGTGGCCCTGCAGGCTACAGAGCCTCTATAGCCTTGAGATGAGTACATGGTCCACTTGCTGCAGGAGCCCATGGCGGCCTTGCCCATGGCATCATTTTACCAGATCTTCAGCCACCAGATCCACAGTGGATCCTCTCCTGGATTTGTCATCACTTCCCCAGGTGAGTTTCAGGCAGGTTTGTCTAGAGCACGCTAACCAATTGGTTAAAGTCATCTTGGTGCAAGGAAAATGAGTTGATGGGAGAGCAACTGGTCAACCAACTGGACCTGCTCCAAGTTTCAACTAGTTATCTGGTACCAGGAAGACGCTGTTGGGTAAACTACAGAGCATGATGAATTAACATGAATCTTTTTAGAACCATGGGAATGGAAAAATATAAAATTTCTGTATCTAATATAAGCATATCCATATTTACTTATTATAAGAAGATTGAGATTGTATTTTATCTATAATACTCTTTAAGATATTGAATAATTATAAATTTTAACCAGCCATAATGGTTAGGATATCTAGTTATAAAGCACAGTTTCAACCTACAGAAGGGAAAGAGAACTGAAAGTCCTCTGCACCCCACAGATGCTGTGTTTGACTTGGAAATGTTGGACAGAAACTGGAATGCAACTTTCTGTTATTTACAGAGGCTGTCAAAATACATTTTACCAGACCTCAAGCCACCAAAGTTGTTTATAGGTGGCTGGCAAGTGCCCACATAGAATTTTATCTCAGTAAGGAAAATTTATAACCATCAAATCCAGCCACTGAAAATGCATCTGACGAATACATACCAGCCCAATTCAGGACCTTGGGGAAAATGTGCTGAGGTCTCATCCTACCCTAAGAGAGGTTCTCCCCAGACTGCAAAAGCAGCCCCAAAGTAAGGGGCAGCCCCAAAGTAAGGGGCAACCCCAAAGTAAGAAAGCAGAATTAGTGGTATTAAACACAAATCCTACAACCTCTGACAATTCTGTCCCAATTGATTCTATGTGAAAGGGAAAACATACCCTTCTGAATTCACCTTTTGCTGAATTTATGGTCTCCCATCAGCTTTGTGCTTTCTCATCATGTACAGTATTTCTTTTTTAGCTGTGAAGTAGTTGTTAGGCTGGGTGTGGTGGCTCACGCCTGTAATCCCAGCACTTTGGGAGGCCAAGACAGGTGGATCTCTTGAGCTCAGGAGTTCAAGACCAGCCTGGCCAACATGGTGAAATCCCATCTCCACCAAAAAATACAAAAAAGTTAGCTAGGTGTGGTGGTGCATGTCTGTGGTCCAAGCTACTCAGGAGGCTGAGGTGGGAGGATTGTTTGAGCCTGAAAGGCAGAGGTTGCAGTGAGCCGAGATCCTGACACTGCCCTCTAGCCTGGGTGACAGAGTGAAACTCTGTCTCAAGAAAAAAAGCTTGAAAAAAAAAGTGGTTGTTGGCCGGGCGTGGTGGCTCATGCCTGTAATGCCAGCACTCTGGGAGGCGGAGGTGGGTGGATCACCTGAGGTCAGGAATTCGAGACCAGACTGACCAACAGGGCGAAACCCCGTCTCTACTAAAAATACAAAAATTAGTTGAGTGTGGTGTCGCACACCTGTAGTCCCAGCTACTTGGGAGACTGAGGCAAGACAATTACTTGAACCCGGGAGGCGGAGGTTGAGTGAGCCGAGATTGCACCACTGCACTCTAGCCTGGGTGACAAGAGTGAAACTCCAGCTCAAAAAAAAAAAAAAAAAAAAAAAAGGGGGTTGTTATACTAATTTAACGGTGTAACCACACCTAGCTAACTTTTTTGTATTTTTTGGTGGAGATGGGATTTCACCATGTTGGCCAGGCTGGTCTTGAACTCCTGAGCTCAAGAGATCCACCTTCATACATTGCTGGTGGAAATGTAAATGGTACAGCCACTTTGCAAAACAGTCTGGCAGTTCTTAAAATATTAAACATAGATTTACCATATGACCTAACAATTCCACTTCTAGGTATTTACCAAGAGAAATGAAAATATGTATCCTTATAAAAACATATACACAAATGTTCATAGCACCATTATTCATAATTGCCCCAAAGTAGAAACAACCCATATGTTTATCAACTGATGAATGGATAAATAAAATGTGTTATATCCATTAAATGAAATGTTATTCAGCAATGAAAAAGAATGAAGTAGTGATTTGAGTTGGATAAGCTACAAGTTGATGGCCTTTGAAAACATGATTGCAAAGTGAAAGAAATCAGTCACACTAGACCTCATGTTGTATGGTTCCATTTATATAAAATGTCCAGAACAGGCAAATTTATAGAGATGGAAAGTAAAATCAGCTTTGGCTGAGGCTGGAAAGTTTGAGAGTGGGATATAGGTGTTGGTATGGGTTTTTTTGGGGGGGTTATAAAAATGTTCTAAACTTGCATGTGGTGATAGTTGCATATACTAAAAAAGAGTGAATCGTACATTTTAAATTAGCAAATTTTATCATATGTGAATTATACCTGAATAAGACTTTTTTGGAAAGTATAAGTGTGTCTTTGTTCATGCTGTGAAATCAGAAAGAGAAATACCCAGTTCTAGCTAGCTCTAGTCTTCACATGGGAGAATGAAAAGACTTAGCTCCAGCCCACTAGCCATTCTGTCTCACCTAAGCAGGTGAGGGACAACTAAGAAGTACTTGTGAAGTTCACAGTCCAGAGGCACAGGCTCACTAAGAGACTGAGACTTAATCACAGGATTGTAGAATACCCTCCTGCTGTGACTTTACCAACACATTATAAAAGTCTGCTTACAGCAGTTCCTTTTACCCAGTACATGATGTCTGGCTATCAAGGAAAAATTACAAGACATACTAAAAGGCAAAAAACAGTTTGAAGAGACAAAGGAAGCATCAGAACCAGAAATGGCAGAAATGCTAAAATTATCAGACAGGGAATTTAAAACAACTATAATTAATATGCTAAGGGCTCTATGGATAAGTAGACAGCATGCAAGAAAAAATGGGAAGTGTAAGCAGAGAGATGGAAATCCTAAAGAAGAACCAAAAAGAAATTCTAGTGATCAAAAACATAATAACAGAAATGAAGAATGCCTTTGATAGGCTTATTAGCAGGTTGGACACAGCTAAGGAGAGAATCTCTGAGCTTGAGGATATATCAATAGAAACTTCTAAAACAGAAAAATAAAGAGGAAAAAAGACTGAAAAACAAAAACAAAAACAGAATATCCAAAAACTGTGGGACAACTACAAAAGGTATATTATACATGTAATGGGAATGCCAGATGGAGAAGAAAGAAAAAAAATAGAAGAAATATTTAAAACAATGCCTAATAATTTCCATAAATGAATGTCAGACATCAAACCACTGAGGATAAATGCAAAAGAAAAGAAAAAAAGGCAAAAAACCCTACACTTAGGCATACTGTCTTCAAACTACAGAGAACCAGAGAGAAAAAAAAATATTGAAAGAAGGCCGGTGCGGTGGCTCACATCTGTAATCCCAGCACTTTGGGAGGTCGAGGTGGGTGGATCACAAGGTCAGGAGATCAAGGCCATCCTGGCTAACACGGTGAAACCCCATCTCTACTAAAAATACAAAAAATTAGCTGGGTGTGGTGGTGGGTGCCTGTAGTCCCTGAGGCAGGAGAATGGTGTGAACCCAGGAGACAGAGGTTGCAATGAGCCGAGATTGTGCCACTGCACTCCAGCCTGGGTGACAGAGCGAGACTCCATCTCAAAAATAAATAAATAAATAAATAAATTGAAAGAAGTCAGAGGGAAAAAAAAATTTCCCAGTAGAGAAACAAAGATAAGAATTACATCAGACTTATCCTCAGAAACCATGGAAGCAAGAAGAGAGTGGAGTGAAATATTTAAAGTGTTGAGAGGAAAAAAAACCACCGACTCAGAATTCTGTGCCCTGTGAAATTATCCTTCAAAAGTGAAGGGGAAATAAAAACTTTCTCGGACAAAAATGACCAAGGGAATTTGTTGCCAGTGGACCTGCCTTGCGAGAAACGTTAAAAGAAGTTCTTTAGAGAAAATTAATATAATATGGGTCAAAACTTGAACTTACATAAAGAAAGAACAATCGTTGCAGCACTATTCACAATAACGAAGACATGGAATCAACCCAAATGCCCATCAATGATAGGCTGGATAAAGACAATGTGGTACGTATACACCATGGAATACTATCCAGCCATAAAAAGGAATGAAATAATGTCCTTTGCAGGAACATGGATGGATCTGGAAGCCATTATCCTCAGCCAACTAACACAGGAACAGAAAATCAAACACTGCATGTTCTCACATATAAGTGGGAACTGAACAATGAAAACACATGGACACAGGGAGGGGAACAACACACACTGGGGCCTGTCGGGAGGTGGGGGGCACGGGGAGGGAGAGCATTAGGAAAAATAGCTAATGCATGCTGGGCTTAATACCTAGGTGATGGGTTGTTAGGTACAGCAAACCACCATGGCACACATTTACCTATGTAACAAACCTGCACATCCTGCACATGTATCCCAGAACTTAAAATAAAAATAAAAATAAAAATAAAGGAAGAACACTGAAGAAGGAAAAAATGAAGGTAAAATTAAAACTTTTATTTTTTATTTTTAATTGATCTAACAGCTAACAGTTTGTTCAGGATAATAGCAACAATGACTTCAATTATGTGTTCTTATGTATATATCTTATACGTTCAAATAGTCACAGATATGTGTATACATAATGCTAATGTATACTTATATATAAGTGAAATGAGTGACAGCAGTTATACATGAGAGGAGAGGAAGAAATTAGGATTATTTTGCTATCTTAAGGTACTCAAACTATCTGTGAAGCAGTACAGTGTTATTTGAAAGTGGCTTGGATTAGTTGTAAATACATTTTGCAAACTCTAGGGCAACCACTAAAAAAAGGAAACAAAGAAATATAACTGGTATGCTAAAAGAAAAGAGAGAAAATGGAATCACATAAAATACATGGTTAAAACCACAGGAAGATAAATAGTGGAAGATAAAAAGAGAACCAAAGTACAAGGGCAACAATTACAAAACTAACAAATATGCTAGATATTAATAGAACTATATCAGTAATCACTGTGAACATCAGTAGTCTAACTGCACCAATTAAAGGAAATCATCAGAGTAGATCACTGTAGACATTTTGGAAGATAGTTTGGTAGTTTCTTTTAAAACTAAACATACTCTTACCATACAATCCAATAATCATGTTCTTTGGTATCTACCCAAAGGAATTGAAAACTTACATCCACACAAAAACCTGCATATGGATGTTTAATGCAGTTTTATTCATAATTACCAAAACTTAGAAGCTGCCAAGATGCCATTCAGTAGGTGGATGAATAAGTAAACTGTAGTACATCTATACTATGGAATATTATACAGCACTGAAAATAAATCAGCTACCAAGCCCTGAAAAGATATGGAGGAAACTTAAATGCATATTTTAAGTGAAAGCACCCAATCAGAAAAAGACTAAATACTATATGATTCCAACTATATGACATTCTGAAAAACTATGGTGACAGTAAAAAAAATAAACAGTGGTTGCCAGTGGTTGTGGGGGTTGGAGGAGGAATGAATAGAAGCATGGGATTTTTAGAGCAGTGAAAATACTCTGTATGATACTACAATGGTGGACATATGCCACACATTTGTCCAGACCCACAGGCTATACAGCACCAAGAGTGAACCCTAAACTATGGACTTTGGGTGATAATGATGTGTCAATGTAGGTTCATTGATTGTAACAAATACGGCACTTGGGTGGGGGTTGTTGATAAGGAGAAGCTCTGCATGCATGGGGCAGGGAGATATGGGAAATCTCTGTACATTCCTTTCAATTTTGCTATGAATTAAAAACTGCTATAAGAATATAAAGTCTTCAAAAATCTCCAGGCCCTATTATGGTAAGATAAATAGTCATAAAAATGGTTAAGATGGTAAATTTTATGCTACATATATTTTGATACAATACAATAAAAATAAAATCTAAAACTTAGAAGGAAAAAAAAAACCCTGCAAGCACGGTCAGAAGTCCCATCTCTGAAAGACATCATGACAAGTAGACGGTTAAGCCAAAAGAGGCACTGACCCAGGAGTTGCCTCTGAGTGGGGTGTGCGGGTAGGAAAGACCAGTGAGGTAGGGCTCAGAAGCTGCCAGGTAGCTGGGACACGGGCCAAGAGGCAGCACTCAGAGGTGCACATTTCTAGGCCCATAATCCAATGACAAACTGCCCCTGCAGAAAGGAATGGAGCCACGTTGAGGCTGCTCATGTCTGTAGGAGCTGGGGGGGTACTCATGCTAAGGCAGAGAAGGAGCAAGGCTGGACTGCAGTCAGCACAGAGTAGGATAGCTCGATGGCTCTCACAGGAAACAAAGTGCTGTGACACGAACAAAAATGAGAGTGGCAAGCTAGGAGACCAAAGGTGAGACTGGCATTTAAGGAGATAGCTTCTCATGCATCAGAGGCGGTGGTCGGGAGCAAGTCCACCCTTGCAGGAGGAGTATTTTTATCACTGGCAATATTCAGAATTGTTAGTGCATGGTAACATGCAAAAGCCGACTCACTTTTAGTAGAGTTGATTGCTTTAATATTTTCTACAGATGACGATTCCTGGGACACCCCCTCTTCTTTTCTACTCCACACCCTCCTTTTGCTGGCTCATTTCTAGTCAAATTTCCAAACTCAGCTCAGGCATGTCCTCCTCCTGGAAGTGGTGCCTGAGCTCCTCATCCTACCTGCCCCCAACTGACCTCAACCAAGCCGGGTCATCCCTTTTCAGCATACACTGAATTAGGAATGGAAACTGTCTATTTAGTCATGGTACCAGGTCTTGATCATCTCTGCATCCTCAGAACCTAACACTGTGCCTGGCACATGGAAGGCATTCAATAAAGGTTTGTTAACCGACTGAATGAATACTGAATAAACAGCCCACCCAAATGATACCTTCAACCCCAGGGTAGCCTAGGATTAATAGAAAACACTTTAGCTGAAAACGTGTTCTAGTAGTCACCCCCTGTCCTGTTACCACACATTTTGGATTGAATGTAGCATAGGACAGTTTGAGTAGTTAAAAGTTGATTATAAGCCATTACGTTAAGGGTATGAAGTCTTGGAAGGCTATGCCTGCTGCCAGAATGTCTGGAGGAAAACAGTAGCATGCTTATCTTTTGAAAGATTTTTTAAAAATATCACATCATTATATACAATAACACAGTTAAATAAACTGTTTAGCTGAAATTTTCATTCTGGTTACAAATGAATGGTGTTATATACAAAGTAGCTTGGGAACAGCCTCTAGGGAGGTTGGTACATTTTTGTATTAAGAGCCCAAGGATGATGTCTGCATTATTAGGCATATTATTTTCACCAGTTTTATAAATCATTGTTCTCAACTCATAAGCCTGGCTTATGATCCAAACAAAAAGTAATTTATAGAGGGGAAAAAAGAAGAAAATAAAAAAGAATTAATGAACTAGGGAGTTAGTTGTTTTCTGCCACTTCAACTTTGATAAAAATTGCTATATTTGCCCACTCAAAGGAAATATCTGTTCTCAAAATTCAGAGAGTGAGTGGACCCTGCAAGGAAGGATTCACCTTTTTAAACTCTTGGGGTCCCTGCACAGACCATTTAATACTGAGGAGGAGTGAGCGAACACAGGAAGGGTTGGTGAGTGGGAAGGAGGAAGTACTGTGGTGGAGTTCTTGCAGAACTTTTTGGGAAAAATAAAGAGAGAATGGAAGAGCACGGGGCTAAGAATGTAAAAGTCACCAAAAATGCAGAAGTCTGATAGTTCCCATTGTTAGCAACAATGTAGGAGAAACAGAAATCCTCACACACTGCAGGTGGGTGTGTAAAGGCCTACAACCATTTTAGAAAACAGACAGCCATTACATAGTAACCCAATCTGTGCTGTGACCTGCAATTCCCCATTTAGGTATATACCCTGGAGAAGCTCTAGAACATGTGTACAGGAGCCATGTACTTTACAAGGATATATGCCAGCAATGTTCAGCATAGCAAAAACAAAACAAAACAAAACAAAATAGTGGAAACTACCCATCGGTCCATCAGCAGTGGAGTGGATAAAAAACTGTGGTGAATTCATACAGTGGACAGTATATAGCAGTGAGCTACAACTGTGTATAATAATGTGGCTGAACCGCAAAAACATAATGTTGAATGAAAAACGCAGGTTACAAAAGAACTTACACGGTAGGATTCCATCTATGTAAAGATCAAAAACTGGCAAAGCTAAACAATGTATGATTTAGGGGTGCATGTGCATGCATCAAAACTACTAAAGTAAACCCAGGGAATGGTTATTACAAGATTCAGAAGAGTGATTGCAAAGGTAATGGTCATATTTCATGCCTTAAAACCAGTATTCATTGTTATTATTATTATTCAAACTGTGCAAATTATTATAGATTATTTTATATGTATTATTTATTTTACAATTTTTAAAGAGCTTTTTAAAAACAAAAGTAAGCAGAGAGAGTGAGTGAGAAGCTTACTGTCTCACTCTGGAGGGGGCAGAGAGGAGGGCAACGCAACAGCTGAACCAAGGAAATTGTTCCAGATCTAAACTTTGGAGTTCCATTCAAGGACAGCAGGTTGTACTGAAAAAGAAGGACCTCAAAGCTCATATGCACGGTCCATAAGCCTCTACCACCACTAAAAGGGTTCTGTGGCTGCTCTTTCTAACTTGATCCACCCGGTCATCAGCAGCTTACAGTCCCCTGCTCAGTGCTGCCTGCAGGCTCTTTAGGCCTTGCTTCCCCCTCCATAAGCCTGCTGAAGCCCACAGTCTTTATCTACCTGCTGGCCCTATATCTAGAGGGATCTGGCATTTACCAGCTACTGAGTGGATTAAAATCTCCCAGTGGCCATTCATCACCTGCAAGATGGAGTCCATGCTCTCTGCTGCCATCACGCCTTTGCAGAGGCTCTTTCTCTGCCTGCGGTGCCATCCTCTTGTCCCCAGCCCATGGCATCCTTGGAGGATAACCCAGCTGTCACCTCCTGTATGAGTTGTTCTTAGCAACTGGAGTGATTAATTGATGACATGGTCCTATCCCCATTAGACTCTGAGGCCTCCAGAACTGGAGCCTTTATTTAGTCTTCTTTTCACCATGAGTGATATTCAAAATATCAACCCATCAGCACTTCACAGACAGCAATCAATCAGAGTGAATACTGTATAAAGCTGGAACCAGGTCCTGCAGATGTCCTCCTCCACTCCTAAATTGCTAGGTATTAACCCCTTAGTTGCTGCATCAATGGGGAGGAGGCAGGTGGGGGCAGGGGAGAGTCCAGGTAGGTGGGGTGGAGGGATAGGGGACTCAGGACAGTATATATTTTCCAACCAGTACAGAAGTATTTAAATATTTTAACAACTGGCATGGCCATTATACACTAGGCCCTCTGCATTTGAGGGTTCCATATCCATGGATTTAACCAACCACAGATCAAAAATATATGAAAAAGCAATGGATGGCTATCTCTGTACTGAACATGTATAGACTTTTTGCCTTGTCATTATTACCTAAACTATACAGTATGACAACTATTTACATAGTGTTTACATTGTATTAGCATTATAAGTAATCTAGAGATGATTTGAAGTACACAGGAGAATGTGCATAGGTTATATGTAAATACTATGCCATTTTATTTTTTATATTTTAGAGACAGGATCTCACTCTGTCACCCAGGCTGGAGTGTAGTGGTGTGATCACAGCCCATTGCAGCCTCAAACTCCTCGGCTCTAGCAATCCTCCTGCCTCAGCCTACCAAGTAGCTGGGACTACAGGCACACATCACCATACCTGGCTAACTTCTAAATTTTTATTTTGTAGAGATGGGGTCTTTTTTGTTGTTCAGGCTGGTCTCAAAGTCCTGGGCTCAAGCCATCCTCTGCCTCGGCCTCCTACAGTGTTGGGATTACAAGCGTGAGCCACCAGGCCCACTCTATGCCATTTGACATAAGGGATTAGAGCATCCATGGACCCTGTGGGGGGTCCTGGAACCAATCAATCCTCTATGGATATTGAAGGGCAACTATATATCAATATCTAACAGCTCAATATCCATCTAGGGACAGACTTTTAGTATATACTGAAAGAACAAGACATTCCTTAAATTACATTGGAATCATTCACCAAAAAAAGGAGAGAATCTGAGCATTGGCTCCTATAGTGAAATTCTGTTGTCTTTGCCTTTGTCTCCAAAACAGATTGGTTAATGGATGGGTATATGAGGTCTGATAAGCCTCAGTCCTGGGGTTTTGCTTGAATGCCCCCAACCCCTCCACCCTCTCCAATCACCTCATCCCCAGGCTAATGTCTGGAGCTACTGGAGGCTGTCTTGCCCCCATGAAGGGGACCTGTTGAGAATGAAGCGCAAGATGGTGGAACTAAGATATGGGGAGAGTCAGGCTCCTGCAACCGGATTTAAATCCCTAGATCCAGAGGCACCTGAAGATCCACCCGGACTGCACCTTTCAGTTAATTGACCCAATAAATTCCCTTTCTTGCTTATGATCTTTTGACGCATGTTTGGTTTTTGCTTTTGCTTTTTTTTTTTTTGCCTTTTACAATGACAAGTCCAGTCTATTTCAGGTGGAAGGATGAACTTCCATTAGGAAAAACAAAAGTCTAAGGTTTTGTATGAGTATCTCTTAGTTTTTCACATCCTATACATTTTGTTGACATTTTGGTAACTCACCTTTCACCAAGTAGAACATTTGACAGATTTATAAATGAAGGAAAGTCTAGTGAGTTCATGACTGGATAGGCATGAATAGGAACAAGCAAAGTGTCATCTCCCTAAAATTAACCAGAAAAAGTCAAGTTTAACATTCTGAAGACTACAACTTTTAGACAAACTTGTAGATGCTTTATTTCTTATCTTGTTTCCATCGTTAAAAAATATTTCCTTAAGAAACTTCAGCGCTTAACTACAACATTAGACATACTGAGTTTTCTTAGCCATAAACAAAGCGTAGAAAATTTTAAGTACTCTTTATTGAAATGATGTTCGCTATTATCCAAGGAAGCTAAAGATAATGACGCCTCATAGAGATATGAAGACAGTAATCTATCTGCTTCTATTTCAGAAAATTATAAAGAAACACAGTCTTTAGTGGCCCAAGAAAAAGAGAAACCAGCACAGAATCATCTGATCCAGACAGCACAGAATAGAAAACAATGTATTGGCAAGAGGGCACAGAAACTTGCTTCTTGTCTCATATGACGTTAACCTTCAGAAGGACTTTTAACCTCTCCAGGCATAGTTTCTTTCTTTGCAAAATGGAGATAATCATATTTTTCCTTAAAGGCATTTTTAAGAATTAAAGCAGATGATGGCATTAAAATGTCAAAAGTACTGCATAAAAGTGAGGTATTATTATTAGCATTATTTGGTAGTAACAGGAAATGTGTCCTGGCATTTTATACAATGCCTGTTCTAGGCATTCTTCTTCTGTTCAGCACAGAATATTCCATCTGAAAGCAATATTCTGGTTTTGTTTTTATTTTTTTATTTTTTTTTGAGATGGAGTCTCGCTTTGTTGCCCAGGCTGGAGTGCAGTGGTGCAACCTTGGCTCACCGCAACCTCCACCTCCTGAGTTCAAGTGATTCTCCTGCCTCAGCCTCCCGAGTAGCTGGGACTACAGGTGCATGCCACTAGGCCTGGCTAATTTTTTGTATTTTTAGTAGAGATGGGGTTTCACCATGTTGGCCAGGCTAGTCTCAAACTCCTGACCTCAGGTGATCCACCCACCTCGGCCTCCCAAAGTGCAGGGATTACACACATGAGCCATCGCGCCTGGCCATTTTTTTTTTAATTGAAACTCCAAAAAAATAATAATGGTCTATCATATTCTTAAGGAAATGTGCTTCTTGATCTAAAATACTATTGTGGGTATGTTGGGTCTAAGATTCTTTCCCTCCCCCTATGGAAATGCATCTCTAATATGACGAAGTGAGTCAGAGACAACACTATCAATTTATAAAAGTTAACTTTGCAAATTTTTATAACTTTTTTGGAAAGAAAAAGTGAAATGCTTTCACGGCAAGTCACCTTATTGTGCAGATTGTAGGAAATTTGCCTGAAAAGAAAAAAAGTAGAAACTCATTTGTTACTAATGTATACTCTTCTGTTTTGGTTTTGAAACATCAATAATTTAGCTAACCTAATGGCTTCTCAAGCTGAAGACTGGGGTCTGGACTATAGAGCAAAGGGAGGGGCAGAGGGGACAGTTTTAAGAGAAGGAATGACGGCAGCTCTGGCTGGAGGCCAAAGGATGAATTAGGTGACCTAGGAAAGGCTCAGAAGAACTCAAACAGTCCCCACCTCCCGGAACCACCCCCATCCCCTGCACCAGGGCTGCCTCTGCAGACATTCCCAGGCATAGGCCAGTGGCTGGTGTTTATAATCATAACTTGGATGGTTGTAAATTTTTCAACCTAGCATTTAAGGGAGTATGTTGAAGTTATTTGAAAAGGCTTCGGCAACTGCCAGCACCACATGATAGATGAAGCTTTAGGCACAGGGCAGTGGGAAGCCTGCAGCAAACCGCGTCTCCTGACTCTGTCCAGGTCCTCTGCAGCCTAACACTTTCCCATCTTGGGCCATGTCACTGGGCAACAAGCTTTGCACGCCAGTCACACTGGTGACCTGGGGAACACCCGGTACTGGGCCAAGAAAGCTCTCAGTGGTCATTCCACCTCTCTTTCTGCCACCATTGAGAATGTAAGTTTTAACCCACCATCAAAAAAAAAAAAAAAAAAAAGCAATTTTAAGAGACCTACCTTACAGTGAACACGGATGCAGTCATAATAGTATCGCCACTCATCTGGAGAAAATGTAACGGTGACCGTGAGGGACAAGCCAGGGACCAGGTGGTGTTCCTGGAAGACAGGTGGCATCTTGTTGGGACAAGCCCCGGACTGCACAGAGAGCAGCACCGGGGGTGACAACACACCACACACCCCCCACCCCACACAGGCCTGAGACGCAGACAACCACACCGTGGGAGAACAGGTAAACCAATGACGCTTACCTTTCTTACATAATTGATCTCAAAGTATTTGGTTTGCGGGGGTAAAATATGAACACGTGTGTCTTCATTGGAAACATTGACCAGATGCTGGGAGAGAAAAAGAAGTATTTAGAGGAAATACACGGCTTTATTTGCATACTCACCTCATTTATGTAGACTTCATCTGTTCCTAAAAGAATTTGAGGAGATATCCTATATTTAACTTTTCAAAATATTTGAAATACATCATACACCATTTAAAAAATAATAAACATAACACACACCATTTCAAGAATTATAAAACGTGCCCCATGTCCCCACTTTCCCCCTTAGGAACAATACCTGCAGTACCCTCCCACCCCAGCCCGAGACTTAGCATCCTTTAGGGCCCCCTCCCCACAGTCCTGAATGTTACTGCAAGTGCTTTTTGTTTAATTCAATTTAGTCCTGCGATTCAATCGAGCTAAGTCAGGCACCAATTCCTAAAGGTTCTCTAATTACATGCCACTGGTTTAGGGGCCCAGAGGACACTGAGACCATCAGAAAGTCAGGAAAAAGAACGTGACTAAGACAGCCTCCAATCCACGCCTGGGCAGATGAAAAGGAAGTTGAGGGTGGGAATTCTCTGACAGTGACAGGAGAAGGCCATCCCTGTGAGGCAGGATCATCTGGTGGATATGTCAGCTGGGTCTCTGAGGAAAGGTGTTTTTCCTTCCTTCGTTTGAAAGGGACACAAGAATTTTGAATTCTGGGGATCTGGGCTTTGCCTGGGCCAGGAGAAGGTTAAGAGACCTTTGGTTTCTGAAGTCTAGGCCAGACGCTGGGTCTGTCCCAGGGGCTTGGAAGTCCCATTGCTTGAGGACTGACATTCTTCAATGCCCTAAATTAGACTTTAGACATTCTCTCCTGATGAGGGTACACTGTGTTTGCCTGTGTTTTTTTGTTGTTGTTGTTGGTTTTTTGTTTTTTATTTTTGAGACAGGGTCTTTCTGTGTTGCTCGGGCTGCAGTGCAGTGGCACAATCATAGCTCACTGAAGCCTCGAACTCCTGCGTTCAAGCAAACCTCCTGCATTTGCTCCTGAGTAGCTGGGATTATAGGCATGCACCACCATGCCCAGCTAATTTTTATTTTTTATTTTTTGTAGAGATGGGGTCTCATTATGTTGTCCAGGCTGGTCTCGAACTCCTGGGCTCAAAGGGTCTTCTCACGTTGGCCTCTGAAAGTGCTGGGATTACAGGTGTAAGCCACTGTGTCTGGTCATGCATGTGTTTAAAAAGTTCTTATTTATTACATGTGAACATTCTTAAAGCACTACAATTTTTGTGACCCTGTTTTGGTGTATCTTCCCTTTCTTACGAAACTTGTTAAAAGCCCAAACAAAAAGTTTCCCAGGCTTCTCTTGGCCTCCAAGGGGCCCTGCACATGGGCAGTCTTGGTGAAGATATGAGTTCCCAGGGGCCAGACCCATGAGAGCAGCCCTTTTGAGAGAGACTGGGAGGAGAGGTTTGCTGAGTCCATCACACTCAGAGTCCTGGGATGACAGGGCCCGCCTGAGGATGGAGAGGGGCCACTCAGCCCCAGGCCTGGAATCTTAACAAAGAGCTTTGTCCCCATGCTTCTCATTGGGGGAGGGCTGTGAAGTCCTCAAGCTGGAGTCCAGGAAGAGCTGGAAGTGGAAGTGGTTCTATCATCTGTTATTACTTAAAAATAATTCAGTAAGAACACTGCAACAAACAAGGGTGCATAAGCTGGTTTTAATATGTACCCTGGGAGTGGTTAAGCTTAGAGGAAATCAGCAATCTGCACTCTAGGGGTGCTTTTTTTTTTTTTTTTTTTGAGACGGAGTCTTGCTCTGTTGCCCAGGCTGGAGTGCAGTGGCGCGATCTTCGCTCACTGCAGCCTCTGCCTCCCAGGTTCAAGTGATTCTCCTGGCCCAGCTAACTTTTGTATTTTTAGTAGAGACAGATGGGGTTTCACCATGTTGGTCAGGCTGGTCTCGAACTCCTGACCTCATGATCCACCCACCTCGGACTCCCAAAGTGCTGGGATTACAGGCGTAAGCCACCGTGCCTGGCTTCTAGGAGTGCTTTGTGAGCACTGAAGGATCCTAACCCAGCATCTACACTCCACAGGCAGCCATCAGAGTGTTTCAATTATGCCACCTAAATCCATTCTGGAGAGTCTTCTATAGTAGCAGAAAGGATACTCAGAATCTATGGATTAACTAGAAATATTATCCAGGCATTTCCACTCTCAAACAAAAGGGGTATGACAATCTGGTGAGTGCAAAAGACCAATATCCTTTAGAATGACATTCAAGGGCCCCAGACTCCCTTAGTCCCCCATGCTCTGCACTTTACTAAAGTATTCGGTCAGCCAGTTGTCATACCTGCGGCCATCAAAGCCTCCCCACTAGGAACTGCAGCTGGGACTTCGTGAGATTACAAACACAATGATCTTTTTGCCTGCTTGCTAGTAAGTGTTCATATGTGTTGCAGAGTGTCTTCTCAGACCTGTTCGCTGCAGCCGACCACCTGTAGCAAGGCTGCTGAGGAGTGGACCTATGACTCCCACATGCTGTCAGGGTCAGACTCTCAATATCTGCCTGACAATTAGAAATAAGCTCACTGGCTTAAATCAGTTTCCAACAAGCGACATTATGGGCAGAAGACCAGAACAGAGATCTGTCCTCAAAGCTGCTGGGTTCGCTCCATTTTTCCAGTATTCCTGAATGGTCCCAAGGAAGACAGGAACCTAAACTCCCAAGACTGGAGATCCAGCCAGCACCTATGGACAAATAAAGAGACTTGACCTTTCCTCCAACATGAGTATGTCACAGCAAATCCAAATCTACCCACTACCCATTTGAACATGAAGGGGGCATGCTAGAATTCATGACATAATATCTATATTGTCAAGTGAGTAAAAAATTTGCAATAGGAGGGCTGGGCACAGTGGCTCACACCTGTAATCCCAGCACTTTGGGAGGTCAAGGCAGGTGGATCACCTGAGGTCAGGAGTTTGAGACCAGTCTGGCCAACATGGTAAAACTCCATCTCTACTAATAATACAAAAATAGCTGGGCGTGGTGGTGGGAGCCTGTAATCCCAGCTACTCGGGAGGCTGAGGCAGGAGAATCGCTTGAACTGGGAGGTGGAGGTTGCAGTGAGCTGAGATCGCGCCATTGCACTCCAACCTGGGTGACAAGAGTGAAACTCTGTCTCAAAAAAAAAAAAAAGAAAAAAAATTTAGCAATAAGAAAATACTAGATGATTTTCTTAGAGAATAAAACAACATAGATCCAATTTGTGATAATAAAAGATACATTATTTGACTATAGTTTCCCATGTCCACCTTTAAAAGATTCTTGAACTGGAATTGTTCATTTGGATCAACAGAGAAATAAGAAACAACAGACTCAAACAAAACTGTAGATATTTAGTTAATAGGAGCTCAGAAACAGGAAGAAAACGTTCAGCTTCTGCTTAAGATCTGAAGTGAAATGGAGACTAGTGGAGACTGAAGGCCTGGACAGCTGGGTGCAGTGGCTCACACCTGTAGTCCCAGCTACTTGGGAGGCGGAGGTGGGAGGATCACTTGAGCCCAGGAGTTTGAGGCAGCAGTGAGCTGTGATCCACGTGGTGGATGGCAGAGAAGGCAGTCAGCAGACATAGTGATGGTGCGGGCAGGGATATTTCAACCAAATAATGTCTAAGACAATTCCAGGGGACATCGTGCCAATGAGCTTTTTCAGTGAACTTAAAACAACAACAAAACATGACAAATTATAGCAAAAATGAACAGCTTATTTTCTACACTTTAGAAAACAAAGTCAACATCCAAAAGCCTGACTTCCAAAATAGGAAGATTTTATTAATTTTGCAGTTCTCAATTTTTGGTTGCAAATACTCATTGCTTCCCATAATCATCCATGTTCTTTGTCCTCTCAAAGATTTGTCTGAGCCCAGGAAGACTGCAGAGGCCATTTTGTGCAATGTCCTTATTTCATGAAGACACAGTGACCTGGTACTGTCCATGCCACAGGGTGAGTGCAAGACCTGGACCTAGAACCTGGTCTCCAGCTCTGGGCTAGGGCTCTTTCCACTACATCCTACCGTCTCATGGCTCAGCACATCTCAGTGCCCAGCCTGCATTTCCTGTCTTTTTTTTAATACTTTATCAGCAGATCAGCTTTATTTTTAGATCGTTATAAATAATATCCCTTCAGGGATAAAATGGCAGTCCTGCCTTTCCATTTATAACTAAAACTGGGGAAAATAATAATCATTCAAAGGAAAAACAAACCTTGGGAAAATGAATAAAGTGCTTAGAAAGTGTATGTTAAATTAATATGAAGAGTTTATTTGAAAACATAACAAAACACAAGTAATCCAGCGTTACCCTTAGGCAACATAAAATTGCCTAAAATCCTACCCTGTGTTTCAATTTTTGGTCAGTAGAACTCCTAGTCCCTCCGGAATCTCTGTTCCCCTGGGAGCTGACCTTCTGCTGGCCTGGGGGTCCCTGTTTCCTTGGTGCTGTCTCCACAGGGCACCATATTTACTCCAAAGTGAAATTCAGCCCCTTCTAGAGTTTTTCAGAACCGCTTCCCACTCCACAAAAACCCCACAAAAACCATCAACCACACATAAAATAGTCATAAGTTTAACAGCCATTACTCAGGATTTGTAGGAATTTCCCCAAGAGGGCTCACAGCTCTCTTCACCCCCAATCCCATGCTGCTTCAGGCTCCCTTCTGTGTCTCCTTGGGGGAGTCTATTCTCCTCCTTCTAGAGGGAATGGCAGAACCTGCCCTCCAGTGAAGTCTTGGCTTGGAGTGGGTCCCGACCCTTCAAACACAACCTTCAAACACAACACTTTGGCCTGCAAGTTCAGTGACACAGCTTCTCAAAGAAGGTTCATACTTAACATAAGGGATCCAAGGACAAATTCAAGCAGCCTTATAAGTTCTTTAAAGCGTTTTATTTTAAAATGCATCTTGGTCATGCATTTACTCTAAAATTTTGCTCTATATTGCATTTCTCCAAAATGCAAGAGTAAAATTGATGCTCTAGAAAGACGTACTATGTTTATACTGTGGCTTCAATTCCCCCAACCCCACACACTGAGAAGCCAATGCGATTCATGGCCCTGATTTTGAGATGCAAGATCTTCAGGGTCTCTAAGGCTGTAATAGAATAGGTCTCTAATGTAAACTGATGTAAAAACAAATATTATTTGACAAAGCCAGAAGAAACTGTTCATTTATTTAAGGTAAGACTTTTTAGGCTAACAATTTTGTTTTGGGCTGGCAATAGCAACACTGGTTGTCTTAAAGGAAAATTGATGGATTATTTACTTAATAATTTCCAGGACCAAATCACTCCACAAAGGTAAAAACAAATTTAAGGGGTCTTGGTTTTGAGAAAACCAGGGACCATTATTTCAAATTTTAAAGTAAATTGAAACACTGATTTCAACATGAATGCAAGCAAAATGTTTCAGATCCTTTAGCCAGATCTGGATTGATCTGAAATGTTAATGAACAATTTATTTGTGGTTTTAAATACACATTCAGTCATTCCATTCTTGGGCAATTTGCATAGTTTGCTGTAGCAAAACCAAGATAAAAGCAGTTGTTGGATTTTCCACCTTGTTTGGCAAGAATTTCAAGGTAACTGCCTTAAGCTTCCGCTTCACTTTGCCGTGGAAACAGGGGGCTGGCTCTCCCAAGATTTCCGAGAATGTTATTAAGATGAAATCACTTTACTTTTATCTATTTGTTTGATTTAATGTCTGATCGAAGCAGTATGACCACCTAGACTTTACATTGTATTTACTTGGAATTAATGAGCCTCTGCCACTCTTCTAATAACCTCACAACTCTTACATTAAAGTGAGTTCCACATCCTTCACTCACAAGGGCTTGTTGGGTGCCTTCTGCATGTCAGGCACTGCACAAGGTGCTGGGGAAGCAGCAATATGAAAGACAGACATGGTCTCCATTCTGCAGCAGAATGACGCCGAGCTGAGGCTTCATATCTTTTTCAATAACTAAACCATACTCCCTTGCTCCCCACGAATTCTCAGTGGGGGTGAAATTACCCACAAGGGAAGGAAGTGAAAACTGATTCTTGGGAGGACAAAGGAATCTTAGACATTGTGATGGCTACAACCTTCCAAAGCTCAATCCTACCTGACAAAATCTTATTCCTTAGTATTTAGTTTCTCTCATTCATGTCTCCCTAAGGGATGCTAATGAAAGAAAATGTTGAGAACCACATTATCCTTTAAAATTCCACTAAGTTGATCTTCCTCAAATGCATCATAACCCTGCTCAAAAATACTTCCTTAACTTCCTGCTGCTTTCTGAATCACATGCACGTTCCTTACGTTGATATTCTTGTCCCAACCCACATGTCTCACCTTCTCCATTACCCGCTCCAAAGCCCTACCATCCAGGCAAACCAGCCTCCAAATACGCCGTTTGTTGGCTCAACTCAAGCCCCTGCATGTCTTTCTCTGGGCCCCAAATCCCTTCTCCCCACTTCCTACTTGGCTTTTGGGCTACCCCCAATGGCCTCTCCTCCACACGCCTCCAACACCCTCCTACAGAGGTGAAACGGTGCCTTTTCTCCACAGAACATTTTCTTTGGACTTCCTCATGCCACCTTGCTTGCCTGGTCTCATGTCTGAGTTATTTGGTGGTTTTGAAACACTTTCTGCTACTTGGAAAACTCCTTGATTTTATTTATCTTAGCATTTCCCATAATGCTTCAACACTTTGTTTGGCATGTAATGGGGACTCTCACCAACTGTGGGTGAAATTAAACAGAAGAAAATCCTTAACTCTATTAGAAACAAGGTAACATCAACCAGAGAGTACAACTTCGTTAGAGATAACAAAATAATATGCTGTTTCTTATCTATTTATTTATTTCTTATTAAAGAAAGAAATATTTCTCTTTATTTCTTATTAAAGAAATATTTCTATTTATTTCTTATTAAAGAAAGAAATATTTCTATTTATTTCTTATTAAAGAAATATTTCTATTTATTTCTTATTAAAGAAAGAAATATTTCTATTTATTTCTTATTAAAGAAAGAAATATTTCTATTTATTTCTTATTAAAGAAAGAAATATTTCTATTTATTTCTTATTAAAGAAAGAAATATTTCTATTTATTTCTTATTAAAGAAAGAAATATTTCTATTTATTTCTTATTAAAGAAAGAAATATTTCTATTTATTTCTTATTAAAGAAAGAAATATTTCTATTTATTTCTTATTAAAGAAAGAAATATTTCTATTTATTTCTTATTAAAGAAAGAAATATTTCTATTTATTTCTTATTAAAGAAAGAAATATTTCTATTTATTTCTTATTAAAGAAAGAAATATTTCTATTTATTTCTTATTAAAGAAAGAAATATTTCTATTTATTTCTTATTAAAGAAAGAAATATTTCTATTTATTTCTTATTAAAGAAAGAAATATTTCTATTTATTATGAAATAAATAAATAGTAAAGTGTACAATAATATGATTAAAATTATGAGGAGGCTGAAATATTTTTAAGTTTAGTAACATTATTGGAATCACTAACATTATACTAAGCAAAAAAAAAAAAAAAAAAAAGGCCAGTTTTAAAAAGCTATGTTGTGACCCAAAAGTGTTATGTTGTTAATTTTTTTGGTATAGCAACTTTTAACTTACCAGTTCATTATTAACTCTAATAGTTGCCATCATTTAAAAAATGTCAATATTTCTTGAAACTACAGGACCCTTAGCAAGCTAATTATAACTATGTAATTCTGAGGAAAGTCTATTTTAAGGAAGGTGAGCCCTCCTCTTCAGAACCCACACAGGTGGAAAATATCCTAGGGCTAGTGACAAAAGTTACGAAACATTTATTATAAAAAAGAATTGTGACTTAATATTCTTAAGGTTGCAATATTCCCCAAATTGATCTACAGATTCAATGCAATTCCCATCAAAAACCCAAAAGTATTCTTGCAGAAATTGAAAAGCTGATCCTAAAATTCATTTGGAATTGCAAGGAACCCAGAATAGCCAACATGGTCTTGAAAAAGAACAAAACTGGAGGACTCGCACTTCCTGATTTCAAAATTTACCACAAGCTACAGTAATTAAGGGTGGTACTTCCATCAGTGTAGGCATACAGGTCAATGGAGTAGAACCGGGGGTTCAGAAATAAACTCTTACATTTACAGTAAATTGATTTTCAGCAAGAGGGCCAAGACCATTCAATGGGGAAAAAATAGTCCTTTCAACAAATGATGGTAGAACATGCAAAAGATTGAAGTTGAACCCCTACCTCACATAATACATAAAAATTAACTCAAAATAAACTATAGGTCTAAATATGAAAGCTAAAACTATAAAACTCTTAGAAGAAAACACAGGAGTAAGTCTTTATGACTTTGTTAGTTGTTTCTTTAATACCCTAAATTTGTGGTATGGCAGCCACAGGAAGCTAACAAACCATATAACCCAATAATGCTCCTCCTATGTATATCTCCAAGGGAATGGTAAATATGTCCACAAAAGCAAGCCCATGAATGTTCATAGCAGCATCATTCATGATAGCCCCAATGTGGAAACAATCCAACATCCATCAGCTGATAAGTGGATAAACCAAATGTGATCTATCCACACAATGGAATGCTGTTCAGCCATAAAAGGGGATAAAGTACTGCTACATGCTATGACTTGGATAAGCCTGGAAAACACTATGCTAAGTGAAAGAAGTCAGTCACAAGAGACCTGGTATTGTATGATTGCGTTCATATGAAATGTCCAGGAAGAGGCAAATCTATAGACAGAAACTGGATGAGTGATTGCCTAGGGTGGGAGTGGGAGGGGAATAGGGGATAAGGAGTGACTGAAAGTGGGTGTGGGGTTTCTTCTTCAAGTGATAAAAATGTTCTCAACTTAGATTGTGGCAATGGTTGCACAACTCTGAGAATACACTAAAAATTATTGAATTGTATACATACTGTAAATGGGTAAATTTATGGTAATAAATGATCACTCAATAAAGCAGTAAGAAAAGAAAGAAAGCATAAGGAGCAAGTAATAAAATTTTATCTTAGCCTTTGGCATATATTTCATTTATAAACAATTAGTAATTATGAATCATAATTATTTTAGATCTATCCTACCACAGCATAGACAGCAAACCTTATAACCACGAACAGTAGGCTTCAAAATGAATCATTAACTTTGGTCTTTGATGCTGTGTTGTAAGAAATGTGACCTTGGAGGTTGATGGGTGAAGTTCCTAATAAGAGTTTCAAATCCTAATCCTTTTCCTAAGAGGAAATACTTGGCACCTAACAGGTTCCCCTCCTCATCTATTCTCGCTACTCACTTCATTGTATAAGGATTCATGGAAACTGTGTTCTCCTCTGTTCTTTGGGGTCTTCCTGACGGAAATTTCCTTCCCGATACCTTTACTATTTGTCAGTTTCCTCCAGTGTTTTGCCTCACTCTAAACAATCGAACGTGATAGAACTTTCTTAAAATAATCTACCTTAAGATACGGCTTCTAAGAATGCGTACATCTAAAAGTAGTCTTGTGGTGGCTGGAGACAGGGCCACAGGAGGGACATCACACACAAAGGCAGAGTCTCAGAGGGCGCATGTGCAAAGAGCCCACCTCCGCCCCTCCCCAACAACACATGGGGCCAGTTTGGCCTGGATCTAGGGCCGAACTGGAGTAGTTCTGAGAAGTTCTGCCAGGCATGACTAGGGGATCATGGTGAAGTCACTGAGGTTGTTCAGGTCCATTTACGCACAGGATGCTTAGGTGGGACGCTGAAGTAAGGCAGAGCCCACCCTAGTCAACATCCAGGTCAATGAAGGGGACCCAGCAAGAGTTGGGCCTCAGTGTGGCTCTGTGCTAAACAGCAGTTGCTATAGGCTTTGGCTACTTTGCAGTCCAGCCCTTCAGCTGTCTCTTCAGGAGCCTGTTCTTCAGTGGGGCTGACCCCTGCCTCCCTGGACCTAGACAGATTCTCTCTGGCCAGAGTGACTGATTAGGCATGGGCATCTGACCCACGCAGGTAAAAGGAAGCCCTGGCTGGAGCTTCATAGGAAAGGGACACCCCTCTTCCTGGTGCTACAGGACTGGAGCAAGAGTGATCTGGAGAAAGGCAGCCCAGGAGCCAAATTCTGCCTCTGACACTAAGCAGCTCTATGTCCTTGAATAAATTATTTAATCTTTTGGAGTCTCTGTTTCCTCATCTATATATATAATGAGAGGAATAATGCAGCCTCCACAGAGCTAGCATAAGGATTAAATTAAATCATGTAAATCATGAAGCACAGCATCTGGCCCCTATGAGTCACTCAGCAATGACACCTATCTGGAAAGAGTGCAAGGGGAGCCTTTGGCAAGAGGAAAGTAACTTGTCCAAGACATTGATGCAACCTTAAAGTTTCTCATCATAGAACTACCTTTCTGGCCCAATTTACTCTTGCACTACGGCTGATTATGCTGTGCTTTAGATAAGTGAATAATATAAATTCAGAACATTTTTGTCACTTCATTATGATGATTAATTATCCCATTTAAAAAGTACCTACCAGAATCTGTTGGTGTTGTTTTTCTACTTGATAGCCTCCAAAATGTATTATGCCAGGTCTTGCCTGTATGACCTTATTATTCACAAGTTTTGCATAAACCTCTATAAAAACAATGTAGATAAGCACATCATGAGACATCAAAGAAAATATTAAATTAAAGTTGATCCTTATTAACATAGCTTTCTTTAATTTAGGGCATTTTAAGCATATGAAAATTGCAGACATTGGATCCAGCTGTCAACAAGATTAATTATCTGTTCTAAATAAACTGAACTCTTTCTCCCTCTCTATTTTTAAACATCACTTGGGAGATACTATCATTACAATACAAAGTCAGGTAGATTGTCTGTTACCTAGTAAAAGAATTTGCTCTTCACACATTTTGTACACATCTTTGTCATAAATCACCAGCTCATAAAGAGCACATGGCCTGTCTTTGCTCTGCCTAGCACTGAGATTACTTATTACATAATGAATACCCAGATCAAAGTATCCAAACACCGCACACTTAAGTTTATTACTATGTATTTAACTTTTATTATTTGATTTCCTCTGATTAGAATTACAATGTGATGTAGAGTAATATTAAAACTTAAAGCTCTGAAAAGTTATCACTCGGAACAGTAAGTCTCAAACTGCTTTTGGTGTCATGTGAATGTCCCTTTTAAACGGCTGAGCTCACAAAAGTGTCCAGGTCTACAAAAATTTTCCCAGCTCTTTATTTAGGCAGGAGCAGATGTTTGGAGAAGGTGCTGAGAACCCACTCTATGTAAGTGCTTTGTGCCAGGCAGTGCTATGCATACATTTGTTTATAATCCTCACTCCAGCCCTTTGAGGTAGGTATTATTTCTACTTTACAGATGAAGGAGGTAAGACTTAGCAAGGTTAAGAAACTTGCCCACAGCTGGTAATCAAAAATAAAAGGTAGGCATGGTGGCTCACACATGTAATCCCAGCATTTTGGGAGGCTGAGACAGGAGGATCGCTTGAGCCCAGGAGTTAGAGACCAGCCTGGGCAACACAGTGAGACCATGTCTCTGCAAAAAATTTTAAAATTAGCTGGGTGTGGTAGTGTGCGCTTGTGATCCCAGCTACATGGGAGGCTGAGGTGCAAGGATCACTTGAGCCCAGAAGATTGAGACTGCAGTGAGCTGTGATTGTACCACTGCTCTCCAGCCTGGACAACAGAACAACACCGTCTCAAAAAAACAAAAAACAAACAAACAAAAAAATCAACCCCAGGTCTGTCTGATTCCAACCAGTAATCTGCCTTCCTCATGAATGTACTGCCCACCTTCTTACAAATAATAACATTTGACTTTGACTGCATCCAAATCTTATGAGGCACAGACACCTTCACCCCATCCCTTTGATCATCATAATTCTAGGATACATCTGAAGTGGGTGTGAAACATTTGATGTTTTTTTCTTCTCACCAGGTGAGCTGTCACTGTCATCCACTTGGGCCAAACTGAACAGCTACAATGGGTTAAGGCTGGTGTGGTAGGGGAACTGACGATCTCTGTAGGTTATTATTTGGTCATTTTTAAGCACTGAAATTACCATATTCCGTAATTTTAAAATTTATTTATATTTATTTTTATTGATTGATTATCTTTTTTTGAGAGGGAGGGAGTCTCGCTCTGTTGCCCTGACTGGAGTGCAGTGGCGCCATCTTGGCTCACTGCAACCTCCGCCTCCTGGGTTCAAGTGATTGTCCTGCCTCAGCCTCCCAAGTAGCTGAGATTACAGGCGCCTGCCACCACACACAGCTAATTTTTGTATTTTAGTAGAGTTGGGGTTTCACCATGTTGTTCAGGCTGGTCTCAAACTCCTGACCTCAAATGATCCAACCGCCTTGGCCTCCCAAAGTGCTGGGATTATAGGAGTGAGCCACCGCACCTGGCCTATTCTATGATTTTTTTAATGTTGAAAGATTTTATTTTAGATCCACGAAGTAGATATAAAACTGGCATTTTTCTTCTAATGCCCAGAAATGGTCAAGTATATCAATTTTCACTTGACAAGTTCTACAGTGACAAAAGAAGCATATCCAAATACACTATTATGTCCTCACATTTGAGATGGGCTTTAAAAGATGAGTGGTGGGTAACCAAGCATGTTAAGAGCTAGACCCAGGGCTCTGGTGGCTGAACACCAGCTCTCCACTTACCAGGTGTGCCATGTTGGGGAAATAATGTGGTCTCTTTGAGTTTCACCTTCTCCAAGAGTAAAACGTAAATAGATCCTACCTCATGATGTATTGTTGTGTGGATTGAATGGGAAAAATGTAGGCAAAATGATTATCCTTTTCCATAATAGCTATAGGATTTCCCAGGCTTTCCAGACACAGGATATGTACATGAAAAGGCAAAAAGGTCTAAAATGCCTGTGGTCCGAAGGACAGGAAGGAACCTCATGTAGCCAGAGCTGGAAATGAGTGGGGCATGGCGATGGGGATGGTGCTGGGTGGACAGGTTCAGATCAGACAGTGAAGGGGGCCAAGCAAAGGAATTGTGACTTTATTCTGTATGCAAGGGGGACTGTTGGGAGTTTGAGCAGATTAGGGATAAAAGCCAGCCAGGATTTTAGAAAGCAAACTGACAGGAGGAGAATGTGGTGGGGGAGGAGTCCCAGCTGCCTGCTGAACATGAGAAACAAGATAAGGGGAGCAGATAGGAAAGACATTAGAAGAAGTAGAAGCAACAGAACTTGATTAATTTACATACCCCACAAAAACCTATCAGTTAAGCAGATGGATCTAAATAGAACTACTGTTCTTAGTAATAAAAATTAGTATAAGCCTATAAAATGATATAGATAAATCAGCACTAAAAGTCCCATTATGCTCTCTGGACTTTGGCTCGCCTGGGAAGATGTGAGCTGTAAAGCAAATCTGTCTTCTAGCCACTTACTTGATTCTAGGAGGTGATTAGGTACTTCTTTTCTTTTTTTCGGCTCCTCCACTAGGTTCTTCAAGAGATGGGGTGATGCATTATTAAAGGGTTCTTTAGCATTCTTTAGTCCTCTGCTGGGGGTTTTCACCACTGCCATTTTATCATGAAAAATGGAGTCTTCTTTTTAGAGCCAAAGGTCATGTCCTGGGGAGGAAAGAGCAGCAGTATAATCATCCATGAGAAACCACGCACATTTTTTCTCTTTCTTTGATAAATGTACCTCGTCTCTGTGTGGTTTACTGTGGTTCATGCCCTCCCTGGCTCTCCTCTCTGCGGGCCACTCCATTCCCACACATGGCTGTCCCATTAATCTTCTTACATAACCCATTGCAACCCAATGTCATGCCATTGCTCCAAACCCTTCTGTGGTCCTTGATTCTCCCCAGGAGCTTTTCCTGAAATGTACTTCTGAGATGCTTCTTGAGTTCATTGCAGGGGCCCGAGAAGGGAAAAATAAAGGCTCTCAGTCAAACAAGTTTGGAAAGTATTGATGTAAACAGTTAAATAAGACTTCCAAATAAGACTCTTCTTTCAGAGATTTCTCCAAATGAGTTTCTTAGAATATTTGACTATGGAAGCCTTTAACATTTGGAGGCACTGTTTACAGGACACTGGCATTTCAGAGTCACCCTCCTCCATCCCTCTGCTAACAGGGTGATGAGGAGGGGGTGATGAGGAGGTGGTGAAACCTACGGCCAGCCAGGTGCCAGACATGGGGGTATTCCAGCTCTGTGGATCTTGATTCATGTCGAACCCTGTGTCCGATTTGCCTTCCCTTAACACACTCATTTTAAGTTCCACTTTCTTCATGAAGTTCACAGTGATCCCAACACACTTTAACATTCTTTAGCAATCACTGCTTCTATTACTCATTTGGTGTTAATAATTTATAACCCTGTAACAACATTTTACAAATCTCACATTCCCTTATATATTGCACAACTAAATCTCTTAACTTGGGGCCCTTGCGCAGGCCATGGGGCTGGTCGGCGAAGCCTCTGAAATGGAATGTTAATTAGTGTGGATCTTTGTGTGTTTTTTCGGTTTTGTTTTTTCTGGAGAAGACCCATAGCTTCAGACTCCCAAGACGGACAACATCAAGCGACAGGCAGTGAATCTATGAAGGAAGGCGCTTAACAATAACTTTCAGAAAGAAGTTCTCCCCTCCCCTCCCCTCTTCTCCCCTCCCCTCGCACCACCTCTCATAGCATCGCTGAAGGCTGCATGGCCCCCTCCTCACCTGCTTCCCTTCCCTCCAGCCCTTCAACGCCAGCCCTAGGATCAGCCTGCAGCCCGTCTCCTCCCGGAGCCTCACATCCCCTGTGCTTCAGGCAGGCCCAGGAGCCAGGCGGTCTCCACGCCGCCCACACGCCGGCTCGCCCACCGCCCCGGTAGGCCTGGCTCCGGGTCTCACCGCCGCACCCTCGTTCCCTCGCCCCATTCTCTCACCCCGGGCAGGCCCTCTCGCCCCGGCCAAGCGCCTCCTCCCCTCCGCGACCTTTCATTCCACTCCTGCTAAGGGTCAGGGTCGCCCCAGGCCCGCGCACCGCTCCCCCCACCATCCTCAGGTCACCCTCTGGGCCCGACTCTCCTCGGACCCAAGCCGCGGCCGACTTGCGGCTGGACACCACCCGGGGCTCGGTCGCCTCAGCAGCTAGGCTGCGGCGCCCCAGCGGCCGACCCTGGGCCACCCGGGCCCCAGGTCCCTGGCCGCTCACCCTGGAGGTGGTTCCCGGGCCGGATTCGGCCGGCGCCAGCGCCGGCGCCCGCTCGGAGCGTCGCCATGACGACGCGGACGCGCTCCCAGGGCCGGCGGCCGGGCGCGACCAAACGCCCCAGGGCGGGGGAGCCGGGCTGCTGCGGGCCACGACCGGAGGCGGCGGGTGATTCCTGGGAGCTCGGAGCAGTTTGCCGGGCCTGGTCAAGAATAGACAGCGCGACTTATGGCATGGGATACGAATGGATTCCCGAGGGGACATGAGAAAGTTGGAAACACCACACACTGGAACCCTTCAAGAGCGGAGCGCGGGAGAGAAGACGGACGGGGCGGAGCCGCCCGAGCCAGTGGGCGGGGCTTCACCTGACAGGCATCACTCACGACGCCCACTTTCTTGTAGTTTGTTTTACATTTTCTGTTACGGTAAATTTCAAACGTACACAAAGGCAGACCGAAGGGTAAAATAGATCTTCAACACCCAGCTGCAACGATGATCAAATCCTAGCCAATCCTGTTTCATCCGTATCTTTCCCTGACTCCTTGTATTATTTTGAAGAAAATCCCAGATATTTCATCCATAAATATTTCAAAATATACCTCCAAAAGATAAGGATTCTTAAAAAAACCACAATACCTTAAAAATTATAATTTATTAACATCTTCAAATTATCTCATATTTATTTTTAGAGTTTGAATCAGAATTCAAATACAATTTGCAAATTGGAATAGATTGATGTGTCTTTTAGGTCTCTTTTCATCAACAGATTCCTCTTTCATTTCTTTGTTAGTTGTTGCAATTTATTCATTGAAGAAACTGTTTATGTCCTTGATACTGATATTTAGGGGTTGTAAACATGAAACCGTGCCCGCTCCTCTGACCTCCTGCCCTGGTCCATTCCACCCTGCTCATCCATGAATATTATTTTTTTTCAAAGACAGCTTAAGCTTCTCTTTTCCCAGGAACTGTCCTTGTCTCACTCCCTCCTTGTGTGGCTTTGATACTTGCTTGATGTTACTTATGGCTTCATGTTGACGAGAGGCTATAGTAAGAGTCCAGTGAGGGTACCTGTCTTGCCTACATTGCCACTTGTGCTGGATGCGTATATTCCCTCCCTGCTCTTTCCCAATGGGAAATGTTCATTTTTTCCATCTTCCCATTCTCCAATTCCTCTCTGTCCCCTACCATTATTACTTACTAAAAATCTCCCCATCTTTCAAGGCTAGCTGTAGATAAGGTCTCCTCTCCTCCCCACCCTCCTTCTAACCCACCAGTCCGGAAAGACTCTTTCCCTCCTCTGGGCTTCCATAACCCTCTGTTCCACTATCTTTATATTGCACCCAACATGATTCATGTCTGTGACTTAAACTGCAGAATTCTTGGGGGAGGGAACTGTACCTTGTCTTAGGATCTCCCAGAGCCCTTGACACAGTTTTTTTTTTTTTTCTTGAGACAGAGTTTTGCCTTGTTGCCCAGGCTGGAATGCAATGGCCCAATCTTGGCTCACTGCAACCTCTGCCTCCCGGGTTCAAGAGACTCTCTTGCCTCAGCCTCCCGAGTAGCTGGGATTATAGGCGCCCGCCACCACGACCAGCTAATTGTTTGCATTTTTAGTAGAGACAGGGTTTCGCCTTGTTGGCCAGGCTGGTCTCAAACTCCTGACCTCAGATGATCCACCGGCCTCGGCTCCCAAAGTGCTGGGATTACAGGCATGAGCCACGGCGCTCGGCCACCTTGACACAGTTCTTTGTCCATATTGATTACTCAGTAACTGTTGGCCAAGGGGGTGAAACAATTCATTTGTTTATAGAGTAGGTTGCTTTAGTTCCTTCTGTTTTGTTGGTACAAAGCTGTAGATTTCAGAACAGGTACTATGCTTCCCACAGTCCCAGACCTCTCCATCCAGCACAAATCATGAGATATTTGTTTTCATATACTTTTTTATTTTTAATTTTTTGTAGGGGTGGGGGTCTTGCTGTGTTACCAAGGCTTGGTTTGAAATCCTGGCCTCAAGCAATTTTTCTGCCTTAGACTCCATATGCTTTTTAATGGATATTGGGTAACACTTTTTAATTGGTATTTAACTTTTTTAAGAAAAATCACCAAAGTTCCTATTATATATATGGATAACCCATAGGTCTCTGTATAAGAAGTAAACCCATTTGAATTTTATAGTGTAGTGGACACTGCTGGTTGCCTCCTTCCACTTTCTTTCTAATGGAACCACAGCTTTCCTGAAGTTTCTCCCCAGTCCCCAATTCTAACAGTAGACCTTGATTAATCTAGGCCAGGCCAGGCATGGTGGCTCATGCCTGTAATCCCCAGCACTTTGGGATACTGAGGTGGGAGGATCACTTGAGCCCAGGAGTTTGAGAGGAGGCAGGGCAACATAGTGAAATCTCATCTCTACAAAAAATTTTATAAATTAGCCCAATGTGGTGGCTCACACCTGTAGTTTCAGCTACACAGGAGGCTGAGGTGGGATGATTGCTTGAGCACAGGAGTTGGAGGCTGCAGTGAGCTATGATCATGACACTGCACTCTAGCTTGGGTGACAGAGATCCTGTCTCAAAACAAAACAAAACAATGCAATCCAGGCCAAGTATGGAATTCCTGATCCCCTTGCCGACATTGCCCATGATTTAGTTAGGGTTGTATATGTAGCCCCATTCTGGCCACGGGGACAGGAAAAGGGTTCTGGGGACCTCTGGAAAAGACTTTCTTTCTCCTAAGAAGATATACATAGATACAGTATCTTTCTTCTTCTTGACTTCTTAGTGTCAGGAAATGATCCCGGAACTGCAGCTGCCATCAGAGGCCATGAGGGGCCCAAGTGTTAAAGAGGTGACAAGGACAGGAGAACAAGGAGACAGAGAGACCCTGGGGCTGGATGATGTCACTTCACTTCTATTTGTTTGGTCCTTGCATTCCATTTTCTCTTTCTTCCCACTGAAAACAACTGACATATAATGACTTCTGGACACTTACTTCTCAAGGTGTAAACTGTGGCACAGGAGCTTGTTAGGAATGCAGAGTTTTGGGCTATACCAGACTTTGGTTCAGGCTACTGGACCAAAACCTGCATTTTAATAAGATGCCCCAGAAGATTCATAGGCACATTAAAGTTTGAGAATAATTAAACTGATGGAGCCCTATAATTATAGCTATATTAGATAATCAATTATTTAATCCATTTATTTATGTGGTCCACATTTATTTATTTCAATGAGTGAACACAATTCACTCATTGAATTTAAATTCACTTATAGAATTTACAATGAGTGGAACACAAAGGTGTCCCAGCATCTGCCATATGAGTGCAATAAGACAAGCGTGATAAAAGGCTTGGAAGCTATAAGCTTCAGTAATACGTGGGGAGCCGTTAATTTCCTTGCTTAAAACCCCTTGGTGGCTTCAAATTGTACAGAAGAGAAAATTCAACATCCTTAACACTCTTTCCCCGCCACCCAACAGAAACAGGGTCTCGCCCTGTTGCCCAGGCTGGAGTGCAGTGGCGCCATCATAGCTCACTACAGCCTTGAACTCCTGGGCTCAGGTGAGCCTCCCAGAATAGCTAGGACTATAGGTGCATGACACCATGCCTGGCTAATTTTTTTTTTAACTTTTTGTACAGACAGAGTCTCACTGTGTTGCCCAGGCTGGTCTTGAACTCCCAGACTTAAGTGATCCTGCCTTAGCTTCCCAATATGCTAGGATTATAAGTGCAAGCCACAGTGGCTGGCAAAAAAAATCCTTAACAGTCTTTTAGGGCTTTGTAGGACCTGGCTGCTGGCCCCTTGATTTGCCTCCTCCTCGCCCTGCTTCATTGTGTTTCCCCACCTCCCCTTTGCCTGGTATGGAGAGTGAAAGCTGGCTGCAAATTCTTTGCCACTGCTCCATGAAGAGGTGGGGTCCCTGTCCCCTCCCCTTGAGTCTGGGTGGGTCTATGACTGCTTTAACTGCCCAGTGGCGTCCTACCTGAATTCTTGACACCAGAATTTGTGAGATATAATAAAATGATGTTGTTTCATGCCTTTGAGTTTTGGGATAGTAGGTTATTCTGTAGCAATAAATAACCAGAAACTTGGCTGATTCCTACTCAGCCTAAGGGTTTCTTCCTCAGTGGGGCTTTTCCTGGCTTTCTTTCTGTATCAGGTCCTGCACCTTGGTGCTGTCTCCAGTACTGTGTTCTTTCCCTTCATAGCTGTCTTAGTCCATTCTGGCTGCTGTAGCAAAACCCCTTAGACTGGGTTCCTTACAAACAACAGAAATATATTTCTCATGGTTCTGCAGGCTGGGAAGTCCAAGATCAAGGCACCAGCACATTTAGTGTCTGCTGAGGGACCACTTTCTGGTTCATAGATGGAGACTTCTGGCTATGTCCTCACGTGGTGGAAGGGGTAAATGAGCTCCCTTACGCCTGTTTCATAAGCCCATTTCACTTATGCCAGTTTCATTCAGCCCATTCACGAGGGCTTCACCTTCATAATCTAACACGTTCCAAAAGGCTTAACTTCTGAATACCATCACCTTGTGGGTTAGGTTTCAACAAAGGAATTTTGGGAGACACATTCAGACCATAGCTGCTGGGTTGACCTCTTTGACATCTGCCTTCTTGGACTGTAAGTTCAGTGAAGGCTGACTAGTTCACCACAGTGTATGCAGTGCCTTGTCCACTACCTGGCACATCCTGGGACCTCAAAAATATTTGCAGAAGTAACTAATTAATGAGTTATGCCAAGTGATTTCTAAAGTTTAAATTATATATATCTTTGGAATATGGGTAATATAGTCATGTGGTTCAAAATTCAAGAAGTGAAAAATCTCTCTCCTTCTTCTGCCTTTTGCCATCAAGTTCTCTCTCCCAGAGGTAACTCATGTTACCAGATCAGAATTTATCTTTACAGGAATATATTATACATATCAAAACAATTGTGTGTATGCTTATATTTGTAAGAAGTTTATCTCTTGCTTATTTTATTTATATATTTTTGAGACAGAGTCTTCTTTGTCACCCAGGCTGGAGTGCAATGGTGTGATCATGGCTCACTGCAGCCTTGACGGAACCCCAGACTCAGGTGATTCTCTTGCTTCAGCCTTTTGAGTAGCTGGGACCACAGGCATGCACCACCATGCGGGCATAATTTTTTTGTAGAGACAAGGTTTGGTCATGTTGCCCAGGCTGGTCTGGAACTCCTGGGCTCAAGTGTTGAGGGAGGCCTACCTCGGCCTCCCAAAGTGCTGGGATTACAGGTGTGAGCCACTGTGCCTGGCCTTACCCATTGTTTAAAAAGCCCAAATTGCTTACTTTTCTGTCTCCCTTTTCTTCACTTAAAAATATATCTGAATGATTATACCATATCTGTACATGAAGTACCTCCTCATTCTTTTTTATAACTACGTAACATTCCATATTTCTTTAACTAGTTCCCCATTGTTGAATATTTAGGTTGTTCCTGAACTTTTGCTATTATAAGCAATGTTTTAATTATTTGTATAGATGTGTACATCACTTCTACAGACACATATATATCCATTCATATACATACGAGTATATCTGTAGGAAAAGTTTCCAAAGTTGAATTGCTAAGTCAAAAAATCTGTGCATTTGTAATATTGACAACTATTGCTAAATTGTCTTGCATGGGTGTTGTATTAATTTCTACTCCTATTTGTAATGCATAGGAGTGCTTGTTTCTTTACAGCCTCACTGAGTATATTATAAAACTTTTACATTTTTGTCAATCTGATGGTGAAAAATTGTATTTCAGTGAGGTTTTATTTTGCATTTCTCTAATGATGAGCATGTTTTCATATGTTTAGGAGACGTTTGTGTTTTCTTTTCTGTAAAGCCATGTCCCTTACCCGTTTTTCCATTTGGCTTTTGGTCTTTTTCTTATTGAGTTGTTGGAGCTCTTTATATATAGAAACATTCATCTTTTGTTCTGTGATAACTGTCGCAAAATTTTTTCCCAGTTTGTCATTTGACTGTGCTGTTAATAGGTTTCACCTTTCAGAATTAAAAATTATGTTGTATTTATTATCTATTGCTCCATAACATATTACTCCAAAACTTAGTGATTTGAAACAACTATAATCCTTTATCTTTTCTTATGTTTTTTCTGGGATGGAAATTTAGACAAGACACAGCGGAGATGGTTTGTTTCTGCTCCATGGATGTTTGGGGCGCCAGGTGGAAAATATGAAAGCTGGAAGATAGAATCTTCTAAAGTCATCATAGAGGCAAAGGAAATTTTTTCCCTTTCCCCTCTGAAGGTTTGGGTCTGAAATATACAGGCAATAGAAAGATTAAGAGGAGAAAAAGCATGCCAATTTATTTACATGCACTGAGGTATCACAAGAAAGTGAGTACCCAATAACCCAATGAGGTCTAGAAGCTCAGATAGTATTTTGAGTTATAAAAAGAGAATTAAAGGCTCCTGGGAGATGCTGGTGACAAACTATTGGAGGGTGAGGGGAGGAAATGCACTGTGAGCAAAGGTTATCTTATTGTGCTGATAAGGTCAGGTAACAGCCATCAAAAGAATAGGTGATTGCCTGTGGTAATCTCTGTCTTGGGAAGATATCAGACCCTCATTCTTCTTTAGGCAAATAAAGGGGCTTCAGAGAAAAAGCTTTGCTTGCATCTGCTGTTTACTTTACTATTGTAGATAAATATAAATTTCCTTTATAAAAGGACAGCTTTCAGAACTATTCCTATCTGCAGTTCTCTAAATAATCAACTTGAAATATGCCAAAAAAGGATGTTCTGGGGTGGCATATTCTGACTGCCCACAGCATCATCTGGTGGTTGATACTAAAGCTGTCAGCTGGGAGCCTGACAACACAGTCATATGTGGCCAGACTCCCTCACAACCTGGCCGCAGGTCCCAATGGCAAGTGTCCCAGGAGAGAGCCAGGCTTAAGCTGTATTCCCTTCTATGACCTAGGCTTAGAAGTCAGTCATACAGCATCACATCCACCTCATCCATTAGTTGAGGTAGTTATGAATGCCCACCCAGTTCTAAGAAGAGGAAACATAGACTACCTTTGGATGGAGGAGTGTCAACATCTTTTTTTTTTTTTTTTTTTGATATGGAGTCTCTGTTGCCCAGGCTGAAGTGCAGTGGCACGATCTTGGCTCATTGCAACCTCTGTCTCCCTGGTTCAAGCGATTTTCCTGCCTCAGCCTCCCAAGTAGCTGGGACTACAGGTGTGTGCTGCCGCACCAGCTAATTTTTGTATTTTGGGTAGAGATGGGGTTTCACCATGTTGGCCAGGCTGGTCTCGAACTCCTGACCTCAGGTGATCAGCCCTCCTTGGCTTCCCAAAGTGCTGAGACTACAGGTGTGAGCCATACTGCGCCCAACCGAGTGTCAACATTTTTGATAGAATACCACAGTCTGTTCTTCTGGAGGTAATTGTGGATGTGAAGCTGCAGAACTGCTGTAGCCACCTGGCCACCATCCTGGTGTTATCCAACTCCAAGGAGGGCAGAGCCAAGAGAACCATAGGCAAACAGAGGCTGGTCCATGCATGAGTCCACCCTGAAACAGGCTCTGTGTCTGCACTCTCGTTATGTGAGCCAAGAAACAACTTAATTGCTGTTTCAGCCAGTTTGAGTGAGGACTATTGAAACTAGATTTGTCTGCTGTCAACATTCTTGTCTTTGTTTCAAAGGCCTTATCAGGCAGAAATGTGGGGAGTCTCTGGGAGGTGGGGGTACACCTGACCTTTCTTTGCTCCATCCAGTGAAGATAAGGCCTTGGGAAGACTAGTAACAGTGCCTTTCAGGCATGGTTCTTATTTGCTCTCTTTTATTCGATCTGTGTTAATTATAATAATTTATATAAATATTCAAAAGGATGCTGACAAATGGAGGAGAGAAATAAGAAAAGTAAAGAAAAGCCTGCTTTCCTGAGAAAGCCAGTCCACATTTCCAGAGTGTAAACAGCGAGCCTGGGCCATAGAAACCTCATTAAAATGTTAGTGTTATACCTTTGTACTTCTGGACTGAATAGGAAATCATGCTTGTCCCATTATTTATGCCTCATCAATAATACATTAGCTCAGCTCCCAGTAAAGCTGACATTCACGAGAGGGCAGATCGTTTTGTTTGGTTTATTCAACACCGCAACGGGGCAGAGCAAGTTTATTGCACTTGTGTAGTCATGTGGTGAAGACCTTAGACCCAGACACGCAGGGGTAGCCAATTTCTCACTTCCTTCCCAGAACTCTCCTTCCCCCTCACCATCCCCTACCCTCACTCCTGGCCCCAAATCAGCCCCTTCAGCTCAAAGATCACTTCACCAGAGAGACTTCCCTAAGTATAAGTCAGGGCTCTTTCAGTTACAAGTTATGGAAATTGATTTAAACAGTTGAAATATATGGGAAGGGGGTGAGGGTGCGGGGCAGGAGAAGAGAGAGAGAGAGGCGTCAGTCACAGCTGTATCTAGGTGCTACATGATGATATCAGGATTTTGTCCACTCTATCTCTTGGTTCTCCCCGGCCAAGTTGGCTTCATTCTCAGCCAGGATCTCCTCATGCTGTAGAAAAGGCTACCATCTTCCTTTTAGCTTGATCATAATGCCAACACATAGGTTTTGCTGGTGCCACCCCTATTGGTCCAGGTTGAGTCCTGTGCCCATCCCTGAAGAAATCACTGTGGTTAGTTGGTTGGAGGATGGGGTGAAGCTCTTTATCCAGGCCTGGGTCATGTGCTCACTCCTGCAGTTGCTCATGGAGAAAGCCCCACCCAAGTTACATGGTCTAAGAATCCGGGAAAGGAGGTTCTTATGCCAGAAGAAGGGGGAATGAAGACTGGACAGCAAAACCAACAGATGTCTATTAACTTGAATCTCACAACATTGTTGATATTCAAATGTATTTGACCTGCAAAAATGATGGCTGATCTGACTCAAGCTAATGCATTAATACTCCAGGCTTGGCCCGGTCCCTCATTATATATTACCATATAATTTATCACAATTTGCAATATCATCCACCATACATTCTGCAGTTGCTAGTGTCAGCCATCCAATAGGTTTGCTAAATATGTGATTATGCAAGTCTCTTATTTCTTTAACCCTAGTCTCAGTCATCTTTCTGGGCCTCCTGAGAGGGGGTGCTATCATAGCACCCTGGCTTTATGTGGGTCTGGGGCTGCCAAAGGCAATTTCCTCAGGTCTCTGTCATCTTAGCATAGCACCTGGGACAGAGTAGGCGTTCAGTAAATACTCATCAACTGAAAGTTAGCTCTCCAACAAGCGTTTATTGCTGTTGAAAAAACACAAAGAAACATAAGTCATAATTGGAAAAGTAATTAAAAATAAGATCTGTCAACCTGGTGAATCTGCTCCACAAAATGAGGAAAACAATGAAACTATTTTATGATGAAAGAAGCATCAAGCCAGACTGTGATGTGCATCACTGGCAATCCACAAGAGTTTGCCAAGACAGATAGAAACCTCACCCTTTTATATGGCCAGGCAGATATAATCTTTTATAAACATGTAATTGTCTTTATCAAATAGAAAAAGAAAACGTTTCAGATTTCCTAATTGTAAGAAGCAGGAAATCACAACGAAGAGCCAAATGCCTAGGCTAAACCCCCACAGAGACAGGAAGACAGGGGGCCATCTCCTGGGTGTTCACATTTCAAGGAGATGGATCTAAGGCCTCCAAGAAACACATTCCTGGGATGCAAATTGGCAAGAGCCTTGTTTAGGTTTTAAAAAGATTTGCATACATCTCAAAGACACAGAGAAAGGATTTCTTATTCCGTTTTGTTCTGTTTTTGTTTTTATTGATACATAATCTTTCCACATATTTATGGAGTATGGGTGACATTTTGTGACATACTTAGACTAGGTAATGATCAAGTCAGGGTCTTTGGGGTGTTCATTACCTCGAGTATTTACCATTTCTATGTGTTGGGAACATTTCAATTCCTCTCTTATGGCTATTTTGGAATAAACAAGATTTTGAGACTCAGAAAACAGTGGCCCAAAATGAAGGCCTCAGAAGCAAAAGTTTTTCTCTGACCTTCTCTTGCCCGCCTATCTCTCAGTCCTGCTCTCTCCAAAGGCCAGCCACTGGAACAGGTCCTTTTCCCTAAGGTAGATCATGGAAACCAGAACTCCTTTTCTCCAAAGCTAACCACAAAAACCTAAAAATATTACTCTAACTTTTCCTCTGCCTTTCTGTATAAAAACTGGCCATAAAGAAATCATCTGACCTCGGCCAGGTGCAGTAGCTCACCCCTGTAATCCCAGCACTTTGGGAGGCCGAGGTGGGTGGATCACGAGGTCAGGAGATCGAGACCATCCTGGCCAACATGGTGACTCCTCTTTTTGGAAGGAACCTCTGTTTTATCTCATGAAACTTCATATGCTATAAATGGAGAAATTTCTCTCAAGCCTAAAGCACTATTCTCTTTTACATTAAACTCCTTTATCTCTTTTGTGTTAAAATACATACATGTATGCATGTGTATGTTATACATTGTGTCTACATACATGTATATGTCTAAACATATGTTTATATATTATCTACACATGATACCAAATTAAAGATGAGTGAGTACTCATAAATTAAATAACTATCACAAATACTTTTCAAGTTCGTGTGACTTTAGTAACCTTTGGTAAATAAATAGAGTTTTCAAATTTTTGGTAAAATAAAATAATCTTCACAATTTAATTTAGACATTCTTTGCCTGGGTTTATTGGTCAGACAGGTTTATACTAGAAGTTTGAAGGTCTTTACTGGAGACCTTCAACTTGAAGATCATAAAGCTGCTGCTTCTATGATATTTTTGATACTTTCTTAATTTCTCTGTGAGCTTATAAAAGCATGAAAGTGTGGTTTTTCTTGAAGGGAAAGTAATTTTATCTAATTAGAGCACTTTAAAAGTTGTTTTCAATTGAAGGAAAAATGATAGATAAAACTGTAGACTATAGTTTGTTCTAACCATTAACCTTTGTTTTTCTTTTGTTTCCATAGAAATTCCTGTGAGGTTTCATCCACATAACATGACCACTTTGCTAGCCAAGCCTCCTCTTCTCTCCCTCCTACAACCTGTCTTGCCACTATCATCTGATTTATCACCAAAATCTGGTTTTGGCCATGCTCTGAGTCCCCATTCTTTCTGTCACCTCAAGATGATATATAAGCCTCTGTACTCTCTCGGGGAGTAGGCAATCACTCTGTGGTTCTCTGTACACATGTTAATAAATTTTGCATGCCTGTCTCCAATTAATTTGTGCTTTGTGAGTTGATTGTTCAGTGAACTTTCAGAGGGCTAATCAGGCCTTGGATTCCCTTAAGTGTAGCTTCCAGAAGAGCAGAGCTTTGGTCCTACCAACTGTGCCAAACTGTAGGGGCCAAGGGAAATTTTCCCTTTTGCCCTTTGAGGGTAAACTTTTAAGTAAACTTTTGACTATTGAGCTCTTTTAAAAAATTCCTTTTAAATATTTTATTATCAGATTTTAGCTGGGACACACAGCTGATATTTATGACTTTTTGACTTTTTTTTTTAAACCAAAGTTACCTTTTAAGTGACTTACCAAAGCCAGTAAACTGTAATGAAGATTATGACTTAACCAAGGACTCACAAGGGGAGACAGCTCAGAACAAAAAAAAAAAAAAAGGAAAGTTTTGTTAGTACAACCCACATTTCTTTCTGGCCTTATTTTCTAGGGTCTCACCTGAGTGTCTACAGACAAAGGTCCCAAATCCTTGTGTCTCCTTATAGATAGAAGACAGAAGATCGAAAGCAGCTCATGGTAAACCCAGGGGATTGAAAAAAACATCTAGCAGAGATATTATAAACCTTCAGGAAGGTTTATAATGGAAACCCAGGAAAAAATGTCTAAATTAATATCTGAAGGCATTTCTATTTTATTTTGCCAACAGTATTGAAACTCTTTATGTGCTGAAGATTATTAAAGTCATGTGTACTTGAAAAGCATGTGGGCTTATTTACTTAACTTATGAGTACTCATTTATTTATAAGTCAATTTGATACTCATGTAGACAGTCTATAGACAGACATATACACATACATGTAAAGATACAGATAGACACAAAAACTTTATAGCATTGATTTTATAATTTTGGCCACAAGACAAATAAAATTCACTGGTTTAAAAGGACAGCTGGATTCAAACTATGCCTTTGTAAATGGAACAAGTTAAAGGTTATTTGTCCCACATGGTCCAAGCACTTACTGAATTTTAGAGAAAGCAAGGTAGCAATTTACGTTCCAAACATACACACACACACAAAAAACAGAGAGACAGAGAGAATTTAAGCTTTTTCAAGGAGTTTGGGTGTGTTAGAGGAACGTTAAAAATGGATGTCAAGGCAATACAAAATCATAGGAATTTACCATATAATTTTATAAAGAGATCAAGTTTATTTATCAAGTATTTATCAAGTTACTTTATCAAGTAAATTAAGGTAGCACTTAATTTAGTGTCTGTTTTCCAACTGGACCACTGGGATCAGGGTGGAGCCCATTAAGGAAGAGGACCAAAGGACCAACGAAGCATTTACAGTTTTTAGCGCCTAATGATTTAAATATGTGAAAAGCAGGCACAACTGAAGGCAGAACATTTAGACCCTTAAAGATCGAGGATCTCACTTTTACGTTGATTTCCAGGTCCCCAAAAAGAGGGAAGCACATGCAACACTTTCAGAGTGCACTTTGCTACAAAGACATTATAAGTGTTTAAACCACACATTTCTTATCTAAACACAAAGAAATAAGTAGTCTCCTGTAGTAATAACTGTTTACTGTAAACAAGTGCTCTTGGCCACCTCCAAAACTGCAGCTGTTGCCAGTCATCACACACACCAACGTCAAGTTCTCTCTCACACTACAAAGCAATCTCTGATATCCCCAAAAGCCAAAGAGATCAGGCAACACAATACAAAAGAGTAGAGTTTTAGGCGTGAGAAAAATCTGTTTACAACTCTTTATACTCTACAGGAAGACAGAAGACCACCAAAAGGGGGCAGTGGTACTTTTCCTATGTTCCTTAAAGTGTTCGAATCATTAGATGTCACCTCTAGATTCTTTCTGTGGTACTGAAGGCAGCAAAGAGAAAGAAAGAATAGGGAAGAGTAGAAGCAAATGAGAGAACAATCCTTAAGAAGGGAAGTAAACACAAGGACCAAGCACATAATTTCAGGCCACTGGAAAAAAAATTCCAAAAAACAAGATCCAAAGAGAAAAACCAGAATTTTTTTTTCTGCTGTGTGTGTGTGTGTGTGTCTGTGTGTGTCTGTGTGTGTAACAGTCTGGCCATAGAGCTCCTTTTAAAAAAATTCCTTTCAAATCTCTTATTATTAGATTTCAGCCAGGACAAAAGGCTGATATTTCTGGCTTTTGAATCTTTTTTCCCAAAGACACCCTCCCAAGTGGCAAAGCAATATCCCTAAAAGTCAAAAGTCATGCAAACATCAAACCAAAAGGAACTGGTTCCCTCACCAGGAATTGAACATCGGCCGTAGCAGTGAGAGCTCCAGATTCCAGATCCTTGCCACTAGACCACAGGATGGAGTGCTTTTATTTACTTATTTTCTTTTTTCTTTTGGCAAATCTTGCAGGTGATACAAAGAAGGTAGTTTGAGCATTTAAAGGATTTTTAAATTTTAATTTTAATTAATTAATTATTTATTTTCAGGCTCTTTTTTTTTTTTTTTTTTTTGAGACAGAGTTTCATTCTTGTTGCCCAGGCTGGAATGCAATGGCACAATCTTGGCTCACTGCAACCTCCGCCTCCCGGGTTCAAGCGATTCTCCTGCCTCAGCTTCCCAAGTAGTTGGGATTATGGGCATGTGCCACACACCTGGCTAATTTTGTATTTTTAGTAGAGACAGAGTTTCTCCATGTTTCGGTCAGGCTAGTCTTGAACTCCTGACGTCAGGTGATCCGCCCACCTGGGCATCCCAAAGTGCTGGGATTACAGGAGTGAGCCACCATGCCTGGCCGCATTTAAAGGATTTTTAACTTGTTTCAGATCTAATATTGTTTAGCAAATTCCCTGGATATTAGCCTTTCAACATCAGTGTCAGTGAGTACTTCTGGTTTAGGAAAGATTTGTTGGATCTGCATTTTTATAAGCTCAACACTTTTATTTTCATCCATTTCCCCCTTTAAAGGACTATTAATCTTTTAATTACCTGTTTTATTACCCTAAGCAATTGTCAGCTGGGCAACAAAGTTGTGTTTTGGAGACTCATCTTGTTCATTGAGTGCCCTTTTTAATTGGGCACAGAACGGTTCAGAACCAGATGCGGTTCATAGTGACTCTGGAACTGCCACAGTAGGAGTTTCAGGCAGGGGCTCAAAGACCTGGGGAACTTCTTCAGGTGTTGGTGATGGACATCTTTGGTTTGCCTCCTGAATGAAGGCAATTTTTCTCAGAATTTGTTTTAAAGGATTTTGGGTGCCACTGGGGGCAAGTCCCGTATTTAAGTTATCTGGTTCTACAGCCAGTTTTTTCTGATTGTGTGTGCAAATAAATTACTTTAGGTATTTCAAGAGATTCCCCCTCCACTTTTTCTTTTGGTCACAGTTGCTTATGACCATCCTGGGTTAGGTGGGTCCTCTCTCCTAGACATCCACAAAACAATGCCCCATAAGTGTTGTACATAAAACCAGCTGCTGGTTAACTCAAAGGAGTTTGTCACAAATGAAAAATCAAACCCGAATTTCAAAAACAGGAAAGCAGCTGCAATGTTGAAAGTATGCTACGTAAAGCAAGACCACTGGTGCCTAATGCCAATCCTTTGACCCAAACCTCCGCTGTGAGACAGAGGCAGAAAAACTTTGACCCCAGTCCTGAGACAGAGGCAGAAAAAAGGCCATTCTCTGCAGTGCTCATTACCTAAACCTCCTGTCCAAAGATGGACTGAAGCCCTCACTCTTTTTTTTTTTTTTTTTTTTTTTTTTGAGACGGAGTCTCGCTCTGTCGCCCAGGCCGGACTGCGGACTGCAGTGGCGCAATCTCGGCTCACTGCAAGCTCCCCTTCCCGGGTTCACGCCATTCTCCTGCCTCAGCCTCCCGAGTAGCTGTCAAGTGGATTTTTAAAGGCAGAAAAGGGGGACATGGAGTGGGCTGATGAAAAGTTGTCTGTCAGTAATTCTCATTGGTTTACAGGAATAACATTGATTAGTGTTTGGTTATAAGCGGTAAGCTGTGGTGTATGGGTTATAGTGTCCAGTGTGGCATTATTAGGTTAATTTGTAGCTCTTCGTGGCAACAGCAAGTGATTTCAAGAGATTAATACATAGGCCGGGTGTGGTGGTGCACACCTGTAATCCCAGCACTTTGGGAGGCCAAGGTGGGAGGATTACTTGAGGCCAGGAATTTGAGAGCATCCCAGTCAACATGTTGAAACCCTATCACTACTAAAAATACAAAAATTAGCCAGACGTGGTGGCACACACCTGTAATCCCTGCTACTTAGGAGGCTGAGGCAAGAGAACTGCTTGAACCCGGGAGGAGGAGGTTGCAGTGAGCTGAGATGGCACCACTCCACTTCAGCCTGGGCGCCTGGGCAACAGAGAGAGACTTTGTCTCAAAAAAAAAAAAAAAGATAAATACATAGGTCAAAGTGGGGAGGAAGATGTGAACATGGTCTCATTTTAATGTCTTTCTGGGCCTGATAATTAAAAGGATTTGCATTCCTCAAGTAACAGTTTTCTCAATATCATCTTGAGGTTACAGAAAGAATGGGAGGCTTAGATTATGGCAAAACAGGTTATGGAGTGGGGGAGAGAGTCATTCTGTTGAGGGGCAAAATGACTTCTAGGGAGAATGAATGGATGGGAAATAGAGATTAACTTGTAAATAGCTTTCTTTGGAATTGAAGGAGTCTGAGACACAAACATCTTGTAAAAGGGTCTGTTGAGGTATGGTTACATTCTTGGTCTTCTTTCTGTAATAGATAATGAGATACCAGAGAGGAGAAGAAAAACAATTGTTCTTGGTGGGTCCTGACTTTAGGCAGATAAAGAAACTTCAGGGAACAGCTTCGTCCTATGCTTTGGGAGAGACAGGGGTTGGGCAGGGGTAGAGGGGAAGGTCAGATAGACCTTAAGCCTTCTTCAGATCAGCATGTCAAAATGCCACATTTTGGGGTAACAGTTTCTGAGCCCCAACAGCCCTTATAGGTGACCTCTCTCCCAAGAACAACTCTTGCCAGCTTTTAGAAGCACTGCTTTCACTCTTTGCCCCTTGTTAAAGAAAAAGTTATTGCGACACTTGCCAAAATGGTAAGGATGATTTATTTCAAGACTATAGCAACAGGGGCTTTGTGATGGGGAGGAGCAATCACGCTCTACTCCAAATACAACAGGGATAAGTGAAGATTTACAGCCCAGGTGCAGGGTAAGGGTCAGTGGATGGAAAATTACTAAGAGGAGATATCAGTGCTGGCAGGATTCTTGCTAAACCCTTCTAAATAGGATTCTTGCTAAAGGCAGACCAAGGGCTTAAATATCAAAGGTGGAGAATGAGGAACTGAAGCAGATATCAAAAGTGATGAGATATCAAGAGTGGAGTAGGAGATCTTCCTAAACTCACTTCACAGGATCCTTACCGAGACTGGGCTAGGGAAACTGAAAACAGGACGGGGGGCCAAGGTCAAAGCTTAGTTGGGAAGAGGGCTAGAGGAGCCTGACTAAACTTTAGTCAAGGAGAGTCTTCGTCACCCTTCAGACTTCCTGTTGCCGATCCCTCCACCTCACCATCCCTTGCTGGTTCCTGCCTACCCTCTGCACATAGTCCTTTCATTAAACTCCCTTTGATTAAACCGTTTGAGCCACAGTTTCTCCTTCTTCTGCCAGGCCCCTGCCTGCTCATCCCTACCTACCTCACAGAGCTCTGTTAATTAATAAGAAGATGCACACAAAAGAGCTTGTGAAGCCTAAGTACAAGGAGACCATCTCCATGTTGGAGAGGAATCCCAGTACCATGCAAAGAGCTCTAGGCACCAAGGAAAAACTTCCCTTTTGCCCTCTGAAGTTCCACTGAAAATCAACTGAAAAAAAAAAAGGCAGATTCATAGGCGAAAAGGCATGCAAATTTTAAAATGTGCACAGGAGTCTTTCAAAACACAACTCAAAGAAATGGCCAGAGGGTGGACGCTTTCATATTCCATCTTGAAGTTACAGGAAGAATGGGGGCTTATGGTGTGTGGCAAAATAGGTTGGGGGGTGGTGGAGAAGAGGAGGCCTGGCTGGTAAAGTTGGGCTTGTTATGCAGATGAAACCTCACAGGTAGCAGGCCTAAGAGAGGACAGATTGTGTGTGTGTGTGTGTCTTTCAGACAGTTAAGGTGTTGAACTCTCAGTTAACCTTTCTTAGATCTGGATATGGGAGGTTCCACAGAGAAAGCCTGGCTGCATCAGTGCAGAGTTCTCTCTCCAGATGCAATCTCCCCAGTAAAAGACAGCCTTGCAGGGCTACTTCTGTTTGGAGGCCCTCTGAACAGCCATCTCAAAATATGTCAAATAATAGAGTGAAATATTTTGTTTCCTTCACGACACAGGCTTGGGCTCAGTCCTGAATTCAAATCCTGGCTCCTCCCCTTATTAGCTGTGCTGATGGAGGCAAGCACTTATCTTTCCTAAGCCTCAAGTTCCCATCTCTTTTATGGTCTTGGAGGACTGGATATGATAACACACCCGAGCTTCCTAACAGACTCCCCAGCACACGACAGGTGGTAAATATATGGTTAGTTTTCCTACCTCTTCCCTTCTACCCCTATTGTGAAATTGTCTTAGGCAGGTTTTAAGGACCTTTCAGGGAGCACTTCAATCCCTTTTCTCAACTCTCTGAGAGGCAGAGCTTCCCATTTAAGCAAGAATGGCTTGCTACAGGCCAGAAATGTATTGAATTGCCCAGAACTAATGTTGTTTTGTTTTTTCATCAGATATCACGAAGCTCTGGTATAAAGCACGGATTGCATTTTTGTGTTGTTTTCTTTTTATTTATTTCAACGCCAAACAGCCATACGCAGCGTTGTTACAGAAAACATTCAAACAACACAGAAATCTGTATAGTAAAAATTGCAAGTCCTTACCTCAGGCACTTTGCGATGGATATTTAGGGTGCTGCGGTTCAAGCAGCCTAGGAAATAACATTTTTCTTTCTAGCCTGAAACTTGAACCAATTGAGAAATAAGATCAAGACAGATGCGGCCAAATATCACTTTATAAAGTCAGTATTGCAGAATGTGGTTTATACTTGTAGGCAAGTGGGTTTCCTAACTAAACCCCAGAATTAGAGAGACAACAGTTCATACTGGACCAGTTCCAGTAGAGCCTCGACCACTAATCACAGCCTGGCCCAGGGAAATCCAGTTACAGGCTCTCTGTAGGGGGGCACACTGTCAAAGGAAGGAGAGAGGAGGGGACCGAACTCATGCCAGTTCCTTATTCCAAATGCATCAATCATGTAAGCTGGCCTCACCTGTGTATACGTGCCTGCATGCATGCTTGCGTGTGGGTGCACATGAGAGAGAGGTGGGGGATAGACAGACAGAGAGAGGGAAGGGGTAGAAACAAGTCAGGAGCATTATAGTAATGACTGCTGCCCATGAGAAAGAAAGAAATAAGGGTGATTCCCTTTCCCCATATATCATCTCGTTTCCTGCCACTGTCATAGTGCTTCCGCAAACATCCTTGCACATTTCATTAGGCCCTTGGGTGAGTATTTATGTAGAAAGAGTTTCTAGCAGGGGGTTGGTGATTATGTATACTTTAGGTTTGATGTGTACTGAGCATTGGTTTTGGACCTAGGAGCTGAATGGATTTTCCTCCCTTTTATTTCTGCTGGGATTTACCAGCCTCAATTTACTAATAGTCTCTTCCGGTAGGGAAGGCTGCTAAGGACAACACATTGTTACCTTAACAGCTGCATGGCCTTCTGCGTAAGGGCCAGTTACAGAGAGTCGGGTCAGCCATGTAAGGGTAGATTCAGGCTTTCCTGTCTGAGCCTCTGAGTTGCAGTACCCAGACATGTAATGAATCCTCCTCCACCTCCAATGCCCTCCTCTGTCAAATGGACATCGTATCACCTAGGGGTGTGAGGGAGAATTAAATGAGCTGATGTACTTAAAGTGCCTGGGAGAAAGATCAAGAAAGGAGGAGAGAGAAGAAGGAAGGGAGTGGGCACCAGTGCAGACTAAGGAAAATTGAGTTTGCAAGACCCATCTAGTGCTGGGCCCAGTGGCTCATGCCTGTAATCCCAGCACTTTGGGAGGCCGAGGTGAGAGGATCTCTTGAGCCCAAGAGTTCAAGACCAGCCTGGGCAACATGGTGAGACTCTCTTTTTTATGTAACAGTAAAAAAGGGCCATCGCCCTGTACTAAGAGGCCAAAAGAGACGCCTTGTACTAAGAGGACGTCTTGTACTAAGAGACGCCTTGTACTAAGAGGCCAAAAGCAAACCTCCAGGATACACAGCACCGATGGAGAGGGCTACTGGGACTACCTGCCTGAGGCTTAAATAGCCTCCCAGGGGGTTCATCCTCAGGACGGTCCCCAGATGCCTGAGTGTACCACAGATCCTCCTTGGTCATCATCAAAGGAGGAGTTCATGGGAGTGAAACTTCATGGAATTAGCGCTAATGACTTCAATAATGAAAAAATCGGAAATAAAGTGCAAGGTAGCTATCGGGGGGAATAGATGCAATGGGCCTCGACTGTGTGACAACTTTCAGTCCGAGAGTGGGTATTATCAGACGTGTTGTTAGGGATGAGAAAGCCGAGGCTTACAAAGGTGACCTAAGTTGCCCACCGGCCCCCAGCGAGCTTGCGCTTTCTGTCCGTGGACTCCAGAGACAGTGCTCTTTCCGGACCCGGGGTTGGGCGGGATTGCCGCGTAGAAGGCTAAGCCAGCGTGCCCTCTCCTGGCCTCCTCCAGCTTGGGCCCAGCCTGCGGGAGCCGACTCCGGGTCCCCGCGCCCTCCCTCTGCCTCCTCCCCTGCCAGCCTCCGCGCCGACCCCGCGCCAGTCCCTGCCGGGTGGAGGAGGCGCGCCGGCAAAGCCGCGTCCTGATCAATGGGGCGGGCGGCTTAGCGCGCGCGGCCACCTGGTCCGAGGAGGAGCAGTCCCGGGGCCCGCCGCAGGTCGGGTGGCTCAGCCATGGCTCCTCGGGGCGCAGCGGCCGGCCGGAGCCCGGGACCCTGCGCGGGGCGCTGAGCTCCCGAGCGGGCAGAGGGCACGGGCAGGCGGACGTCGGGGCGCCCTCGGGGAACGTGCGGGCACCATGCGTCCCCACCTGTCGCCGCCGCTGCAGCAGCTACTACTGCCGGTGCTGCTCGCCTGCGCCGCGCACTCGGTGAGTACTGCGCCCTTCTGCAGGCTGGGGACCCGAGGGAGCGACAGTCTCGCCCTTTCTCCGGCCTCGGGCAGGATGCAGGTGGAGAGGGACTAGCAGATCTTCCCATGAGGAATAGGGACTCTTCCCTCCCAATCCTCCCAACATTAATCTCTCCCAGCTCTTCTCCGGAGGGACCCTTTCCCAAAGAAAAACATCGTGCGCGCCAGACGAAGGCGGCTCTAAGATGAATCCCTGTGCCCACCACCGACCCCTTCCTCTGGTCTGGCTTCTGAAACTCTCCTACACGGAAATTCTGGAGCCGCCCGTGGCAGTGCCTACTGTGTCCTGGGCGCTTTGCCTCCAATCTTTCCTTGAAACCTGGTAATCACCTTTCGAGGCTGCTATTATCACCGTCACTTTACAGACAAAGAAAGGAAAGGAAAGGAGAGGAGAGGGGGAATAAAAATTCTTGCTGCAAGTCAGAAAAAGAGGATTGGAACCCACATCAGTATCAGTCTGCCCCCAAACCTTGACATTTTCACACTCACGGGCTGCGGATGGGAAAACCTGAGGGAGCTCTGGCAGGAGCTTCTGGGTCTGCGATGGGACCGCCTGCCGCTCTCCCCACACCGTCTCGTGTGGGATGCGGCTCCCTAATGTCTGCGTGCCTGGTGGCTCCAGGGCGCTGCTGTTCCCCAAAGCCAGGTCCTGGCAAGGGGCTGGAGGAGGAAAATAATAATAATAATAATAATAATAATAATAATAATAATAATAATAATAGCGGCAGGATGGGTGGTTTGTTTTTCTTTCCAACAGAAATTCCTGGGAGTCCCGGGCCTCTCTGAGCTCCGGGATCTCTGATAAAGAGAGTGGCCCCACCCAGACCAGCAGAAAGGAAGGAATGGGGAGGGAGTGGGGGTTAGAGGTGGGGGCCAGATTCCAGAATCATCCCTTCCCACTAGCATTCCAAATTGGTCCCCAAGTCGTCTCTTCCAAGAAGCTCCCCAGGGAACGCGCTTGGGGACCCAACTGAGTCTCTGATCTCTGTCCTGGGCAAGTCTCATGGTGTCCAGCCTCCTTGTCTTCCCTTAGTCTCCTCTGGTTTGATTATAAGGAAAACCAATGCTCCCGGAGCCGACCAGAGTGTTGACACTCAGGAGATGCTCATTTTTCTGGTAGCCCCAAGACTTTCAGCAGCAGTAGTTGGGATGAGTGCAATTTGGAGCTTGCTTGGAGCTCCCTTGCCACCGTGGAGCCTCCTCTCTTCAGTGGCAGTGCTGGCCTTGGAAGACGCTAGAGCAACAGCATGCACTCATGAGTTTTGACTCCCAATTTGGAGAAATGCCAACTGGGATACTGGGGACAGTGCAAAGCCAGGTAGAGCCAGAAGGTGTGTTATTCCGTGGCTGGGGGTGGGAGAGGCAATAGCTCCTTCCTTGGGACCCTCCCAGCCTCCTTCTTAAGTATTTGCAGTGACTCTGAGACTGTCGTAACTGGTACCTCGAGTGCAGGACTGAGGTTCAGCCTACATTTTTATCTCAAGGAAATCCCTGGATTATCACAGGAATAAATGGAAGGGGAAAATGAGAGGCTTCACTTGGTTTAAGTCTTCAGTGTACCTTGGAAGGATGCTTCATTATGCTATGGTCCCAATCCCTCATTTTAAAAATGAGCACACTGAGACTCTCAGAGAGAAGGGAGCTGCCCGAGATCAGCAAGTTAGTAGTAGAGCCGGGACTAGCAGCTCTACTCGCCCCACATACCCCACTTAACCCACTAAGGTTAGCACCCAGATCTCTTGATTCCCAACCATCCAGGGCTCTGTCTTTTATACCCCTTGTATTTCCTTTTTCTTTTTCTTTTTTTTTTTTCTTTTGAGACAGAGTTTCACTCTTGTTGCCCAGGCTGGAGCGCAGTGGCGCGATCTTGGCTTACTGTAACCTCCGCCTCCCAGGTTCAAGGGATTCTCCTGCCTCAGCCTCCCAAGTAGCTGGGATTACAGGCATGTGCCACCATGCTCGGCCAATTTTTTGTATTTTTAGTAGAGATGGGATTTCTCCATGTTGGTCAGGCTGGTCTGAAACTCCTGACCTCAGGTGACCTGCCTGCCTCGGCCTCCCAAAGTGCTGCGATTAGAGGCATGAACCACCGCGCCCGGCGGTCCCTTGTATTTTCAAATGTGCATTACTGCCTTACATAATCACAAGATGGTTTCCTGTGTATAAGTCGTGGTCCTTGGGTTATTTTACGGCTTCTGTAGACCTTAGATCTCACACTTCTTGGCTGAGAACTCCTGTAATAAATAGGAGTGGAACTGACCTACTTTGGTTGGAATATTTCCCAGCCTCTGGAGCCCTGCTTTCCTTCTGTTTGACTCTGGGTGGTCACACATTTGATTTTGAAATCTAAGTGTGTTCAAATAATTTTTTATTCATTTGAAGCTCCCCCTTGAGGGAGATTATAGGCATCTTCCCAATGGAGGGGGGTCAGTGAGGCCAAATTGCTTATTACCGCTCTCCCTCTACTCCATATAGGGAGGCGTCAGAAGTGACCCTTGTAAGTGAAACCCAAAAAGTGGCCGAATGGGGCAGTTTTCTGAGGCCTCCCTATAAGAAATACTGATCACAGCCCCCTCTGCGGCCCCACCCCCATACATCTCATGAGAACTTTTACCTGGAACATTACTGTAATTATTTACTAACACATCTGTCCCCCAAACCCCAATATGCACACTTTGAACTTGAACATGGAGACTCATCTTGTTCATCTTTCATCCCTAGAGTCTGTCACAGTGTAAGAAGGAGCTCAGTGAGTGTTTGTTGAATGAATGCATGGATGACTGAATGAAATCATGCTGATGCAGCAACAAATAAGGAAGAATCACCTCTTGAAAGCACTCCTTACTTGCTAAATTGTACAGAAATGTGTCAGGCTGTAGAGAAAGAGTCACTCAAGGTAGGGCTTTTTAATCCATGACATTTGGCAAACTGCCAATTTGTTAACCTTAGTGAGTTAAGTGAGGTGTGTGGGGCTGGTTTTTCCTTCAAGCAGAGTTTCTTCACACTACTGACATTTGGAGCCAGATAATTCTCTCTTCTGAGAGCTGTCCTGTGCATTGTACAATGTCTAGCAGCATCATGGACCTCTGCCCTCTAGAAGCCCATGATCACTCCAAAGCTGTGACAACAGAAAATGTATCTCTAGACATTGCCAAATTTTTTCTGGGGGTAGGAAGGGCAAAATCGCCCCTGCTTGAGAACCGTTGCCTTAAAGGTTGTCATGTTTCAGGACAGATACACAGATAGGGCTAACAATAGGTATTCATTTCACATTGGGTTTGGGGCAGTGGGGTTGGTGATACGGCATCTGAGTCAGAGGATGGAAACAGGTGTGCCTGATGAAAACCAGTTTCCAAACTGGACAAAGGACTTCTGTGGAGAATGTTTCCTTGATCTATTCCACCCTCCCTTCCCATCTTTTTCCCTCCTATCTCCATCCCTCCTCAGTTGATGGCTAAGAAATATAAAAATTCCAAGTACAGGCTCTGGCACATGGAAGCCTTCAGTACATGGTGGTCGCTGCCCTGTCCGGTCATGCATCTGGATCCAGAAGCTGACAAGCCCTGTGGCTGCACAGTGAGCAGAACCTTAGAAAGGCCTGCAAGCGTTGCCTGCAGAGCTGGTAATTACCCTGTTGCCCGGGCTGGAGTGCAATGGTGCGATTATGGCTCACTGCAGCCTTGAACTTCCTGGCTCAAGTGATCTTCCCACCTCAGCCTCCCAAGCAGCTGAAACTACAGACACCTGCCACCATCCCCATCTAATTTTTTAATTTTTTTAGAGATGGGTCTCACCATGTCTCCCAGGTTGGTCCTGAACTCCTGGGCTCAAGTGATCCTCCTGCCTTAGACTCCCAAAGTGTTGGGATTATGGGTATGAGCCACCATGCCCAGCCTGGGAGCTGATTATTGATGACTTTTCAGAGAGGGTCACTGGGGATTTTTTTTGTGTACCTGGAAAAACACTTTCTAGTTTTCTGAAGAAGTATTTGTGGATTTCTTTTGAGATTTTTATTATCCCTGAAGTTAATAAGTGAAGGATGATGAAGGCTCCTTTAATTGACTCTTATTTTCTACCAGACACTCTGCTGAGTCCCTCCTAACACTAACACTCACTTCAACAGTTATTAGCCCCATGGTGCAGATGAGGAAACTGACACTTGGATAGATGTGAAGCCATTTGCTTAAGGCCACCCAGCTGGACATGGTGACATGAGACCTTAAACCTGGAACTTCTTTTTTGTTTTTTTTTCTTTTTTTTTTCTTTGTTTTTCTTTTCTTTTTTTCTTTTTTTTTTTTTTTTTGAGACAGAGTCTCATCTCACTCTGTCACCTAGGCTGGAGTGCAGTGGCGAGATCTTGGCTCACTGCAACCTCCGTCTCCCAGGTTCAAGCGATTCTCCTGCCTCAGCCTCCTGAGTAGCTGGGACTACAGGCATGCACCACAATGTCTGGCTAATTTTTGTATTTTTTAGTAGAGATGGGGTTTCACCACATTGGCCAGGCTTGTCTTGAACTCCTGACCTCGTGATCCACCCACCTTGGCCTCCCAAAGTGCTGGGATTACAGGCGTGAGCCACCGCAGAGCTTCTTAACCAGCACATGCATCTGCTCCAAAAGAGAGGCCTGTTCCGGGTTTCTGGTGCCCAAGGAGCTGTCATAAAATTATCTCCCAAACTTCAAAATAGCATTAATTTTCATTTAAACTAATCAATTTGTGAAACATAAAAAAATACTGAGTTACACACAGCATTTATTGAGGGGCCCAGAAATGAGCATGGGGTCACAAAATCCAACAGGAGGAGATACCAGTTCCCAAACAGTTTAGGGGAGTCCACTTAGGCGGAGCGCGGTGGCCCATGCCTGTAATCCCAGAACTTTGGGAGGCCGAGGCGGGTGGATCACCTGAGATCGGGAGTTTGAGACCAGTCTGAGACCAGTCCGACCAACATGGAGAAACCCTGTCTTTACTAAAAGTACAAAAAAATTAGCTGGGCGTGGTGGCCTGTAATCTCAGCTACTCGGGAAGCTGAGGCAGGAGAATCGCTTGAACTTGGGAGGCGGAGGTTGCAGTCAGCTGAGATCATGCCATTGTACTCCAGTCTGGGCAGCAAGAGCAAAACTCCGTCTCAAAAAAAAAGGGGGAGTCCACCTGCTTTGGCATCGTCACCCTTTGGAGTTCCCGCAGAACTTCCCAACCTCACCCTGTCCTCATGATCCCCACCCAGGTTGGGAAGTCCCCAGATTTCCTACCATGACAAGGGAGGACATAGCCTCTCTTCCTGGCACCCCCTTGCTGAAAGCCTAGATTTAATATCTGGGATTCGAGCTCCACCACCAGAACAGCCTCTTGCAGTGAGCCCCAGCTTGGTCTCTGCATCCCTGCTCTTAGCAAGCTGTAGGTTCTCACCACTGACCTTCACTCAGGCTTCGGGACAACCTGCAGCTCAAGGTAAAACCACAATACTCAGATGCTATCTACTTGCTTACATTACAAACAGAAGGCTGCTCAGCATTCCTATGGACTCCTGGGGCCCACCCAGCCTCTACATTGTGCGTCTGTTCCAAGGATGGCATTTGGGGAGGGTCATCCCTGGTTCATCACGTCCCGCAGTCTTAGCCCATTGTGCTGCAGGCTCCTGAGGTTCCCAGAGTCATCTCCAGATCCTGCCATGCCCCACCCCACTTCCCTCACCTGAGGCTCTTAGGCGTGCTCCTGATGGCCACGTGTCTTTCAAATTTCTCACCTCCCGCCTCCCTCTCATGTTCAACAGATGGGCTCACCTTCCATTTCCCAAGAGTTGAGACTACCTGGATGAACTTCTAACCAACATCTTGCCCTTACAGATGTGTCTAAATTGTACCCTCTGTTCCTTTCCTTCCCGTCTGTCTTAGTCAGCTGTGTTATCATAACAAAATACCACAGACTTGGGGACTTAAACAAAAGAAATTAATCTCGCGGTTCTGGAGGTTGGAAGTGTGAGATCAAGATCCCCAAGGGTTTGGTCTCTGGTGGGGACCCTCTTCCTGGCTTGCACATGGCCACTTTGTCCTCATGTGGCATTTCCAGTGAGTGTGTGGATGCAGGGGAGGGGAGGGAAACACCTTTCTGGTATTTCTTCTTGTAAGGACACTAATCCTATAGGATCAGGGCCCTATTACTACAATGCTGTTTAACCTTAATTACCTCCTTATGGGCCCTACCTCCAAATACAGCCACCCTGGGGGTAGGGCTTCAACATATGAATTTAGTGGAGACACATTCAGTCCATAACAGCATCCAAGTGGAAGAGAGGCTGTTCCCCAGACAACAGCCTGTCCCTACTCCTACCCCTACCGACTTCCTTCCCAGGACAACACAATGACAGCCATCTCACCCAACCTTCACCCTCTTCCTCTCCGCTGACTTTTCTCATCAGCTGGTTAACTTCCCCAAGTCTATCCAGCCCAGGCAGTAAATAGCCCTCTGCTCTCTGCCCCCTGGTGGCCAGCTTCCTGTAAGACGCGTCCACCTTCATTGCCTCCACTTCACTCACTCTCACACTGCAACCTGGCTCCCACGCTCCACCCACAGAAACCAGCCTCACCAGTGCCCTTCGATTTGCCACATTCACTGGATTCTTTTTTATAATCTTTTTTAAAAAATAAAAATTGTAGACTAAGCACGGTGGCTCACTCCTGTAATCCCAGCACTTGGGGAGGCTGAGGCAGGTGGATGGCTTGAGCCTGGGAGTTCAAGACCAGCCTGGGCAACATAGGAGACCTTGTCTCTACAAAAAATTTTAAAAATTAGCTGGGTGTGGTGGTGTGTGCCTGTAGTCCCAGCTACCCAGGAGGTTGAGGCGGGAGGAATGCTTGAACCAGGGAAGTAGAGGCTGCAGTGAGCCATGATTGTGCCACTGCACTCCAGCCTGGGTGAAAGAGTGAGACTCCGTCTCAAAAAAAAAAAAGCACTTAAAGTGTACAACATGATATTTTGAAATACACAGTGAAGTGATTACTATAGTCAAGCAAATTAACATATGTTTCTTCACAAAGTTACCATTTGTGTGCATGTGTGTGTGTGTGTGGTAAGAGCACCTGAAATCTACTCTTATGGCAAAATTCCAGTGTACGATACAGTGTTATTATTATTGTTATTACTTTTGAGACAGAATTTCGCTCTTTTTGCCCAGCCCAGAGTGCAATGGTGCGATCTCAGCTCACTGCAACCTCTGCCTCCCGGGTTCAAGAGGTTCAAGTGATCCTCCCGCCTCAGCCTCCCGAGTAGCTGGGATTAGAGGCATGCGCCACCATGCCTGGCTAATTGTGTATTTTTAGTGGGGACGCGGTTCCACCATGTTGGCCAGGCTGGTCTTGAACTTCCGACCTCAGGTGATCAGCCCACCTCAGCCTCCCCAAGTGCTGGGATTATAGGCGTGAACCACCACACCCGGCCCGATACAGTATTATTAACTATAGTCTTCATGCTGTACATTAGATCTCTAGACTTATTCATCCTGGTGTAACTGCAACTTCATACCCTTTGACCTATATCTCTCCATTCCCACCCCCTCCCAGGCCCTGGCAACCACCATTCAACTCCCTGCTGCTTTGTATTCAACTTTGTAATATTCCACATATAAGTAAGATCATGCAGTATTTTTCTTTCTGTGACCAGCTTATTTCACTTAGCACCATGTCTTTCAAGTTTATTCATGTTGTCACTAATGATAGGATCTCCTTTTTTAAAGCTGACTGGCATTCCATTGTATATATGCAGCATGTTTCTTCATCCATTCATCTGTTGAGAGACACGTAAGTTGCTCCCACATCTTGGCAATGGTGAATAGTGCTTCAGTGAGCATGGGGGCACAGGTACCTCTACGAGGTGCTGATTTCATTTCCTTTGGGTTTATGACCAGAAGTGTGATTCCTGAATCATATGTTAGTTCTATTTTGAATTTTTTTGAGGAAGCTCCATGCTGTCTTTCATAATGGCTAAGCCAGTTTACATTTCTTCCAATAGTATGTAAGAGTCTCCTTTTCTCCACATCATTGTTAGCACTTGTTCTCACCCCACATTAGCCCCCCTAACAGGTGTGAGATGATGGCTCATTGCGGCTTTGATTTGCATTTCCTTCATGATTGGTGATGTTGAGCAGCTTTTCATTTACCTGTTGGCCATTTGTATGCACTAGATACTTTCCAGTCCGGATCCTACCAAGGGTCATCCATGCAGTTTTTGAGAGAGAAGAGATACTATGAATAGTTACACTGAGACACTAGGAAATACCCAACACATCTTAGAGGCATGCAGTGCTGGGCACCTCCTTCCTTTCCATCTTGCCAGCAACATGGCTCAGGCCAACGTGGTTCTGAGTCTGACCGCCTCAGAATCAGGGAAGATGATGGTGGAACTCAGTCAGAAGCTAGAGTCCTGGGAACCATGGGGGGACCACTTGTGCAAGTTCTAAAATCCAAGGCTGTAGAACCTGGGATTCTGATGTTCAAGGACAGGAGAAGGGTGTCCCAGTTCCAGGAAAGAGAGAGAAAGAGAGAGAGTAAGTTAGTGAATTTACCTTTCTCTGCCTTTTTTGTTGTATTCAGTGCCCAGCCGATTGGATGGTGCCTGCCCACGTTGAAGCAGATCTTCCTCACTCAGTCTACCAACTCCTGAGCCAATCTCCTCCAGAAACACCCAGAAATAGTGTTTTACCAACTATGCAGTTAGCCCTTAATCCAGTCAAGTTGACACTGAAAAGTAATTATTTCAAAGACAATCCTCACGTCTTGCTTAAATGGTAGAGCCATCTCCTAGGGGTTCTTTACTACTACTCTGACCCCATCCTCCTTCCTTCTCATAATGGCAGACTTGGCAATGCCACTCCCATTTAAAATTCCTCACAGCACTTACATTGGGCCCTCTGGCCATTGACTTCTCTGGCCCCTGTTGGAGACCATGAGCTTCAAGGACAGAATCTATGTCCCATTCACCTTCATGTCACCAGTGATGGGCAGACTGCTAAGCATATAGTAGGTGCCCAATAAATGTTTGCTAAAATTTTGAGTTTTGAATAGGTTATATAATGATGAGTTTCCTGTTTTTATTTCTCATTGTATAAATTAGACTATTACTTTCCTTTCCCCCCTTGAAGCGATATCTTTCCAGTCTCTGGTTGTTAGGCAAGTAATTATAAAGTGTGAGAAGAGAGATGATGTTGAGTCTCTTTACCTTATTCAGATTTTTTTTTTCTTTTGAGACAGAGTCTAGCTCTGTTGCCAGGCTGGAGTGCAGTGGCATGATGTTGGCTCACTGCAACCTCTGCCTCCCGGGTTCAAGAGATTCTCCTGCCTCAGCTTCCTGAGTGGCTGGGATTACAGGCATGCGCCACCACGCTTGGCTGATTTTTTTGTATTTTTAGTAGAGACGGGGTTTCTCCATGTTGGTCAGGCTGGTCTCAAACTCCCGACCTCAGGTGATCCACCTGCCTTGGCCTCCCAAAGTGCTAGGATTGCAGCCGTGAGCCACTGCACCCAGCCTTTATTCAGAATTTAAAAGATTTTTATTATATCTCCTCCCAGATTTTGCCATCTTGACTTAAGAGTCCAAAATTAAACTCCAAAATAGCTAACAGAACCCACTTGACATATTTTCTCTCTTATTTGTGTCTTCTTTGTTATTCTTTCTCTCTGCAGACTGGATTTTTCTGTTGCTTTCTACAGGATAGTATATGGATGCTCCATAGCCTCCAAGTTTGCATGCTTTGGAAATGGGAGAGATTGGCTTTCTCCCCATGCCAACACCAAATATCCAAGGAAGGCAGATTGTCTCACACCTGGTTAGGTTTTCTCCTTTGGTCTAATCAGTGGGATAGGATCACACAGCATAAACCACCCAGCCTAGACATGAAAGGGTTCTTCCCAGGGGGCAGTTGTTGGTTCAGGGGCTAAGCAGACACCTCAAAACATGTCTACCATCTGGAAAAATAACCCAAAGAAAGAGATGGTGGAAGTTCATCATAGAATTGTCAAGCAAGAGGTGAACTTATACACCACAGTGGGACCAACCACGACTATGTGTTGAGTGAGACAAAGGGTGATACACCCTGCAGAGACACTGTTAGACATGCAGTGACTCACACAGTTTACAACTTAAGCACTTCTTCTTTAAAAAATTACCATAGTTTTATGTAGCAAAACCAAAACTCAATGTAAAATTATGGGATACTAAAAAGTGGAATTTACCCAGAAAAGCAATGGATGGGCACCAGTTCCATGGTTCTGCAAAAGACCCTAGAAAAGATTCAGTTCAGAAAATCAAAGGGCTCCTTGAAGAACACCCCAGAGAAGACAGTAGGCAATGTTACAGAAAGCCGTTCTCTTCAGAACCTTGAAGTACAGCTCTGATGTGTAATTAATGAGGTGAAGGCCTGTGAATTTTGTGATCAACAAGAAAAAAGAAAGTGGATTTAAAATTCTAGGAAAAGACAAAAGTTATACAAAACGTTTGTGGTCTAAATATTTTAAAATCCAAACTTTGACATGATTTTAGCAATATTTCCAAAACTCCATGTAATGATGACTTAGACTCAGGCTCTGAAACCAAAAAGGAAAGAATATGTAATGTATGTTTTTGTTTAGTTAATAAAAATAATAAAATAATATAGAAAAGTACCATTTAGTGATTTTTCTCTGACAATCTCTTATTAAATTTTTGAGGAATTTTTTTAAATATGCTTAGGGCATTCAGTTTAAGATGACAGATTGACCACATATATTTATCTGCTCTGTCTCTGGAAACACTTTTAAAATGACAGTAAAGGAATAGAAAAGGTATAAACCCATACAAAGAGAACAAAACAAGAGACAGAGATGAAGCAGAAATTTCCAGAAATCTTTGGAAAATGAAAAGTGATGAAGTGATAGCTGTATGGAAAGAATAACCTCAATGCCTGTAGCAGGCAGAGGAGAAACTGTCAAGTCATCCTGTGGCACCCTGGAAAGGCCCCAGACACTGAGGAGAGTCCACTCATAGACCCCAGCAGTGGGCTCCCTCTTGGCCTGGTTATGTTACAGTGAAGGCCACCAGGCAAGAAGCTGTTTAGGTCCACAGTGTTTCCAAGGACTATGTTACTGTCTCAAGCTTAGATCGTACATTGAGGAGGGCCTCCAATGTGGAAGCAAACAATCATGAGAAAAGTGCCTCAAGGAAACAGATCATGTAGACAAGAGGAGACAAACTTAAGACGTACAACTAATATTTGGAAATCCTTTGTGAAAATGATGCCTGAGCCACAAAACTAGAAAAGGATGCTATAGAAAAGGAATCATCTCAGAGTAAGAAAGGATTCTTGGAAGTTAAATGTATGAAACAAAACATTCATAAAAAAACTCTACAGATAATGTCAAGGAAATCTTTTATAAAGAAAATCACAAAGGCTGGGCACGGTGGCTCACGCCTGTAATCCCAGCATTTTGGGAGGCTGAGGAGGGTTGATCACCTGAGGTCAGGAGTTGGAGACCAGCCTGACCAACAAGGTGAAACCCCGTCTCTACTAAAAATACAAAAATTAGCTGGGCTTGGTGGCACGCACCTGTAATCCCAGCTACTCGGGAGGCTGAGGCAGGAGAATCAGTTGAGCCTGGGAGGCAGAGGATGCAGTGAGCTGAGATTGCGCCACTGCACTCCAGCCTGGGAAATAGAGCGGGACTCCATCTCAAAAAGAAAGAAGAAGAAGGAGAAGGAGAAGGAGAAGGAGAAGGAGAAGGAGAAGGAGAAGGAGAAGGAGAAGGGGAAGGGGAAGGGGAAGGGGAAGGGGAAGGGGAAGAGGAAGAGGAAGAAGATCACGAAGACAAAATGGTAGAATAGTAGAGAAAGATGAAAAGATTGGAGAATCAGTGCACCTCGTCCGATACTCTGCTAGTGGGAATTCCAGAGAGACAGCATAAAGATGAAGGGAGGAAATAATAAATTAAAAACATAATATTTTTTAAATTCCCAGAAATGAAGAACACAAGTCTTCAGATTGAAATGCTGACTGAGTATCCAATCAATAAATTTAAAAACAACCATTTCCTCAAGAAATTTCAAAATACCTAAGAACAAAGAAAAATCTTACATATATCTAGGGACAAAACAAAAAAGTTGTATACAAAAGATTTGGAATCAGAATTGGATTTCTTATTAACAATACAAGAAGAGGAGAAATGCCTTCAAAATTTGGAAGGAAAATTATTTCAGCCTAGTATTTTCTACCCAAATTGTTAATTAGTTTAATAATTAATCAAATTAATAAAAATATTTTCACTTCTGCAAAGATTCAAAAATTTACCCCCATGTACTTTTTCTTAGGAGGTTACTAGAGAATTCTGTGCTTTTGCAAAATGAGAGCAAACCAAGGAAAAAGCCATGATACCTAGGAAATGAGACCCCAGCCAGGAGACAGGGAGAGGGCACCCCAAACCACAGCCAGATAGCAGGCCTGGGTGGAGCAAGAGGAAGGAGAACTCTGAGACAGAAATATCCGGAGGAAAAACCAATAGGACTGTGGATAGATGTGTAACAGAGCTGTGGGAGCACTTGGAAAAATTAGCCATATGTACATGGAAAACTAATCCAATGAAAAAACAATAATGATAGACCTCAGGAAAAACAAAATGTACAAGAAAGACACATAATCATTTTACATGATTTGACTCAGCAGCGAACAATATTTCCTAGTCAAAATAAGTCATTATAAATGTAGACCATTCTTCACTAAAAATGAAATGAAGATTAGTATATGTAATATATGAGGAGAGAAGTATATGTAGGGAGATTTTAAAACATCTCATCTTTCTCTTCCCTAATAGGAAGTTTGACTGTCTCAAATTTAAAAACCAAGAAATAACAACAGTAAAAGAATATAATTTTTTTTTTTTGAGACGGAGATCTCAAAGAGATTGCTCTTTCACCCAAGCTGGAGTGCAGTGGCGCTATCTGGGCTCACTGCAAGCTCTGCCTCCCAAGTTCACACCATTCTCCTGCCTCAGCCTCCCAAGTAGCCAGGACTACAGGTGCTCGCCATCACGCCTGGCTAATTTTTTTTTTTTGTATTTTTAGTAGAGACGGGGTTTCACCGCGGTAGCCAGGATGGTCTCCATCTCTTGACCTTGTGATCTGCCCGCCTCAGCCTCCCAAAGTGCTGGGATTACAGGCGTGAGCCACCATGCCCAGCCAAGAATATAATTTTAAAACATGGAGACAAAAATGAAAATAAACAACTAAAAGGAGTTGAAAATGGTTGCCTGGAGAGCAGGTAAAGGTTATGGAAGGGAAATACTATTTGTCATTATACTCTTTGGTACTAGTACAAATTTAAAAAAAAGGCTCAGTGTGGTTATACAAACTCAATTTTAAAAATTTAAAGGGATTTAAAAAAAATGAATAGCTCTTGTTTTGAGGAAAATTTTACATAAAGTTCAGCAATTCTTTCATCTTCATTTGTCCCTCCTGTGAATTACAACTAAAATGTATTTAATACTTTTAAATTTAATGAATATATACAATATGTGTACATATACACATGCATATAGCTACTAAATGTCAGCCTCTCCCCCTCTTCTCTAGGTTGATGTAGATAGCAAAAGGGCTTGTTTCTCATCTCCCACATCTTCTGGGTGGTTGCTCCAAGGAGCCACATGCTCTTCCCAGGCGCTCCCAGCAACCCTGGGGACCCCAGTCCCTCTTTGCCGGTCACCACCTGGAAACATGGACTCAGTCCTCTCAGCAGAATGACATTCCTGTCTCACAGACACTGGTGGACACCACACATTTCTTTAGTTGGCATACCCCCTCCCCCCACATTATCTTGGCTTGTTACATTTTAGAGGAAGGATCAAGGGCAAAACAAATGTGAGATGCTCCACTTCACAACCATAAGTGGGAGTTGAACAATGAGAACACATGGACACAGGGTGAGGAACATAATACACGGGGCCTGTCAGGGGGTAGGGGGCTGGGGGAGGGATAGCATTAAGGAGAAATTCCTAATGTAGATGACAGGTTGATGGGTGCAGCAAACCAACATGGCACATGTATACCTATGTAACAAACCTGCATGTTGTGCACATGTACCCTAGAACTTAAAGTAAAATAAAAAAAAAAAGGAAATTCTGATACGTGTTGCTACATAGATTAACCCTGAAAATGTGCTGAGCGAAACAAGCGAGGTGCAATGAAACCAATACTGTGTGATTCATTTATGTGAGGTATCTAGAATAGGCAAATTCTTAGAGTCAGAAAGTAGAATAGAGGTTACCAGGGGCTGGGGAAATGGGGGGATGTGGAGTTATTGCTAAATGATGAGTTCAGAGCTTCTGTTCGGGGTAATGGAAATGGATACTGGGGATGGTTGCACAACATTGTGAGTATACCTAATACCACTGAATTGCACACATTAAATGGTTAAAATGGTAAATTTTATGTTATGTATATTTTACCACAGTTAAAAAAAAGAATTGTTGGATGAGAAGAAAAAGTTAAACTATCCTCCATTGTTGCTGTTTCTATAGTCCAAAGGAAAATCGCCAAGGAAGTTGAACTCTTCTTGCACAGGGCTTCCCATCATAGATATGTTATCCCATTTCTAACCTTGCTCTGTTGCTCTCAAGAGAGTCCTCTTTGCCAGAGGACTTTCAACTCTTACAGTGGAAATTGACATCTACTTTTGGGAAACCTCATTCACTATTCACACACATTGATACCGCCCTGGAGTTTATTTCCTACCCTGTATCAGTCAGCTAGGCGGCATAACAATTGCACACATCTCAGTGGCATGCAGCAATAAGTGTTTATTTCCCTCTTGGCATTTACAGTTGAGCTAGGGTGTGATTGATCCAGGCTGGGCTCTCCCGGCTTGGCTCCATCCCCTGGGTTAGGTTCAGTCTTCTACACCTGTCATTCATTCTAAGATGAGCAAGCTACCCCAGGTTCTGAAATGCAGGTAAGCATTTCAAACCTCTGCTCACATCAAATCACTAACGTCCCATTGACCATGGTCACACGGCCAAGGCCAAGCAAAGAAGTACACCTCGCCCACCATGATAGGAGTCATATGTATGTATAAACCCCATAGGGCGTTGAGACCAGTACTTGTAACTACAGCATACTTCTTTCCTGTCCTTGGCAGTAAATTTCCTAAGTCTGAGTTACTTCCTGTATATTAACATCAAGAGGACGCAATGGATGTACAACATGATGACTAAAGTTAATAACAATGTATTGTGTTTTTGAAAATTGCTTAGAGAGTAGATTTTAAGTGTTTTCACCGCACACACAAAAGTGAAATAATGCCTATGTTAATTAGCTCAATAAGAGCCTTTCTACAGTGTATACATATTTCAAAACAACATGTGCATAATAAATCTATACAGTTTTTATTTATCAATGAAAAAAATTAATTTAGGCCAGGCACAGTGGCTCACACCTGTAATCCCAGCACTTTGGGAGGCTGAGGCAGGAGGGTCACTTGAGCCTCATAAGTTCAAAACCAGCCTGAGCAACATGGCAAAACCTTGTCTCTACCAAAAAAATACAAAATTAGCTGAGTGTGGTGGTATGCGCCTGTAGTCCCAGCTACTCAAGAGGCTGAGATGGGAGGATGGCTTGAGCCTGGGAGGTCGAGGCTGCAGTGAGCTATGATTGTATCACTACACTTCAGCCTGGGCAACAGAGCGAGATTGCCAAAAAAAAAAAAAAAAAAAAAAAAAGAAGAAGAAGAAGAAGAAAAAGAAAGAAAGAAAAAGAAAATTTTTAGAAAAGAGAATATGATGGAATGTGGAGGTTCAGAAGCAAACTCCAGGATAAGTTTAGTCCTCTTAGTCCAGCAGAACAATCAGCCTTAGGGCTGTTACTCCCATCCCCATGGTTGAATATGGTTCACCGCAATATCCACACGTAGAAGAGGGAGGCACGTCCCTTTCCTTCAAGGGCATGAGACAGAATTTGCACATGTGTTTTTCACTCCAATCCATTGCTAGAATCTAATCTCATGGGCACGCCTTAGTTGCAAGGAAATTGGAAACTGTAGTGTCTAAGTGGGTAACCAATTGCCTAGTTAAGTTTTGATTATACTAGAGAAAGGGAAGAATATTTACTGGGGAAACAGTCTCTGCCAAAAGAGACGGGTGGTAAGAGTGAGAATGAGCCAGCACTTTGGGAGGCCGAGATGGGCAGATCACGAGGTCAAGAGATCAAGATCATCCTGGCCAATGTGGTGAAACTCCATCTCTACTAAAAATACAAAAATTAGTTGGGCGTGGTGGCTGGTGCCTGTAATCCCACCTACTTGGGAGGCAGAGGCAGGAGAGTCGCTTGAACCTGGGAGGCAGAGGTTGCAGTGAGCCAAGATCGTGCCACTGCATCATTCTAGCCTGGGCGACAGAGCCAGACTCTGCCTCAAAAAAAAAAAAAGAAAAAAAAAAAAAAAAGAACGAGAAAGAGGAAATGGAATGCGGACTTTCATTTCATATATGACACCCATAGCAAATTTGGCTCTTAGTTCAGAAACCTTGATTTAAAGAAATAATTTCTTTCTTTAAACTAATAACTGCTGCTGAGTCCCCAGCCTACCTTACTAGTGACAGCCAGGGGACGAGTTCTTCCCCTATTCCCCTGACAAATGGCAGCTCTGTTGACATGTTCACTTAGTGATAGCAGGGCTACACACACATTGGTTGTCTACCTTCCTCTGCATATTTAAACATTATTTTAAAAGGTTTAAAAGATAATTTTCATAATATTTTCATGCATTTTCTTCCAGATTTTTCTCTGAAAAATTAGTACATTTAACATAATTACAATCATACTGTACATATAAGTTTGTCTTGATTTTCCTGTTTAACATCACGGTATTACTGTTGATAGTCTGTACTGCTAAACACTTTCCTTAAATAATCATATGTAATGCCTGAACATATCCTGTTAAATGGACTCAACATACTTTACCTAGCTAGATGTTCTTTTATACTCAGATAATTAAGTTGTCTTTTTTTTGTAATTCAACTTTTTATTTTGAAATAGTTGTAAATTAACATGCAGTTGTAAGAAATAATACAGAGAGATCTCTTGTAACTTTTGCCCAGTTTCTCCCAATGGTAACATCTTGCAAAACTATATATAGACAGTACAAGATTACAATCATGATATTGACATTGCTGCAGTCAAGATACAGAATATTTCTGGCATCACAAGGGCCCTTCATGGTGCCCTATTATAGTTATTTCCACTTTTCTCCCATTCTCACCCCGTCCTTAACTCCTGACAACACGCATCTCTTCTCCATTTCTATAATTTTGTCATTTCAAGAGCATTATATAGGCCAGACATGGTGGCTCGTGTCTGTAATCCCAAGACTTTGAGAGGCTGAGGCAGGAGGATTGCTTGAGGCCAAGAGTTCAAGATCAGCCTGGGAACAGAGACCCCATTTCTACAAAAAGTATTAAAAATTAGCCTGGCTATGGCAGTGCATGCGTAGCCCTACCTGTGCAGGAAGCTAAGGCAGGAGGATTCTTGAGCCTGGGGATTCAAGGCTGCGGTGAACTATGATTACACCACTGCACTCCAGCCTGGGTGACTGAGCGAGACCCTGTCTCTAAAAGATAAATAAATAAATAAATAAATATTATAAAATAAAATAAGGAATGCTATACAAATGGATAAATGGAATAATATAGTATGTAATTTCTTCGCATTAGCTTCTTTTCATTCAGCATATTTCTCTGGCGATTCGTCTAGGTTGGTGCATATATCAATAGTTTGCTCTTTTTATTGCCGAATAGGGTTCCATAGTATGAATGTACCACAGTTTATTGAACTGCTTACCCATTGGAAAACATCTGGATTGTTTAAGTTTGGGGGCTTTTATGAATAAAGCTGCTATAAATATTTATGAACAGGTTTTTCTGTGAACGTGAGTTTTCATTCCTCTGGGATAAATGCCCAGGACTGTCGTAGTTGCATGTTTAGTTGCCTGGTTGGTTTTCAAGACACTGCCAACCTGTTTTCTACAGTGACTGTACCATTTTACATTTCTACCAGCAATGTCTGAGTGATCCAATTTCCCTGTGACCTTGCCAGCATTGGGTGTTGTTACTTTTGTATTTTAGCCATTCTGATAGATATGGAGTGATACCATATAAAGGTTTTAATTTGGATTTACCTAATAGCTAATAATGTTGAATACATGTTCATGTGCTTGTTTGCCATCTGTATATCTTTTTTTCTCTGTTTTTTTAAATTATACTTTAAGTTTTAGGGTACGTGTGCACAACATGCAGGTTAGTTACATATGTATACATGTGCCATGTTGGTGTGCTGCACCCATTAACTCTTCATTTAGCATTAGGTATATCTCCTAAAGCTATCCCTCCCCCCTCCCGCCACCCCACAACAGGCCCCGGTGTGTGATGTTCCCCTTCCTGTGTCCATGTGTTCTCATTGTTCAGTTCCCACCTATGAGTGCGAACATGCGGTGTTTGGTTTTTTGTCCTTGCGATAGTTTGCTGAGAACGATGGTTTCCAGCTTCATCCATGTCCCTACAAAGGACATGAACTCATCATTTTTTATGGCTGCATAGTATTCCATGGTGTATATGTGCCACATTTTTTTTTCTTTTTTTTATTATACTTTAAATTTTAGGGTACATGTGCACAACGTGCAGGTTAGTTACATATGTATACATGTGCCATGTTGGTGCGCTACACCCATTAACTAGTCATTTAACATTAGATATATCTCCTAATGTTATCCCTCCCCCCTCCCCCCACCACACAACACATTTTTTTAATCTAGTCTATCATTGTTGGACATTTGGGTTGGTTCCAAGTCTTTGCTATTGTGAATAGCGCTGCAATAAACATATGTGTGCATGTGTCTTTATAGCAGCATGATTTATAGTCATTTGAGTATATACCCAGTAATGGGATGGCTGGGTCAAATGGTATTTCTAGTTCTAGATCCCTGAGGAATCGCCACACTGACTTCCACAATGGTTGAACTAGTTTACAGTTCCACCAACAGTGTAAAAGTGTTCCTATTTCTCCACATCCTCTCTAGCACCTGTTGTTTCCTGACTTTTTAATGATCGCCATTGTAACTGGTGTGAGATGGTATCTCATTGTGGTTTTGATTTGCATTTCTCTGTGCCATCTGTATATCTTCTGTAAACTATCTCTTCATGTCTTTTGCTTATGATCTAATTAGAATTTTTGCTTCTTTACTGTTGAGTTTCAAGCATTCTTTGTATATTTTAGATATTATTCCTTCCTTGAATATGTAGTTTGTAAACATTTTCTCCGATTCCATAGCTTGTCTCTTCATCTTCTTAACATGGTTTTTCAAGGAGCAAAGGTTTTAATTTTTATTGTGTCTAATTTGTCAATCTTTTCTTATATGGATCATGCTTTTGGTGCCAAGCATAAGAACTCTATGCAGCTTTAGATTTGAAGATTTTCTCCTATGCTTTTATTTATTTATTTATTTATTTTTAATTTTTATTTTTTGAGACAGAGTCTTACTTTGTCACCCAGGCTGGAGTGTTGTGGCGCAATCTTAGCTCACTGCAACCTCCATCTCCTGGATTCAAGTGATTCTCCTGCCTCAGCCTCCCTAGTAGCTGGGATTATAGGTGTGCGCCACCACGCCCAGCTAATTTTTGTGTTTTTAGTAGGTGGGGTTTCACCATCTTGGTCAGGCTGATCTCGAACTCCCGATCCCAGGTGATCCGCCTGCCTCAGCCTCCCAAAGTGCTGAGATTACAGGCATGCACCACTGCAGCTGAGCTCCTATGCTTTTAAATAAAAGTTTCATAGCTTGAATTTAAGCCCGTGATCCATTTTAATTTTTGTGTAAAGTGTGAGACTGAGCTCAAGGTTCATTTTATTGTCTACAGATGTTCGGTTGCTTCAACACCATTTGTTGAAAAGATGATCCTTTCATTGAATCCCTTTGTACCTTTGTCAGTAATTGGTTGTGCATATTTACGTAGGTCTATTTCTAGGTTTTCTATTGTGTCCATTGATCTACTTTTCTATTCTTCCATTGATATCCTGTTTGATTACTGTACCTGTATAATACATCTTAAAATCAGGTAAACCGATTCTTTCCACTTTTCTTAAAATTAATAGAATTAATTTTGTTGAAAGGAATTAGGTATACAGAAAAATTGAGTGGAAAGTACAAAGAGTTTCCATATACCCCTTCAATCCCTCCTCTCCAGTTTTCCCTATTAACATCTTGCATCAATGTGGTTTATTTATTACAATTGCTGAGCTTATGTTGATACAATATTACTAACTAAAGTTCATAGTTTACAATAAACTTTGTGTTGTATATTCTATGGGTTTTGACAAATGTATAATGACATGTATCCGCTATTACAGTATCATGCAGAATCGATTCACTGCCCTAAAAGTCCCACGTTCCACCTATTCTTCCATTCCAACTTAGCCCACTCTCCCTCCCTATTGTCCCCTGGCAACCACTGATTTTTTTTACTGTCACCAAAGTTTTTGCCTTTTCCATACAGTTGAGATTATATAGTATGTAATTTATTGAATGATTTATTTCTCACTCTGTCCCCCAGACTGGAGTGCAGTAGTGCTATCATGGCTCACTGCAGCCACCACCTCCCAGGCTCAAGCAATCCTATGCACGCCACCATGCCAGGCTAATTTTTAAAATAATTTTTTTAAGCGATGGGATCTCACTGTGTTGCCAGGCTGGTCTTGAACTCCTGGACTCAAGCAAGCCTCTTGCCTCAGCCTCCTAAAGTGCTGAGATTACAAGTGTAAGACGCCACTGCCAGCTGGTAACCTTTTTAGATTGACTTCTTTCACTTAGCAATCTGTATTTAAGATTACTTTGTGTCTTTTTGTGACTTAATGGCTCATTTCTTTTTTCCTTTTTCTTTTCTATTTTTTTTTTTTTTTTTTTGAGATGGAGTCTTGCTTTGTCGCCCAGGCTGGAGTGCACTGGCGCTATCTTGGCTCATTGCAAGCTCTGCTTCCCAGGTTCACACCATTCTCCCGCCTCAACCTCCCGAGTAGCTGGGACTACATGTGGCTGCCACCACACCTGGCTAATTTTTTGTATTTTTTTTTTTTTAGTAGAGATGAGGTTCCACTGTGTTAGCCAGGATGGTCTCGATCTCCTGACCTCATGATCTACCTGCCTCGGTCTCTCAAAGTGCTGAAAGTGCTGGGATTACAGGTGTGAGCCACCATGCCCAGCCTTCTTTTTTCTTTTCTTTCTTTCTTTTTTTTTTTTTTGACGAGGTCTCACTCTGTCGCCCAGGTTGGTCTTGAACTCCCGGACTCAAGCAATCCTCTGGCCTCAGCCTCTCTAAGCACTGGGATTACAAGTGTGAGCCACAGTGCCCAGCAGCTCATTCCTTTATTTTATCACTGGATAATCATCAATTGTATGTCTGTATTATGATCTGTTTATCCATTGACCTATAGAAGGAAGTCCTAGTTGATTCCTGGTTTTAGCACTTATGAATAATTAATTTCACTTCTTAAAAAAAAACACCTCTTTTAGGTATTCTCATTCTTTTGCTTTTCTACATAAATTTTAGAATAATCTTTGTATCTCCAAAACACTTGCTGGGATTTTGATAGGAATTGTGTTAAACATAGTTTGGAAAGAACTGACATCTTTACTATGTCAAGTCTTCTAATCCATGAACATGGTATGTCTCTTCATTTATTTAGACTTCTGATTCCTTTTATCAGCATTATGTTGTTCTCAGCATATAAATTCTGCACATGTTTTGCTGGATTTATGCCTAAGCATCTCTTTTTTTAATTGATTCTGAGTGATACTGTATTTTCTTTTTTTTGAGACAGGGTCTCACTCTGTCTCTGAGTCTGGAGAGCAGTGGTGCAATCTCTGTTCACTGCAGCCTCAACCTCATGGGCTTAAGCCTCCTGCCTCAGCCTTCCAAGTATCTGGGACTACGGGCTCATGACACCACACCCAACTAATTTTTGTATTTTTTGTAGAAATGGGGTTTTGACATCTTGCCCAGGTTGGTCTTGAACTCCTGGATTCAAGCAATCCACCTACCTTGGCCGCCCAAAGTGCTATGATTACAGGCATGAGCCACTACGCCTGGCCACTGGGTTTTTAATTCACTGTGCATGTGCTCACTGCAAGTATATAGAAATACAATTTGTTTGTGTGTGTTTAGTTTTTATCCTGAGACCTTCCTGAATATACTTTTTAGTTCTAGGATTTTTTTTTGGTAGATTCCTTGGGATTTTCTATGTAGACAGTCATGTTATCTGCAAATAGGTTTTTCTTCTTCTTCTTCTTTGTATTTTTTGATTGGTGTATCATAGTTTTACATATTTTGGAGGTAATTGTGATATTTCGATGCAGGTATACAATATGTTATGATCAAGTCAGGGTAATTGGGATATTTATCTCCTCAAACATTTATCTTTTCTTTTTGTTGGAAACATTACAATTCTTCTAGCTACTTTGAAATGTATGATAAATTATTGCTAACTATCATCTCCCTACTTATATTATCAAAGGCTAGAACTTATTCCTTCTACCTAACTGTATTTTTGTACCCATTAACCAACATCTGTTCATCCTTTCCTCCCCCACCCTTCCCAGCAGGTGGTAAACACCATTCTATTCTCTACCTCCAAGAGATCCACTTTTTTTTTTTTTTAGATGGAGTCTCATTCTGTTGTTCAGGCTGGAGTGCAGTGGCATGATCTCGGCTTACTGCAAGCTCCACCTACCAGGTTCACCCCATTCTCCTGCCTCAGCCTCCCGAGTAGCTGGAACTACAGGTGCCTGCCACCAAGCCTGGCTAATTTTTTGTATTTTTAGTAGAGACAGGGTTTCACCGTGTTAGCCAGGATGGTCTCGATCTCCTGACCTCGTGATCCACCTGCCTTGGCCTCCCAAAGTGCTGGGATTACAGGCATGAGCCACGATGCCTGGCCAAGATCCACTTTTTAAGCTCCTACATGCTAGTGACAACATGCAATATTTGTCTTTTTGTGTCTGGCTTACTTCTTTTCTTTTTCAACCTTTTGTTATTAAATTTTTTTAATTGACACATTTAGATATATATATTTTGGGGGTTCATGTGATAATCATATACATTCATATAATTTGTAAAGATCAAATCAGTGTAGTTGGGATAGCCATCACCTTAAATATTTGTCTTTTCTTAATGCTAGAAATATTGAAATTATTGTCTTCTAGCTATTTTGAAATATACAACAGATTATTTTAAACTATAGTCACCCTACTGATCTATCAAACACTAAGTCATATTTCTTCTATCAAAACTATATTTGTACCCATTATTCAACCTCTCTTCAACCCCTTTTCTCCCCTACCCTTCCCAGCCTCTGGTAACCACCCATCTAGTCTCTATCTTCATGTGATCCACCTTTTTAGTTCCCATGTATGAGTGAGAACATGTGATTTTTTTTGTCTTTTTGTGCTTGGCATATTTCACTTAGCATAATGACCTCCATTTCCAACTGTGTTGCCACAAATGACAGGATTTCATTGATTTTTATGGCTGAATAATATTCCTCTGTGTATATATACCACATTTTCTTTATCTACTCATCTGCTGATGGGTACTTAGGTTGATTCCATATCTTGGCTATTGTGAATAGTGCTGCAATAAACATGAGACTGCATATATCTCTTTGACATACTGATTTCCTTTCTTTTGGATATATACCCAGAAGTGAAATTCCTGGATCATATGGTAGTTCTATTTTTAGTTTTTTGAGAAACCTCCATACTGTTTTCCATAATAGCTGTACTACAATTCATCCCATCAGCAGTATACAAGCATTCCCCTTCTTCTCATCCTTGCCAACATTTAGTACTTTTTGTCTTTTTAAGGACTAAACTTTTAGGACTACACTTTTTAGTTTAGTCCTAACTGGGGTGAAATACTGTCTCATTGTGGTTTTGATTTGCATTTTTCTAATGATTAGTGATGTTGAGCATTTTTCATATACCTGCTGCCATTTGTATGTCTTCTTTTGAGAAAAGTCTATTTAGTCCTTTTGCCCATTTTTAAATTGAAGTGTATATTTATTTTTGCTATTGAGTTGTCTGAGTGTCTTATGTATATGTATGTGTTCCTCCTTCTTATCTGTATGCCTTTATTTCTTTTTCTTGTCTTATTGCATTGGCTAAGACTTCCAATATTGTGTTGCATAAGAATTGTGAGAGTAGACATCTTGCCATCCTTAAGGCAAGAAATGTCAACATTAAGTATGGTTTTAGCTGTAGGTTTTTTTTGGATGCTCTTTATCAAGTTGAAGAAGCTCCCCTCTGTTCCTATTTTTCTGAGAGTTTTTTCATTAATGGACATTGAATTTTCTCAAATAATTTTTCTGCCTCTATTGATATGATCATGTGATTTTTCTTCAGCTGTTAATACGATAAATTACATTGATTCATTTTCAATATTAAACTCATGGATTGTTTAGAAGTGTGTTGCTTCATTTCCAAGTGTTTGGAGATTTTCCATTTTTCTTTCTGTTATTTATTTTTAATTTGTTTTCATTGTGGTCAGAGAACACATTGTATATGATTTCAGTTCTTTTAAATTTGTTGTGTTTTGTTTTATGGCCCACAACATGATCTGCTTGATAAATGTTCCATGAGCACTTGATTAAAATGTGTATTCTGCTGTTGTTGGGTGAAATGTTCTATAAACGTTAATTAGATTGTCTTTGTTAATGGTGTTTTCCTAGATCCTTGCTGATTTTCTGTCTAGTTATTCTATCCATTGTTAAGAGAAGAGTGTGTAGTCTCCAACTAAAATTGTAGATTTGCCTATTTCTCCTTTCAGTTCTATCAGTTTTTGTTTCACATATTTTACAGCATGATTGTTTGGTGCATACACATTTACCATTGCTATGTATTTTTTGATAGCTTGCCTTTTTTTATCATTATGTAATGTGTCTTTCTGTTTCTGGTTATTGTTTTTGCTCTACACTGTACTTTATCTTACATTAATATAGTCACTCCTGATTTCTTTGATTAATGTTTACATAATATATATTTTTCTGTCCTTTCAACCTGCCTAGATTATATTTACAGTGAGTTTCTTGTAGACAGTGTATAGTTTAATCATGTTTTAAAATCCAATATGCCAGTCTCTCTTTTTAAAATTGGTGTGTTTAGACCATTTACATTTAATGTCACTATTGATATGTGAGGGCTTCAATCTGCCTTTTTATTTTTTGTTTTATATTTGTTCTCTAAGATTTTTATTTCTTAGTTTACTTTTCTCTGCCTTCTTGTGGGTTAGTTGAACAATTTTTAAAATTCTATTTTGATTTATCTACAGTGCTTTTGAGTGTATCTCTTTAAGCAGCTTTTTAAGTTGCTCTTAGATATTCCATTATACATACATAACTTATAATAGGCTACTGGTGTTCTCATGCTCCCAGTTCAAGGATAGTATAGAATCTTATCTCTATTTTTGTCCCTTTATCATCCCGCATTTGTAATATACTTGTCTTAAATATGTAGTTGATATACATTTAGAATAAAATCAGACAGTGTTGTAATTTTTGCTTCAATCATTAACATAATTTAGAAAACTGAAGAGAAGGAAAACCTATCGCATTTACCCACATTTTTGCTTACTGTGTTCTTCTTCCTTGCTAATGTTACAGTTTTCCTTCTTTAACTTTTTCTTTATATTTAGAGAAGTTCTTTTAGCCATTCTTTTAGGGTGAGTCTACTGGCAACAAATTCTTTTACTTTTTCTTATTTGAGAATGTCTTGATTTCCCCTTCATTCCTGGAGGATATTTTTACTGAGTATAGGATTCATGGTTGACAATACTTTTCTTTCAGCACTTTAAAAATATTGTGCCATCTTCCTGTAACTTCTGATGGAAAACCAGTTGTCATCTTAACTGTTTTCCCCCTTTAGATAAAGTGTAGTTTTTCTCTGGCTGCTTTCTAGGTTTTTTCTTAGTCTTTAGTTTTCAAAAATAATGTGCCTTGGTGTGGACTTTTAAGGATTTATCTTCTTTAGGGCTGGTTTGTGTTCTTCAGTCTACAAGTGTATGTCTCTTGCCAAATTTGGGAAGTTTTCAGCCATTATTTTTTGGAGTACTTTTTTCAACTCCACCCTCTTTCTCCTCTCCTTCTGAAACTCCTAAGAAATGAATGCTAGGTATTTTGTTATAATCCCCATCAGGTTCCTCAAGGTTTCTTAATTTTTATTTTCAGTTTATTTTCTCTCTGTTGTTCAGGTTGTGTAATTTCTAGTGTTCTATCTTCTAGGTCACTGCTTCTTTTCTCTATCCACCCTTCCTTCCATCACCATCATTCTGCTTTTGAGCCCATCCACGGAGCTTATTTTGTTTATTATCTTTTTCACTTCTAAAATTTCCATTTGATTCTTCTTTATATCTTTTATTTCTTTGCTTAGCCTGCCTGCCTGCCTGCCTGCCTTCCTGCCTTCCTTCCTTCCTTCCTTTCCTTTCCTTTTTGCTGATGTTTGTATTTCTACATTTGTTTCTAGCATGTTCATAATGCTTTAAAATCTTTGTCAGATCATTCTAACAACTCTATCATCTCAGTGTTGGCATCTGTTAATTATGTTTTTCTCATCCAGTTTGAAATCTTCCTGGTTCTTGATATGATGAAAGATAGACATTTTCATTTTATGTTATGGAACTGTGGATCTTATTCAAGCCTTCTCTTTTAGTTAGCTTTTTTTTTTTTGAGAGGGGAAGTGGGGGGAATGGGTGCTCCCTTCTTATGACCAGGTGAAAATAGAAGTCCAACGTTCCCACTCTGCCTTATTTGACACCTGCAGAGTGGGGGAGGAGCCTAGTGACTGATGATAAGTGTGGGGTGGGAGTATCAGCTCCACACACAGTCTCCACTGACACAGCAGTGGGGGTGGCCACAGTGCCACTCGGTGGTAGTGGAAACCCCAACTCTCCATTAGGACTTCTCTGACACCTTCTGGTGAAGACATGAAGAGGAGGACCTTGTTACTTCTGAACTAGGGTAGTAGTCTAGTTTCCACTGATATCATGGGTTGGGGGAGACTTCATTACCACACAGCAGGGATGAAAGTTACAGCTCCTATTTGGCCTCTCTGGCACTGCCCTGGCCAGAGTTTGCAGTCTCTGTGAAACACACGTATCACCTCCTAACATCACCAAGGCTGGTTACCAGTTATGGCTTGGCAAGGGTGGGGGTCCGGACTCCCTACTTCACCTTTCCAGGGATGTGGGAGTGGGGCCACAGGTTTTCTGTGGTGGTTGGCAGGAGTAGGGTGGTTATTGGCTAAAAGTTTTCTGTTTCGCTAGATGCCCCTTTCCTGGTCGTTGGCTAAAGATCAGGCATTTGCTGGGGTTGTTTTTGTCACTATCTGGCAGTGCTTCCTTATTGCCAACATCTTCAGCTCCAGTCCTGTGATATATGAGGTGGGACTCACCACTGGGTCATTCTTGGGCTCCAGGGCCCCTAGTCCATCTGTCTTCTTCTTCCACTTTTCAGAGTCTTCTTATGTTTGTTTTGTATATAATGTCCAGGATCTTATTTGCACTTAGTAGACGTAATAGGGAAAAGTACATCTAACCCATTTTTCTGGAAGCAGAAGTCTGTCTTTTTTTTCTATATTATATATAAAGCTGTGACAGAATCTGTCTATATAAAGCTTTCCCCACATGTGGGATGGATTCCCAGAAGTACAGTTAGTTGGCCAAAGGGTATGAACATTTCTGTGACACTTACCATCTACAATTCCTTAAATTACTTAAAAGGTTATACCTGGTCTCACTACCTCCAGCACTTTCTGTCCTGTTGAGAGTCATGTTAATTTCTAAGCAGCTCTGAACAGCATGTGTGCTGACCAGTGAACTAACAGGCAGTGCCTGCCAATCTCTAGGTGGATTTTTCCACTCAAGCTCTTCCACTTCCTCCACTGAGAAGCCAGAGGGTGCCAGAGACTATGGGCTTCGGCAAGAACCAGGTGAGACCCCACAAGGAAGAAGACAAGAGCAGGAGTGCGTGAGCTGTGTGCCAATGCCAGCTCTCTTGACAACTGCTATATTCTTAGGGAAACTGCCTGTTCCAATCAAGAGTCTAAATGACAAACAACATGATTAACACATTTGCTGTATGGTGTCGAGAGTAAATGGAAACTTAAGGCTGAGAGGTGGGGAAAGAATGAGCATTCTATGATCCTAGAGCTGGCTGGGCCCAGGTGTTTCTGCAACAGCCGGCCATGACTGATCACAAGCTCTGGGCCAGGGGAGGTGATGTGTTTTTCATGGGGAACATAAACCTTGGTCAGTTGGTGTCATGGAGTCGGGGAGAGGAGCAGTTGCTGCAGCTGGTAGATCCTTTCCGATAGCACTAGTGAAGGGTGGTAACATGTGGAAGATCCTGAATAGGAGCTAATCAGAAGATGACTTCTACTTGCCTCTGAGCCATTTGACCATAGTGCTACCTTAGCTGTCCTTCTCTGGCCCAGAACTTTTGATTACTTGGGCCAATTTGGAATGTGGCTTTGTCTCCAGGGTCTTCTCTCCCTGCTCCATTATGTTGGAATTTCCAGAGACTATGGGCTTCAGCAAGAACCAGGTGAGACCCCACAAGGAAGAGGACAAGAGCAGTAGTACGTGAGCTGTGTGCCACTGGAAAGAGTGAGGAAGTCACAGCTGAGTGCCAGTCCCTCCTCCACTCTCCTGTCCAACTCCTCCCTGCAGTCGCTGTTCTAGGTGTGATTATGCGCTCTTCTGTGGGACAAGAAGATGGTTAAGTGTACATTTTAAAGAACTTGTCTGAATCAAAACTAGGTTTTCAGGCTGGACACAGTGGCTCATGCCTATAATCCCAGGAGTTTGATACCAGTCTGGGCAACATAGAGAGACCCCCTTCTCTCTTTTATGTGTGTGTATATATATCTGTGTGTGTGTGTTTGCATTTGTGTGTGTGTGTGTGTAAATCTATATCCAGGCATGGTGGCACATGCCTGGCCTGTAGTCCTAGCTGCTGGGAGCACTGAGGTGGGAGGATTGCTTGAGCCCAGGAGATCAAGGCTGCAGTGAGCTATGATCACACCACTGCACTCCAGCCTGAGTGACAGAGAACGACCCTGTCTCTAGAAAAATAGAAAACAAGACCAAAGAAAACAAAAAACACTAAGCTTTCAAAAAAGAAAACACTCACACAGTTGGAGTAGCATAAAGTAAGTCCCACAGATGTAGAATAAGATGCTGAGAAAGCAAACAGCTTGTTGGGCTCAGGAGCCTTCATAAACTTAAAAGCAAAATTTGCAGTGGACAAGCCACAGATGATTTGCACATCCCAGCTTTCCCAGCTGTGTTCTGAATTCTCTCCCAGGAGTGGCTGCCTCCACCTTTCCTGCAGACCAGGAGATCCTTGCAGGCAAGGGCTTTGCTTTACTTGAATCCCCATTGAATCTGCATTGTCTTGCCCCATTCTCCCCCATGTGGCAAAATTGAGTTAGTGGCAATGATGAGCATCCCTGGTTTTGGACTTGCAGACTGGAGCCCTTCCCCGACTATGTGACGTGCTACAAGTGCTGTGGGAAGAGCAAGACCAGTGCCTGCAGGAACTCTCCAGAGAGCAGACAGGAGACCTGGGCACGGAGCAGCCAGTGCCAGGTATGAGGCTTGCCACAGCCCATGTCCTCTCTTGGGGGTGGAGCATGTCCGGTCCTGCTGGGCAGGGGGAGCTTATCCTGGGCCAGGATGGGATGTGGGAGGCTGGTCCAGCTTTTCTCACTCAGACAATCAGCTGGTGGGGCAGGGCTGGAGTGGTTCTGGTGAGCAGATCGCATGGACCCCAAAGCCAGATCCTCACCACTCTTCCTTTCTCTGGGCAAGTAAACATAGCCGGTGTTTTCCTATCATCAGCTTCTGCATGCTGACTTGGCCAACGTAAGAGCTTGGTGGGAATTTCTCTGCAAGACAGTTCTCCTCTCATTCATCCTCCCACCTCCCTGCCAGCTCCATGAGTGAGGTAGTAGGAAAGGCAGCCTGGGTCCACAGTAGTGTGGCCTGCCTGCTAGGTGACACTCACCGGCTGTGTGAACACAGGCAAATTATTTAGCCCTCTGAGTCTCCATTTTCTGATTTATAGAATGGAGGTGGCCAGGCGTGGTGGCTCATGCCTGTAATCCCAGCACTTTGGGAGGCTGAGGTGAGTGGATCACCTGAGGTCAGGAGTTCGAGACCAGCTTGACCAATATGGTGAAACCCCACCTCTACTAAAAATGCAAAATTAGCCGGGCGTGGTGGCGCATGCCTGTAATTCCAGCTACTAGGGAGGCTGAGGCAGGAGAATCGCTTGAACCCGGGATGCAGAGGTTGCAGTGAGTTGAAATGGCACCATTGCACTCCAGCCTGGGCAACAAGAGTGAAACTCTGTCTCAAAAAAAAAAAAAAAAAGAAGAAGAATGGAGGTGATAATGTCTTCTTCAGGATTATAATGATAAATGAGATAAAGTGTGTTAAATACAGCTGCCTTGTAAATATTGCTAATTTAAATGTTAATTATTATTATTAATCAACACTTTAAGCACTAAGTTTATATTTAAATGTTAACTTTATTTTTATTCCCTTACTAAACGTCTCATCTTTGCTCTCTGTCATCTAAGGATAAGGAGGGGTATAGCATTAAGAACCCACTGCCAGGGTTCAAATGGACATCTGTACATGGATGTTCATAACAGCCCCCTTCACAAGGATGAAGAAGTGGAAACACCCCTAATGCCCATCAACTGACGAATGGATAAACAAAATGTGGTTTATCCATCCAATGGGATATTATTCAGCCTTTAAAAGAAAGAAGTGATGATATGTTCTACAGCATGGACAAACCTTGAAACATAATGCTAAGTGAAACAAGCCAGATACAAAAGGACACACATTGTGGCTGGGTGCAGTGGCTCACGCCTGTAATCCCAGCACTTTGGGAGGCCAAGGTGCACAGATTATTTGAGGTCGGGAGTTCAAGACCAGCCTGGCCAACATGGTGAAACCCCATCTCTATTAAAAATACAAAAATTAGCCAGCATGGTGGTGGGCACCTGTAATTCCAGCTACTCAGGAAGCTGAGGCAGGAGAATCGCTTGAGCACGGGAGGTAGAGGCTGCAGAGATCATGTCATTGCACTCCAGCCTGGGTGACAGAGTGAGACTCTGTCTCAAAATAAATAAATAAATAAATAAATAAATAAATAAATAAATAAATAAATATTAAAAAAGTAAAATAAAGGAACACACTGTATGATTTCACTGATATAAAATGTGCAGATGAGCCAAACCTGTAGAGACAAATTAGATTAGTGCTTGCCAAGGCTGAAGGAAGGAACAATGGGAAGTGATTGCTTGAGGGGTACAGGTTTCCTTTTGGAATTGGTAAAAATGTGTTAGAACTAGATAGAGGTGATGTTTCCACAATATTTTATTATGAAGGTACTAAACCACTAAATTGTACACTTTAAATGGTTAATGGTTAGTGTTATGTTATATGATTTTTCTTCCATTTGAAAAGAAAGACAGCGGGAAAGAAAAATAAACAGAACCCAGGCTTTTAAATTAGACAGACTGATCTTGAACAAGGCCTCAGTTTTGACATCTATTTTATGGAGTTGGTGTGAAATGAAAAGCATTCATTCAAAGAATGCTTATTTAGCACTTGGTGGTGTCAGGTGAGTGGTGAGAAACAAGCGTTGTCGGCTGTGCTCTCATCACTTAGGAATGCGTTTTGCAGTGTGTGGCAGGAGCCTGATACACTGGTTTCACCAGACAGGAATTTATTTGTTGCATATTACAAAAAGAGCTGGAGCAAAGTTCCAAGATGTTGCCATATTCCAGATTCCTCTCTTTTGCCTGAATGTGTGGCTTCTGTCCTCATGGTCATATAATGGCTGCTGTACCTTCAGGGAGGAGAGAAGAATACCTGCATTTCTGGCAGGAAGTAGAAGAAACTCACTAGAAGGAAGGATGAGATATACTGGGAAGCCAGACTTTCCTGACACTCTCCAGTGTCTCCAGTGACTTCTGTGTATACTTCATCAGCTGGAATAGGACTGCATGGCCACCCCAGCTGCAATGGATGTTGCAGGTTGAGTTTATAGCTGTGCATGTAGCCACCTGGAGCAAAACCAGGTCCTCCTAGTAAGAAAGAAGAGAAGGATGGCAGTGGGCAGCCTTTGCCATTGTCCCCATGACTCAGCCTGGTGAGGGAGACATGGATCAAGTGATTAGAAATTGATTGCCGGGCACAGCGGCTTACACCTGTAATCCCAGCACTTTGGAGGGCCGAGGCAGGTGGATCACCTGAGGTCAGGAGTTTGAGACCAGCCTGGCCAACAAGGTGAAACCCTGTCTCTACTAAAAATACAAAATTAGCCGGGTGTGGTTGTGGGCGCCTGTAATCCCAGCTACTCAGGAGGCTGAGGCAGGAGGATCGCTTGAACCCAGGAGGCTGAGGTTGCAGTGAGCCAAGATCGCACCATTGCACTCCAGCCTGGGCAACAAGAGTGAAACTCTGTCAAAAAAAATAATATTAATAATAATGAAAGAAAGAAAGAAACATGTAAAATGATGAGATAAGAACAGTATGTGGGTCTGCCTGAGTGTCTAATCAGGAGGCTTCACCTGGCCTGGGCCTCCACGAGGGCTTTCTTGAGGAAATGACGTTTGAGCCAAGGCCGGAGCCTGACTGGTGGTTGCTGGGCACAGACATGAGGGATCCTGCTGCAGGATGAGACCACAGGGGCTCATCATCCCTTGGGGGATTTTCATCCTATCCTAAGAGAAGCAAAAGCCTTGGAGAGTCTTAGGAGGCCAGGAGTGTTACCGTCTGCATTATGAAAAGATCACCTCTGCCACAGTGTGGGAGGTGAACTGGAAAAGGACATGAGTAGTTCAGAGAGACTCGCTGTGAGCCTGGTGGTCTAGGCAAGAGATATGATCATTGGGACTGGATACGATGTCATTGTTTGGATTCCCCAGAAGCAGGTGATTCCAGGCCAGATCTGTAGGACTGGGAACCGAGACAGGGAAGAGAAGAAAGCTGGCAAATGTTGCATCATCACTGTGGGCACTTGTGGAACACACGCCTCCAAGTCGCACAGGAGCTGGAGGATGCATCCACCAGTGCCCTGTCAGTCAGAGATGGGGCTGCTTCAGAGCGAGCAGTTTTCATTCCCTTGCACTTCCAGCCTGCTGTGCTTAGGGACAATCAGTAGCTAGAGAAAGCCCCCAGACAAAGGGATACTGGGCCAGTGGGTGAAAGTGAGATTGGTGTGCCCAGAAAAGGTTAAGGCTAAGGAGTTACAAGCAGGTTCCACTGCAAGGGCTGGAGAGGTACACCCCCGTGGCAGAGCTGTGTGGGTGGGGACACTGACCACACATGGTGATGAGCTGGACTGGGAATGAGGTGAGAGATGGAGAATCCAGGATGGCCCCCAGGTGTTTGACTTGAGCAATTGGAGGAAGGAATAAAGGAAGATCAGCATTTTGGAGGAGAGGAGATAAAAAATCACACATGTAGTTTTAGACGTGTAGAGGTGAGACTTCAGAGTGGGGATGAAGGCTGGGGATAAACCTCCGCATAGGCGGCAGGTGAGGCTGAGGTTGCACCAGGAGAGTGCAGGAGCGGGAAGGGAAGAGAACCCAGGAGCCAGCCTGGAGCACTCCCGGCCCTCATTTGTCAGGAGCAGCTGGAAGCAGAGGAACATGAGGGTTTGTGAGCAGCGGAGGCAGCAGCATGGATGCTGCAAATGTGCTTTAGCCCATGCACTCGGCCACTGCGCAAGGGACAGGGACAGAACAGACATCTCTCCCACAGTTTGAGCCTTTGCTTTCCCTCTACCTGACTGCACTTTCCCTCTGGCTCCGACTGCACTTGGGGAGCTAGACCATGGTCTTATGGCATTCATGGGGGCACCAAAGAGAGCCTTCTGATTTCCTGCTACCCCCGGAAACTGCGTCTGGGACAGCAGGAAGCAAGGCACCAACAAGGCCAGCCAGAGGTGCAGCCAAATTGTGGGTGTCCCCCACCTCCTGTCCCCAAGGACAATGCCTGAAATTCCAATGACAGCAGCCCTGTGAGATAGGGCCTAGAATGCGGAGTCTCTGGTGGGGCTGATGGTGAACTTTCGTTTACACGGAGAAGTAAGGGATGATTATTTTAACATAACATGTGTTTAAAATGTCCCACTGTTCTCCAGTGGTTCCAGGATGAGGCCCAGCTCCTGACTTGGCCCCTGTCCACATCTCCACCCCAAACACTGCCAATCAGCTCAACTGTCAACCAAATTGCTTGCAATTTCCTGCCTGTCCATTTCTTTCCTGCCTCCAACCTTTGCACATGCAGACTGCTCTGCTACAACACCATTCTCCATCTTCTTCCCTCTGAAGCTACCCACCTTTTCAGACTCCTCTAGGAATGATGTCTGAATGCCCATAGCTCCCCTGGTCAAGCGAGTTACCCCGACTCCTGCAGGATACTGTTTCTCTCTCGTCTCGCACCTCTGCACTGCACTGTAAAGGTGTGTTTCCTGGACTGTCCCTGCCCCAGCCTGAGGCAGCTACAGTGTCGCCTTCTTTCTTCCTCAGTGCTTGACACAGGGCTTGCCAGACCGAGTATTCAGTGTGTGTTTGTTGACTGACTTACTGAGTGAATGAGGGCAGATACATGACTGAGAGCAGGGAGAAAGGATAAAACAAAAGACAGCTGGCCCCAAGGAGAGAGTGGGAGATGAGGTGGAGCCTTGGAGGCAGGTGAGGCCCCCGCAGAGGACACAAATGCCACCAGCTGCCCAACTTGTCACAAATTAGCTGAGGCGAGCAACGTGGTCCTGGTCACCGGTGGAGGGATGCTTTCCAGGGTCTAACCTTGGGGGAGAGAGGTGAGTCCCTGTCTTCCCTGGCCTTCCCCTATGGAGTGGTGAGCCGGCTCTGCCTGCCCCACTCAGGCTCTGACTAGTGACCACGCCAGATGGGGTTCCTGCTCCCCTCTGGGCACCCAGCATTCCTGTTGGGCTCTCACGGTTCGAGGAAAAGACTCTCCCCGTGGCGGCAGAGGGTCTGCTGTGAGGCCACTCACTGCTGGATCTGACGAAATGAGCAGGGCTGAATGCCAGGCAGAAAGCAAATAGAGTCAGCCGGAGTCGGTGCCACTCTTCCTTTATGGGGCTCTTGGGCTAGAGGATTCTCCCCACTCCTCAATGTGCCCATTTTAAAGTGGGGAAAATAATCTGATCAACTTCATGACGCTGTTGTGGAGAATAAGTGAATGACTACCTGAAGAAGGCAGAAGCTCCTCTCATGGCCTCTCTGTCCCAGCCCTTCGGTGCAGCCAAGCTGACCTCTGCCATGAATGGCTGGTGTTCACTTAGGCCCTCAGCCCTGCCTGTGGGTGGCGCCTCTTCTGCGAACCTGTTGCCCAGTCACCTTACCAATGCCAAGTGCACATTCACATTACTCCGGGAAGTTGCACCCACGTCCATGTCTCAATTCCAGGTTGACCGATCTGAGCAGAATCGGTCATCTTTCTTCCCTAAGGCTCCCCATGCAGTGAACCAGCGCTTTCCGCCAGGTCCTGACCGTGCATCCAGGGCTGAGAAAGCTCACTGGGGATTCCTGCCTGACTTCTGCCTCACACTCACTGGGGGGACCTGGGCAAGCCCTGACCATACCCCTCTCTTCCGGACCTTACTCTGCTTAAGAAAAGGGCTCCCCTGGCTTTGCAAGAGCTGTGGTGTCTGGCCAGGCCCTGGCGGCTGAACCAAGGAGGGCCAGCGTGCAGGTGGGTGAAAGGGTGGCTCAGCTGGCCCCCCACCCATCACAAACAGCTGTCACTGGGATCTGTTTTGCATAGTGACCTTCTGCAGTGTGCATTTAGGAAAGGGGATCTGTTACTTTGAAAACATGGTTTTAAAGCTCCAAAGAGGCCCAAGGACTCTGCCTGCTGGAAAAGTCTTCAGATCTGCCCCACTGAGGGGGTCAGAAGCCAGGGCCAAGGGCTCCATCTGGGAGTGTGGAGCGGGTGTGATGTCTGAGGAAAAATCCCCTAAAAGACTAAGAGGAGAAATGGCCAAGGCCTAGATCTGGTGTCCAGGGGGCCTCTCCCAGCACCGAGACTCTATCCTGACACCTGTGTGGGGGGAGGGGCTGCTGGGGCTCTCCGTTGAGGGTGCAGGGTTAATGGTTAAGCTCCCTGGGGTAGAGGTTAATGTTTGAACGCCAGACCAGTCACAGGAAACACCACTCAAGGAGCTGTCACCGAGCCCGCCACACTTATCACAAATAAAAAATTAACTCTTCAGCCATTCCGGGTTAGGTGGCCAAGGTCTTACTGGCATTTTCTGGGAACGTTTCAGGGTCACCCTAATAGCTGCACGGCCTGCCCCACAGGGCTATTTATTACTTTGTTTACAGAGGCCAATACCCCCTCAGAGCTGGCAGGTGGAAGGGCCATGGCTCTCCCCAGGGGAAGAATGTTCCAGAAGGACAGTGTGGTGACAGGAAAGGTGTGGGCTTGACAGTCAGACAGACCTGGGCATGTGTCCTGCTGTGTCACACAGGTGCTCTGTGACCTTGAGCAAGACACTGGTCCTCTCTGAGCCTTAGTGACCTTGCCTTCAAGTGGGGTCATGACATCCCATTTTCCTTCTTGTCTCTACCTGCTGGTTGCCCACTCCACAGAGCATGGGTCCAGGAAAACAGGCTTTTTATTTTGTACCTTTTTTATTGAGGTGAAATTCACATAGCGTTAAATTAACTGTTTTGAAGTGAATAATTCAATGGCAATTAGCACTTTCATAGTGCTCTATGCAGCCACCAGCTCTGTCTCATTCCAAAATATCTTCATTACCCCAAAATAAAATCCCTGTACCCATTAAGTCATCACTCCCCTCCTTCCCTGTCTGCAGCCGCTGGCTATTACTAATCTACTTTCTGTCTCTGTGGATTTGCCAGTGCTGGACATTTCATATCAACGGAAGCATTTGCTATGTGACCTTTTGTGTCTGTCTGCTTTTGCCGAGAATAATGTTCTTGAGGTTCATCCACGGTGTAGTATGAATCAGTTCTTCACGCATGCTGGCTGTTAGTGCAGTTTTCTCTAACATTCCTAGCTCCTTTCTGGAGTTGCCTGGCCCCCGATGCCCTCTGGCAGCCACACCGTGGACCATCCTCCACGGCTGCCCACAGCTCACCTCTGCCCATTCTTCCCTTGGCACCACTGATCTTGGCTCATTTTTCCAAAATATGGCAGCTTATGTTTGTATAACATTCTAGGCAATTTAAATTTTTAGTTCTTAAAACAACTGTGCAATAAGCACTATTATTACTCCCATTTCATAGATGAGAAAACAGGCTCCAAGGGGCCCAGGATCGCACAGAGCCGAAACAGGACTCAGCTTTGCCGTCCAGTCTAATCAAACACAGCACAACTGAGCTGTGAATGACTGATAACCTTACCCTCCCGAGAGAAAGGTTTTCCATTAGAGAAAACAAACAAAGACAGAGATTGCTGCTGGCAATTAATCCTTAATTCGCTTGAAAGGTGGTATGAAATGAAGAGCTTTAGGTCAGGTGAGGAAGAGTTCTCGGGTGGATGAGGAGGGTTCTGTGGAGGTGGCACACACTTTGTGCAGTCTCTGGAAGGCGAAGGACTTAGCTCCCCGTGCTCAGAAGCTAGCCTGGGGCTGGCCTCCTGGACATAGATGGGCCAGCCTGCTCCAGAGAAGTGGCTGCTCGGCCTCAGGGCTGGAAGGGTTCTTCATCTCATGTAGTGCAGACTTCATTCAGTGTCTGATGCTCTTCCGTCTCCTAATTCCATGACTCTCTCTGCTTGAATACTTTCAGTGATGGGGACCTCATCACTCCCAAGATAGTTCATCCCATCAAACAGCTTATGATTCCTGGTTCCAAGACTCTTTAGCTGTTTCTCCTGCGATGTGTTTTTAAATACCCTTGTTGCCCTGGGATTTCAGCTCCTCTAGCCCCATCCTGACCACAGCTCCTGTGCGTCCAGCCATCACAAAGGAGAGCGACACCTTCTTGACTTAAGACTGTAGGTCAAGTCATTAGCAAAGTTGAAGAAACCTCACCAGGCTGCCCCTTGGATGGCCTGGGGCTGGGGCCATGGCTGAGCCAAGAGAGGCAAAGAGATACACGATGCAATTGGGAAACAGGCCGCTGTGCAGGAGCTCGTCCTAAGCCACTGTGGGTTCTGGGGAGGAGAAAGGGATGAGTGGGGGTGAGCAGTGGAAGTGCCTGAGAGATGGATGTGGCGGTCCGCGGGCAGAGGAAAGAGCAAACACCGGCAGAAGCAGAAGGTAGGAGAGGACAGACACAAGGCCAAGACAAAGAGGAGCTGTGGCTTCCCTGGTGACCCCATCAGCCGATGAAGTGAGCACCAGGGACATGGAGGGGTGTGAGTGGCCCAGTTCAGCATGGCCCCGGGGGCCGGGCTGTTCCTGGCCCCCTGCCACTGCAGCCTGACACATTGCTCCAGAAATAGTCCCAGGTTTTTATCAGGCCATCTGAGCTTATTTATAAATAGAGGACTGGAGGATAGAGGCTCCATGCCAGGTGAATGCAGGGCAAACTCCCAGGCACTGTCCTGCCCTCTGAGATGGCCCTTTCCCCTCTCTCAGTCCTCCCCCAACCCACCCAGACCTGCCTCTGGGGCCACCTCTCTATCCCTGTGGGCAGGACAGAGGAAGCTGACATTGCTGGGTCTGCTTCAGACCTGGCCCAGGGCCAGGGGCTCCACAAATATAAAGACCAGGAATCTTTATCTATAAACCCCTTTGGGCAAAAATAGAACTTTCTCCGTTTTCTGACTTTAATTCTGATTGCATTCTCCTGGGATGGCAGACATTTCTGGATCTTCCCCTGCAATTTTCCCAGGTGGCTAGAGATTCACGTAGCACCACCACGTTCAGGGGGATCTCGCCTGCAGCTGATGATGGTGTTAGTCACAGGTGGTGACTGGCAGAGCCCTGTCTATCCTGGGCCACTGGCCCCTCCTGTGCTTTGCCGGGAGGCATGGGCTCGGCAAGGCTGTGTGTGGTCTGCCCATCTAGACCTGCCCCCACAGCTGTTTCTCCTCTGGGCCATCCCACCTCCTCAGGGCTGGCTGGGCAGCAGGGTATTTGCACCTCTTCTGGAACCCTCCATGTCCCAGCTCATCACTTCCCCTCCATCTCTCCCCAGTCTCTGGGAATTCTTGCTCTTTTTCTGTTTTCTCCCAAGTGCTTTGATTATCCCAGCATACCTCTTCATCCCCCAGAGGCCTTTGGAAACCTAAGCCAGGAAGTTTTCCTGCCTTTCTCTGTGACTTCAATCTGAGGAGGAAGGAGAGAGAAAAGGCAAAAAACAAACAAACAAACAAAAAAAACAGGAGAAGAAAAAAGAAGAGATTGATGGATCAGAAAGTATTCCACCGCACCCACATATCATTTAATTCTCTCAAAAATCCTGGGAAATATTACTGTGCCCATTTTATAGATGAGGAAACTGAGGCTCACAGAGGTTAAGTGTCATACCCAAAGTAGGCTTGGGTCCAAAGCCCATTCTATCTCCACCATACCACCTCCCTCAACCTGGTATCCCATGCTGTCCTCCTGGGCCACGGGCACTGGGGCAGGCAACCCCTCCTCCCCAGGTGGTGGCATTGTCTTCTCTTGTTTCCCCACTTAAACTTCCCAGCCTTCCATCCCATCCCCTCCAGCCAGACAATTGGTGGCGGAGGTGGCCATCAGAGACGACAGAGGCGTGGGAAGCCCTGCTCTTCACATGCTTTGGATCTGCCTGCCCACACAGCTAATGTATATTCCTTCTAGCCCTGGCTCTCCTGGGGCGGTGACCCCTCCCTCGTGGCTCAGTAAGTGTGGCCCTATTGACAAAGCTCCCCCATCCCCTATCTCAATGAATGCCGCTTACCCCCAAGTCAGGCAGTGAGCTGTGCTGCTCTGGAACTAAAACTGCCCAGGATGACCCTAGTCCTGGGCTGTGTCCCTTCCCTGCCAGGGCTCCCTGGGAAGGCCAGAGCCAGGACAGGTATCCGAAGCTAAGCTGGGAGCGCTCTCCCCTGCCTCCCATTCCTGCTTGGCTTGGGGGACTGGGGAGTCCCGGAGTGGAGTCTGAGATGCTGCATTCAAAGCCTGGGGACCGTGCAAGGCAGCCTCCACAAGCACTGAGGAGGCCACAGGGACTGTCCAGCTCCCCCAAGCCACATTCCCTCCAGCCTGGCTAGAGCCACGCACCTCCTGTGCTATGATTTCCTTCATATGTTTTCCTTTCAATCAATGGACTTTTAAAAAACTTAGCCTCATCCTAAACAATAGTAGCTATAAAATCACAGATGTGATATGCTAGTTTTATAATGTTTCTAATACACATTTTCTTTAAAAAAGTGCAACTATGAAAAAATGTTCAACCATGTACCAGCCAAAAGCACAGGCCACCAGTGAGTGGTGAGCTCATCGCACGCTGGGAAACCCTGGGTCTGTTCTGTGCCTTCTGTGCCCAGACGCTGGAGCCAGGGCTGGGAGAGAACAAGGCAGTGTCACTCGTGTTCAGGAAACGATCAACACTGTGGGGGGCTAGCAGCCAGGTCTGCTGCCACCAAGGCCAGCCTGGAGGAGGCAGCCTGTCCCAGGCTGGGGAGATGGGAAGGCTGAGTGGGATCCCAGCTCCATTATCACCAGCTCTGTCACCCACACTTCTCACTTCCCCCTCTTGGAACCTCAGCTTCCTCATCTCCGCCGTGGGGCAGTGACCCTACTCACCCTTGAGCTGCTGTCAACCTCAGCTCCAGGATGTCTGATGTGCATCCAGCACAGGCCTGGCATGGCCTGTCCCCAGGCATCCCTGGGGGCCCTGCCTGACGTGACCCAAGTTAGGAAGCCTCTCAGACGTGCTGGCACCGTCCACATCTGTCTGGCCAACCAGCCAGGCATTGTCCAGCCTCATGGCCTGGAGCCTGCGGCTGGTACCCTGGCTGACCTGGCCAGTCCAGCCAGCACTGAATCTGTTTTTCCACAAGTGAGGCAAAAGGCTCCTGCCTTTTTCCATGCTCTGGAAATGCCCCAGCTGCTTCCAATGCAAGAGAGGCTGACCCGAGCTGGCAGGGGAGCTGCAACTTGAAACGAGGCATCCTGCTGCAACCCTGAGACGGCCGCACAGGGAAAGAGGGCTCTGGGTCACCCTTGGCCTCCTGAGACTCCAGGTGCCAGGCTAGGTCAGCACGGAGACACAGAGTGGGCTGTCCGTAAAGGGTCCTCAGGACCAAGTCCCCATCCCACAGGCATCTGGGTAGGCCCAGGGTTACCCGGCAGGCCTGCTGAGTTCCCGAGACCCTGCTCAGGCCCAGCCAGCAGCGTCCACAGCTGGAATGTAGACGGGCAGCCTCGGGATAGTGGCGGAGCCGTCCCTGGGGAGTGCACAGCAGAGAGAAGCTCCGGCTCCTCCTCTTGCAGGTGAAGCTTCTGGAACATCCAAGGAGTTCCTCATCTCCCATATGCCTCCAAGGACACAGACCCCTGCCCCTTGGCCTCATAGATGCTTCCACTGTCCTGTGAAAGCTCCGCCCACACACTGCCTTCTGTGTCCCTCTACAATTCTACGACACCCTTGCTCATGGTTGCAGCCTGCCCTTGTGGCTCCTGGGACTGCCCCGCCTCCAAAGCCCCCACAGGCGTCCTGATTTCAGGACTGGGTTCCTCTCTGGGCCCTCCCACTTCCCCTCTCCTGCTAGGGGCTGGGCCTCTCTTCAGGGAGAAACAGGCCACACCTGCCCCGCTCTAGGCCAGCATCCCCCCTAACCCAGGCCCTGGCCCGGCCCACCCTACCGTTCCCTACCCCTTCTGTCCCTCTCCAGTTCCCAGAGCCTGGCTTGAACAAGGAGGGCACTTGGCAGCTGGGGCCGGTGTCACCTGGAGACTGGTCAGGTGGGTGGAGGGCTGGGTGGAGACAGCTTTCATCCCCTCCATGTCCTGGCTGTGTGGCCTGGGAAGCCACTTCTGGCTCTGCTTGATTGCTGCGTTTATAAAGTGGGGGTAGAGCCAGGCACATCGGGAACTGGGGGCACCGCCATGGGATTACAGGAGCTCAAGTGTGGGACGCACAGGGCTCCTCCCCATCAGCACAGCACCAGAGCTGGCAGGCCCTGGATGCAGAATGTAGAAGTCAACTGGGTGTCAAGGTGAAAGCCCGTTTATGAGGGATGCCTGGCGGGACTGGTGTGGGAGGCAGTGGTTCCAGCTGGCGTCCCTTCATTTGTTCATCTGCTGTGTTTGCTGAGCACTTGTGCTATGCCTGGCCCATCGTAGGCACAGGGGCGTGCTCTCCTGGGCTCTCTGCCTGGTGGTGGGGGAGGCATCTGTACCCAGGTACCAAGGTGAAGACACAGCTGGTAGTGACCCCCACTGGTGGGTCTGTGACTGCCTGTCTCACTCTCTGTGAATTGCTCCTGGGAGCCAGGGGTAGGGCTAAGCCTAGAAATGAGGAACCCTCAGCTGTGAGGAGCAGGGAGACTCAGAGTGGAAATTCTCAAAGCAAGCCCTGGAACCACTTCAGCGGCATTTTTGGGGAATTCTTAAAATGCAGATTCCTGGGTCTGGTCTCACAAGGAGGATCTGGGGCCTAGAGATCTGCATATCTCTGACAGGCACCCAGCTCATTCTGATGTAGGCTGGAGGGTCACACTTCTGCAATGGGACAGGTCACCAGGGAGATTTCACTTAGAGGGGATGAAGGGGTCAAGGACACTATGGATGCTTTGGGTCTGGTCAGATTGATGCCTAAAAACAGGTTCTTGCTCCTTAAAAAAGCTGAGCATTTGCCATCTGGGTACTCCCGCAATGTCTGCACACCGCATCCATCGCCCAGTCCCCAGAGCTAAGAATTGCCATTCAGGGGACCCAGCCTAGTCCAACCTCCTGAATCCAGATGAAAAAGGAACAGGCCTGGGGAGGCCAGCGGGAAAGGGGTTGCCAGTCCCAGTGCCTGCTCTGGGCAGGCTTTTCAGTTGGGCTTTGAGCTCTTCCTCTGGATAGCCTCAGGAGGGAGGTGCCGGTCCTCCCACAAGAGATAAGCAAGTGAGCAGGGCAGCTGGCAAGGTGGGGGAGGCCTGGAGGCCGGGTCGGCCGACTTGAGTCCTGGCTCTTTCTTTTTGGGCTCTGCCCTGCACCATGTTCCCCAAACGGGAGGAGCGCTGACTGCGGCTCGCCTCATGGGTGTCCCTCAGCTCATTTCTAGCCCCTTCCAAGCCTGACCCCAGCGATGACCTCTCAGAGGGCACGGGTTCCAGAAGTCTGTTGCAGGAAGCAGTTTCCCTGTGTGGCTGCCCTTGGATCAACTTTGGGAGAATTGGTGAGTTGTTATGTGAAATGATGTCTTAAAAGACAGTACAGTCACAGCTCACACACAAATATAAAATGAATACCTGCCGAACAGCTTGTTTAATTTGTGAGGGACTCAGTAAGATCTTATCACTGGTTCATAGCATTCAAAGTAACTGATATGGTTTGGCTATGTCCCCACTCAAATCTCATCTTGAATTGTAGCTCTCAGAATTCCCATGTGTCATGGGAGGGACCTGGTGGAAGGTAATAGAATTGTGGGGGCAGGTTTCTCCCATGCTGTTCTCGTGATAGTGAATAAGTCTCATGAGATCTGGTGGTTTCATAAACGGGAGTTTCCCTGCATGTGTCCTCCTGCCCACCGCCATGTAAGAAGTCCCTTTGCTCTTTCTTCGTCTTCCACCATGATTGTGAGACCTCTCAGCTATGTGAAACTGTGAGTCCGTTAAACCTCTTTCCTTCATAATTACCCAGTCTCAGGTATGTCTTTATCAGCAGCATGAAAACAGACTAATACAGTACCATACCTATAAGGCAGAATGATAACATGAATTTACAAATAGATGCAAAGCTGACTGAATACACAGGGAGGGAAGTGAAATTAATTGTATTTCAACTGGACAATAATTATTGTGCCTATGGACGAGAATCATTTGCATTGCTACCAATCATCTAGAACTTACAGAGTTGCAGTGTAGCTCGAAGACAATAAAAGACCTGACACCCCATTGAATCAGATAATCCAGAAGGCTGTGCTTAGACAATGCCTAGTTTTGCATTGAAAACACCTAGTAATTTTTTTTATTCATCTTAAAATCTTTCAGTTTTCAGAAGTGGGCCACGCATCTGGCTCTGAGCTTCCTAGCAGCCAAATCAAAGAGGAAACCAGCTTCAAATGTAGTGTCTATGTATACTAGTCGTTCACAATAAGTTCAGCTTCTCACTGCATTGAGACCTGGTTCTCCTTCCAGAGGGGCCTCATCAAGGGAACTCAAGTGATGTAGAAAGCAACATCCTCAATAATATTCTTGCAGCAAATACAGTGGTGACACTTGTGGAGCTGTGTCCATAGGCCAGGGCAGTGGCTCTGAGTGTGGTCCCAGGACAAACAGCATCAGCATCACTTGGGAACTTGTTAGAAATGCAGATACTCAGGCCCCACCCCAGACTTACTGAGCAATCTGTGTTTTAATAATCCCTCTGGGTGACTCTGATGCAAGCTGAAGTTTGAGAATCATGGGACAAGAGTTCTCAACCCTGCAGTCAAACGTTAGAATTACCTGTAAGGCTTTCAAAGGACATGATGCCTGGGCCCACCCAAACCAATTCATGCAGGATCCCTGTGTGCCACGCCGGCTAGGTCTATTTCTAAAGCTCCCCAGGTAGTCGTACCATGAAGCTAGAAGGGAGACCCATTGCTGCTTAGTTGTTTAATGCAAACTGATTGGCCAACAGATGTGCCATCTGCTCCAGAGAAATCCAGACCTTTACTTGCAAAGCTTATAGGAGAGGGCGCCTTCCTTCTTTCCTTCTTCCCTTCCTCCCTCCCTTTCTTACTTCCTTCTATCTTCAACACTGAGCACTACCGTGTACATGGCAGAGTCCAAGGGTGCATTAGACAGGATAGGTTCCTGATCCTGAGGAGTCAGCACCTAATGAGAGCTTTGAAAGTAGTCTAGTGGGAATTCCAGGCAGGCAAGGGTGTCGGTGATGTGGACAGGATGGTAGGGCAGCCCTCGGTCCATCCCCCATCCTTGTCTGATGCTGCTTTTCTTGGCAGGTTGTGAGGGGATGTGGGACAACATAAGCTGCTGGCCCTCTTCTGTGCCGGGCCGGATGGTGGAGGTGGAATGCCCGAGATTCCTCCGGATGCTCACCAGCAGAAATGGTAACCACTCGGCCCATGGGGCCTGGCGGACAGGCTGAGGGGTGTCCCTCTGGGTGGGGCCTCAGCTTAGAGGCAGGAGGCCAAGGAACCTTCTCTGAGGACAAGTATGGGTACAATGATGGGGGAGATCACTGCAAAGGATTAGAAGCCTTGCTTGGGAATGTGGGGTGGACTCAAATTCTGAGGGTGTCAAGCAAGGGGGCAGGAGGCAGTGCACTGGGGAAGGCGATAAGGGAGGCTGGGCCTGCTTCTGTCTTCCCCAGGCCCTTCAGCTAGGAGCTCTCTTCCTTCCTTCCATGTTTCTGCCCCCTTAGCAACCAGGGGCCTTGTTCCAGTCCCCATGTCTGGAACCCCTCCTGGTAGTGGCAGGCTCCCTAATGGCCTGGCCTTCCAAAATACTTCCTTCCACTGTCAGGCCCTGCTGAGAAATTGGCTCCCTGGGAGCCCCTGGCCTCCTGGGGCGAGGGGTTGTCTTACCAGAAGACAGCTGCGGATTTAAGAATTTTCCTAGTTGACTCACATTGATTAGAAGTCGACCATGCACTGGACATTTTTATATGTACATACGGGCTCATTTATTCATCATAAACCCCCTGCAGATCACAGGACTTTTCCCTTGATCCAGTAAAGAGTAATAATAACAGGGACTGAGAAAAGCTGTGCAGCTGCCCCTCTTTCCTGGTCCATGCAGGACAGCAAAGCTGCCAGATGAAGCCTGAACAAGAATAGGTGATTTAACACTAAAACCCACCAGCCTTTCAAAGTCAGGCAAGGCAAAGATGACCACGGTTCAGAGACTGTGGGAAGGGAGTGGAGATTCTTCTCACCATAATTCTGCTGTACATACGCACATGTGTGCACACACACACATATTTGGGGAACATGCTGCTCCCTCGAAGCCTCACTCAACACCCTACACTATGGGAACTGGGGGAAATGAGGTAGACAGGCTTGAAACCCGCTCCTCCAATTCCTGGCTTGGTAATGCTAGCTGCTGTAACAGACAATGCCCCACATCTCAAAGCCTTCATGCAAATTTGTCCACAGAAAGTCCAAAACAGGCTGGGTGCGGTGGCTCACACCTGTAATCCCAGTACTTTGGGAGGCCGAGGTGGGCGGATCTCCTGAGGTCGGGAGTTCGAGACCAGCCTGGCCAACATGGTGAAACCCCATCTCTTCTAAAAGTACAAAAATTAGCTAGGCGTGGTGGTGCACACCTGTAATCCCAGCTACTCAGGAGGCCGAGGCACGAGAATCACTTGAACCTGGGAGGCTGAGGTTGCAGTTAGCTGAGCTCGTGCCACTGCACCCCAGCCTGGGCGACAGAGTGAGACTCTGTCACAAACAAACAAACAAACAAACAAACAAACAAAAAACGTCCAGAACAGGAAACAGGTATTCCTGATTAGCAGGCAGCTCTCCTCTACACGGTGACCCCAGCACCCCACACCTCACAACCGTGGCATCACATAGTTTCCAGGCTGACTGGCGGAGAGGAAAGAACTCGGAGGACCACACAGCAGAGGTTCATAAGGGGCGGGCCTGGGAAGGATCCCACTCTGCCCACATTCCCTCGGCTAGAACTCAGTCACATGGCAACATCTAACTGCAAGGGACCTGGGGAAATGTCTTTTAGCTGGGTGCCAGTCAGCCCCGGGATCCAAGTTGCTCACTGCTGGGGAGCCTCAATTTTCTTGACTGTAAAATGGGGAAAATAAATAAGACCTGCCCTGTAAGGCTGTGCTTGGAAATAAATTTTGTCCCTTCTCCCCTACTCCTCTCCCTTCTTTTCCTTTTTCTCCTTCCCACCTTCCCTCCCCTACCCCTGCCACACACACCCCCGCAAGCTTACCAACTTTACCTGCCAGCGTGGCCCCTCCATGCTTGCCTCTGGGGTCCTGGGAGCTCAGGACACAGGAGATTAGTCCAGATGTGGCGGACCTAGAGCCCCAGGCTGGTCAGGTGCAAGGTCACGCCCAGACTCCACTTTCTGACTCCTGTGCAGTGCTCCTCCACAGCTGACCGGGTTTTTCTCCTGATGGAAAGGACTCGAAGCTCTTCTCCTTTGCAGCCGTCCCTTTTCAGCCTTCCCAGAGCCACAGCACCTCCGCCTCCCGCAGCACTGTCCCTTCTGCCCTGCAGAGGGGATAGGCGGAGCTGGTGCTCACGGCCACAAAGTGACCAGGTGCCAGTCCTGTCACATCCTTTCTCAATTAATTGCTTGAACCCCTCCCTGCCTCATTACGTAAAGGCTCAGTGTCTCCCTCTTGAGGCTCCCCTACCCTTGGATTGCTCATGGTCCGCGGCAGGAAGCTGGACCATGTCCACACAACGTGAGGATGGAAGCTGGGGTCCTGTGCCGACTCTGCTGCAGTTTCTTCTCGCCGCCACATGGTGTCGCTGTGGGCCTGCAGGGCCACACCAAAGGCCTGCCTATTGGGCTCTGGGCTCCCTCCAGGGTGGTGGGGGCCACGTTGTTCATACCCAGCCTGGGGGTGGGTGGCCCAAGAGCACAGGTCAACAGCTGTCTGGCCTCAATTTATCATCAAGAACTCCCACCCACCCCTCCTTCATCCCCATAGATCTACTTCTGGGTCTGATTAGACTCCTGCCCCTTCATCTCCCGGCAGGAAGGCAGGCTTCCCTAGGTGGTGCCCCCAACCCTAACCCCAGGGGGAGCGCCCAGTGAGGACAAGGTGCTCTGGAAAATAAATTAATTCTCCTTGAGGGCACCTACTACATGGGTCCTGACAGGAGGGGTGGGGTCCATGTGACTGGAGAAACCGCAGGCCGATTCTGCCCCCAGATGTTTCTGTTCATGCCAGGCCTAGAATGCTCCCTCTAGGGTGTATTCCTTTGATTCTGAAAAGGACGCTGGTCTTCCAGAGTTCCTTATTAAAAAACACAATTCCCCAGCGGCATCCCCTTGGCCCTCTTTCTCTTCCTACTTAGTGAGGATCTGGCCTTAAAGCGGTCATGCTTCCCAACCTGATTAGGGTCCCGGAGCCTTCTGAAAATCAGATGAAAGCTTTGGACTAGTCTTTCCCCGAACTGCATAAATATATATCTATATATCTATATATTTATATATATGCACATAATATATATATTTATTTTATATTTATAATATAATACAAATATAAATATAAATATCTATTTATATTATATATATAATATAAATATCTACATCTATATATATATATATATGCACAAACATCCTTTCAGGGGTCCCCTGAGGTGCACACTGGCCTGTGCCTGGTTAAGTTTCCCTTACCTATTAGGAATTCAGCCCTGGGGAAGTGGGGAGGCAGCTGCTTTGCAGCTCTACAGAGTGGAAGGCAGGGGGCCCTGCCTTGTTAGCAGCTCTGGGCACCTGGCCTGGGTCACATGCAGCATCTGTCTTGGGAGTCCTGCTGTGTCAGTGAGGAGAGGGCCCCAAACGGGCAGGCCTGCTGCCCTGGGCGAGCCCACAGGGAGCCCAGCCTCTAGGCACGCGCTGTCTTATAACCTTCGATTCTGGCCTTGGGGGAATTTGTGTTCCCTTAACTTGCTTTCCCATCCACCCAGCCTAAATTTGACCACCGTTGTTTCCCATCTGACAACCTAACTCTCTTGATTCAGTTCCAGAAACCTCCCCACCCCTCGCCTAAATTCCAAGATTCCAAGCCCCTCCCACTTCTGCCTATTTTAGAAAGGCCAAAAAGAGAGGGGAGTGATGCCTCGGTGCCCGCTCTGTGCCTGGCACCAGCCTAGGCATTTTCCGTGTGCTCTCATGTTCCCTGCTCACTCTTGCAGTGTGGGTGATTATTTTGTGGCACAGAGAAATGATGCACCGAAGGTCACACAGTGACCAAGAGGCTGCACTGGGTTTCAGACTCAGATCTGGCTGCTTCTAAACCTGCGCTCCAGGCCTCCTGAGCCTCCACAGGGCAGGCATGCCCAGATCTCAGAGGACACGGTCTCCTGGTCCTAGACGCTGCCCCTGAGACTTCAGGAAGAGGGCCCGGTGGGTGGGTAGAACAGTGATAGCATACGCTGTGGCTGGGCATGATAGCTCAATTCTGGGCCTTGGTGTTCTGTCCTGTAAAATGGGCAGCAGCACCTCCTTCAGTGGGGCACTGTGAGGATTAGACCCTAAACCCTGTTAGCCAGGGGCCCAGCCCCTGGAGACTGTGTAAAGAAGCATGCCACGCTCAGCTGGGGCTGTTAAGGCTCCAGTGAGAGCAAAGGGGTGGCAGGGCTCCTACCCACAGGACTCGGCCATCAGCATCCTGCCCCCTGCAACACTTACACCGGCCTGAGCTGGGGAGCCAGATCCCAGCCCTCCTTGGCAGCTCAGAGTACAGAATTCAGCGAGGCCATTCAGCCCGAGGAGGGAAACTCCTCACGGTGGCCTTCCAAGACTTCCCTCCTGGCTAGTGGCTCCCTTCCGCAGGCTGGGCTCCTGCTGTAAAAGCTCCAGTGGGGAAGTGCTCTCCTCTTCCCTATGAGAAGAGTTCAGGGCAGGCTCTTTATCCCCATTCAATTTGCCTTTCTGTCCAGCCAGCCAGCCCGCGTTTGATAAGCAGAGGCTCTGGGCCAGGCACTGGGGAGGCGGGGAAGCCACTGCCCATGTGGTGAGAGGGCCCAGCATGCGTCCTCGTGCCAGGGGTGGGGGGCAGTGAGCAGCTGAGCCGGAGGACTGTGGTGGTCTCACGATCTATTATGCAGAGAAATGCAGAGGGGTGGCCTACAGGTCGTGGCCGAAGGACCCTCCACCCTTCCGTGAGGGGCGCTGCCTGGAGGGGTTCATCTCAATGGCACTCTGGTGGTTTTCAAATGGCTGAGTGAGCAGGGCATGAAGTTCCATTTAAAACAGAACTTCCATGGAGCAGGATGAGTAAAAATGGGAGCCTGAGAAAAAGTCATGATGGGAGTGGCCAGGTACTGGGCAGCCACCACAGATTCTCCGGGGTACCCACCTGTTAAACGGTGGCAGGGCCTGGGATCAGGAGCAGCACCCGGCTGGGGTGAGAAGGGGGACTGGCACGTGGTGTGTGCTTAAGAGCTTGGGCTCTGGAGCCCGAGCCCCAGGGTTCAAATCACTTTCCCCCTATTTACTAGGGTGTGGTCTTGGGCAAGTTCTGGAACTGCTGTGTGCCTCAGTTTCCACACTATAGAGTGGTTGTAGCAGCTACATGTTACAATAGATGTTACTATGAAAATCACAGTGCCTGGGCCCATGGCTCACCTACAGGACTCTTGGCACCCACAGGTTCCTTGTTCCGAAACTGCACACAGGATGGCTGGTCAGAAACCTTCCCCAGGCCTAATCTGGCCTGTGGCGTTAATGTGAACGACTCTTCCAACGAGAAGCGGGTAAGCCTGTCAACCTCCACCCCACGAACCCGGGGACAGGAACCTATAGGGTGAGGAGGCCCTGGGAGAGGAGGCCCTGGGAGAGGACAGGGTGGCACAGGCCTGGGACAGTGGTCAGGATGTAAGGGCTACCCCCTGTCCCCATGCCTCCTACTCACAGAGGTGTCAGTGGGTCTGCCTCACTGCCCTGGTCTATCGACCCGGAGATGATGGTTAGGAGGAACCCAGGCACAGGTAGGAACTGTCGCATACCACCGCGAGACTGGGGGTGCTGTATTCATTCAACTGAAAGAGACGCTAACATAGTGGCTAAATGCTCAGAGCAAGGCTGGTGCGTCTGAATTCCGACCTTGACCTTAGTGGGGCTGGGGAAGATTTAATCACTACGTGCCTCACTTTCTTCATCTGGGAAATGGTGTTAATAATGCTGACAACATAGGCTTGTCAAGAGAACTAAATGAGTTAATATATGTGCATCCTGAGTTGGGCGCCTGGTCACAGTAAGTGCTCAGTAAATGTTTGCTTTTGGCCGGGTGTGGCGGCTTACACCTATAATCCCAGCACTTTGGGAGGATGAGGTGGGAGGATTGCCTGAGGCCAGGGCAACATAGTGAAACATTGGATCTACAAAAAATGTTTAAAAATTAGCTGAGCGTGGTGGTGCGTGCCTATAGTCCCAGCTACTCAGGAAGCTGAGGCAGGAGGATCGCCTGAGCTGGAGAGTTTGAGGATGCAGTGAGCAGTGATTGTGTCGCTGCACTCTAACCTGGGCAATGGAGGACAGGATTGAGCCCTGTCTCTTAAAAAAAAAAATGTTTACAGCATTCGAAGGAGTCTCCCGGCTCTGATAAGCAAGGAGGGAGTCCGGCTGCAGAGCTGCCCTAGCTGAGGGGATGCTCCCTTCGGCAATCGGCTGACCTTTGCTGGGGACCTCCAGAGGCTTCCTCTGAGGGTGGCCATCAGGGCCCTGTCTGGGCTCAGCTCACTCTGCATCACTGTCCTTTCCCAGGATGGCCCTTTCTCTCAAATCTCATGCACACTGTGCCATCCTGCCTCCCACCTGGGCCTTTGCCCCCGTTAGGGCCCCTTGCCTGGAGAGCACTTTCCTCCTCTCTTTTCTTGACTGATTCTTATATATCCTTTGAGACTCCCCTCGGGCCCATCCATGCCAGCCCTTTCTTCCCCTCCCCACGGGAAGGGCTCCCTTAGAGCCTGGTGTTGGCCTCCAACTATTACCTACCATGTTACATTAAAATGATCAGCGTGTGCCACCTGCCTCCATCTCTCTCACTAAAATACATGCTCCTCAAAGGCATTCATTCACTCCACAAACACTCACTGAGCACCTGCTGTGGGCCAGGGTTGGGTCTGGGCAAAATCACGGTGACAAATCAGAGAGTCTTGTTCATTTCCAGGCCCCAGTGCCCAGCACAATGCTTGGCACCTATGAGGTGCCCAATAAATATTTGTTTGTGCACTTAAACATCTACTGAGTGCCAGCTGCTTGATGCGCAATTGTATTAAATCCTCAAAATAATCCTGTACATTCATTGTTTTCCTCACTTTGCAGAAGAGGAAACTGAGGCTCAGGGATTAAGGAACATGCTTGTAAAGTAGTGGAGGTAGGATTTAAACCAAGCCTAGCTCCAAAAGCACCAGTGCTCCGTCCTCTGTCTTCTGATACCTCCCCATAAGATGTGTGCCCCGCCCAGGGAGTACACTTTCAGCAGGTCCCATTAGCTAAACTCCCTAGAAGGAATATGGGCAAGCTTTGCCTGTCCCTTGGAGGGTAGGGTGAGGTCATGGGAGAAAGCACGGGTGGAGAGTGGCAGAATTCAGGGAGAAGGGAGGAAGTTGTGTGTCAGAGCACCCCGTCTTCTGCATTTTGCGAAGACCCCTCTCTCTGTAGCGCATCAGCCTTGCTCTATGTGGAGGAAGGCAAGCTCCAAGGGAGAGGAAGCAGTTCTTTCCTTCCCAGGGCTTGTCATCCCATTGGGAACATACACGAGGTCTTCAGATCTGGTCAGAGTGGGATGATTTAATAAGGAGATTCGACAAGGAGTGAGCACTCGTGGTCTTGGAGGGATGGTGAGTGGGCTCTGCCTTCTGCAGAGGAACAGTTCTATCATCGACTTATATGAAGAGAGGGGGCTTATTTGTTTCAAATTTGTAAAATCCATAAAACTAAAAAGGAATAATATCATGATGGGTGGCCGGATGAGGTTCATAAGAAGGCTTTGTACTGCAAATAACACACATTTCTAACTGGTTTAATAAGCACATGTGGCTTGCGTAACTGGAAATGCAGAGAATGGGCTTCAGGATTCTTTGATGAGGCAGCACCACAGAATCACCAGGGTCTGTGTCATTTGCATCTCTCTCCCTGCTGTCCTGGTGGCTTCTTCCTTAGGCTGGCATTGTAAGATGACTGCCATCAGAAATTGCAGCCACAGGCCAGGCACAGTGGCTCATGCCTGTAATCCCACCACTTTGGGAGGTCGAGACGGGTGGATCACTTGAGGTCAAGGGTTTGAGACCAGCTTGGCCAACATGGCGAAACTCTGTCTCTACTAAAAATACAAAAATTAGCCGGGCATGGTGACGTGTGCCTGTAATCCCAGCTACTTGGGAGGCTGAGGCACAAGAGTCGCTTGAACTTGGGAGGTAGAGGTTGCAGTGAGCCAAGATCTCGCCACTGCGCTCCAGCCTGGGCGACAGAGCGAGACTCTGCCCCCAAAATAGGAAAAAACATCCACACAATGAGAACTGTTGGTTTACACTAATCAGTACGAATAATGGAGCCCAGGGCCTTAACCACAACGTTCATGCCAAGATTAAAACTGTAAAATCCCCAAACCAAGGAGCTGAAATTTCATAAAGGAAAATGTAACGCTTTGGACTTAACTCAGAAAAATGATTGTCCAAAAATGGTGGAAAGGAGACCTAGCTTGGCTTCAGCTTGCATTAAAAAAACAAAACAAAACAACAGCTCTGAGATTGGAAGGGTTTCCTGACCACGTGATTCACCGGTCCCTAAATGCCAGTCCACAAATTGGCACGAGTTTTGTTCTTTATTCTGAGATTTAAACCATCCTATTTCTTATTATTAAAATGTCTTTTTATCAACTGAGGGTGAAGGTATGTATTAGTTGCTTTTCTTTTTTTCTTCTTTTCTTTTTGTGACATCCTTACTTGGTATACACCACTATATTATTGACACACAATATTACTGACACCAATAGTGGACTCAGATTGGCAGTAAGACCGCACATAGATGTCACATGGGTAAATAAAATGGGATTTGCAAACTGTAGCTCTTGGACCCAATGAGGCTCCACTGCCTGCTTTTGTAAATAAAGTTTTATTGGAACACAGCCAAGCCCATTCCTACCACAGTAAGGCTACGTTTACATGACAAGGGCAGAGTTGAGTATTTGCAAAAGAGACCACAGGGCACTCAGAGCCCAAAATATTTACTCTCTGTCCCTTAACAAAAAATGTCTGTGACAGATGATCTAAAGGCTACAGAAAGCAGGTGGTACAGTCAGAACATACAGCAGTAAGAGAGGCAACTGAATTCAGGACAGACAACAGTGAGGCTTCTGGGCCCCATGTCCTCCAGGAGTGGTGCACACTTTTAGATGTTAAGAGCTGAGGACTGGCTGGGTGTGGTGGCTCATGCCTGTAGTCTCAGCACTTTGGGAGGCTGGGCTGGGAGAATCACTTGAACTCCTGAGCTCAAGACCAGTCTGGGCCACATAGGGAGACCCTATCTCTACAAAAAAAATTTTTTTAAGTAGCTGAGTGTGATGGCACTTGCCTGTAGTCTTAGCTACTCGGAGGTTAAGGCAGGAAGATTGCTTGAGCCTGGGAGGTTGAGGCTGTAGTGAGCCATGATCGTGCTACTGTACTCCAGCCTGGATGACAGAGTGAGACCCTGTCTCAAAAACCAACAAAAAAAAAGCTAAGGACCGAAGGTCACATGAAACCTTCAGGGAGCAAGGCTGTTTCTGGGTGGGTGAGGTCTTATGGTTCCTACCTTACAAGGCAAGAACGGGTCTACATGAGAAGCGGGCTGGTCACCTGGCAAGCAATGGCCACAGCCACGGGACAGTGCAGAATCTTCTGCATGACACCCCCCTTGTCACCCTGTGCCTCTTCAGGCTCTTGCAGGCTGGTCCAGGTATCCCCAGGAGTGAGGCTGACACCCTCTGCAATGCGGCTCATCTGTACATGGCGAGATTATATGTTAACATATTGGTCCTCAATTTTTTGACATTTCACAGGTCTTTGATGTCCCAAAGCCTAGGAACCATTAATTCAAGGCAACCCACTGCCCTTCAAGGGTCTTCCTCACATCCCTGAGAGGTGACTCCTGGCTCTCAGGAGAGCAGTTACATCAGTGGGGAACTCAATGTCACATGGTAGCCTTCCTATCGAAGGCCACCTCCTGCTGTCAGAAAATGATCAGTCACCCCGAGTCAAAATCTACCTCCTTTCTGGAAACTTCCCCCAACTGGAGCTCACACATGAGGTCTGGCCCTTCTTCTACATGTTGTTCAGTCTAACACTTTTCTCCTCTAAGTGTGTGTTTTTCCCCTCCAGGTGTCATGGACCCAGTTTTTTCATGTACTCTACAGATGACACAATCACCCTCCTCTGGAAATGCTTCAGTTTATTAATGTGACTCTTAAAATAACATGCCTAGCCTCTCCAAACATTCCCACGTGGCCAGCTGCCCACAGCACTCCATCAGTGTAACTGAGAATAAAGCTAATTTTTGAGCCATTTCATGCTCAGACTTCCTACCATCTCAAACCGCTGACTCATTTTGAAGGAGGATGGTGGGATGGGGAAAAATTAAAATTACCATACACTGAGTGTTTCCTACATGCCAAGGCATTGTCTAGGTACTCTATCTGACACTGTATTTGTTCTTCCAACAAGTCTGCAAGGTAGATATTATTATCCCCATTTTGCAGATGAGGAATCTGAGGCTCAAAGAAGTTAAATAATTTGCTCAAGGTCACACAGTTGGTGAGTCACAGTCCGGGTTTGGAACCCTTGTCTCCTGGCTCTGAAGCCTGTGTTCTTTCTCTACAGTACACTGTGTGACACCATGGAGCTTGGGTCTTTCTAACCTCAAGGTTACTTTCCCATGAAGAGCTGTCAGCCAGGTTTCCCCTATTCTATTCTTGTGCCTTCTTAAAAAAATAATTACCCTTTTCTTTTGGTTATAAATAGCCCTTATCCACTGTGGAAAAATTAGAAGTATAGAAAAATTATAAAAGAAAATAACAACTCTATTTGCAAGCCTATAATACAAAGTTAACCACTGTTAACATCAGCCATATCTCTTTACAATCTTGTCTCTCTGTATGTATGAGATTGAACCACATGGAATGGCTGATATTCAGTTTTTTTGTTTTCTTTATTTTTTGTGTTGATATTCAATCATTTTGGATCTACACAAAAGGTAATTTCATATAAATCTTTTTAAAATTTATTTATTTTAAAAATTCTCAGCAGAATCAGTTTTCATATAATTCCCTAATATGTTTTTACATATAGCTGGAATCACATTGCACATGTAAAGTTTGAATTCTGCTTTTTCATGTAATAATATATCAGCATGTCCTGACTCATTTTAAATTCTTGGTAAACAACATTTTATTAGCGGTATACCATGAAAGTAATTTGTATTTGAAATAATTGATGTAACTATTCTATTGTTGGACATTTGGGTTTTTTTTATCACTAATACTTCTGTGATAAACATCTTCATGTATAAATATGCTTTTAAATTTCTGATTATTTCTTAGAATCAATTCCTGAAGGTAGAAGGGAGGTCAAAAGGTCATATTTCAAAGGTTCTTGATACATATTTCTATATTACCTTCCAGAAAGATTGAACCAGTTTTGAGTCCCACTATACCCTCACCTGCAGAGGAAATTATTACTTTTACATATTTGTTAGTTTGGTTGGTAAAAATTATTCTTTTAATTTTTATTCCCTTGATTCTTTTTGATACTTTATTTTTTGGACCTAAATGCAGATCTTTCAATTTTTTTTTTTTTTTGAGACAGGGTCTCCAGCCCAGGCTGGAGTGCAGTGGTGCAATCTCAGCTCACTGCAACCCCCACCTCCCGGGTTCAAGCGAGCCTCCTGCCTCAGCCTTCCAAGTAGCTGGGATTACAGGTGCACGCCACCATGCCTGGCTAATTTTTGTATTTTTGGTAGAGACAGGGTTTCTCCACGTTGTCCAGGCTGGTCTCGAACTCTAACCTCGAGTGATCCACCGACTTTGGCCTCCTAAAGTGCAGGGATTATAGGTGTGAGCCACCATGCCTGGCCAGATCTTTTAATTTTCTGACCAATATTCCACTTAGATCTTTTTGACTCAAAGATGAGCCAATAGTGTGAAGTGGCTGCTGAATAAGTGAATGCCTGCTTGGCTGCATAGGCGCGCAATGTATAGATCAGGGGAGATGGGAGGTGATGGATCCCTTCTACCTCTTCCTGGTCAGAGAATGCATCTGGAGCTTTTCAGCTATGTGGTTCTGGGGGTCTTATTTAAGAAGGACATTAACAAACTGGAGCATATTAATTTAACTAAAGGTTGAAGGATTGTGGAAAGAGGTTAAAGACACAGGGAATATGTATGTATGTATGTATGTATGTATGTATATATTTATTTATTTGAGACAGGGTCTTACTCTGTCATCCAGGCTGGAGTGCAGTGGCTGGATCACAGCTCACTGCAGCCTTGACCTCCCAGGCTGGAGTGATCCTCCTACCTCAGCCTCTGAGTGGCTGTGACCACATGTGTGCACCATTGTGCCTGGCTAATTTTAAAATTTTTTGTAGAGACAGTGTTTCGCAATGTTGCCCAGGCTGGTCTTGAACTCCTGAGCTCGAGCAATCCTTCCTCCTTAGACTCCCAAAGTGCTGGGATTACAGGCATGAGCCAACGCACCCGACCTGACACAGGGAATATTTGACATAGAGAAAATGAAAGAGAAACAGATGGGCAGAATAGCTGTATTAAAAAATGGCAGGCCTCCCTGTATGACCTTTGTAACTTTTCTATATAAAACCTGCCTTATATAAAAGACAAATCCATTTTAAGTGGATCCAGAAGACAGAAAATGGACCAATAGGTGGTGCAAGTAATTGATTTTAGCTTCACATAAACAAAATCTAATATTTTGTGCTATTTTACACCAAATAACTTTCTCAAAGGGCAGTGAGCACTTTGTCTCTAGAGGTATTCAAGCAAAGGTTTGAATTCAGAGAGTTGGTAAGGGGCCCTATACATAAGATGGAAGTTTGAATTGGCATCAATTCAAACTTAGGGATGATCCTTAGGGATCATCAGATGATCCCTAAGGGCTTTTCCAATGCCAGGATGTTACGGTGTTATGTGTCTGTGAATTGGCGTCCTTGAGGTATGGACAGAATAGCAGCGTCGGTGGGTTCAAGCTGCCTGAAGCGGATGCAGTGAGGCACAGAAGGCAGAGCTAGCCAGGAGGGCCGGCGGGGCTGACACGTGCCTCTCTCTGCAGCACTCCTACCTGCTGAAGCTGAAAGTCATGTACACCGTGGGCTACAGCTCCTCCCTGGTCATGCTCCTGGTCGCCCTTGGCATCCTCTGTGCTTTCCGGTGAGAACACACTGCCAGCTCTCCATACCCCAGCCCTCCTCAGGTACAGACTTTGGGTCTCTTCTCAACCACCCAGGACAGAAAGAGGAAGGTCTGAGTGAACTACCTTGTCGTCTCTTGATCTAAAGCTGACCTATGGCAAAACATCGAGGTTCCTGTGACCTCATTCATCCCTTTATTTTTTCAACATTTACTAAGCACTACTGAGAACTTGCGGCCGGTCGCTTTATATGTATTCTAATTTTCACACAATGCTATGAGATAGGTAACAGGAACCCCATTTTACAGTAGTACTAGCGAGATTCTGTTGCAAGAGACAGAAATCCACCTCGAAACAGCATAAGAAAAACAAAGGCGACCTGACCCATGTAAGTGGCAAGTTCATGGGCATCTGCTGTAGGCATGGCTGGATCTAGGTGTTCAGTGGCATCAGCAGCTAGGTCCGTCTCCCTCCATTCCACTGCTCTGGGTTGGCCTCATCCTCTGGGAGGCTTTCTGCAGAAGTGGCAGAGACAACCACCAGCAGTTGCTGGCATTCATCCTGCTAGCTCAGCAACACCAGGGCCAACAAGAGCCTCTTCCCCTCTGGTTCCAGTAAAAGTCCTCAGAGTTCTCATAGGCCGGGCTTAGGTCACATGCCCAACTCTGAGCCAATCACTATGGACAGCGATGGAGCACTCTGATTGATCAAGTCTGTCATGAGGGTGAGAAGGGTGGAGCCCTCCCAATCCAGAGCTGGAATGGGTTTCCCAGAAGAAAGCCTGTTTCCGGTACCAGAAGAAGCAGAACAAGTAACTGACTTCTGTCCCCTGCAGCAGAGGAGGACACTGAGGCTCCGGGAAGTGAAAAGTCTTGCTCAAGGTCATATAGCTGCTAAGTGGCAGAGCCAGGGTCTGCTTTCTCCCCGCAGCCTGTGTTCCTTCTGTGCCCCTAGCCCTCTCCCGTTCTGGTTGCCGTCCTCACCCCTCCCCCAAAACAATTCTGGGAGCTGGAGATGGTGGTAGGTCAGGGCAGAATACAATGTTGCCCCTACAGCCCCAGCTTTTTATTTATTCATTTAGAGACAAAGTCTTGCTCTGCTGCTGAGGCTGGAGTGCAGTGGCAATGGTAGAACTCCTGGGCTCAAGCAATCCTCCCACTTCAGCCTCTTGTACAAGGAATACAGGCAGGCACCACCATGCCCAGCTAATTAAAAACAAAAACAATTTTTTTGTAGATACAGAAGTCTCAATATGTTGAACTCATGGCCTCAAGTGATCTTCCTGCCTTGGCCTCCCTAAGTACTGGGATTACAGGTGTGAGCCACACTGTGGCTGGCCTTTTTTTTTTTTTTTCTCACTGCAGCATGTAGCAAATTAGACTGGCCACCTGGAGACCCAGTTCCTCATTCAGGTTATGCTCACAGAATGTGTTACCCGGAAAGAGCTGAAGTCTAGGGCCTCAGTTTCCCCAGTGCACTGGTGGCAGGTGGGCCTGGCTGAGTCCCAGCCCCTCAGGCTCTGGCCTCTATGTCCCTACATTCTCTCCCTGCAGGAGGCTCCACTGCACTCGCAACTACATCCACATGCACCTGTTCGTGTCCTTCATCCTTCGTGCCCTGTCCAACTTCATCAAGGACGCCGTGCTCTTCTCCTCAGATGATGTCACCTACTGCGATGCCCACAGGGTAATATGTCTGGGTGCCCCAGGATGTCGCCAGGCCCGCCTGCCTTCCCCAGCCTAGCTTTGGAGAGGGGAGTAGCCTAGTTGTCCTTCCCCCAAGCCCCTGCTGAGGCTGCACTTAATACCAAGGATAAAGCAGCCAGTGCTGACACTGGGCCAGGAGGTTCAGGGAGATTCCACAGCCACATGTGCACAATCTGGGTCATGTAGGAGAGAAGCTCATGGGGGTTGCCGTAAACTCCCAGTGTCCAGGAGTGAACTGGTCACTCTAGGAATTAGATATATAGGGAGACTCCTCTTTTCCCTACTTCTGCCAGTTCCCAGCTGAAGAAAGATGACCCAGTCTGGAGAGGGTGGGGGTTGGTCATAAAAAGAAAAGGGTGAGCATGGGCCAGTATGTCTGTATAAATGTATTTGCAATAAAACGTTGTGTTTTCTTAAATCTAACCCCCTTTCTCCTTCCAAATGCCCAGATGACTCAATTCATTGCAATCACCCTGTGTGTCAGTTGGGATTCCTTTTGCTGCGAATAACAGAAAACTATATATTGGGGTCTTAAACAAATGGGGGCTGTTTCCTACGTAAGCAGTCCACAGATGAGGTGGTGCAATGGCTGTGTGATACCATGAGGGACACAGTCTTTTCCCCTGTTTCCGCACTGCCATCCTTAGAGTAGGCCTTTGATGTCATGCTTTATACCACATGGTTGCAATATGACTGCTGCAACCCCAGGCCTCCTGTCTGTGTTCCAGGCAAGAAGGAGAAAGGTAAAACGTTAAACATTTTTTTATCTTTTGGGCAGCTTTGCCTTTCTATTGAGAAAGGGCACCTTCCCCAGAAACTCCTACCTACATCTCATTGGCTAGAGTTGAGTCATGTAACCACACTTAATCGCAAAGGAAGCAGGGTGATAGAGTTTTTTACTATCACAATCTCTATAGTAGAGGCGAGCAAGGGAGAAAAGAGATTGGAAATTGAGATTAGTTCAGCCAACCTGCCTGCCACTTCCTACCACTCACCTGTTTGTATTGTTCAGAGTTGTGTGTGTGTGTGTGTGTGTGTGTATTTTCTGACTCAGACTGAGAGGTTCTTCAGGTAGGATCCATGTCTCTCAAGGAGGTCTCCAGGATGAAACAAGAGTACCTGCTGGGAGTCAGGAGCCTTAAATCCTAGCCACGCTTCATTACTGACCAGCAGTGGACAAGGCCAGCAATGCCCCAGCAGGGAACCTTCTCAGGTTTTACTAAACATTAGACTCACAAGTCAACCATGGGCCTTGCCTGGAGTCAGAGCCTCTGGGAAGGCCATAAGGCAGGAACCACCACTGTCCCCAGGCAGCACCGGGCGCTCCTCCTTCTCGGGCTTGTCTTTGCAGCAGCCCTACGGCTATCCCGGGAGCTGTCCCATCCCCAGGGGACAGCCCAATGCAAAGAAAAGGACAAAGGCCCTACCATGGCAGAGGTACAGGAGCTGTGCTGGTGTAGAAGCCTGGTGCCCCACAATTCTACAGGCATAACTTCCGGGGATCCCTGCAGGGGACATGCCTGTTAAAAGAGTCAGTCACTGCATCAGGGAAGTCCAACTCCATGACATCCCCATCAGATATGTGGAGAGTGCAATGTACCAGCCAGGGCCATTTTTACCATAATCAGTGGTACCTCCTAACAGAGTTGGCACATCCCTTCATTATGTGTTTGCAAGGGAACTGAGCTTAGAAAAGATTTTTTTAACCCTTTGCTCAGAAATCTCTTCCCTTTCTAGGCCTTGGTTTCCTCATCTGAAAAAATGAGGGGATTGGGCAGTATCCGACACAGTTCTGTAGTTGAAGGACTGCCTCCTCATCTAGCCTGGCAGCCAGTGCTAGGATTTGAACCTAGTTCCTGCTCCTATGATGGCTCATTGATTGGCCAGCTTGACTGAACCCACTAGGCCTGTGGACTCCTACTCTCTAGAGAATGCTGCAGGCCTGATGGAGGAAGGCCACAGAAGATGGCCTTGAACCCCAGAGGCCCGCTCTTGTGGCCTGGCTCCTGCCCCTACAACACCCTGTTGCTCCCTTTGGGGCCACTCACCAGAGGGAACCCCACTGCCACCCGGCCTGGGTTCAGCTGCCTCTCTCTCTCCAGGCGGGCTGCAAGCTGGTCATGGTGCTGTTCCAGTACTGCATCATGGCCAACTACTCCTGGCTGCTGGTGGAAGGCCTCTACCTTCACACACTCCTCGCCATCTCCTTCTTCTCTGAAAGAAAGTACCTCCAGGGATTTGTGGCATTCGGATGGGGTATGTTTCTCCCTGGGTCTGATATCTGCATGGTATGTGGGAAGGGGTGCTGAGTCGAGAGTCGGAGGGTTCGGCTTTTAGTTCCAGCTCCACACTTAACTAACTTGTGTAATCTTTTTTTTTTTTTTTTTTTTTGAGTTGGAGTTTTGCTCTTGTTGCCCAGGCTGAAGTGCAATGGCATGATCTTGGCTCACTGCAACCTTCATCTCCCAGGTTCAAGTGATTCTCCTACCTCAGCTTCCCAAGTAGCTGGGATTACAGGCATGTGCCACCACACCCAGCTAATTTTGTATTTTTAGTAGAGACAGGGTTTCGCCCTGTTGGTCAGACTAGTTTTGAACTCCTGACCTCAGGTGATCCGCCCGCCTCGGCCTCCCAAAGTGATGGGATTACAGGCGTGAGCCACCGCATCCAGCTAACTTGTGTAATCTTAGACAAGTTCCTTGATGTTTAACCCTCTGGTCTCAGTTTACTTATCTGTCAAGTGGGAAATCCTAGCTCAAATTTAGCCCCAGTTTCTGGCATCTAGAGCTTTTTACAGTTCGTTCCCACCCAATACTTGTTGCCTCGTCTGCCTTTAGACGGTGCATTCCTACGTCCTCTTTCTTGCTTCCTTTCTGTATTAGAACGCTTTTGACTGCTGGCATCAGAAAATCTGTAAACCTTTAAACATAAACGAAATTAATTGGCTCATATAACTGAAAAGTCCAGTGATCACCAACTTCAGGAGAGGCTGAATCCAGCAGCGTCACACTGTTGCTTTCTGTCTCTACTTTGCCTTTCGTAACATCGGCTTTGTAGTTAAGCTGGTGTTCCCAATGGAATGGCCAACAGCTTCTGGGCTAGAGACTTCCTTGTACCGAACTCCAACGAGAGAAAGAAAGAGACTCCATCCAGCATTCTTAGCAAATATTCTGAGGTGCACTCTGGTTGGACTGCTTGAATCTCATAGACACCCTTGAACTAGTCACAGAGGCCTGAGAGAATGAAATATGTTGATTGGCCTTAGCTACTCAAACCACATGACTTCCTAAAGGAAATTCGGGATTCATTGTCTAGGAAAGAGGGAGAATGAGAGCGAGACAGCCAAGTGCGGGCCCCCATTCCATCTCTGTCCCTTTTCCTTTTCGGTCAATGAAGACGACAAACAACTTCCATTTTAGGGGCACTTGCTATGTGCCAGGCATTGGATTCAGCACTTTACATGTATCATTTAATCATCGTAGCAATCTCCAGAGGCCTCTCAGAGACCTCAGCTCACAGACACAACGTAACATACCAACTCACATGGTAAACAAGGACAGACCTCAGGATTCAAGCCAAGACTTGTCTGTTTCCAAAGCCCTTTAACTTTTACCCTGCCATTAACACCCATCCATCCATCCATCCATCCATCCATCCATCCATCCACCCACCCACCCATGCACACATCCACCCACTCATCCATCCATTCCTCTATCCATTCATCCATTAGTTGCTCATTTGATAAACATGAACGTTACCCTAAGGAGTTCTAGACAGAGAGCCAGGTTCCTGTGAGTGACTCAAAGGCTTACAGAGATAGTCATGTGCACCAAGCATTAGCTTCTTTTGGTTTCTTCCTGGTGCCTTTAAGAAGTGTCCCTGCCAGGAATGCCCTGTGCTGCCTTTTCTGCTTGTCTAAATCCTTATTTACAAGGGCCCTGTCTCCCGATCAGGGGAGCTGCCTGAGCTGGCAGAGCTTGCTGAGCCCTCCTGCTTGCTGAGCCCTCCTGCTTGCTGAGCCCTCCTGCTTCTGAACCTTGGCAGCCCAGTCAGCACCTGACCCCGGGCCATCGGGAGGTTGCAGAGTTATGCCGACGTCTCTAGAGGCCAGCAATCCCAGAGTGCCTGGGGACCAGGGACTTGCCTTATGCAGCTGGCTCTGCCAAAAAAGCACCCAACTCACTGAGCCCAGTTCACTAAGCTTTAAATCCCAGATACGCCAAGATTCAGCTGTATGAACATGGACCGTTTTCCCATCTATAATATCAGGACCATAATTTATTCAACATTCTTTGAGCACTTCCTGTGTTCAGGGATTACAAAGCTGCATTGTGATAGTATCTCTGTCACAGGATTTTAAGATGTTGGAATGAAATAATAAGAACCTTCCTTTCTTCTTCAAATCTTTGTGGAGCATCTACTGTACGCCAGCCCTGTGCTGGGTGCTGAGAATTGAGTGACATATAAAACAGCAATGGTTCTCTTCCTCCTGGCCTGTTTGCCTGCCAGACACCAAAGAGACCCTGAAGGGTCCCTAGAAGGCCTGAAGCCCCTCTATCTGTGAGAAGCCCTTTTCATGCGAAGGTAACGGCCCCTGCTTGAAATTATACTGATTTCATCAAAGATAGGTTGCTTAAATGGGTACACCCCTACTGTAAAACCTTGTAAAAAAAATTTTTTTAAGTAGAAAAAAAAAAATTACCCTAGTCCCACAGATTGAACTTTTTCTGAGATTTCCTTCCAACCTTTTTTTCTACTTGCAGTTTTTCCTCACATAGCTGTGGTCATTCTCTATGAAGAATTTTGAATTTCGCTTCTTCCCATTAACACATAAGCATGTTCTGTATTATGTCAAATCTTTCATAAACATTTTAAACTACCACATAGATAGATAGATGTGATATAGATGTATTTAACCACATACCTATTGTTTGGACATTTAGGTTGTCTCACTATTATAAATAGCACAGTGATGAATACCTTTATGGGCAAAGTGTTTTCTGTATGTAATACAGAATCCCAGGATATGGATTCCTGAGTGGAAAGGAGTGAGCACGTTTAAGGTTTTTAACACTTACCCAAAGCTTTGACTTTTTCAGAGCGGCTGAGGTGTGAGTCTGTATCCAGAAAATAGTGACAGCGCAGGCTTTATAGATGAGCCAGGCTGCCACTCAGCGAGTGAGAGTGAGCGGCTGGCACTGGCGGTTCTGCCTCAGCATGGGTGAAGGTCTGCCAAACCCAGCTTGCTGCACTCCCCGCCCAGAGACTCTGAGGCAGTGGGTCTGGGGTGGCCCGAGACTGCATTTCTGACGTGTTCCCAGGTGTTGCTCATGCTGCTGGTCCAGGGGCCACACTGAGCCACCAACTTAAACCATTACAAATTTTGCAAACTTTCCCACCAACTTGCCACTAAGGATGGAAGATAATGAACAAGTGCCTCTCAAAACCCATGTTCTTTGCCCAAAGCACTAAGAATTGAGGCAAGACTTTTTTTTTTTTTTTGAGAGAGAGTCTTGCCCTGTTGCCCAGGCTGGAGTGCAGTGGCGCAATCTGGGCTCACTGCAAGCTCCGCCTCCCGGGTTCACACCATTCTCCTGCCTCAGCCTCCTGAGTAGCTGGGATTACAGGTGCCCACCACCACACCCAGCTAATTTTTTGTGTTTTTAGTGGAGACGGGGTTTCACTGTGTTAGCCAGGATGGTCTCAATCTCCTGACCTCTTGATCCACCTGACTCGGCCTCCCAAAGTGCTGGGATTACAGGCGTGAGCCACCACGCCCGGCTTTTTTTTTTTTTTCAAGATAGGGTCTCTCTTTGTCACCCAGGCTGGAGTGCAACTGTTCAATCTTGGCTCACTGCAGCCTCAACGTCCTGGGCTCAAGTGATCCTTCTGCCTCAGCCGCCTGAGTGGCTGTGACTACAGGCATGCACCACTGTACCTAGCTAATTTTTATTTACTTATTTTTATTTTTTGTAGAGACAGTGTCTCACTATGTTGCCCAGGCTGGTCTTGAACTCCTGGCCTCAAGTGATCCTCCTGCCTCAGCCTCCCAAAGTGCTGGGATTACAGGCATGAGCCACCACACCCAGCCCAAGGCATTTGTTTAATTGTTATTTTTATCAAAGTCATTCATGTACTTGGTTTAAATAATTAAACAAAAGACTACAAGGTTTATAATAAACAAAAGCTAAATCTCCTGCCTTCACTTCTTATTCCCGAGCTCAGCCTCCAGAGTTAATGCCTTTCACTCTTTTAACTTGTTCCTCCTAAGATTTACTCTCGTGTTTCTAAAATCAATACACTACTATTTCTTGATTTGTCTGTTTGAAGCATTAGTTATTGACTCCACATGATGGAAGATAAGAATATAAAATTATTTTTTCTTTTCTGAGACAGGATCTCACTCTCTTGGCCCAAGCTGGAGTGCAGTGGTTCAATCACAGCCCACTGCAACCTCAAGCTCCTGGGCTCAAGCGATCCTCCTGGCTCAGCCTCCTAACTAGCTAGGACTACAGGTGCATGCCACCACATCTGGCTGATTTTTTACATTTATTGTAGAGACAGGGTCTTGCCATGTCTCCCAGGTTGGTCTTGAACTCCTGGGCCCAAACGATCCTCCTGCATCAACTTCCCAAAGTGCTGGGATTATAGTTGTGAGCCATTGCGCCTGACCAAGAATATAAAATTCTTAATCCTCTACCTCCATTCTTCCTTTACAGTTTCTTATCATTTTTGGCTAAATCAGATTCAGTGTATACATTATTATATCTATGTAAATAGTGTTTACCACTGAGACAAGTGGTGTACAATAATTTTACTTTCAATCTTATTAACTTTTTATTTTCCTGGAATCATTTTTCCTTTGCTTTTTATATATATATATTGCCAGCATCAATTCTCTCAAATTCTTTGGACAGCCTTCCAATGCTATTTATTTTCCAAATCATCAAATGCAATAGGAAATCTATCAGTTCCTATTTGTTTGTTTCCTGCTGTATTAGTTCCTAAGGCTATCTTAACAAATTGCCACAAACTTGGTGGCTTAAAACAACAGAAATTTACTCTCTCACAGTTCTGGAGGCCAGAAGTCTGAAATCAACGCGTTGGCAGGGTTGGTTTCTTTTGGAGGCCCTGACGGAGGATCCCTCCCATATCTCTTTCCTACCTTCTGGTGGTGGCTGGCAATGCTTGGCATTCCTTGGTTTGTAGTTGCATCAGCCCCATTCCTGCTTATGTCTTTACATGGACTTCTTCCTCTGTGTCTTCTCTCTCTGTGTGTCTCTCATGGCCTTCTTATAAGGATGCCAATCATGCTGGAGTAGTGGCCCACCATACTCCAGTATGACTTTATCTTAACCAATTACATCTGCAAAGACCCTATTTCCAAGTAAGGTTACAGTCTGAGGTGCTGGGTTGACATGAATTTTAGGGAGACACTATTCAACCTGGTATACTTGCCAGTGTTTTTTTCTAGAGCTTTCTGCCTTCTTGCTTGACTTGGCCTGGCTGTTCTCCAGATTTGCTCAGCTCCCTTAGCTTTCACCTTCTTCCACAAATCCTGTTTCCTTTCTTTCTCATCTCCCTGTCTTTGGTTCACTCTCTAGTTGTGTTGGAGCACATCCTCCAGTATCTGTCTAACCAAGAGCACCTGAAAGGAACATTTTTTTAATCCCATGTCTGAAGATATCTTCGTTCAACCTTCATACCTAATTCATTATTTTGCTGGACATAAAACAAGCTGAAGTCCAGGCACAGTGGCTCACACCTGTAATCCCAGCAATTTGGGAGGCCAAGGTGGGCAGATCACTTGAGGTCAGGAGTTCGAGACCATCCTGGCCAACGTGTTGAAACCCTGTCTCTACTAAAATACAAAAATTAGTCAGGGGTGGTGGTGGGTGCCTGTAATCTCAGCTATTCAAGAGGCTGAGACAGAAGAATCACTTGAACCCGGGTGGTGGAGGTTGCAGAGAGCTGAGACCACTGCACTCCAGCCTGGGCAACAGAGTGAGACTTCATCTCAAAAAAAAAAAAAAAAAAAAAAGTTGAAAAATCATTTTCCCCAGAATTTTGAGGGTCTTGTGTTTTGGCATCAGTGTTATGGGATGTGCCATGCCATTTTGCTTCCTGAACTTTTTACTCCTTTCTACATAAGCTGCAGGATCTTCTCTCTGTGTTCTGAAATGTCACAGGGATGTGCTGTGATGCAGGCCTTTTTTCATCGTTTTTCCTGGCATACGGTGTCCCTTTCATCTGAAAATTCATGTCTTTCATTTCTTGAAAATGTTCTTACATTATCTATTTAATTGTTTTTTCCTTCTGTTTTTTATCCTCTGTTTTCTGAAACTCCCTTTAGTCTAATGTTGTACATCCTGGAATAACCTCTAATGTTCGAATTTCTTTTTCCTACTTTTCATTCCACTGTTGTTTATTCTGCTGAGAGATTCCTAGTCTTTATCTTCCAACCCGTCTATTGCGTGTTTAATTGTGGTTATCATATGCTCCGTTCCTAAGCCCCCTTTCTTGTTCTCCGGGCACTCCCTGTTGACAGCATCCTGTTTGTGTCTTGTAGATACGACCTTTTATCTCTCCGATGGCGTTCCTTAGAGTTGTTTTGTTCCAAGTTCCTTCTGCTTCCTGTATGGTCTGTTTCCTCTGAGTTCCTTTTCTCTGATTGTTTTGGTCTGTGTCTTTTATGTAATAAGATGTTGGTGACCTTGGCTGTCTGTTCCTATTTAAGAATGAATCACTTCAGAGCCGGCTAATGGCTGTTGGGGGTGTGGGGTTTGTCTCTCAAGGGACACTGGACTGGAAGTGTTGGGGGGTCCCCCCATGGCTATCTATAGGCTCTTTGTCTGGGGCTGTTCAGTTCCTCTAGAGAATCCTTTCATCTCCAGCGTGCAGTGGCAGGGAGGTGGGCAGAGGGTAGAGGGCTGGGGTAGGGGTAGAAGCCCATTCAGTAGAGGCCTGAAAACTGAGCGGCCCGGGGACCAGGGCTTTTACCATTCAGCTTGAGCACGTCCACTAGAAATAGAATCTGATTTAAGTATTTCTGCTTAAAAAAAAAAGAATCTGAGCCATACATCTAGCTTAAAATTTTCTAGTAGCCACAATCAACACAGTAAAATGAAACAGGCAGTATTTGTTTCAACAATCTATTCTGTTCAACCCAAGGTGACCAAAATAGTATCATTTCAATGTATAATCAATATAAAAATTGGTAATGACATATTTTACATTTTTTTTTTTTTGAGATGGAGTTCCTCTCTTGTCACCCAGGCTGGAGCGCAGTGGCGCAATCTTGACTCACTGCAACCTCCGCCTCCCGGGTTCAAGCTATTCTCCCACCTCAGCCTCCCGAGTAGCTGGGATTACAGGCATGCACCACCATGCCTGGCTAGTTTTTGTTTTTTTAATAGAGACAGGGTTTTGCCATGTTGGCCAGGCTGGTCTCGAACTCCTGACCTCGGGTGATCCACCTGCCTCAGCCTCCCAAAGTGCTGAGATTACAGGCATGAACCACCGCGTCTGGCCATGTTTTACGTCCTTTTATTTGTACCAAGTCTTCAAAATATGGTATCTATCTTGCACTTAGTGCCCAACTCAGTAGGGACCAGCCACATACCAGGTGCTCAAGAGCCACCTTGAGCGCTGGTGTAGACTGTCACTCCATTCCTGCTCAGCTGAGCAACCCCTCCAACCCTCTGCTGGGCTGCAGCCCTGTTCTCCTTGGTTCAGTAATTCCAGAGAATAAACTCTGTTGGAAGTTGACTATTCAGTCTGGTGAGGGTAGTGCTGGCCGCCTGGGGTGCTTATCTGTTTCTTATCCAGACTTCAAACCATCCTCCTGCCCCAGCCCCACTCTGCCGCCTGCCTCCTGGGTACCGGGTGCCCTGGCCCTAGAGCATCCTTGGGCACTTCCCCAGCGGCATTGCCCCAGACAGCACTTCTGTTTCAGCTTCCTCTGCTCGGGACATCAGCTGCCACTCCTCTGGCAGGCTTCTGTGTGCCTAAGCGTGTTGCCGTCTCTCCTCTACTCTGCCCTTCCTTCTCAGTCTTTGTCCTTACGGGCTTTTACCATTTCTATTTCTTTATTATCATTTTAGAGGGGCTTCAGGGGAAGTAGGGATAAATGTATAAGTTCAGTTTGCCACGTTTAACTAGAAGTCAGGAAATGTTATTGTATTTTCTCTTCTAAATTCTTGTGGACTTGATCTCATCTCTAGTCCAAATTATATTTTTGTTTAAACATGACAGTGATGGCTTACCTTAGCTGTTAAATGGCCAAGCTTTTTACAAACCAATATTTGAATAAAATCAACGTTTCTTTCATGACCTGTGTCCACCCCTTCTCCACTTCCTCCTCCCCGCTGCACGTGGCCAGGCAGATCACAGTATGAGAAGGGGGCTCTCCAGCTGCCTCCATGTGTCCACGAGCCTGCCCAGGAGTCCCAGCCCCTCTATACTTTGCAGTGGTCCTCTGGAGTCTGGCCTGGGTTCCCAGGAGACCCCTAACACCAAGTGGCCTTTGGGATCCTTCTGATTCTGCCATAGTCCCCAGGGCATGCCCGGCACCCTTGAGGCACATGGTGCCACATTCACACAAGATGGCACAAGATGGCAGAGGGGTTTCTGTGGAAACCAAATCTTGGCACCTGCTCAGTAGCTGGGCTGGGGTAACCAATTGTCCTGTTCTGATATGTGTGTTGAAAATTGAGTCCTCTCTCTTCTGCCCCTCCCTTTGTTTTTAATCCTCAGGTTCTCCAGCCATTTTTGTTGCTTTGTGGGCTATTGCCAGACACTTTCTGGAAGATGTTGGGTAAGCTAACGGAAGGAGGATAACAAGAATGTATCTGACATCGTCCAGCTTTTCAAACAGCATAGTTACTTCTTTGGAGCTATCTAGGAAAGGCCTTTTTCTCAAAGTAGAGGCCACAGATGAGTTCCCTGGACTGATGCTCACTGCTTCCCAGGTGTGTTTCCAGGTGGGCCGAGCAGCCTTGGCCATGCCTGCACTGTCCTGGCCTTCCTGTCTTCTTGCTGCCTGTCCGCTCTGCATGTGGGTCAGATGCCAGACAAGAGCTACGGGGCTCCAGGCAGGTGTTGCTCCATGGAAGAAACTCAAGGAAGGGCCAGTCCAGCTTTTTCTTCCTCCTGGGATCTCCCTCCTGGATGCCTCTCTACCCCTGGGTGTTTAGGAGCCCTGCAGAGCCAGACTCTAAAGAAGTCAGGCATTGAGGGTGGCAGTGAGCCCAGGGGACGCACCTGGGAGTAGGTACATGGGAAGCAAGCTTAAAAGAAGCTGGGGAAGAGGAGAGGCAGCAGGGCAGCAGCGAGGCAGCGGGGCAGCATGGGAGTTGATTTCTCAGGGGCATAATGACACAACCAGGCCAATAAGTGGATGAGGTCAAATGAGACATCCAAGTGTCTATAGTCCAAATTTAGCCCGAAATAATTGCTTCAAAGTAATTTTTGTATTGGGTGAATTCACTTTTTCAAAAAATCTGGATTTTCAGCTTGTCTAGAAAAAAATGGAGAGGTCCTTTAACACGTTCCATTTTTCCTTGTGGCAAAAATAAGCTGGAGCAGAGCTGCGGCTGTCTTGGACAGGGCACATGCTCCCCAGTTTGCTCAGTACCCTCCAGGCCTGATGTCCCCAGATCCTGAGGTCACATGTCAGCCATCCACCACTTCTCTTACTGATGTCATCTTCCTGGCTTCTGTTGGTAGCTGAGTTTGCCACCGTGCTCGCTGGTGAATTCTGACAGTAAGCTAACTTTTGGATCTGGGAGTCTCCCGGCTCTCAGGTTCTCGCAGGGAGACAGGTGGCCACTCCCTCAGCCCCAGCAGTGCTCCTGGGTGGCAGGAGGGGGTGTTCTAATGGTGCTGGGCACACCACTGCAGGGGCTCAGTGCCACAAACACAGGTCCTTCATACCAAGGGCCACCTCAGGGAACATGTCCTTGCTGGTTAGCCCAGCTCCCACAGCTCCTGCTCATAACCATGCCCAGCTGTCCCTCCCTTAGGTGCTGGGACATCAATGCCAACGCATCCATCTGGTGGATCATTCGTGGTCCTGTGATCCTCTCCATCCTGGTGAGTGGCCCTCCTCTCCCTAGCTGGGGATCAGTGGGAGAGACGGAAATGGTGACCAGCCCACAGGGGCAGAGGGTGGAAGGACAGGGCTCCCTGCAGGTGCCAGGAGGGATAAACCACAGTGTTTGTGAGGTTGGTGAGCAGCGTGGGGTGTGGAAGCTCTGCCCCCTGCAGAATGTGTGGGAGTGCAGTGAGGGGTAAGCTGGAGGCAAGAGCCTGCGAACCTGGTTCTTTCCCACAAGCAGCAGCTCAAGTGTGGTGAGCAGAGCTCCTTGTTCTAAACTGGCTGGCTCCCATTGGCCTGAAATTCCACCTTCACTGGTTCAGACCTGTGGGCCTTGAACATTTTTCTAGGGATTTGCTTGTTAACTTGGGATGAGTCGCTAAGCTGAGATCACTGAAGAGGGTGGGAGTGCAGATCGGGGAAGCTCAGTGGGGTCATGGTCTTGGGACTTTGCAGTGCTGCGAGTGGGCTCAGGCCTGGAGGGGCGGCCCCAGGGAAGAGATGCTGGGTGACCATCTTGGACAGGAGCTTGTGAGTGTCAACCCTGGTGGCCCTTTTGAATCACCTGGGAGCTTTTAGAAAATACTGATAGCTATTGATTCCATTTCTTTTTCTGGCAAGAGGCCTGGGTACTGGTCCCCAGGCGATTCTGCTCTGTGCCAGGGTAGAGTCCTGTAGCCCAGCCCATGGGTATGGTTCAGCATAGGGGGACAGAGGAGGGAAGGCACATGGGGACACACAGGAATCATCTCATGGATGGAAGCAGTCCCTTGGCTGGAAGTAACATCCACACGGACAGCCCAGGGATGCCCAAGGCTGCAGAACCAGTTGAAAGTGAGTGTCCTGTGCAGGCTCACCTGCGTGGGGTAGGGGGAGAGGGCACAGGACAGGGCCCCTTCTCTTCCAGTAGCTGCCTGGGTGGCATCTTGGGATTGGTTGAGAGGAGAGGACCATTCCATGACAACCTTCTTTTATTCTTTTTTAATTACATAATCTGAGCAAAAAATGCAAAATACAAAATGTTTGTTTTGGTTTTACTTTTTGAGACAGGGTCTCACTCTGTCACCCAGGCTGGAGCGCAGTGGCGCAACCCATGACTCACTGCAACCTCCACCTCCTGGGCTCAGGTGACCCTCTCACATCAGCCTCCCGAGTAGCTGGGACTAAAGGCTCCCACCACCACGCCTAGCTAATTTTTTGTAGAGATGAGCTTTCACTGTGTTGCCCAGGCTGGTCTTGAATTCCTGGACTCGAGTGATCTGCCTGCCTCAGCCTCCCAAAATGCTGAAATTGCAGGTGTGAACCACTGTGCCTGGCACAAAATGTATTTTTTAAAAAGGAAAAAAAAAATCATTCATCATTCTCCCAGCTACATATATGTTATGACCATGTGTTTTCCTTCCTCCTTCTTCTTTGAGCAGACATACTTTTCTTTTTCAAAATCCTTAATTAGGTTTTTTTTTTGTTTTTTTGTTTTTTGTTTTTCACTTAGCAATAGATGTGAGCTTTCCTGTTTCATGTGGAATTCCTTGATAAACTGATTTGCCATGGCTTCATAATATCATGCTGGAGGCTGTTTCCTCATTTAGTTAAGCAAGCCCGCTGTTATTCTGGGACTCGGAGAGCCCAGCCCAGGACAACCCTGGATGAAGGACGGCCAGCTCCAGTGTCCAGGGCTGGTTTCAGAGGGCTGTGGTTTATTCAGCAATTGAGGATGTTGGATGAGCACTCCTGATGCAAAATATCTCCCTACCAACCTAGCATGGGGCCTGGAATTCCACTATTTAAAAATGGACTCATTCTTGGGAACTTAAAGACTTTCTTTCTTTCCTTGTTTTCTGCTTGCTTGCTTGCTTCCTTGCTTCCTTCCTTCCTTCCTTTCCTTCCTTCCCTCCCTCCATTTATTTATTTATTTATTTATTTATTTTTCTTTCTTTCTTTCTTTTTCTTTCTTTTTTCTTTCTTCCTTCCTTCCTTCCTGCCTTCCTTCCCTCCCTCCCTCCCTCTTTCTTCCTTCCTTCCTTCCTTCCCTCCCTCCCTCCCTCCTTCCTTCCTTCCTTCTTTTTTTTGTCTTCAAGTGCTCCCTATTAAATTAAATACAACTCTAAGGCAAACAAAATTAAACTAAATAGCCTTAATGAGTTGATAGCATGCATAGCCAGCTTACAACAAGATGCATAAGCAAGTTGCAGAGAAGCAGGGTTCCCCGAAAAGCAGTGCTGGGCCAGGAGTCCTAGACAGCCACTAATCCTGTGTCTTTTGGCAAGCATTCCCAGGCCCCAGGCTGCTTGTGTGAACAATGCGGGTGTGAGGCTGGGTGATTCCACTGATCCCTGCTTCTATAAAATGGCTGGAGCAGGTGTGTGAGGGAGGGAGAGATGCTACCATGTGGGCAACTTCCTAATGTTGTTGGCACTGGGCACTGGGGTTGGGGGAGGGGACACCAAAATGAATAAAAAGACTGCGTTCCTGTCCTTCAGGAAGTTACAATTGAATTGGCAGATAACTAGGCACATACATGTTTGACAGACACATGCATTTGACCTTTTAAGATATTTTCTCTTCCAATCATAGTTCGCAAGAAAAAAAAAGATATTTTAAGTGCTCTTACACAGCAATATTATCCCTAAATACGGTGAATCAGGAAAGGGAAGTAATCAAGGGTGGCTTCTTGAAGCTGGCGATTGAGCTGCAAACTGGTCCTCACACCAGCAGCTTCAGCATCACCTGGGAGCTTGTTAAAAATAATTCTTGGGCCCCACGCCAGACTTACTGAACCATAACCTGTGGGGTTAGAGCCCAGCAATGGGTACCCTAAACTTTGAGAACCACTGCTGTAAAGGCTTTCAGCTTTGGCATTGTATTACCTGGGAGCTTGTTAGAAATGCAGAATCTCAGGTCCACCCCAAACCTGCATTTTAACAATATCCCCGGGGGCTTCCAATGCTCTGCACGGGTGAGTGATCTGCCTTGCAACTAAGCAGACCTTAGAGCTTCTGCAGCCCAGGGGCAGGAGGGAGTGCTGCCTCCAGCCATGGACTCTAGACAGTGTTTCACCAGGACTGGGGGTGGGGAGGGGATGGAGAGGAGCGGCAGCACTGGTGGGCCATCCTGGCTGTGGTGTCTGCAATGTCTTCTCTGCCCTCAGGTCCAGGGGACAGGGCCAGGAGAGGTGGCTGGAAAAGCAAGATGCCTTCAGCCCCACCTCTGCCTTGTGTTTTGCAGATTAATTTCATCCTTTTCATAAACATTCTAAGAATCCTGATGAGAAAACTTAGAACCCAAGAAACAAGAGGAAATGAAGTCAGCCATTATAAGTAAGTGAAGGGCAAAGACTGAGGCATGGTCAGTCAGCAAGCATTTACTGAGCACCTACTGTTTACTTAACTGGTGCTAGCTATTGGAGACGGAGGAAACGTTGTAGACCTAGTCGTAAGAAGTTTACCAGGTACATGGGGGCGGTTGCGGGGAATGGTCTGATTTTAGAGCCTCAGACACTGTATGGGGGTGGAAACACTAAGAAATCTCAGGCAGGAAGCCTGACGGCAGAGAGATCTTATCCTTGGGGCAAGGCTAGGGAGTCTCCACATGGGCTTCAAAGACTGAAATTCACACAAATGTGTGTAGGTACAGTATGTGTATTTTCAGAGGAGGATGACCTTCGGTTTCATCAGATTTTAGGGAAGTGCGTGATCCAAAAACACTTAAGACCTTTCAAATGTTAAAGAGAAATACGTTCGTTTTCTAGGGCTTCCATAACAAAATATCACAGACTAGGTGGCTTAAACAGCTGATATGTATTTTCTCAGAGTTCTGGAGGCTGAAAGTCCAAGATCAAGGTGTCGACAGGTTTGGTTTCTTCTGAAGCATTTCTTGCTGTGTCCTCACAGGGTCTTTGCTCTGTGTGTGGGCATCCCTGGTGTCCCTCTGTGTGTCCATATTTCCTCTTCTAAGGACACCAGTTGATTTGATTAGGCCCCACTCCATCCTTGTTGTAACTTAGCCTCCTCTTTCAAGACCTTTCTCCAAATGCAGTCACATTCTGAGATACTGGGGGCTAGGACTTCAGTGTAAAAATTTGGCAGTGGGTGTGGACATAATTCAGCCCATAAATTATATTAAAGACAAATTAGCATCCAGGCGCGGTGGCTCACACCAATAATCCCAGCACTTTGGGAGGCCAAGGTGGGCAGATCACTTGAGGTCAGGAGTTCGAGACCAGCCTGGTCAAGATGGTGAAACCTCGTCTTTGCTAAAAATACAAAAATTAGCCAGGCGTGGTGGAGGGCGCCTGTAATCTCAGCTACTCGGGAGGCTGAGATAGGAGAATCACTTGAACCTGGGAGGCAGAGGTTGCAGTGAGCCGCGATTGCGCCACTGCACTCCTGCCTGCACAACACAGCAAGACTCTGTCTCAAAAAGAAGAAAAAAACAAAACAAAAACAGGACAAATTAGTGTCCCCCAGAGACCTTCTCCATGGTGTTTCGTGTTTTGAGAATCTGACAGTGCCTCAGATTACTTGGTGTCAGATTCCTGGGGACCTGGGATAAAGTTGCCAGGTAAAATACAGGATGCCCAGTTACATTTGAATTTTGGATAAACAACAAATCGTTTTTCAATATTTATACCCCCACATGGTGTCCATTGTTTATCTGAAATTCAGATTTAACTGGGGATTCTGTATTTTTATTTGCTAAGTTTGGCAACCCTAATCTGGGAAGAAAATACAAGAATTTGTCCCTACAGATATTTATTATCTAGCAAATGAGAAAGCCGGCTTTGCTTGTATGATGTTAGACATAGAGCAGCAGTGATATAGGCACGTAATTTATAAATAAAGTTAATGGTGTAGGTACCGTTTTTTTTTCTTTTTACTGATGGAGGTGCATGATCAGAAAGTTTGGGGCTTTGCCATGAGTCAAAAATTGTTGTATCTGAGTGATGGATATGAGGGAGTTAGAAACTTTCAAAATAAAAAATGAAAACAAAAAAGTTTGGGGTACTGCTAGCCAGCCTCAGCAGTCAGTCCCGAGCTGGGGAGTGGCACAGCTGTGTGCCTACAGGAGGAGAAAGGGCGCAGGGAGGCAGAGTGGAGGCTACAGGCTTTCTGTGTCCCCAGGCGCCTGGCCAGGTCCACTCTCCTGCTGATCCCCCTCTTTGGCATCCACTACATCGTCTTCGCCTTCTCCCCAGAGGACGCTATGGAGATCCAGCTGTTTTTTGAACTAGCCCTTGGCTCATTCCAGGTAAGTTTCCAGGACTGGGGCTGCCAGCTGAAAAGAGGAGTTCTCTGTGTCCTTAGGGAGAAGTGGAGGGCATAGAGACTGCGAGCCAGATGCCTTATCTGGCAGAGACCCAGGGGAAGAAGGGGTCGGACCTGACAGTGCTACAGGTCCCTGAGTGGGATCCCTGGTCCCCACCAGTCAAATGGGGGTGGGAGATAAAACTAAGAGAGACAGAGAGACTGACTTCAGGGAAAATAAAAAGGAAAAGTAGCCCCAGTACACTATATTGTACAACTCTCAATAACATATACATGGTCAAAATAACGTAAGCGCGGATGGCCAAGTCATCAAACACTGGGGCGGGAAGATGAGCCTCGCGGGAGCGTGGGGCGGGTGTTTGGAAGAGAACACTGTCCTCATCTTCACACTGGGAAGTCCATAGAAAATGCCCTAGACTGAAAACTCCTCAAGTGGCGACACCAGCATATTTTTTAGAAGCAGTTAAGAGAGTTTCAAGGAGCAGTCGCATGTGAGGAAAAGGAAGTGAGGGTGGGGTGTCAGGAGGCTGCTGGTTCTGTAACAGGAATCCTTTGATTCTCTGAAACCATGTGCATATGCAAATTATTAAAACTAAAAACTGACTTTAAAAAATAAAGTGAGGTGGAAAAGCGCTTACCTACTAATTCCACAAGATGCTGTGAACTTAAAAACAACAACAGTAAACGTGTTTGGGCAGAGGGAGCCTGAACGTGAATCCCAAACTTCACAATGCCGTTTGTTTATTTACTCATAGCTATTTCCTTCCAAAAATAATGCAATGTCGCTTTTGGGAAAAACATACAAAGGACAAAAAATAAGTCGATGAAGGATCAGTGAAAAAAAGAATGTACAACTGGTTGGGTTGCTACACAGAAACAAATACGATAAAGTTCTATACAGGAGGGAGAGATGGGTCATAAGTATGATAGGGAGCTTCCCAGTAGCCAAAGCAAAGACAAAACAATTGTTTCAAAATTTCGCATATCCATAAGACAAAATCAAACTAACGGCCGGGAGAAGCCAGTGATTATAGGCTCTAGGCCTGAGACAAAATTCTCCCAGTAGTTTTTTTTAAAGGACTTAGTCCTTAACGACATTTCCACGGTAGGGCGATATTGTCCAGCCAAGCTTTCACTGGGGTGGCCTCGGCCTGCGAGCAGGGGTTCAAACCCTCCCCTCATCCCTAGAGCTCTGTTCAGGGTAGGGTCTTCCTGTTACTTACAGGTTCTAGGGAGGATGCCTCACTGGGGACACATCACTGAGTGGAGTCAGGTCTTGCCCTACCCATACCTTCAGACCACACCCTCCCCTAAGCTGGCCCTCTACCCAGTAACCCGTCAGTGCCCCAGACCTCCAGAGAACTCAGCCTCTGGCTTAATCCAGGATTCTTTTCCTCTCGGCCTGGGGGCCAGGGAGCTAGCTTTCCTCACCACTGCTCTTGTAACGTCCAGGGAGGCTGGGCACACAATGGCCCATCTAGCAGGTAGAGGATTTGAGGACCAGTCGGGTGGAAGGACTTGACCTGGCTCAGAAAAGGGACCATGCTGAGAGCTTGGACCCGGGTCTGCCTGGCCATGGATGGGGACTTCCTGTCCCTCAGAGTTGGGGCTAATGGTTGGGACTGTGGACTACTTCTCTAGGAAAATGTCTTGCCAAGAGAAAATCAAAAGCACTTTCCTGATGTTCTCATACGAATGTTGATGAAGAAAAAGGATCTTTTAAAGTTTTATACATATATATGTATATATATTCGTACGAATATATGTATATATATTCGTACGAATATATGTATATATATTCGTACGAATATATGTGTATATTCGTACGAATATATGTATATATATTCGTACGAATATATGTGTATATATATTCGTACGAATATATGTGTATATATATTCGTACGAATATATGTGTATATATATTCGTACGAATATATGTGTATATATATTCGTACGTATATATGTGTATATATATTCGTACGTATATATGTGTATATATATTCGTACGTATATATGTGTATATATATTCGTACGTATATATGTGTATATATATTCGTACGTATATATGTGTATATATATTCGTACGTATATATGTGTATATATATTCGTACGTATATATGTGTATATATATTCGTACGTATATATGTGTATATATATTCGTACGTATATATGTGTATATATATTCGTACGTATATATGTGTATATATATTCGTACGTATATATGTGTATATATATACGTACGTATATATGTGTATATATATACGTACGTATATATGTGTATATATATACGTACGTATATATATGTGTATATTCATACGTATATGGGTATATATATTCATACGTATATGTGTATATATATTCATACGTATATATGTGTATATATATTCATACGTATATATGTGTATATATATTCATACGTATATATGTGTATATATTCATACGTATATATGTGTATATATTCATATGTATATATGTATATATTCATATGTATATGTGTATATATTCATATGTATATGTGTATATATTCATATGTATATATACATATGTGTATATATTCATATGTATATATACATATGTGTATATATATATAAGAATATGTATATATATTCTTATATATACACACACATGAGAAAATGTTTTTCATATACAAAAGTGAAGAGAATAGGACAATGAACCCCATTACCTATCCCCAGCCTCAGCGGTATCCACTCATGGCCTGTTTGTTTCATCTCCATCCCTACCTACTACCCCCATCTTTTTAAGTAAATTCAAAACATCATGTTATTTCATCTTCAAAGAGTTTAGTGTGCATTTCTAAAAGACGGGGCTTAAAGAAGAACACATACAACTGTAATAACACCATCACTGTCATATACTCTTTAAAAATGTATTTATGGCCGGGCGCGGGGGCTCACGCCTGTAATCCTAGCACTTCGGGAGGCCGAGGCAGGCGAATTGCCTGAGCTCAGGAGTTCGAGACCAGCCTGGGCAACATGATGAAAGCCTGTCTCTACTAAAATACAAAAAATTACCCAGGCATGGTGGTGTGTGCCTGTAGTCCCAGTTACTCGGGAGGCTGAGGCAAGAGAATTGCTTGAACCTGGGAGGCAGAGGTTGCAGTGAGCCGAGATCGCGCCACTGCACTCCAGCCTGGGTGACAGAGCGAGACTCCGTCTCCAAAAAAAAATATGTATTCACTCTTTCTAATTGTATAAATAATGCTTGCTTATTGTGAATAATTTGGGAAATAAGGAAAAGTTTTTCAAAAAAAGAAAAATAATAAGAAAAAAATCTAGAACGTCATAACCCAGAAATAACTTCTGTTAAAGTGTTGGTGTGTTTACTTCCGTCTCTTTTCTTTCCACAAAGATACACACACATAATTGGGATCATGATGTGTATGGTTTTGTATCTTGCTTGTTTTGTTTAATTCTCTATCATGCCCATCATGAGCATTTCTTCATGTCATTAAAATTCTTCAAAGTCTTCATCCTTAATGATCGCAGAATCACGGTGGAAATTAGTAAACTTGCTGGCTTGTGTGAGGCCTGCCCTATATACACTGGAGCACAGCTAACTCCCTCCCCTGAACAGTGAAAATGTGTCCCTGGACCCTAGCGCAGCGGAGGCCAGGCAACCCTAGCCCATGCAACGGGCAGCATCCTTGGCCTGCTCGTGGCTCTGGGCCAAGCACACAGAGCTCCAGGCATGCCTAAACCCCTCCGTGCCTCAGTTCCCTCGCTTGTGAGGTGAAGATCCTCCCACCTGCCTCCGAGAGCTTTGGCGAGGTTAAATGAAGCACCTGGGACCTACAATTACTCAGGCCTAGCTGTGCTCCGATCCAAGTCTGTTTCATTTCAAAGCCTGCCTTGAAGTGCCTTTTACTCCCTCTCTGACAGTAGTTCCCGGACCATGATGCCCGTTTTTTGGAACTGTGTGGGGATCTTTAAAAGCTGCTGATGCCCCCAGCTACTGGGATCTGGGGAGTGCAACCTGGATAAAAGGTCCCAGGTGATTCTAATGTGCAGCAATACTTGGAAACCGATGCCCTGAGTGTTTCTGCCCCTCAAATAGTCCCCAGTCTATGTAGCAGTCATTGATACCTGAAATTCTAAAGCAAACCCTTCCAGCTTCGCCACTAACTCTTTTTAAAATGCCAATATCCCTGAGAAGTTGTACATATTAAGCCCACCATCGATGAGCTGATTCATCACCCTTCGAGGTTCCTTTCCAATATCATAAGTAGCTACAGGCAGGCCTGGGTGGGACTAGGGAGGAGGAGTTGGGCCATCTGAGGTCAGGCCTCTGTGTGGGGAGGGCAGGCCCGTAAGGGAGAGAAGGGTGGCCTGAGGTGGGTCCCTGAGAAAGGAGAGGAGCAGGGTGAATGCGCCGCAGAGACACTGCTTCCTGCTGATCTGGAGGCCTCTTAGGCTCCAAGCAGGCGCCCCAGCCTGGAGTCCCTCCCCTGACAGAGCTCCACACCAGGATCCTGGGGGCACCATCAGGAAATCAGGAGCTCCAAATACCAGGGAGGGAGGGTCTTACAGGCACAGACCTTGCCACACCAGGGAACATAAAACTCTGAGCACGGAGGTGCACCCACCTGTCCATTAAGCAGGGAGCTCCAACCCTGCTCACCACTGGCTGGCCGGGACCTGTACATAGTTTGTTCTGCCTACACATTTGTTTTTCAATTTGAATTAGTTATCTACATTTAAACATATTCAGATTTCCAGTTTATCTTGAAATAAGACCACACAGGGCCCAGGGTCTCACCCTGGGCAGCCTGCACTCCTCCTGGCAGAGTGGGCGGACTTCAGGTGCCACCCATCCCTGTGGCTCCCAGGTGAGCTTCCTGATCCCGGCTGGCTGGGTTAGCAGCCCCCCTGACACCATATGTGTTCAAAAGGGAGCCTACCCTTGGCTGCAAGGAGTTCACAGTTTATGCTGGATGAGCCAGCACAGCCAGGGCCACCGTGGGCAGCCCACAAGAGGTAGCCTAATTCCCAGTGAGGCAAGAGAGGTGGGGAAATGAGCCTGTAGCTGGTGATTAAGAGACCTGGGGAGGGTGCAGCTGGCCAGCTGGTTCAGGCCGCATGCTGAGCACCTGTGCTAACCCTGCTACCTCTCTTCTTCTGGCAGGGACTGGTGGTGGCCGTCCTCTACTGCTTCCTCAATGGGGAGGTGAGTAGTCTTGGGTCACCCAGGTACCCAGGAGAGCTCCTAGCCATTGGTTTCCGGGTCAGAAGGAGCTACCTGGGAGGGGTGGTAGGAAGGGGGATGGAAAGGGTCAGAGGGAGTCCTGGGTCTGGTGGCAGGTGGCTTGGCCAGTTCTTTTAGGAGTCTGAATTTGCTTAATGGGAGCAAGGCTTGTTCAAACCATGGCTGGACCCTGTTCCTAGTTTCTCATTCCACAGAAATAAATTCTGTAGGTCTGGACTGGGGTCTGAGAAAGTGTTTTTTAACAAGCATTCCTGGTGCCGATGTTGATCTGTTCAGCAAATGCAGGAGGAAAGTTGGGCAGAACCCAGGTTCCTGACTGCCCTGCTGCTTGCTTAATGGGCGATCTCAGTCACTGCCCTGTTCTGGGCCTCAGTCTGCCCATATGTGAAACGGGTGACTCAGAACTGTCTGCAGCTCAATCCTTAGGGACCTCCAGATGAGCACTGACTCCTTGGGAGACTGCACACTCACTTTGAGGACTCGAGCCTCACATGGAGCATCTGGGTCAGGACCCCAGGCTCTGGGCATACAGAGCTATGTGGTTAACATGAGCTAAGGCTTTCTGTGACTACTGACCATCTATCTGGTTTGTTGCACTTGAATGGGAGTGATCTTTGATGTTTCCCAAAAATCAAATATCAAGCCTAGCTTCAAAGGTTCAGCTGCTGCAGCTGGGAATTGTGAAGGAAATTTACAAAGAGAAACTCCCTAGTTCCCAGATCAGTTCTGAGCTTGGGTGGCTTCCTGGGAATAAGTGGGGACCCATCTTAAATCACTTAAAATCACTGGGGACCCATCACTGAGTGGAGTCAGGCCTTGCCCTACCCACACCTTCAGACCACACCCTCCTCTAAGCTGGCCCTCTGCCCAGTAGCCCCTGTCAGTGCCCCAGACCTTCAGAGAACTCAGCCTCTGGCTTAATCCGGGATTCTTTTCCTCTCAGCCTGGGGGCCAGGGAGCTAGCTTTCCCCACCACTGCTCTTGTAATGTCAAGGGCACACACTTGTCCCAAGGTGCACAAGTCCTTTCTTTAAGACACGATGTAATGAGATTGCAGGTGCATGTGCCCAGGAGAGAGGGGACCCTCAGTAGCTACTGGACATTGGGGCTGGAAACAGTCAATCTGCGTGGCCTGCAGGCTAGGGGACAGGGCAGCTGGGCAGGAGTGGCAGGGCCTGCGTGGAGTCACTGGGGGAGTGAGCAGGGCTCCAGGCACAGAACTGTCCTCTCCTCCTGGGCTGATGGCTGGTCTCCCGGGCAGGTGCAGCTGGAGGTTCAGAAGAAGTGGCAGCAATGGCACCTCCGTGAGTTCCCACTGCACCCCGTGGCCTCCTTCAGCAACAGCACCAAGGCCAGCCACTTGGAGCAGAGCCAGGGCACCTGCAGGACCAGCATCATCTGAGAGGCTGGAGCAGGGTCACCCACGGACAGAGACCAAGAGAGGTCCTGCGAAGGCTGGGCACTGCTGTGGGACAGCCAGTCTTCCCAGCAGACACCCTGTGTCCTCCTTCAGCTGAAGATGCCCCTCCCCAGGCCTTGGACTCTTCCGAAGGGATGTGAGGCACTGTGGGGCAGGACAAGGGCCTGGGATTTGGTTCGTTTGCTCTTCTGGGAAGAGAAGTTCAGGGGTCCCAGAAAGGGACAGGGAAATAAATGGTGCCTGGGATGAGATTCAATCTATATTTGTCCATCCTTTTGCCTTGACACAAGGTGAGGGTGTACGCTCTTGCCTGCTCCCAATGCCTTCCCGCAGGAGGCGGGCTCCTCCCTGGTCCCCCAGCTCAGTTACTCAGGGACCAGATTAGAAGGCCCAGCCAACATGAAATGTTTGCCCTTGGCGGATGCTGTCTGTCTCCTACTGTAACTCACCTGGTTAGCAGCTCTCACCCAAACCTTCAGGACAACAGCTAAAATAATATGATAAAGTCACCACGGAGGCCAGGGAAGCCCCAGGGCCCCCAGTCCCTTTTACTATCCCCCCTTTTACTACCCCCAACAGGGTGTGAGGGGGACACCCCTATTTTTCCTGCTCTTCCACACAGATGTCCTCGGCCTGAGGCAGACACAGCAGGAAATGGGGCATGATCCCATTTCAGAGAAGACAGGTCCACCAAAGCCCTGTGACTTGCCCAAGCTACTAAGCAAAGAGGTGGCGGAAGTTCAGTCCAGGGCCTTTGACTTCAAATGCCCATGCTCCAAGGCTGTGTCTGTGCTCTCCCTGCTCCCAGGCAGGGAAGGACAGGGGCCATCTGCTGCCCCTCTAAGCTCCTGGGGACTTCAGTCTCACCCTCCACTCTCGTTCTTGGTTCCTTTGAATATCTGCACTCCCTGCCCCCATGTGAGGATGAAAAAGGACTCCATTTTTGAACGCTTCTGCAAAACCAAACCTACTAGTGCTCAGGGGGTAGCGTTCTGGAGGGAAGTAGAGAAACTCCCCTCCGTGTCAAGGAAAAGGCATCCTGCTGGTGGGTGGGTCAGCTCTACTCCCAGCTTTGGGTGACCCTGGACAAGTGCATCCCTCTCTGGGCCCTGACTCCCCACCTCCATACATCCCCTCCCCGTGAAGAAACCAGGGGGTTACACATCCCCTTTGCAACTTGTAGATTGCTCCAGGTTCCCATTTCCCAGGCTAAGATGCCGCCAGTGTGGTTGATGAGCTCTGTACTCTGTAAAACTGAGCAATTCATGGAAACCTTTCCAGGATGATCTCCATGGACTCTGGGCACCTTGGTGGTTCAACCTTAAAGCCCATGGCCTTATATCCTACAAAGCAGACAGCTTCATGACTCCATGCATCCTGGAATAAAAAATTTAAAACATCACAATAGACGTAGGTATAGGCACTCAGCCCAGACCAGGAAAGGAACCTGCAGCAGTGACAAGACCGGGGCAGAGACCAAAAACCCATGCAATTGCTGGGAGCCAGAATTCAACAGGTGAGGGAATGGGAAGGAGTCAGTGTAGAATGAAATGGGCTGAGGGCAATAACATCACCTACTTCTGGGCAGAAAAAGGACTAGAAAGGGAGCACTTTAATGAACAGAAGTACAGACGTGCTGGCAAGGATGGAAATCTCCACTGGTTCCTGGCCCCCTTCACCTCCATGCATCCCCAGCATGGGTGTTAATCATTACCCAAGCTCTCGCTGTTCCCCCTCACCCCCTGCAGAGTCCAGCAGGTCTAGATACGTGCTCTTTGAAATGTGTTCTGGGATTAAAAATGGTGCCCTGAGGCTGTCTAACCCTCACAAAAGACAGACACATGCACACACGGGCCTTGGGGAGGGCTGTGTATTAGCAGTCAGGTGGGCCCTCCTGGGAGAGCTTGCTCAAGAACTCTTCTCGGAAGGAAACCCACCTTAAGGTAGGGTTCTGATAGGCAGAGCTCCCAGAGGCACAGCCAGCTGCTAGAAGATGGGGTTATCCAGGGTTTGTAAGGTTTAAACAACGGGCAGGGAGGCAAACCGAGTCAAATGGTTTGGAAACCTACTGTGTGCAGGGCATTCTGAGGGAATCCTGAACTCTGCCTCTTTGGCATGACCAAAGCTGAAGCCAGGGACATACATACGAAGGCCCTTTGAGCTGGTGGAAGAAAGTCCTAGGCACTGATTGGACCCTTAGCTGGAAGAATGATCCATTCTTAACAACCCTGGGAGCCCCAGGGATTCTGCAGCCCCTATCCCAGCACGTGTCAATGAAACAGGCATGAACTATCCTTGGCTGTGCAGCTAGCTCAGGTACCAGTTACCCCTGTGCTTCCAACTGTATTCCAGTCCAGGGAAGAAAATTCAAGAAGGAGTTTTAAAATGTTTTTTTCTTCCTCTAAAATCAACATCTGGCTAAGCCTGTGCAGTTGGTGGCACTGAGGCACCCTCCTGGCCTCTGGCCCTGCAGACCAGGTGCAGAGGCCCCCGGGCCATTTCTGGCTGACCACCCACAAGTTATCGGCAAACAGGCAGCCGTTTCAAGGCCCTTGTCCAACCCAGCCCCACCAGAGGCCACATGCTGGAAAAGTCCCATTTTGACCATATTTTCTTGTGGAATCTGATGTCCCTGGAGGGGGCCTAAAATTTCCACGGTCATTCCCAGGGATGGGTGATGCTGTTGATGTGAAGGCCGCTGATGGCGTTCAGGAAGAGGAGGAAGGAGGCAGTGAATTCGCACCAAAACATTAGGGTGAAGCCGATGAGTGTGACTTGGTTCCTGAGGAGGATCACAAAACCCAGGAGCCCGCCGGAGGAGAGGACGAAAGACACCAGGAGGAGGATGGAACCCATGACCCACTTGCACTGTGAGTGTTTGTCCTCGCACAACTGGGACACCATGAGGAACTCCAGGCCAAAAATGGCGGCCACCACGGCCAAGGCGCCCACGCTGCGTACCAGGCCCATGCCCACGGCCAGCCCGGGCACATGGGCCTGGCCCAGGTCTCTGAAGCAGATCGTCTGGTTGGTGGTGGTGCAGAAGTGCCAGAGCCCGAAGAGGCGGTCCTCAGCCAGGAGCCAGTGCCCATCACAAATGGAGACCGAGGACAGGACCACAGCCAGGGCCACACACGTGATGATGAGGGTCCGGATGAAGGATTCAAAGAAGGACCGGCGGGGCTGCCTTTGGCCCAAAGGCCTCTGGGCCTGGAAAAAACCGTAGGAAGCACCCTGTCAGCCACAGCCCTGCCACGCCCCCAGGAACCTCTGCAGGGAAGACCCCTGAGCCCTCCATCCTGCTCCGCACTGTCTTATTCTCTGCTTGGTCTCCTGTGAAGCCCGGAACAGACCAGACCCACCGTTTGGGGGGAACCCTTCCTCCCTTCCAGACCTGTGAGCATTTACCATCCAGTATTCACCAGGCACTAAGAGCTTCCTGACCTTTCTTTCTTTTGTGATCTTCAGAGTGGGTGAGAAGTCCAAACCGACTGGCAAATCTGAGTCAGTTCTGAGTTCAGAAAACCTGTCGTGCCTGCATCCCATGACCTTGAGCATGCAGCCTGCCTCGGTTTCTTTGTACATAAAACAAGAATACGGCCTGGCAGAGTTGCCAGGGTTGTACCAAGCACTGAGACATTAGCACACCAATACACAGTTCTGTTTCCCTCCATCTCCCCAGGATACACGATTTTGTCCTAATCCCCACCCACCTGATGATTCGGGAGCTGTCCACGTTCAGCCCAGGACTCTAGATTATTGCCTCGTTTTTCTTGGTACTGAAAGTGACATTTGCATCTTGCCCTCAGACCTGTGCGGCCTGTACCCTACCCAGAGCTTGCCAACCCCATTGTCTGCTCCTGCAGCTTCTGGGCATGGGAAGGCCATTGCAGCTCTCCTCCACTTCCGGTTCAGCCCTGGAAGGAGGCGCCCCCACCCCGGTCTCCTGGCAAGCCAGGCTAGGTGTCCAGTGAGGTGTCTCATCTCACAGTTCAAGGACACCACCCGGGCACTGCACCCAAGCCCTGACCCAGAAAGCAAAAGAAAGACTTCAGGAACTCTTTACACAGCCCACAAGCCTCTCACAATCCGCTCCGCCTCCCCACCCAACCTCAGCTCCCAGCACACTCCCCTCTCCCCATGTCTAGAACTTTCTTTCCTCAGATGACTGGCCCTTAAGCCTGTAGTGGCTCTTCTGCAGCTCCTGCCACCCCTCCAGGACAACACCTCTTCTCCATTCTTCATGTCTCAGCTTAAAGTCTCCTCCACAGAGAGTGCTTTCCTGCCCACTCAACCCAGAGTCAGGCCCCTCCTGGTATTCTGTGTCAGGCACCTGTTCAAATTCTTCACCATTCTGAGGACAGTTTGTAGTTACATATTATTTCTGTCTCATTCCAACACTGTGTGCTCTGGGAAGGCCGCCCCCTACCCCCACACCACCACATTCTGTGTTTAGGCACTGCTGTGTCCCCAATACCTGGGCATTCAGTGGGTGCTCAAGGGAGAGCTGTGAGATAAGTCAAAGGTCATTGGCAACCACTGTCACTTCCGTCTGAAGCTCCTTTAAACTGAGTCTCCTGCACAGTCATACATTAAATGACCTGCTTTGCAGTGTGTCTAGAAGCTGCCCAGGTTACACCTCGGTTTGGGAGGTATGCAAAACAGGCACGCATGACGGTCACTGCTAGGACCCAGGAGAATGGAGCAGTGAGGAACATGGGGTGTGTCCTATGCCATGGGCAAATGGAGGCTTCCTGAGGCAGGTCTGGGCCACTCCTCTCTGTGTGAGACATAAAATAAAGCCCTGCTTCTGGGAGACTCCTGTGGTCAAAGAGCCCAGCAAGAGTATCTGCTCACATGCCCCAGACACAGGAGCTACCGCTAATTTCAACCCCAGGGATACAGGAATAAGGATGCAGTTTGCTTTCAGCACCTCTGCCTTAAGTAGGATCCTATTTTATTCTTAAACCTATGAGGTTGATAAAGTAGGAAGCTCCATGGTGGGTGTACAGAGAAGGAAACTATGCAGAGGGCAGGTGACTTGCCTGAGATCACTCACCTAAAGCACAATGAAGCTCTTTATGGCTGCCCAGACAATTGTATGATATGCAGGAGGTGGAATCCGTTCAGCGAATAAATACTGACTAGGGCCTTCTAAGGACAGGGCCTTTGTGCTAGGGGCTCAGTACTGAGCCCTTACAGCCCTCCCTACATGGGCTGTAAGCTCCTGGATGGGAGGGACCGCACTTGGTCTGTCCCAGCACGCTGCCTGGCCAGGATTCCAGACATGTCCCAGAACAAAGGGGAGGAATTCCCTGTGCCCCATGCCCTCTTGGTGAGGAAAAGGTGCGTGCAGAGGGATGCCTCAAGGGCCATGCCAGAGCTAGGACCAGCCTGGGTCCTAGCTGAGATGAAGGCAGCCTGGGTGCGGTCAAAAACATGGAGCTAAGAGTATGGGCTGTGGTTCTCAAACTGTGTCCCCATGCTCCTGGTGGGGCTTCCAGTGCTGAAGCCGGGTGGGCAGGGAAGCTGAGCAGGCTGGCTCTGCATCCCCTTCCTCACTTCAACTGAGCCCTGTACCTGCTTGGGACATTGGGGGTCCAGGAGTCTGTATTGCATTTTATTACAAAAAAAAAAAAAATCTACCGGTAAGAAAGAAACCAAAGGAAACTTTGAAAACCTGTGTCTACTCCACAAACCATTAGAGGTGTTTGTCCTTGGGCAGTTTCTTAACTTCCTGAGCCCTTGTTTCCTCATCTAGAAAATGAAGTTAATGACACTTGCAGGAAAGTCGTAGCCATGAAGGCACCTGGCAAGGTTACAAGGTCCCTAGAGAATGATAAATGGTCCTAAAAAGGAGGAGCACCACAGGCAGAGAACAAATCACAGGACCCAGAAACCTTTTAACCCGAGACAGCATGCTGGCTGGAAAACAGGCACGTCCTGTCCCTTCTCCAGCCCTACCTGTCCTAGGCAGACTGGACTTTAATCTCCAGGCCCTTAGATGTCACGTCAGGATCAGAAAGTGGAGACAGCTGACCTCATCTAGTTTCCTCCCGCTCCTGCCCCAAAGTAGGGCTTCATTTAAACTCTCTGGCCACCACTGAAACTCCCAGGAATCAAATGAGATCCTGTATATAAAGATGCATGGTACACGGGCCGCTCCCAACTCATGGTAGCTATTAATATTAATAACAATAATAACACATATAGAGTCTTCATTCCTAACCACCCGGCATCTCCACCAGCTTTCAGTGATGCAGGGCCTGAAACGGCTACTGGAGGGCAGCTGGACAAGTGTGCAGTGGAAAAGAAGGGAGCGGGGAGGTCAAGTCCTGCCCCTGACCTAGAGGACCCCTGCAGGGTACCTTTAGGCAATCACTTAAATCTCTCTGGAGCTTAACTGCTCTGCTAAAAATGTAAGCATTTTCCTTTTTCATCTGTAACCTTGCATGATTTCTAGTGACCTATAGAATAGGGTCACTTGACACTACTGGGCTACTGAGTCCAATGTCATGGTCTTCCTCCTATAACCCAGGGCCTCATGTGTTCCCCTTAACCAAAGCACCCCCAGGTAGACAAATTAAGCTCCTCCCAACTCATTCCGCACATCCCCAACATGTCTCCCATATTTGCTCCCCCTCATCACCCACTCTGCCCCTACCCAGGTGAGGCCATCACCATCGTCAACATCCTGGAAGTTCACAGCCTCCTGATGAGCCGGCCTGCCTCTGCTCCTCTCAGCTGCAGCCTGGCCCACCGCTGCCTGCATGACCCAGAACTTGCTTCCTACCTGTGTTTGCCCCCTGGCAAGTCATGGTTGTGGGGATGAAGAGTTATCATCCCGAAGCGGCCGGAGCACCCGCCCTTCACCTGGAGCCTGTGGCCTCCCCAGCTGAGCTCCCACCTTGCTACCAGGCTTCCTCCTCTTCCCCGTCTGGCAACTTTTGCACCTCTTAATTTAGCATTCGCTCCCCCATGCCCTGTTTCCAAGTCTCTCTCCCTACATGGGCTGTAAGCTCCTAGAGGGGAGGGACCGCACCTGGTCTGTCCCACCATGCTGCCTGGCCGGGATTCCAGACATCCCCCAGAACAAAGGGGAGGAATTCCCTGCGCCCCATGCCCGGCTTCGCCCAGGTGCCTAGGTCCTGGCTATAGAAGCGGTTTTGGGGGTGTCCTGTGGGTGGGGTTTCTCCCGTTAGGTAAAGGCAGGAGGAGCCAGTGGGATTTGGAGCCAGAAAGCCCTGGGTTTGAATCTTGATTCTGTTCCTTGGCCAGCCACGGAGGGCACCTTACTTCTGAGTCTCGGTTACCTCATCTATACAATGGGCAGAACGGTGTCTACTAGGTCAGTGTTGTGGCTGAGCGTTTGTACACGAAGTCAACGGGCCTCTCTAATCCTGGAGACAGTCCAGCGGATAGACTCTGCAGCGGGCGAGTTGCGCGGAAAGGAAGTTCGCCCGCTGGGCAGCGGTACCGCCACCCACTGACTTCCCTTTGGGGAGCAGCAGGCCCGAGGGAGCGGGTAGGAATGTGTAGGTTCTTAGCCAACATAAACATCGTGCACTACGCTAAGGAGAAGCCAAATCTTCGGAGACACGGGCTTCTTCCCTCGCCAGAGCCTTTCCCTGAGGTGTCCGCGCGACTCAGCAAGTCCACCCCCAGCCCAGCACCCCAAACGCAGCTTTGGGGAGGGAGACGGTCTTCCTAACCTCCACCCCCAGAAAGGTCTAACTTCCCAAGAGACGCATCCTCTGTTACATAAGCCTCACTTTGCAAGTCGATTCTGTCCCTCCACCCCAGACGCGCCTCATTTCTCACAAAGGGGGACCCTTATGGTAAACTGACCAGTAAGTCACTGGTGACACCAAAGAGAAGAAAAATCTTTCCAAATGAAGTTTGGGAGCCTCGGGTGCTTGCAAGGCCGCGAGCAGAAGCAGCCGGAGTCCGCGCCTCGGGAGCAGCTATGTGAGGCAGGCAGGCCCCCCGAGGTTGCTCCCCGCCCAGCCTCCTCCGGACCCAGGTTTGCAACAGGGGGCGGGCACGGGGGGCGCTCGCACCCCCAGCCCGACGCCGGCGCTCGCGGTGGGTACGCCCCTCCCTCCGTCCTCCCACCCCCAACCTCCCACGGCGGGGCAGCACCCCGGGTCAGCGCCCCGCCAGGCGCCGGCTACCTGCACGCCGACGGCAGTCATGCTGCGCCCGGCGGCCGCGCTGCAGCCTCGATCGCTCCAGCTGCTCCGCTGTGGCCGCCGGCGCCAGCCCGGGACTTCTCCGCAGGGGCGGGGCGGCTGCTGGAGGCGGGCGGGGCGGGAGGGGGCGTTCAAAGCTCGGCGATTAACCCCGGGCGGGCTCCGCCAACCCCGCCGCCCTCCGCGGCTCGGATTACGCTGAGTCAGCGAGGGCGGCCGGAGGAGCCCCTGGGGAGCCGCGGGGAGGACCCGGCACTTGGGGGGAGGGATCCCTCGGGTCCCAGGGGAAAGGATCGGGAAGTCACTCCGACGCTCCCGAACCTCCGAGGACAGCTTCGCCTGGGGCGCAGATTCCTCGAGGGCTGGGACGGCGACGAGGGCCTGAGGGTTCGATTCCTGTTCCAGCTTGCTGAGTCCAGCCTCTGGGAACGCGGCAGGGTCCGAAGGGAGGAGGCAGGCGCAGAGGCTCTGCTGCCCTCACTCTGCGGTGTGACCTTGGGCTGCTTGTTTAGCGTCTCGGAGCCTCGGTTAGTAAGGGAAATAATGAATGTGAAAGGTGGGGCTCTTGCCGGGCCCTCGCTGAGTGTGAACGGAGTGGAACTTTTTGGGGCAATCCTACTTGCGTCCCTAAAAGGGGATGTAAAACCCTGTTTCCTCCTGAACTCCTCAGGGACTATTAAAAATGCAAATATGCCAAACAAATGTGGTTATTTTTTCTCCACCTCGATGGGAACTGAGGTCTCTCTTTTTTTTTTTCTGGACGTTGTCTAGCGCTTGTGGCCCAGGCTGGAGTGCAATGACGCGATCACGGCTCACTGCAACCTTCGCCTCCTGGGTTCAAACCCGTTCAAGCGATTCTCCTGCCTCAGCCTCCCGAGTAGCTGGGATTACAAGCGCGCCCCATCAAGCCCTGCTAATTTTTGTATTTTTTAGCAGAGACGGGGGTTTCACCATTTTGGTCAGGCTGGTCTCGAACTCCTGACCTCAGGTGATCCACCGATCTCGGCCTTCCAAAGTGCTAGGATTACAGGCATGAGCCACCGCATCCGGCCGGATCTGAGTTCTTAAAGAGGCAGCACCTAAAAGCTTTTACCGCCAAAAAGGGTGGAGGTGGGAGGAGTGTCCAAGGGCCACAAATTCCAACAGAAAGGCTTCCCTCCCCCCATCCTCAAATGTGGTGGTAAAACAAGGCCCCTCACTAAATGGCACACATTAAATTGTCTGGTTCACTCAGGCAGGCAGCTCCTGGTGACTTTACCCAAAGACAAAGCAACTGCACTCATCTGTTTTCCCCTTTAGAGCCATGTGAGAAAGAGGGGTAGTTACAATTGTCTGTATATCTTCCACTTAGATATTCATCTGATTCCATCCCTGCCCAACAGACCTTGTCAAATCCTTTACCCCAGTCCTGGAGCTTGACAAACGGAGAAATGGCCCAGGCACAGGAAGGCTTGGCCCAGGCCACCCACATTGAGTCCACTGGAGAGCTGGGACTCCACTTACCCAGCAGGCCTAGTCCAGGTTTGAGTTCTTGCCACCATTCTGCACCAGAGTCACCTGGAAGGTTTGTTAAAACAGATTGCGAGGCCCCACTGCAGAGTTTCTGGCTGAGTGGCCTCAAGTGATGTTGGTGCTGCTGGCCTGGGGGCCAGGCTTTGAGAACCACTGAGCTAAGGCAAAGGGCAGCTGCCCAGGCTCAGCCAGCCTGGTGCCTCTCTGCTCTGGGGCCTTCCCTCCGTGGCCCCCACCTGCTTTCTCCCCAGTCAAGGGTCCCAGAAGCCAGACTCTCCGCAGCTCTGGGTTCTGGATAAAGAGCCCACATGGGAAAGGAAGACCTGTCCTGTTGCGGGGGTATCCTTTCACTGAGCCCTAAGAATGCCCTGTGGGCTCTCCCAGGTGAGATTCTGGATCATAGCATCTCACCTGGCCAAGAGGGAAGTGCCTGGAATTAAAATCAGAAGAACAGTCAGGTCGGGTCATCTGCACCCACTGCCTTCTCCAGTTTCGTGTGTGGTCAGGCATGTTTCTCACAGCCTGTTACGCTTTGTTGGTAAGAATAGAAAAGTATTGAATCAGTAGAATTTAGAGCAACATGTCTTGTCAGCAAGATAGTTGGAGAAGCAGAAATGACTTAAGAATAATAAGGAGGAAGTGACTATCCAGTTCTGATCATCTTATGCTCACATGAGGACTGGGAATATGGCCAGAATTTGGGTGGAATCTGAGCTGAGACTCTAAGACCTGGAGTCTCCTGGTACCTCTCTGGCTTAGGGGGTTGGGGTGGTGCGGGGAGTGGCAGCATCCACAGCCCTCTCAAATCCTGGTGAGATAGCCAGAGGTATTGGGGTCAGAAGTCCCAAAGCATGGCGCTTTGACATACACAACTGAAAAAGCCTCAAGGTCTCTCTGACCTTCCCTCCCCTCACCGTCTCTCCCAAAACACAGGATGAAACTGAAGTTCCTTTATCTGCCTAACATCCAGACCCACCAAAAGGAACAATTGTGTTTCTTCTCCTCCCTGTAGGACTGAGAATGTGACCACACCCGGCAAGTTAATCTCTATTCCCTGATCCATTCGGCTAGCCCCTCTACAGAATTCGTCTTCTCTCCTCTCCCATCACCTGTTCTGCCAGGATAGTATAGAAGCTTCTGAGCACTGCTGAGGGGTGGGCATACTCCGTGATTCTCCCGGGGTGTACACCTTGAATTAATGTATATACCTTTTCTCCATTTAATGTGCCTTTTGTGAGTTTATTTTTCATTGAAACTTCAGAGGGTGAAGAAGCTTTCCCTTAAACCCTGCAGAGACAAATACCGCACCAGGAGAAGAATGTCCAGAGAAGCAGGGAGTTTTAGTGTGAGGGGAAACATGGCAGGGGCAGAGGTGGGGGTTGGATTACCGGGTGGACCCCCAGGTGTTAAAAGCAGAAACAGCATGGGCATGAGTACTGGGCTGTGGGACAGCATGGAGCCTGCCTATTCTTTGACTTTCTCTGCCCTTTGTCCAGATTGTGACAGACTCGGCACTTGACCCTCCCTGACCCCTGCTTCTAGGCCTGGCCAGGGCTGGGGAAAGAGGAATGGCTTAAAGAAAGGCAGGAAGTGGCTCCTTCCCACCCCTCTGACCACTCTTGCCTGATGAGGAAGATCCAGGCATGTTCCTTAGAGAGTTTCAAGTGTATTGGTAGGGACACAATTCCTGATCATTCAGTCAACAAGCACTAGATCTGTTGTTCAGTCAGCAAACACTCTTTCATCTCGGGGCCTTTGTACTTGCTGCTTCTTCTGCCTGAAATGTTCTTCCTCCAGATACTCCCATTTAAGACTCACCAGCTCACTTCTTTAAAGTCTGGGCTCAGATGTCACCTTATCAGAGAGGCCTACGACGACCCCCACATCTAAAACAGCCCCTCCATTCTCTTTTCTCTTCTGCCCACATACACATATTTACTTGTCCTCTCTCCCCCTTTTAATGTAAGCTCCAAGAGGCCAAGGGCATTGTCCTGTTCACCAGTGTATCGCTGGTGCCTACGACAGAGCCAGGCATGTAGTAGGTTCTCAATAAATATTCATTGACTAAATGAATGAAGTGATTGAATACCTACTATGTAGTCACAACTGTCCTGACCAATGAGGGACAAAGAAGAAAAAGACAAAGTCCCTGTCAATGGTAAAGTGCTTGAGTTTTAGAGTCCAAACCTACCTCTCCATTTCTGCTCTCTCCCAGGCCTCGGTAGTTCAGGCTCCACATCCTCCTGCTCTCTTTGCCCTCACGCCCTCCATATACTCCATCCTCTCCTCTCTGCCCCTCCAGTGCCTGCCCGGCTTCAGCCCACCCCAGATCCCCTCCTCTCTAGCCTGGATGCCTGTGGAACAGCCTTCACTCTCACTTCCTCTGTCCCTTCAAGCATCTTCCCATCCCTCTTTTCCAAGGCTCAGGAAGCTTTGGTTCCTGGCCCCCCAGCCCCCGACCTTCCTGCCAAGACCTTCCCCTGGGTGTCTGCAGGGCCTTTTCAGGGGCATCTCCTGACTTTCCCAGCCAGAGTAACACTCCACCCCCCACTTGCCACTCTTTTACCTTTGTAAATTCTTGATCACTAGCTGAAAGTGGCTATTTGTCTATTTCCTGGATTGTCCCTTTCCCTCTCTAAAATATCATGGGCTCCATGAGAGCTGGGACTTTTTCCCTCTTTCACCACTCCATGCCCAGTCCCTAAATACAGGTTGGTCAATAAGGTTTGCTTACAGAAGAACCAGGCTTCTAATGCATTCTGAGCAAATACTTCCCCTCTGTGCTCCTCACTTTTCTGTCAAATGGGAAGCATCTCCCTCCTGGTGTTGAGAGGATCCCATGAAGCAATGAATGTGCATAAGGTGTCAGGTGCACCATCCCGGCTGGCATATGCATAAGTCTAAATAACTCATGATCTTTACCATCCAGTTTCCAGGGGGCTCTAAGTTTGCGCGGTCCCTGCTCCCAGGGAAACTTAGATCTGAGAGGCGACTCCCCTGTGCGGAGATTTAGTCTTGGGGGTAGTTCCCAGTGCTGGAAGTTTCTCTTTTGAGGAGTTGGAAGGTGGGAGGGACGAGGTGGGGCAGACACACTCCAAACACCCAGAGGTAATAGCAGGGAGTTGGCAAGGAGCAGCCCCTTGAAGCTCACTGGGTAGCTTTAAAGCTGCATGGTGCCAGGATGACCCACCCTCCCTGCCGCCCGTGCCTTGTACTTCTGACCTCTCCAGGTCTTGCCTTGTCTGTGGCCCATGGCCTCTTCCCTCTCCTCTCCTCCTGCTGCCCCGCCTTTACCAACCAGGTCTTCCTCTTCTCCCAGCCCCCACGCCATGGTTTTCCTGATTCCAGACCTTTCCAGGCTGGTTCCTTTCCCTCCAGCTAGGGCTCCCTGCGCCCTGCCCTGCTCTGCCTTGAGCCCCAGCCCAGCATTCAACCTCCTTGACCTCCTCTCAGGCGCCCGATTGCAACACAGACCTTGTTTACCGCATTTTAGTGTGAGCCGGCTGGGAGCCAAAGAGTTTCCCCGCCCTCCCCTGAGTCTTTCCTCCTTGCCTTCCCCTTGGGTGAGGAAGGGTCACAGGTATGATGTTCACCCTGCAACTGAAGAAAGGGCCTGTCAGCAGCCCCATCGGGGACACCCAGCATCTAAGGGGGAATGCAGGGGTGGGCTGGCTGTGCTTGAAGCAATGAGTGAAACAAGGAGGAACTAGTATCTTTCCTAAATATGTCTATATATGGGAAACTTTCTTCTAAACGTGTCTGTATATGGGAAACTTAACCCACGTGAGTTTTTTGAAGGTGTTTCTGTATTTAGAGGTGGTACCAGAGAGGTGGGGAGAGGGAGAATGATGTAGATGGGACCTCTGAGGGTGGCCTTTCTGTAGGGCCTCCCTTTCCAAAGTCAAGTCCTCCCTCGAGACAGATAGAGGCATCAGGACCCCACAGATTCCAGGCACACATCGAACCCCCACGGGAGAGACTTCTATCAACTTTTTCTTCGCAGACTTGGACATTGGACTTATCAGCATACTCTGGGACACTCAGTCTCTTGGAGACAATAAACAAATGCACCCAGAGTTATTGTACAGCACGGACTGCCAGATCATCTCTTCCCCAGAGTGGATCTGTGTTCTTTCCTCATCAGGGTACCCCTGCTGGGATCAAAGTGCCCAAGAAGCAAAGTTAGGCACCAGGAGTTGGTTGGTGGGCACAGAATGACCAGTGAGGGACAAAGAAGAAACAGTGTGGGCATGAGTACTGGGCATGACTGGGCTGATGACTATGGAAGTTAAATGGTTTACACAGGGCTTTGCCTAAGCTCTGGGGAAACCCAGGAAACACCCCACCACTTAGGTTGTTAGATTTGATGTTTACAAGGAAAGCAGTCTGGGTCAAAGGGTCTGGGAGGAGCAATACGGGAAACTGGGATCTCTCGGGGAATTCACTGGGGGCAGGGTGGCCTCCCCAGGAGAATAGGGTAAGGGGATGGACTTCAGACCTTCAGCCAGCACTTGCCCATCATCCTCAGCCTGTAGTCCTGTATTGTTTTTTCCACAAAGTGTTGGGTGTGGCTTTTTTTTTTTTTTTTTTTTTTTTTAAAGAGACAGGGTCTCACCCTGTTGGTCAGGCTGTGGTGCGGTGGCATCATCATGGTTCACTGCAGCCTCAACCCCCCAGGCTCAAGCAATTCTCCGACCTCAGCCTACCAAGGTGTTGGGATTACAGGCATGAGCCACCATGCCCGGCCTCGAAGTGTTTTTAGTTAAAAAAAAAAAAAAAGTAGAGGATTTTATGCTAAATTCTGGATTTCTGGTGTAGGGGTCAAGGAAAAACTTCTCTTACCCTCTGAAGGTTTACTGAAAAGTCAACTTGCAAAAGGAGTTGTGGCACTGAAATGTATTAGCATGCAAGGGGGTGAATCACAGAGTGGTCACCCCACCACACGATGGGGTACAGATGGTTCTGTACACTTCTTTCTAGGGGAGAGGGAGATGGAGAAGTATGAATGATTTCAGAGGGGTGCTAAGTGATCTTTAGGGGAATTCAGTGGTCTTGAAGAACACACAATGGCCTGGAACAGAGTCTGTTGAGCCTGCAGAGCAGACAATAGTTTGTGACAAAAGCTTGCCCAGGTGTGTTGACAGACTTCGGTCTTCCTGCCATATGAGTTCAGTTAATGAAAACTCAGGGAAAGGACCAGGAGCCATTGTTTTCTTCTTCAGTGGGTCCAGACTTCAGGCAGATTAGGAAACTTCAGAGAACAATTTCACTCTGTTCTTTGGGAGAGTAAGGATGGAGCCGGGGAAGATCAGAGAGACCGTCAGAGGCTTTTTGTTCAGGTCAGTAAGTCAAAGCGCCACATTTTGGGGTATCATTTTCTGAGCCCCAACCCTGGCTTCTCTTGAAAATGAGACAATCTGGAACCCTGAGGATCACTTGGCCACATGAGAACAATGGCCACAGCCCTGCAGTGCTGCCCTATGGACAGGCTATGCTCTGTGGGCCCCACCAGTCTTACGCCTGGCTCTGTCCATCCTCTATGTCATCTGCTGGCCCTCGTAAGAGTTGAGCTTGTAAGACCAGCTCTGTTGCTGTGCTGGTGAGATGATAACCCAGCCATGCTTGCAACATCTGCATCTCGCTATCCCACCACCATCTGCCTTCCCCACCTCGCCACCCACTGCAGCCTCCTGCCTGGACTCCAGCTCATGGCTGCTCTACAGCAGCCCTCACCCCTTGTGGCAAATGATCTCTCCACTTCTGGGCTCAGATTCCTCAGGGAGAATCTCTGTAGCCCAGTCGAGCTAGGCTGCTTGGTTTAATGATAACCCAGCAGTCTGAGAGCTGGTTCCTCCAGAGCTAGGGGCCCAACGCTATCCCCAAAAGCTGTGACCAAGGGCTGGGGGCAGGGTCATGTGGCATTAAGCATGGCCTCCTGGGTCACAGGGACTATGGACAAGAAGGGGCTAGCACTGAGGCCGGGCTGTCCACCCAACAGAGAGCTCTTCCTTGGGGGCAGGTGTCCCTGGTCCCAGGCCCCCTCCTCTGAAGCAAGTGGTGGGTACACTGGCCAGCCTTGTTCTGTGACTGCAAACTTCTAAGCCTACACTTCCTTTCAGTTGGTCTCACCTACACTGATGGCGAGGGGACCCTTCTCTCTTCCAACTTTGCACCAGAAGATATTGTATCCTTATGAACCCATTTTAATGATACGTTTAAAGAATTCTAAATACAATATTCTCCAGCTCCTAAGTACTTTGTGAATATTTACATGATTCTCAAATTTCTTTTCCAGCAGGAAACCCACCTCCACCCCATCTTTTTGTTTGGCTGGACTCTGGTTCAGAGCCCATTAACCATTCTTCTCAGATCATGGCATATTGACAGAATCCTCACATTCAAGGTCCTTCTAGGGTTGGTTTTTCATGTGTTTCCTCAGACTCTATTTTCATTCCCTATAGTGGCACGCCCTCTAATGTGTTTGATATATATCTGTAACCAGGTGTGTATCCTTGTGTGTGTGTGTGTGGATTTTGTTTCCTGAGTTGCATTGTGCTATAAATCTTGTTCTGTTTCCTACTATTCTTCCCCAACAGCATGATTTAAGACCATCTCTGTTGATGTACATGTACATTGAAGTCAGTGCTTTGCAAATGAAAGGCTAGGCCCCACTAGTGACTAGTGAAACGAATTTGGTGGGACCATAACTAACATTTATTAAAAATGAATAGAAAATGTCAGAGTGCCTCAGACATAATTAAATATATTTTTATGAATTTTTTTCAAAGACGGATGGATGGATAGATAGATAGATAGATATAGACAGATAGATAGATCCCATGTTACAATGTAAAAAGTATTTCTATGTTGTGGCTCATGATAAAAAAAGTTTGTAAGCTCCTAATCTAGTTCACTGCCTCTCACTGCTGTGATTACCCTGCTATTCATCCACTGCATTTTATTTGTTCATTTTAGTGGTGAACAACTAGGTCGCTTCAGAGTCCCCCTCAGCCAACCACACTGATGAATATCTTTGTCCAAGTTCTGTCATGTAGAGAATTATCTTTATGCTATGGAAGCCTCTAAGTACAGCACCAGACAGGCTGAGACAGAGGTCACAAAATAGAAAGGCTCATAGGGCAAATTAGGCTGCCTGAGTCACACGGCATGTTAGATCAATTGAAAACATGCAGCAGGAAGGCAGGATAAGAGATGGGGAGTGTATTAACATGCTTAGGATAAGGTACTAGTGGGCTGGAAGGTGTGCACAACCTGTGTCCCAGGTGCATAATGCTCAAATGTCTTCTCTGTCCTCCCCTCTGGCATCAGCCTTCCCCACTGAAGATGAATGAGGGGGCTAGAGTTGAGGTTTGAGCAAGGGGTGTCCAGGAGACAGATGGTGCCCCAGGGTAAACATACACATTTGCTCTATTTGACAGTTAAAGGAGAGTAGGCCTGGCCACAGCTGTTTCATAGTGAAGGGGCCCAGAACATACCACTATGACATACACGTTATTTTGAATTGAAGGCATATGAGAATGGTTTTGTTTTTGTTTGTCCTAAACCTTTTATCAGCCTAAAAACAGAGCTTCCCAAGAAGAACTTCTAGAGGCGGAAAAACTGTTTTCCTTCTACCCATCTTAGGTTCATTGTCTGGCCCCCTGTACGTTAAACTGACAAAAGAAAGATTAACAAGAGAAAAGCAAACAAAAGTTTATTAACATGTGTATTACGCTTGTGTGAGCAAACTCAAAAGGGGGATACAACTCGGGTTTGTACAGCATCGGCTATGATTTGGATAGGGATTGTTTGGCTCCTCCAAGTCTCATGTTGAAATATGAATGTTGAAGGTGGGCCTAGTGGGAGGTGTTTGGATCCTGGGGACAGATCCCTCATGAATGATTTGGTGCCATTCTCATGGGAGTGAGTGAGTTCTCATTCTTAGTTCCTGCGAGAACTGGTTGTTGAAAAGAACCTGGCAGCTCCTCCCCTCTCTTTCATCCTCTCTCACAGTGTGACACTGGGTCCCCTTCACCTTCCACCAAGAATGGAAGCTTCCTGAGGCCTCACCAGAAGCAGAGGCTGATGCCATGCTTCTTGCACAGCCTGCAGAATCATGAGCCAAATAAGCCTGTTTTCTGTATAAACTACCCAGCCTCAGGTATTCCTTTATAGCAACACAAAAAGACTAAGAAAATTGATTCTGAGAGTAGGCATTGCTATAAAGATACCTGAAAATATGGAAGTGGCTTTGGAACTGGATAAGGGGCAGAGGTTGGAAGAGTTTGCAGGGCTCAGCTGAAGACAGGAAGATGAGGGAAAGTTTAGAACTTAAAATATTAGAGGCTAATCAAGTGGTTGTGACCAAAGTGCTGATAGAAATATGGATAGCAAAGTCTAGGCTGAGGAGGTGTCAGATGGAAGTGAGGAACTTATTGGGAACTGGAGCAAAGGTCACCCTTGTTATGCCTTAACAAGGAACTTGGCCACATTGTGTTCATGCCCTAGGAATTTGTGGAAGGCTAAATATAAGAGTGATGACCTAGGGTATATGGCAGAAGAAATTTCTAAGCAGCATAGTATTTGATTAGTGACAAGTTGATTTTAACAACTTAAATCAACTTGAGAGCAAAGGAATGACTTAAAGTTGGAATTTACAATTAAAGGGGAAGCAGAGCATAAAAATTGGGAACATCCATAATCTGGCCAGTGGCACAGGAAAAAAGAGCATTTTCAGGTGAGGAATCTGGCTGAACAACCGCTTGCTAGGGAGATTAGCATGGATAAAAGAAAGCCAGGTGCTAATAGTCAGAACAATGGGAAAAAGTCCCCCAAAACATTTCAGAAATCTTTGAGGCCACCTCTCCCATCACAGGGCCAGAGGCATGGGAGGACAGAATGGTTTCAGGGGCCATGCCCAGGATGCCACTTCCCTGCACCATCTCAAGATGATGATCTCTGCATCCCTGCTGCTCCACCTCCAGCCATGGCTCAAAGGGTCCCAGGAACTGCTTGGGGCACCACTTGGAAGAGCACAAGCTATAACCTTGACAGATTCCACATGGTGTTAAGTCTGCAGGCATGAAGAATGCAAGAGTGGTAGAGGCTTGGCTGATTCCATCTTGATTTAAGAAGATGTATAAGAGAGACTGAGTACCCAGGAAGAAGACTCCTGCAGGAGCACAGCTCCTACAGAAACCCTCTATTAGGTCAGTGCCAAGGGAAAATGTGGGGTTGGAGTCCCCACAGAGTCCCCATTGAGTCACTGCCTAGTGGAGTTGTGGGACAGCAGCTTGCAACCTCAGCCTGGAAAAGCCACAGGCATTAGACCTCAACCTGTAAGAGGAGCCATGTAGGCTTTACCTAGCAAAGCCATGGACACAGGGCTGCCGAAGGTCTTGGAAGCCCACCCCTTGCACCAGTGTACCCAGGATGCAGGACATGGAGTTGAGAAAAGTAAAATAGCTTAGGGCAGTCTGAGCTATGTGAGAGACATGAGCATGGGACTTTCATCCCATCCTACTTCTCACCTCCCTTTCATTCCCCTGCACCCATCCCTGGGGACAATTGTTGAAAGACATCTTGTTCCTAACTAGCTGTCTCACTCATTACCTTCATGTTCCTGGAATTCATGATACAAAGAACAATGTATAGCCAATCAATATCTTATCTTATTTTAATGCAAATGCTTGGTAAACAACTTAGGAATTGCCTTTCTTTTCCTTTAAAAATCCACTTGTAACTGCTGCTTCTCAGAGTGTATATTCAGGGCAAATCTATACCCCTGGGTTGCAATCCTCAAGCTTGGCTCAAATAAATTCCCTATTTCTATTAAGTTTGCCTCAGTTTTTTCCTTTAGGGTGACAGAGTCAAAGGAGATTATTCTGAAGCTTTAAGATTTAATGTCTGCCCTGCTGGGTTTTGGACTTGCATAGGGCCAGTTACTCCTTTCTTTTGGCTGATTTCTCCCTTTTGGAGTGGGTATGTTTACCCAATGTCTGTTTCACCATTTTATCTTGGAAGTAAACAACTTGTTTTTGATTTTACAGTCTCATAGCTGGAAGGAACTTGCCTTGTGTCTCAGATGGGACTTTGGACTTTTGAGTCAGTGCTGGAACAAGTTAAGACTTTTGGGGACTATTGGAAGGAATAATTATATTCTGCAATGTGAGAAGGACATGAGACATGGGGGGCCAGGGGCAGAATGCTATGGTTTGGATATGATTTGTTTGGCCCCACCAACTCTCCTGTTGAAATTTGATCCCCAGTGTTGAAGGTGGGGCTGGTGGGAGGCATTTGGATTGTGGGAGAAGATCCCTTATGAATGCCTTGGTGCCATTCTCACCAGAGTGAGTGAGTTCCCACTCTTAGTTCCTGCAAGATCTGGTTATTGAAAAGAGCTCAACAGCTCCTCTCCTCTTACTCTTCCTTCCTCCCTCACCATGTGATCTCAGCACACACTGGCTCCTCTCCACCGTCCAGTATGGGTGAAACTTCTTAAGGCACTCACCAGAAGCAGATGCTGGTACCATGCTTCTTGTACAGTCTGCATATCTATAAGCCAAATAAACTTTTCTTTGCAAATTACCCAGTCTCAGATATTCTTTTTTTTTTTTTTGAGATGGAGTCTCGCTCTGTCGCTCAGGTTGGAGTGCAGTGGCTCGATCTTGGCTCACTGTAACCTCCACCTCCCGGGTTCATGCCATTCTCCTGCCTCAGCCTCCTGAGTAGCTGGGACTACAGGCACCTGCCACCATGCCAGGCTAATTTTTTTGTATTTTTAGTAGAGATGGGGTTTCACCGTGTTAGCCAGGATGGTCTTGATCTCCTGACCCCATGATCTGCCCACCTCGGCCTCTCAAAGTGCTGGGATTACAGGCATGAGCCACTGCTCCTGGCCCAGATATTCTTTATAGCAATGCAAATGGACTAAAATGGCATCTTAATGAAAGAGCAATAAGTTCTTAGAGAAGTGACAAGACAAAGGAAAAAGACTTTTGAGTTTCTAGAGTAGCAATATGCGGGAAGGGAAATATATAGGGAGATTAATGGTACATAAGGGCTAGTTAGCAAGGTTTGCTATGTAGATTCCTTTGGGGAGTCTCCAGGATGATAAGAATCTAGGATCATCTCCAGCTCTCTGGTGACTAACTTCTGTCTTTCCTGGTAGAAAGGGGAGGGAGGACATCTTTACAAATTTCTATCCTGCTTTTAGGCAAATGGGGAGAGGGCAGAAAGCTTTTCTTGTATTTGCTTCTTCTCAATTGCCTTCAGGTCAAAATAATTCTATGCCAAAGTGGCACATTTTGGAGTGGTATGTTCTACTACTATTCAAATTCAGTTGTCATAAATTACTCCCCCAAGAACAACAGGGATGGTTGATTCTTTTTGTTTGTTAGTTAAGAGACAGGGTCTCACTCTGTCACTCAGGCTGGAGTGCAGTGCTATCATTGTGGCTCACTGTACCCCAAACTCCTGGGCTCAAGTAATTCTCCTACCTTAGCCTCCTGAGTAGCTAGGACCACAGGCTTGCACCACTATGTCTGGTTAATATTTTATTTTATTTTTTTTGTAGTGACAGAGCCTCATTATGTTGCCCAGGCTGGTCTTGAACTCGTGGCTTCAAGTTATCCTCCAACCTGAGCCTCCTAAAATGCTGGGATTATAGGCATGAGCCACTACACCCAGGTAAAGATTGATTCTTATCATCACACACTAGAAGTCAGCACTACATATAAACAAATGTTGCCACAAGACTGTCCTATCTCCTAAAGGCCCACTTACTTTTCCCCAAAGTCATTTGTTTTCCTATAAGTGTCCTTTCTGCCCCCTTCCCCTAGTCAGATGGTATATAAACCCAAAATTCTAACCATCTCCTTGAGGCACATTTTTTCTTGTACGTATATTATTACATACAAGAACTCTCGTATGTATATTGTTAAAATCTATCTTTTCTCTTTCTAATCTGTATTTCGTCAGTTTAATTTGCAGACCCACAGTCAACAAACCTAAGAGAGCAGAGGAAAAAATTTTCCCCCTCAAAGTAGTGGCAGAGATAATTTTCCTTCAAACTGACAACGGACAGATTAAAAGGAGAAAAAACGTACAAACGTATTGATATGCATAAGAACAGGAGTCATATATAACATGAGACCCGAAGAAGGGCCAGAAGGCCAAAGCTTAAATAGTGCCCTCTTCATTGCAGAATGCAGGAAATTGTGAGAGGTTAGTAAATGATTTTCAAGGGGAATAAATGGGCCAGAAGACAGACAATGGTCTGGGACAAAGTTTCTCTGGGCACTGGGTCATATGGTGGGAAGGTAAGGGGCGGAATCTCATTATGAACAAAGGTTGTCTTACTATGCAGATAAAGTCTCCCAAGTAATCTCTTGGAGCGGCCCTCAGAAAAATAGGTAAAACATCCACACCAGGCGTGGTGGCTCACACCTGTAATCCCAGCACTTTGGGAGACCAAGGCAGGTGGATCACCTAAGGACAAGAGTTTGAGACAGTCTGACCAACATGGAGAAACCCCATCTCAACTAAAAATACAAAATTAGCCAGGTGTGGTGGTGCATGCCTGTAATCCCAGCTATTCAGGAAGCTGAGGCAGGAGAATCGCTTGAACCTGGGAGGTGGAGGTTGCGGTGAGCTGAGATCGTGCCATTGAAGTCCAGCCTGGGCAACAAGAGTTAAACTCCATCTCAAAAAAAAAAAAAAAAACCACACACACACACACACACACACACACACACAAAACAAAAAAAACATTCACCTGGGCATGATGACTACTTTTAGTCTTTTCTTTTCTCCAGTAATTAGTATTTCCTGCGTATTTGATGACATTCTAAGGAGAGGGTCTTAAGAAATTGCATTTTTTTGGAAGAAGTTTTCCCTAGTCACATAAGGGAACTCCAGAGAGAGCACCTCCCTGTGCTTCGTAGTTGGGGTTTGGTGGACGGAGAAAAAAGAGAAAGTAAGAAAATCGTTGGTTCTGAGAGAGCTTCTGAGGCCTTCTAGTATCCTTTAATTCAAAAGTGCTCAGCATATGCCAAAGCACTGTATTTTGGGGGTATTGTGCTCTCAGCCTCAACACTGACAACAGGTAATATCTTTCTTCTACTTTCCTGTACTAATGTTCTGCTTCCTGATACTTTCACCCACTGGACTGGTGGTTCCCATCCTTGGCTGCTCAGTGGACTCCCATGGGGAGCTTTTAAAAATATGGATGCTGCCCAGTGCTTGCTTTGAGAGTCTGAGGTGGGAGGATCACTTGAGGACGGGAGTGCAAGACTAGCTTTGACACATAGCCAGACTCTCTTTCAAGCTATATGTGTATATGTGTGTGTGTGTGTGTGTGTGTGTGTGTGTGTGTGTATTTCAGACATGGTGGCACATGCCTGTAGTTCCAGTTACTTGGAAGGCTGAGTTGGGAGGATTACTTAAGCTCAGGAATTCAAGGTTGCAGTGAGCTATGATCATGTCATTGCACTTCAGCCTGGGCGAAAGAGCAAAACTCTGTCTCTTTTTTAAAAAAAGGTGGGGAGGAGAGGGAGGGTGATGCTTGGACCCTTGGGCCCTGCTCCAGAGGATCAGATTTAATAGTTTGGGCTGGCTGGTTGAAAACCATTGTCCTAGACTCTTCAGCTGTGGCTGTGGCACACACAGTCAACCCAGGTGCCCTTTACCACATTTGCCAACTTTTCTTCCTTCATTGACCTAGAACTCAATTAGTGAGAAACTAATGAACATTTAGTTGTAAATGGATGATTTACTCCCCTCCAAGAAGTGGAGGGAAGTACTTTTAATGTGAAGATATTGGTGAACAATAACAGGTCTCTAATTCTCAGGCTATTTGGCAGTGTAGAAATGTAAAGCGAACCTCTAGGGAATTTACTCTGAGAGTAAAGTGAAACTTTTGAGGCCAGACTCTAAGCTAGGGTTGCCAACTCTAACTGCACATTAGAATCACCTGGGAGCTTTTTTATTTTTATTTTTATGTGTTTTTTTTAAGAGACAGAGTCTCGCTTTGTCATCCAGTGGCATGATTTCGTTGCTCACTGTAGCCTTGAACTTTTGGGCTCAAGGTATCCATCCTCCTGCCTCAGCCTCCCAAGTGGCTGGGATTACAGGTGTGCACCACCACACCTGGCCAACTTTTAAAACTTTTTTTTTGTAGAGATGGAGGAGGAGGTCTCGCGGTATTGCCCAGGCTAGTCTTGAATTCCTGGCCTCAAATGATCCTCCCACCTCAAGCCTCCCAAAGGGCTGTGATTACAGGCGTGACTCACCATGGCTGGCCCACTTGGGAGCTTTAGAAAACACCACCAAACCCCTGTCCCAGACCAAAGAACTCGGAGTTTTGGTATGGTTGGACAAGGGCATATTTTAAAGTTCCCTAGGTGATTTTAATGTGCACTCGAGGTTGCAAACCTCTGCCCTCAAGGCTTTCTGCTTTCCTTAGTTTCTTGCTCTACTCTTTTCATCTGTTCTGGGTTCTCAGGAGATGTTTTGATCTTGGAGTTTCATTTGTTTGTTTATAATTGCCCTAGAGCAACATGAGCTCAGAAGTGGAGGGTTGGGGTTGGCTCTTCCTGTAGGTAAATGTGGTAAGTTAGAGACTGCCTCTGTGTGTGTGTGCTGGAGATCTGTGTAGCTGCATCAGTTTACACACATACCTTAAAAGAGAAGCTATTCTTGCTTGTCCACATGCCACTTACTTGGTAATTTCACATGTGTCCAACACAAGTGAGAACCAAGGAACAAGCCCCCCAGAAGTTCCTCTACCATCAAATAGGGTCCCTGATATCATTACAGGTTGAGCATCCCTGATTTGAAAGTCCAAAACCTGAAATGCTCCAAAACCCAAAACTTTTACATTTTATTCAATTTTATTTTCTTAGAGACAGGGTCTCATTCTGTTGCCCAGGCTGGAGTGCAGTGAGTGGTGCAATTATAGCTCACTGCAGCCTTGATCTCCTGTGCTCAAATATCTTCCCACCTTAGCCTCCTGAGTAGCTGGGACTATAGGCATGCACCACCACACTTTGCTCAAAATCCAAAACTTTTGAGTGCTGACTTGATATCACAAGTGGAAAATTTACACCTCATATGATGGGTCACAGTTAAAATGCAGGTGTACAACACACGGTTTATTTGGAGTCCCCAAGGGAAAAAAGACAGTCCCAGTTCCCTTCAGTTGCAATGTATCTTTTCTGCCCATGCCTAGGTTCCTTCACACAAGCACACCCACAAAGGGTAACAAAATGACATGTGTACAGGTTGGATGTGCCAATGGCAGCTTTCCCACAATGCAGTACGTGGGGACAAGGCCTGACGGTGTGTGCATTATTCATTTTTTTTTTTTTTAATTCTCTTCCTGTAGTGAAGAGATGTTCTTGAAAATGTCAAAAAGGCCTGCAGACACCTTTATGGGTAACAGCAAAACAAAAAGAGGAAACATTTATATGTATAGCACAGGAAGTCAAGCTGTTGAAAAAGCTGGAGAGCAGTGCAAATGCAAAACGTCTTACAGAAGAGTATAGTGTTTGAATGGCCATTATATATGACCTGAAGAAACAGAAGGATAAACTGTTGAGGCTCTACACTGAGAGTGATGAACAGAAGAAGTTAATGAAACATAGAAAAACACTGCATAAAGCTAAAAATGAAGATCCCAATTGTGTATTGAAAGAGTGGATCTATCAGCATTGCCATGAACACACGCCCCTTAATGGTATGCTGATCATGATACAAGCAAAGATGTGTCACAATGAACTAAAAATTAAAGGGAACTGTAAATATTCAACAGATTCTTTGCAGAAATGTAAGAAAAGACATAACATTACATTTTTAAAGATTTCTGGTGATGAAACATCTGCTGATCACAAAGCAGTGGAGGAATTCACTGATGAGTTTGCCAAGGTCATTGCTGATGAAAATCTGATGCCAGGACGAGTCTATAATGCTGATGAAGCATCATTGTTTTAGTATTATTGCCCCCAAAAGACACTGACTACAGCTAATGAGACAGACCTTGCAGGAATTAAGGATGCCACAGAGAGAATAACTGTGCTGGGATGTGCTGATGTGGCAGGCATGCTAAGTGTACACTTGCTGTGATAGGAAAAAGCTTGCATTCTTGCTGTTTTCAAGGAAAGAATTTATCAGCTTATTATTATGCTAACAGAAAGGCATGAATCACTAGGGACATCTTTTCTGATTGTCTTCACAAACATTTTGTACCAGTGGCTTGTTCTCACTGCTGGGAAGCTGAACTAGATGTTGACTGCAAGATTTTGTTATTTCTTGACAACTGTTCTGCTCATCCTCTGGCTGAAATTCTCATAAAAAATAATGTTTATGCCATGTACTTTCCCCAAACATGGCTCTATTAATTCAGCCATGTGACCAGGGTATCCTTAAATCAACAAAGAGTAAATATAAAAACTCTTTCTTGAACAGTATGCTAACAGCAGTGAACAGAAGTGTGGGTGTGAAAGGTTTTCAAAAGAAGTTTAGCAAGAAGGATGCCATATATGCTGTCGCAAATGCTTGGAACACAGTGAAGACAGTTGTGTAGGCCTTGAACAATGTCTGGCCTGCAACTATGTTCAGTGATGACAATGAACAAGGTGGTGATTTTGAAGGATTCCGTATGTCAAGTGGGAAAAAAGCAATGTCTGACCCCCTTACATATGCAAACAAACAAACAAACAAAAAAAACAACCTCCAGAATCTGTCTCTAAGCTGGGAGAAGTGGATATTGAAGAAGTTTTCAAGATCAATAAGGAGACTCTAGTTGTTCATTCATTTACTGATGGTGAAAAAGCCAAAATGGCTCTAAATCTAGTTGATCATAATAATAGAGATATGAAGATGTTATTGTTAATGTAACACTGCAGAAAAAGTGCCTATAGACCATGTGGTGAAAATGTGTGATGGGCTTATTGAAGGGCTGGAGCAGTTTAACAGAGCAAGAAATCATGTCAGTTTATAAAATCCAAGAGAGATTTTAAGACAAAAACAGTTGTGAATAAGGCAGAGGACTCTGGAGGAAACATTCTAAAAGCCATCCAGCAGAATACCTCCTCATCTCTACAAGACCCACTTCCTGGGCCCTCAACTGCTTCTGATGTTTCTTCTCACCTACGAAATAAAGTACAGCACACAGTAACTTTTTATTCAAAACATATTAGCTGGACCCTGGGGGCTCATGCCTTTAATCCCAGAGTTTTGGAGGCTGAGGTGGGAGAATGGCAAACCCAGGAGTTGGAGACCAGCTTGGGCAACATAGCGAAAACCATCTCTACAAAAAATAAAAAAAATTAGTTGGGCATGGTGGCATGTGCCTGTAGTCCCAGGCAGAGGCAGGAGGCATGGAGGCAGGAGGCAGGAGGATCACCTGAGCCTAGGGAGATTGAGGCTGCAGTAAGCCATGATCGTGCCACTGCACACCAGCCTGAGTGACAGAGTGAGACCATGTCTCAGAAACAAACAAAACACAAAAAACAAAAAACAAACCCCACTAAAAATGACAACAAAAGCCTGCCGTTGTTTGTTGCTGTTGTTTTGCAGCTGATCCAGGTGTTCTGGTGATGCTACTATGCTGCTTAATTACCATGAGTACATTATTTTTTCACTCTATTAATGATATGTAAGATTTTTTACTCTTAAATATTTACATGTGAATAATGGTAAGAAAATGATTGCCTATCGGTAGCATATAAATTCAGAGTCAGGAGTGATGGTGATGCCAAACAACCACAGATTGTCCACATGGGTGGCTGCGATTGTGACACCTTTGCTTTCTGAAGGTTCGCTTTGTTCCATGCACAAAATTACTAAAAAATTGTATAAAATTACCTTTAGAATATGTGTATAAGATGTATATAACACATCAGTTTAATGTTTAGACTTGAGCCCCATATCCAAGACATCTCATTATGTATAAGCAAATATTCCAAAATCTTTTTAAAAATCTGAAATCTGAAACACTTCTTGTCCCAAGTATTTTAGATAAAGGATACTTGGCCGGGTGTGGTGGCTCACGCCTGTAATCCCAGCACTCTGGGAGGCTGAGGCGAGTGGATCATGAGGTCAGGAGATCGCAATCATCCTGGCTAACATGGTGAAACCCTGTCTCTACCAAAAAATAGAAAAAACTAGCCGGGCTTGGTGGCGGGCGCCTGTAGTCCCAGCTACTCCGGAGGCTGAGGAGAATGGCGTAAACCCAGGAGGCGGAGCTTGCAGTGAGCCAAGATCGTGCCACTGGGCGACAGAGCGAGACTCCGTCTCAAAAAAAAAAAAAAAAAAAAAAGGATACTCAACCCGCATTGAATTAACATAGCATACTTGGCGTCACCAAATTAACATAGCATACTTGGCTTCGCTGCTGAATTCTACCAAATAGTTAAGCACTAGTGCCAATGCTACTCAAACTATTCTGAAAAACAGAAGAGGAGATGATACTTCCAGACTCATTCTACAAGGCCAGCATTACCCTGATCCCAAAACCAGACAAAGACACATCAGAAAATGAAAACTACAGGCCAATATCTCTGATGAATATTGATGCCAAAATCTTCAACAAAATACTATCAAAGTGAATTCAACAATATGTTAAAAAAATCATTTATCATGACCAAGTGTGATTTATCCCAAGGATGCAACGGTGGTTCAACATACACAAATCAATCAATGCGATACATCATATTTACAGAGTGAGGGACAAAAAAAATGATAATTTTAATGAATGCTAAAGAAGCATTTGGTAAAATTCAATATCTCTTCATGATAAAAACCCTCAACAAACTGGGTGGAGAAGGAGCATACCTCAACACAATAAAAGCTATATATGACAGACCCACAGTTAGTATTATACTGAATGGGGAAAAACTGAAAGCCTTTCCTCTATGATTTGGAACACAACAAGGATGTCCACTGTCACCACTGTTATTCAATGTAGTACTGGAAATTCTAGCTAGACCAATCAGATGAAAGAGACATGAAGGGCATCCAAATTGGAAAGGAAGAAGTCAAATTTATCCTCGTTTGCAGATGATATAATTTTATATTTGGTAAAACCTAAAGACCCAACCAAGAAACTATTAGGACTGATAAACAAATTCAGCAAAGTTGCAGGATACAAAGTCAACATACAAAATCAAAAAATTTGTAAATGTCAACATCGAACAATCTGAAAAGAAATCAAAGCAATCCCATTTACGATAGCTACAAATAAAATAAAATACTTAGGAATTAACCAAGAAGTGAAAGATCTCTGCAATGAAAATTATAAAACACTGACGCAAGAAATTGAGGAGGACACAAAAAATGGATATTCCATGTTCATGGATTGGAAGAATTGATATCATTAAAATATCTATACTACCCAAAGCAATCTACAGATTTAATGCAACCCTATCAAAATACCAATGACATTCTTTACAGAAATAGAAAAAAATCTAAAATTAATATGGAACCACAAGAGACCAAGAATAGCCAAAGCTATCCTAAGCAAAAAGAGCAAAATTGGAGGAATCACATTACCTGACTTTAATTATACTACAGAGCTATAGTAACCAAAATGGCATGGTACTGGCCTAAAAACAGACACACAGACCAGTGAAACAGAATAGAGAGCCCAGAAATAAATTCATACATCTACAGTAAACTCATTTTTGACAAAGTTTCCAAGAACATACATTGGGGAAAAGACTGTTTCTTCAACAAATGGTGCTGGGGGAAAACTGGATATCCATATGCAGAAGAATGAAACTAGACCCCTATCTCTCTCCATATATAAAAATCAAATCAAAATGGATCGAAGGCTTAAATCTAAGGTCCCAAACTATGAAACTACTAAAAACAACATTGGCGAAACTCTCCAGGACATTGGAGTGGGAAAAGACTTTTCTTTTTGCCTCAGGCATAGCAACCAAAGCAAAAATGGACAAATGGGAGCACATCAAGTTAAAAAGCTTCTGTACAGCAAAGGAAACAACAAAGTGAAGAGACAACCCATGGAATGGAGAAAATATTTGCAAACTACCTATCTGAAAAGGGATTAATAACCAGAACATATAATGAGCTCCAAAAACTCTATAGAAAAAAAATCTAATAATAGATTTAAAATGGGCAAAAGATCTGAATAGACATTTCTCGAAAGAAGACATACACATGGCAAACAGGTATATGCAAAGGTGCTCTGCATCAATGATCATCAGAGAAATGCAAATCGAAACTACAGTGAAATATCATCTCACCCCAGTTAAGATGGCTTTTATCCAAAAGACAGGCAATAATAAATCCTGGCAAGGATGTGGAGAAAAAGGAGCTCTCATTCACTGCTGGTGGGAATGTAAATTAGTACGATCACTATGGAGGACAGTTCGGAGGTTTCTCAAAAAACTAAAAATAGAGCTATCCTATGATCCAGCAATCCCACCGCTAGGTGTACACCCAAAAGAAAGGAAATCGGTATATTGAAGAAGTATCTGCACTGTCATGTTTATTGCAGCACTGTTCACAATAGTCAAGATTTGGAAGCAACCCGAGTGTCCGTTAACAGATGAAGAAATAAAAAAACGTGGTACATACACACAAAGGAGTACTATTCAGCTATAAAGAAAGAATGAAATCCTATCATTTGCAACAACACGGATTGAGCTGGAGGTCATTATGGTAAGTGAAATAAGCTGGGCAAAGAAAGACAAACATCACATGTTCTCACTTATCTGTGGGAGGTAAACATTAAAACAATTGAACTCTTGGAGATGAAGAGTAGAAGGTGGTTACCAGAGGCTGAGAAGGGTAGCTGGGGAGGGTGAGGATAGAGGTGAAAGAGGGATGATTAAGGGGTACAAAAAAATAGTTAGAAAGAATGAATAAGACCTAGTATTTGCTAGTGCAACAGGATGATGACAGTAAAAAAAAATTAATTGTACATTTAAAAATAAGTAAAAGAGTATAATTGGATTGTTTGAAACACAAAAGATAAATGCTTGAGGTGATGGATACCCTATATACCCTGATGTGATTATTACACTTTGCATGCTGTATCGAAACATCCAATGTAACCCATAGATATACACAACAACTATGTACCCACAAAAATTAAAATAAAACAAAAACACATAATATACTGATTGATGTTCTGTGACCTCAAGTTAATTGGAAAAGTTGGGTCATGTGTCCTTAAGAAGGCAGGGAGCCCACAGGCATTTAACATGCTTTCTATCCATTGTGATGGGCTGTTCCTGCCTGAAGGGGTCAGCTGCAAATATTTGGGACAGATTTATGTGCAACCAGTTACGTAGGTTATTCCAATGTGTGTCTGTGTTAGGGATTACAATATTATTATAATATTTGTTGAGCACTTGTGTACTAGATACTGTGCTAGGCACGCTAGAATGTATTGTTTCATTTATTCCTCACATCAACTTTTTTTTTTTTTTTTTTTTGAGACGGAGTCTCCAGGCTGTCGCCAGGCTGGAGTGCAGTGGCGCGATCTCGGCTCACTGCAACCTCTGCCTCCCGTGTTCAAGCGATTCTCCTGCCTCAGCCTCCCGAGTAGCTGGGACTACAGGCGCCCGCCACCACGCCCAGCTAATTTTTGTATTTTTAGTAGAGACGGGGTTTCACCATGTTGGCCAGGATGGTCTCGATCTCTTGACCTCCTGATCCGCCCGCCTTGGCCTCCCAAAGTGTTGGGATTACAGGCGTGAGCCACCGCACCCGGCCCGCATCAAACTTTTTAGGCAGGAACTACTATATCTCCATTTTAGGGAGAGGCAACAGAAGCACAAGGAAGTCAGGCAGCTGACCCAAGCTCGTTTGCATCTGGGGTTTCAAATCCAGGGCTTTCTGCACCATCAGCACTCTCAGCACAACACTTGCACTCTGGACTCACCACTTGCAACCTGGGTGCTCCCTGAAGGCCTGGGTTTGATTGAAGAGTCTCAGAAATCTCCCAACGGCATTTCCTGGAGACATTTCAGAATGCCCAGCTGCCTAGATGGTGAGAAGAGCACCAGGAAATGCCTCCCTCTGGGGAAAATCTAAGTGGGGACTGGAGCAGACTGTGTGGATTCAGGGCTCTCACGCCCCTGGCAGGCTCGCTGAGCTGGGCGGTGCTGTTAATTCAATGCAGATTGAGTGTCCTTTATCCAAAATGCTTGGGACCAGAAGTGTTTCAGATTTTGGATTTTTTTTTTTTTTTCAGATTTCGGAATATCTGTATATACAGAATGAGATCTCTTGAAGACGGGGCCCAAGTCTAAACATGAAATTCATTTTTTTCATATACATCTTTTACATGTAGTCTGAAGGTAATTTTATACACTGTTTTAAATGGTTTTGTACATAAGACAAAGTTAGTGTACACTGAACTACTGGGGTCACCACCAACACAAATGTCTCAGCCGAGAATAAACTTGGCTTCCCAAGTCCTGTCTGTGGGTAGAGGGCCCACAAATCCCAACACATTCCAACATCTCCCTCTGCTGGCCTCTGCCTGACATTACAGACAAATAATTGATTTATTCCCCACCCAAGTCTGGCACCCCACTGCCACAAACATATACACATCTTGCAGACATAAGAGATTTTAGTGCCTCTGTGTCTCTTTCCCTCTTCTTTTGGTAGCACTGCCCTGTTCTCTGGGGGGAGACTGGCCCTCTCCCCTTGCCCACGTTACCCGTTCCCAATGGAGCCACAGTCTCAGAATCCTGTCATTCCTGGCTGTGGCAAGGGGCACATGGCCTGGGGGTGGTGACAGTAATGGATGGGTCTGAGGGGTGAGTGCCTAGTCAACCTAAATGGGACAGTTCTGGGGCATTATATATACACTTGGAAGTCCCTTCTTCCTCTAGGGTCTCCGTCGGTGGGGCAGTCAGCAGCCACTGCCCTCCTCTCTGCCTAAGAAAGTCCCTCCCCAGCAGGACAGAACAAGGCCACTGCACAGAGACACCCTAGGGAGGGAAGGCTGGAGGCACACTCAGATCCACACCCTGGATCTACATTCCTAGATCCAGGCCCAGTGGGCCAACCAGTTTGCTGTGGGACTTGAAACTGAAGTGGAGAAAAAAAGCCACACACGTTGAAGCTGGGGGCTCCCTAGAGATTTGACCACCATTGCAACTGAGCATGTGGACTTGGCTGTGCACACTGGTCACTGTACCTGGGAATATACTGAGTCAGTCTGCACAGTATTCATTAGCATTCATTTTATTTGTTTTTCAGCCATTTCTTGTGTACATCTTTTTGTTTATTTCCACCCCCAACCCCCATCCCAACTGCCAAGCTCTCTCACTGTCTCCTGAGCAGGGACAGGTGCTTTCATTTTGTCCAGTGGTGCAGGTCCTGGTCCTGCGATTTTAAATTAGAAAGACATCAGGCCAAGCCTCAGTTTACCCAGTGATGGGGGAGCCCTATGGCAGGAGCACACCTGGTCCCTCCCCATCTCCCACACAGCCTCTGGCTGCAGTGACACTGGAACCCAGGGAGGCAGGATGTTCCCAAATGTCCCTTAGTGGAGTAACAAATGGCAATGGCTTGGCAATCATATTGCCTAGAGCTGGGAGTCCCAAATGCAGCAACAACAATTAAAAGTGTAAATGTTAATGCTAATGTCGCTTCTGCATTCTAAGGATGATGGTAAAATTCCCATTTCTCATACAGGGAATAGGAGGAATTCCTCTCGCCATAGTAGTCAGCCTGGCGTCTGGTCCTGCTCTGCCCTGGAGGTCCAGCATCCAGGGCCTGCCATGTTCCTGGATCCCCTTCCCAGGCCAAGGTTCAGCTCTCCATCCCTGCTGCTGCTTGTGTGGTGGTGATCCAGCTCCCTTAGTCAAGGGTCATTTGTTGACCCCTCCCACTTCCAGCTCATATTCTGCACTTTGAGGGACTGGAAGTGCTGTGGTTTGAATGTTCATGTCTACTTCAAAATTCATGTTGAGCCTTAATCCCCAGAGCAACAATATTAAGAAATGGGCCTTTAGGAGGTGATTAGGCCGCTTGGGCTCTGTCCTCATGGGTGAGATTATTGTCCTTAAAAAAGGGCCAAAGGGAGAGACTTTGCTCCCCTTCATTCCTTTTGCCACAAGAGAACACCTGGACGATGCCATCTATGAGGAATAGGCCCTCACTGGACACCGAACCTGCTGGTGCCTTGATCTTGGACTTCCCAGCCTCAAGAACTATGAGAAAATAAATTTGTTTTTTATAAATTACCTGGTCTCAGGCATTTTGTTATAGAAGCACAATTGGACTAAGACAGAAGACTGCAGTTCAAAAATGACTGGCTTGGAGCCAGAGAGGTGCATGGCTCAAGCTTCAAGACTTCTTTCTTAAATGGGTCTCTTCTAAATCAATATTAGCTTTCAAACCTAATATGAGATAAATAATTTTACACCTTCTGTTTTGAGGAGACTCCACCATATTGTATAAGCCCACAGAATTTTCATCCATCTGGCCAGTAGAGGAGCCCTAGGAAGGGCCTAGCCTGACTTAAGGAACTGTGAGGTCTAACATCCAGTCTTGCTTTGTTCTTTGGTGTTTCCAGCTGGGGGATGCTCAGGTGGGTGCAGTCAGGTGATTGGTCTTCTCCATGGAGTCTATCCATGTGGGGGGAGCTTGGGCTTCCTCTCAGCATGGCAGCCTCTGCAAAGTCAGCCCTGGGAGGTGAAGGTGTCAAGAGTGAGCATTCCAGCGAGCAATGCAGAAATGCATGATAGTTTTTCTAACATCCATTTTAAGCTTGCCCTTTCCTACATTATACATTTCTTCAGATCATAAGTTTTGTTGCCCACTCAACACCAGTGCCAGTTTGGAGAAGAGAGAGACCACCCAGACCCACACATGGGGCCAAGCAGAAGGCACCACAGAGACCCAAATCAGTATAAAGTGGGGTTCTAAGGATCAGAAAAAGTGAAATCTCTCCCACGAGCCCCAGCAGAAGGCATGGCCCCTCTCGCTCAAGGAGAGTTGGGATGGGAGTGTTATGATTGGCATACACCAGGTGTGAGTCTGGACCTGGGCACCTGCTAGCAGGTGTGGAGGGAAGAATGGCTCCTGGCTTGGCTGCTCTTGGTGTCAGCCACAGGCCCCTACTGGCAGGGCTTCCTGTCTTCTAGGCACTCCTTAGGACATGAGGTACAGGAGCTCCTACCCTGAGAACATGCAATGGATGGCACCTGGCTCTTCTTTAGGGCCACCAAATTCTGCCAGATTCTGTCCAACCAGGGCCAGCTTCGTGAGTGCATGACCCACACACAGTTCCCTGTTTCAGAAGGACCCGTGCTTGCTTTAAGCTCTGCTGTCACCATTGTCACACCCGGTGACAGTGACACTCCCATCCCAACTCTTCTTGAGTGAGACGGGCCATGCCTTCTGCTGGGGTTTGTGGGAGAGATTTCACCTTTTCTGATCCTTAGAACCCCTCTTTATACTGATTTGGGTCTCTGTGGTGCCTTCTGCTTGGCCCAATGTGTGGGTCTGGATGGCCTCTCCCTTCTCCAAACTGCCACTGGTGTTGAGTGGGCAACAAAACTTATGATCTGAAGAAATGTATAATGTATAATGTAGGAAAGGGCATTTTGACATTCTGAATAGTTTTGGGGCCAGGGGCCCTGCATTTTCATTGCAGGTCCTGCCTGGGAGCATAGGAGATACAGGTTCAAGAGCAGATGGGACCAGAGGCCAGGTGTGTGGATCCAGAGAGGACAGAGTCCTGGGCCTTCTTACCCTGTTAGTCTACAGATGAGGAAAAGGAGGTCTCCGGGGAGAAGAGACCTAAGGGGTCCACATAGCTGGTTAGAGGTGAGACCAAGGCTCTGTGTTTCTACACCAAACTCCTTGAGCTAAAGCAGCTCCTAGGAATACCATGGAGGCATGATAGGTCCAGTGGCCACCCTCTGCAGAGGCAGCACAGAGCTATGGGGGGTGTCATCAGATGGACAGGAACCTGATTCCCAGCTGTGGGACCTTGGACAAGACCCTCAGCCTTCCTGTGTCCTCACTGGGAAACCAGGGATAACACTCATGGCCGTTGTGAGGACTCCCTGGGGTGGAAAGAACCAGCTGTGCCCTGTAAGTAAGTGTTTAATAAGTGTTAGTCCCCCTTGCTTGGTCCCTGCCCCTGGGGACAAGTCACGGCATCCACAGCTAGGGCCGCTGGACCCAGAGCACTGGGGGGACTTTTGGGCTCTCTGTCTGGGTGGGGGCTCCCTCCATGGGCTCGCCTGTCCCTGTGCTGCGAAGTCCACTTGCCTGTGCATGCTCCCCACCTCACATCCAACGATTGGCACAACAGTTGCAGAGCCCTGGAGGCTCCTATCTGAAGTGGCCTTACCCCTTCGTGGCTGGAGGTTGGGGACTTCTCAGGAACGGGGTTGGAGGAGCGGTGCCATGGAGGAACAGGGGAAGCTTCCACTTACTGCCACGTCCCATTCCATGGCTCATCTGCATTCTCAGCACTGGACGCAGTGAGTGGCACATGGCAGTGCTCAGCAAATGTTTGATGAGTCAGTGAATGAATGAAAGAAGAATGGAAACGCCAGGTACAGTGGCTCATATCTGCAATCTCAGCACTTTGGGAGGCCGAGGCAGATGGAACGCCTGACGTTAGGAGTTCAAAACCAGCCTGGCCAACGTGGCAAAACCCTGTCTCTACTAAAAATACAAAAAGTAGCCAGGCGTGGTGGCACGTGCCTGTAATTCCAGCTATTTAGGAGGCTGAGGCAGGAGAATCACTTGAACCTGGGACGGAGCTGAGATTGTGCTGCTGCAGTCCAGCCTGGGTGACAGAGCGAGACTCTGTCTCATCTATCTCAAAAAAAGAAAAAAATAAACCAGAATAGGAACAATGCCTGGAAGGAGAGAGAACTTACCAAAAATGTAAGCAGACAGGGAGGGTCTCCAGGGACTACAGGAATGTAATCCACTCAAGCAATCAGGGTATTTTACAGCCTCCTGCCCTGCAGCCTGGTTTTCCCAAACCCTTTGTGGCATGTGGTCACCTAGTTGTCTGGAACTGACTCCTGACAGACCCCAGCAACTTATAGATGAGGCTCAGTGAACTTTCCTGATGACCATGCTAAAGTATCCACCCTGGGTGGAGCTGTAGCTTTATAACCGTAACATGCAACCCACATGCTGGCGTGATGACTTGCTGTGCCTGCGCCGCTAGGACCCCCCTCTCCATGCAGCAATGCACCCTCTGCTGTCTGCATCACCGCCATAAAACCCTTCTGTCACTTCCGTCAGGGAGACACTGCTTTGGAGAATAAAACTCCTATTGATCAAAACCTGTGTTCTTGTGGGGAGTCATTTGTTACTTGCCAGGCAAATGAACCCCGGTGTTTTCGGGTAACACCTTCAGGCTCTGTTTCTTTTAGGGTCTGATTTTTAAATGCTGAGCAGAAATTTCCTTGAGACCTGTGTAAAGAGTGCAGTGTAGCTGAAGGATCATAAACCAGAAATCTTTGGCCCTGCACCCTGGGTGCTTTCTGAACTTCCGGGATGTTGCAACAGCCTCTGGTGCTTAGAAAAGCACCACCTTATCACTCTTGCCCTCTTTGCCCTTGCAACTGGGTTGTTTCGGTTCCAAGCTCACATGGCTTCTTTCCACTGGGTGGTTGCTGCAGGATGGGGCCAAAAGCAGGCAGTAGAGTATAGAAGAGTGGCTCTCAAACTTCAATGTGAATCAATTACCAGGAGGGCTGCTGAAACCCAGATGGCTGGGCCCTACCCCCAGAGCCTCTGATGCTGCAGGTCAGGGGTGGGGCTCAAGAATTTTTCTTCCATTAAGTTCTCAGGTGATGCTGAGGCTACTGGTCCAGGGACCACACTTTGAGAACCACTGGTATAGATCATCGCACCAAGAACATGGAGACAGGCGCTCCGCTGTAAAGTCCCGGTGACTTGGGTAACCCACCTATCCTCTTTTTGCTGTTTTCTCATCTCTGAAATGATGATAATAACAATCCCTAACTCAGAGTCATTGCAAGAATTAGATGCAATAATATGTGTTAAGCATATGCCACAGTCTCTGGCATATAGTAAGTGCTTGTGATACAGTATTGTGACTCATGATAAGATATATGTTTTTGTTTTGTTTTGAGACAAAGTCTTGCTCTGTTGCCTAGGCTGGAGTGCAGTGGTGTGATTGTGATTCACTGCAGCCTTGATATTTTGGGCTCAAGTAATCCTCCCGCCTCAGCCTCCCGAGTAGCTGGAACTACAGACATGGGCCAGCTACTATTTTAAAATTTTTATTTTTAGTAGAGATGAGGTCTGGATATGTTGCCCAGGCTGGTCTCAAACTCCTGAACTCAAATGATTTTTCCACCTTGGCCTCCCAAAGTGTTGGGATTATAAGTGTGAGCCACCACACCTGGCCAAGATATAATACATATGTTTGGCTTTCATCCCTGTTTCCTGGCACGCAACTCCTAAAACCCTTGGAATCTCTAAAGCAATGTGTCTTGTTGTATGCTGATGAATTAACTGTTGGCTGGCCAAGAAGATTGGGACTTTCACTCCCACTCCTAGCCTTCAGAGAGGGCAGAGGGGCTAAAGGTTAAGTTGGTCACCAATGGCCAATGATTTCATCAATTATGCATATGTAATGAATCCTCCATAAAAACCGAGAAGGACTGGGTTCGGTTGTTTCTGGACAGTGGAACACATGGAAGTTCCTAGGGGGTGGCGTGTCCAGAGAGAGCATGGAAACTCTGAGACTCTTCTCCCATGCCTCTCCCATAACATGTTCTTCCATAACATGTTCATCTGCGTCCTCTGTGTCAACCTAAAAGGAAGAGGCTGAAGTGCAAAATGTGATTTAAAGAGTTTACTTGAGCTGGGTGTGGTGGTTTATGCCTGGAATCCCAGCACTTTGGGAGGCCAAGGCGGGAGGATCACTTGAGCCTAGGAGTTTGAGACCAGCCTGGGCAACATAGTGAGATCCGATCTCATCAAAAAACACAAAATTAGCCAGGCTTGGTGGTACACACCTGTAGCCCCAGCTACTTGGGAGGCTGAAATGGGACGTTCACTTGAGCCTAGGAGGTTGAAGCTGCAGTGAGTTGTGATTGTGCCACTGTACTCCAACATGGGTGACAGAGCGAGACCCTGTCTCAAAAATAAAAAATAAAAAATAAAAATAAGAAAATAGTTTACTTGAGCAAAAATAAGGACAGCTGCCCAAAAAACTCAGACCCAAGTAATCCTGGATATGAGCTTCACGTGGCCTTTTTTGCAGGCAGGTTTTTAAAGGAAACAAAAGTGAAACAGGGAATGGCTGATATAAAGTTCTGTCGGAAATTCTGTTTTTCAGGAATGACATCGATTAGCAATTGGCTATACACTGTTACGCTATAGGATGTGGGTTATATGCTGGGTGAGGCATAATTAGGTTAATCCACAGCTACTCGTGGCAATAGCAAGCAGTTTCAAGAGATGCAACATAGCTCAAAGCAGGCAAGAGGATGTGATCGCAGCAGTCTCATTTCAATGCCTCCTCTCTGGGCCTAATAATTTGAAAGGGCTCCCATTCCTCAGATAAGAGTTATATTCTGGGGTGGGCGTGGTGGCTCACGCCCCTACTCCCAGCACTTTGGGAGGCTGAGGCAGGTGGATCCTTTGAGGTCAGGAGTTTGAAACCAGCCTGGCCAACATGGTGAAACTCCATCTCTACTAAAAATACAAAAAATTAGCTGGGCATGGTGGCGGGTGCCTGTAATCCCAGCTACTTGGGAGGCTGAGGCAGGAGAATCACCTGAACCCGGGAGGTGGAGGTTGCCATGAGCCAAGACCGCGCCATTGCACTCCAGCCTGGGCAACAAGAGTGAAACTTTGTCTCCAAAAAAAAAAAAAAAAAAAAGAGCTATTTTCTTTCCTCATTGTAATATCCTTTATAATAAACTGGTAAACATGTGTTTCTGTGAGTTCTGTGAGCCACTGCAGCAAAGTAATTGACTCCGAGGAGGTAGTCATGGGAACCCTGAGAGCAGCCCATCGGTAAGAAACACAAGACATCACCTGTGCTTGTGATTGGCATCTGAAGCAGGGACAGTCTCGTGGGGCTAGGTCCTCACCTCATGCTGCTTCCAGGTAGACAGTACCAGAATTGAGTTAAGTTATAGGACACACAGCTGGCATCTGCTGCAGAACTGGTTGTAATCCCAACACTTTGGGAGGCTGAGGTGGGCAGATCATTTGAGGTCAGGAGTTCGAGACTCGTCTTTACTAAAAATACAAAAAGTAGCCGGGCATGGTGGCACATGCCTGTAGTCCCAGCTACTCGGGAGTCTGAGGCAGGAGAATCGCTTGAACCCAGAAGGCGGAGGTTGCAGTGAGCTGAGATCGCGCCACTGCACTCCAGCCTGGGTGACAGAGTGAGATTCTGTCTTAAAAAAAAAAAAGTTACTTTGTTCTAGTCTGGATCCCCCAGGGTCCATGCACTGTGCTGTGTTGATTTGTCTCTCAGAGGCTCTCCTCTCTTTACTTCCCCGTAGCATGTATTTTATTTCGACAAAACTGGATTGTTTGTTGTGCCACCCAGATTTTGCTGATTGTATCCCCATGGAGTAGCTTGACGCGTTCTTTCCCTGCCCCCTGTATTTCCTGAAAGCTGATAGATCTGGGGTTTTGATCAGATTGGGGTTAGATTATTTGGGAAGAAGACCCAGAGGTGCTGCAGTGGTTTCATCACATGGTTCCCAGGTGACAGGGAACTCTGGAGAGCAGGGAGACATCTTATTTATTTGTGTATCTCCAGAGCCTAATGCGGGACTGCAGTGTTGCAGTCTATAAACATGTGAGCCCAAAGACCAAGAATTTCAGCAGCGGCCTCTGTAAAGGTGAGAACCTGGCCTCCATTTGCTTTAGGCCCCCTGGACCCAGCAGTGGGTGTGGGCAACTTGTATCCCTTCTCCCGGTCAATGTGATGCTCCCTCTCTGTCCAGGGTCTCCTCCTTACCCTGGATCCACCTCAGACCTGGGCATGGTGGGTGAGTCTGCTCCAGGGCTGTTCTGTCCCAGGCTCTCCCTGTCCCCAGGATGGACAGAGATGGGGGCAGGAGGAAGTGGAGAGTCATCATTTCCTTTTTTCCATGAAAAGCCCAAGAGGAGGCAACGTGGAGTGTTAGGGTGAGGGCTCTGGGGCCAGATGCCTGCATTTGCAGCTCGGCCCTGCCCCTTACCAACTGTGCATCTTGCACAACTTACTTAACCTCTCTGTGTCTCAGCTTCTTACTCTATGAAGAAAGAATAAGTTAGTGCCTAGTCCATGTAATAGCATAGAATAGACTTCCTGGTGCACAGCTCCAAAATGCTGCTGTTGACTATTCTTCTTGTAATTAGCTATTTAACCTGCCTGGACATCCAGGCGAGCACTGGGGCGTCTCAGGTGGTGCAGTTGGGGAAGGAAGTGTCCCCTGGGGGGAGGCAGGAGGAGCCCTGAGGAAGGCAGCTTCGCCCCGGTGCAGCTTCCCTTGCTCTCTGATGCCTGAGCATGAACCACGGATGAGTCATCTCTCAGGTAGAGCATTGCATTGTTCCCCATTTCTCCTTTTGGAAAGCAAATATTCCCAGACGGCATTAAATCCTAAGCATTTCTGGGGCTGGGACTAAAAGGAAGGGAAAAATGCTGAAAATGGAGAATTGGAAGCGGGTGTTTGTAAAGGGCAGTTCTGCTCCCATTCTTGGGGAGCAGCTCACAGGTACGAGGCTCTGAGCATGTGTAGCTCCTGAAATGAATGGGACTGTCCCAGGATGTCCCTGAGAAGGACAGGCCTTCCAGGGCTATTCTTAAAGGGAGTGAGTGGGTGTGTGCGTGTGTGTGTATGTGTGTGGGAGAAGAGAGAGAGAGAGATGAAAATCTTCAGTTTGGGATGGGGCATGTGTATCAGAAAAACACATTCAAATTAAAAGAACTCATATTTGGGCCTGGCATAGTGGCTCACACCTGTAATCCCAGCACTTTGGGAGGCCAAGGTGGGTGGATCCTTTGAGGTCAGGGGTTCGAGACCAGCCTGATCAACATGGTGAAATACTGTCCATACTAAACTACAAAAATTAGCCGGGTGTGGTAGCAGGCTCCTGTAATTCCAGCTACTCTGGAGGCTGAGGCGGGAGAATACAGGAGAATTGCTTGAACCCAGGAAGTGGAGGTTGCAGTGAGCTGAGATCACGTCACTGCTTCCAGTCTAGGCAAAGGAGCAAGACTCTGTCTCAAAAAAAAAAAAAAAAAAAAAAAGAACTCATATTTGGAAAAGGAAAAACTCACGGTGTTGCAACACAGGCAGCAAAGGGAAAGCGTTGATTGGTGAAGCTGTGAAGGGCTTTCACAAATGAGCACCCTGCTTCTGCGGGGACCAAGGATGACCCTGTCTCCAGGAGGCTGTGAAAATGCTGGGTAGGTAGAGGTATCCGCTCATCCTCTGGAGACAAAAGCTCAAAGTGCTTCGCAGGTGGAGCCACCCCACTCCCCCAACTCCCCTTGCCTGGTCGGGAGACTGGGAGTGGTCTATCTTAGCCAGATGTGCCCCGTCTTTGTTTTCCATCACTGGCTTAGCCAGATGTGCCCCGTCTTTGTTTTCCATCACTGGCCCAGCCTCACCGTGCTCTGCTTCCAGTCCACTGAGGGTGGGTATGGAGTGATGAGAAGTGGGTGACTTGCTGAGTCAAAGTATCTCAGTCTTCTCCAATTTAAAAGAGACTTTTTTCAAAGACTTAGCCCCTTCAGAATTAAGACTTCCCATCAGTTCTTCTCCTCGCTGAAGGGGTCTCCTCTCTCACCCTTCCTTCTCAAGGGGATAGGGGCAGAAGGATGGACCCTGGCCTGGAACTGTCACAGGGCCCCCACTGGATCCCTTACCGAGGTGTGAGTGCCTTAGGGAACTCAGGGCCGTGTCAGGCCTTCTCCCCAAGTCCCTGGGCTGGCCTGCCCTTGCCTGGGCGCTTGCTGGCCTGACCTTGCCTGGGTGCTTGCTGGCCTGGGCTGGCCTGCCCTTGCCTGGGCGCTTGCTGGGGCTGCCATCCTTGAGGCCTGGATGTCGCTCTTTTTCAAGCTCTGGCCCTAAAGTCCAGCCTGTTCCTCCTCCTCAGGCTCTCTTCCTCAGAGGGAGCCAGCCCCGGGTTACCTTTGGGACCCCTGGGCATCTCTGGATGCTGGAGCTCTCTGGGCCTGGCCCTCAGTGCTGGGGCCCCATTCTCCTAGGCAGGGGGCCTCAGCATTCCTAAGACCCAGCAGAGTATCCAGAAGCAGGGAAGGAGCCACCTGTCGGATCCAACATCCCACCCCCACACCACCTGAGTATTTTGCTCTTGTAGGACTTAGCCTCCTTCCTCCGTACTCAGCCCAAGAAGATGCGAAAGACACTGTGGGCTCACCTCCAGCCCTTCCCTCCCTCCCTGCCAGCTCTGCCCCCTCACACCTCCTTGGAGGCCCTCCTCTGTCTCATGGAGCGCAACAGCCTGGTCATTCTGTATCTTCTTGATACTGTAGTTTATATTAATGGTCTAGTCTCATCCCTCGAAGCTTTACTTTTGATAAGTAATGGGAAGTGTTTGGAGGTCAGAAAACCTTGTCTGTCTTCATAAAGTTGAGTTTTAAACATTCTTGTCTTTCTAGGATTTAATAAAAAAAATCAGTTTGAAAGGGCATTAATGACATGTTCAAAAGACATCTTTTTTCTATGTGTGTAGCTTCAAAAGTGACTCAGTAGGCCGGGCATGGTGGCTCACGCTTGTAATCCCAAAGCTTTGGGAGGCCGAGGTAGAAGGATTGCTTGAGGACAGGAGTTTGAGATCAGCCTGGACATGGTGAGACTCAGTCTCTAGAAAAAATTTAAAAATTAGCCAGGTAAGGTGGCACATACCCATTGTCCTAACTACTTGAGAGGCTGAGGTGGGAGGATAGCTTGAGCCCAAGGGTTCGAGGCTTCAGTGAGCTCTAAATGCACCATCGCACTCCAGTCCAGGCAACAGAATAAGACCTTGTCTTTAAAAAAAAAAAAAAGACTCAGCAGTAAGCAGTAGTATTTTGCTTAATTCTAAGTGCCAAGGTTTTGTACTCTAATATAACTCTACACCAAAGGAATCAGGATTCTAGTAGAAGGTAACTGATGGCCTGTCTGTGTCCTGGGAGTTAAGAAAGATCAGGATGGTCCTAGAATATCCTGCTGTTGGCCCCAAACAATGGAAGGTTTCAAAAATTTGGCACCAAAAGAACTGCTTGGCCAAACTGTAACAATTGGCAACAATTTATCATAATCTGAGCATCAAAATGGAATACTTGTATTGTTAAGAATAAGTTTAGTCTAAAAAGACATGCGAATATAATGATACCTGAAAAAGAAATGTTTATAGAAAGTGTAAAAAGATAGTATTTAAATAAATTGCAGTAGTGAGGAGAGTGTGGATATGTCTGTTTCTAAGTCTATGTAAGACGCATTCTCCATGTGTAAGTGGTAAAGAATAAACATGGAAGCGTGAGCAAGTGAGAGATGACCAGGAAAAGCAAGGAGGACCTATCAGTGTTGTCAGTCACACAAAGCCCCAGAGTAGAACGATGCCCAAGAGTGCTGCACAATGATGGACCAGGTGAGTCTCCCAGAGAGACCAGCTGTCCAGACTGCATCCGTGACTTCTGGGGGATGAGATCTCTAGTTGTCCTAATTAATCAAAATGCATCCTAATCTTGGGTGATGGGTGCACCAAAATCTCACAAATCATCACTAAAGAACTTAGTCATGTAACCAAATACACTACCTGTCCCCCAATAATCTATGAAAAAAAAAGCATCCTAATAAAACAAGCATATGTTTCCTCCTGTCCCTCTTTCTCCTCTTCCTTTTCCTCCTTCTCTTTCTTCTTCTACTTAATCTCTGCTCCTTGTTTTTCAGGATATGTTTGCTGTATCGCTTGAAGGTATCAATATATGCGTTACAAGCTCTAAAAAGGTAAAAGGACAAGTGTAAGGATGGTGATTATAAGAAGCCTCCTGGCTGGGCGCGGTGTAATCCCAGCACTTTAGGAGGCTGAAGGGGGCGGATCACGAGGTCAAGAGATTGAGACCATCCTGGCTAACATGGTGAAACCCAGTCTCTACTAAAACTACAAAAATCAGCCAGGTGTGGTGGCCTGCGCCTGTAATCCCAGCTACACGGGAGGCTGAGGCAGGAGAATTGCTTGAACCCAGGAGGCGGAGGTTGCAGTGAGCCGTGATCGTGCCACTGCACTCCAGCCTGGCAACAGAGCGAGACTCCATCTTAAAAAAAAAAAAAAGAAGCCTCCTGGCTGGGTGCAGTGGCTCACGCCTGTAATCCCAGCACTTTGGGAGGCTAAGGCGGGTGGATCACTTGAGGTCAGGAGTTCAAGGCCAGCCTGGCCAACATGGTGAAACCCTGTCTCTACTAAAAATACAAAAATTAGCTGGGCATAGTGGTGCACCTGTAATCCCAGCTACTTGGGAGGCTGAGGCACGAGAATTGCTTGAACCCGGAGGCAAAGTTTGCAGTGAACCGAGATAGCACCACTTTACTCCAGTCTGGGAGACAGAGCAAGACTCTGTCTCAAAAAAAAAAAAAAAAAAAAAAGTAGAAAAAAAGAAAGAGGACGCTCATACTGGTGGTATTTTAGAACAAGTTTAAATGTAATCTTTTGTCTGGTATATTTGTGGATATTTTGTTTCAGTCTAAATCTTTTTCTTAAAAAGCCAGGAGGTAAATGTTTTTGGCTTTACAGGCCATGTGGTTACTGTTGCAACCACTCAACTCTGCTGTTGTACAGGGAAAGCAGCCATACACTATATGGAAATGATGGTGTGGCTATGTGCTAATAAAACTTTATTTGTAAAATCAGGCAGTGAGCCTCAGTTTGCTGACTCCTGGAGTAGAATATTTGAAGTGTGAGGTAATCTGTCATGATAAAACCATAATTTTAGTTTAAGTCACATAGGAAATGTATTGAATAACATCTGTAATCAGTGTCCAAATGTTAAAGAAAAATCATTCTCTAAATGTGGTTTATTAAAACTGCATTCTGTTTAATCAAGGCAGTATTAATTACCACACAAAAGCCCTTCTGATATGAAAATAGTCTACTGATGCTAATGATAGAGCCGAATCTAAATTCTCAAATCTTTGAACTGGTAAAATAATTCCCATTAAGGTGGTGTGGCAGAGACTAGCCGACTACTAAGCAAACCATTTCCTCTTTTCTCTGGGCACACACAGCTGGACTATATTTCCCAGCCTTTCTTACAATTTGGGTGCCTTGTGCCTGAATTCTAGCCAATGGAATATCAACAAAAGTGATGCATGTCAATTCAAGACCTAGCCTATCAAAACCTCCATTGTTGGCTGGGTGCGGTGGCTCACACCTATAATCCCAGCACTTTGGGAGGCCAAGGCAGGAGGATCACCTGAGGTCAGGAGTTCAAGACCAGCCTGGCCAACATAGTGAAACCCCATTTCTACTAAAAATACAAAATTAGCTGGGTGTGGTGGCACATGCCTGTAGTCCCAGCTACTTGGGAGGCTGAGGCAGGACAATCGCATGAAGCTGGGAAGCAGAGGTTGCGGTGGACTGAGATCACACCACTGTACTCCAGCCAGGGTGACAGAGCGAGACTCTGCTCAAAAAAACAAAAACAAAAACCTCCATTGTCCTTCCCAGTCCTCATGCTGAGCTCAGAGGCCCCCAAGGCTGTAAAGGAAGGCAGAGGCAGAACCTGGAAGGAGCCATCCACTCAGCAAGAACTCTATTTTGTGCTTCCCATGACTGAGCAATAAAATTATATTTTTATATACATATATATACATACACACATATATATGTTTCTTTCCTATGAATACATGCCTATGATAAAGTTTAATTTATAAATTAGGCACAGTAAGAGATTAATAATAACTAATAATAAAATAGAGCAAATATAACAATATAGTATAATAGAAGTTATGTGAATTGTCTCTTTTTCAAATATCTTATTATATGTAATATTTTTGGACTGTGGTTGGCTGCAGGAGACTGAAAACTTGGAAAGTGAAACTGTGGATAAGGGGGGCTCTTGTATCTTAAGTGTGGCAATGATTGCTGGCTGTGGGGATTTACTAATAGAATTTGTTTTGGAATACCTTGAATGGGGTACAGCTGAGGAAGACAAGAAGGAGATGAAATTTTGACACCCATCTGTTCATCCATTCAATAAGTGTGTTTATTGAGGATTTATGTGGCTAACCTCTGAGACAGGGAAGATACAGCCGCTGCCTTCAAGGACCTTACCCAGGAGGAAGCAGGCAGTTGTGCTAACAAATAATTGTAACAAAGCATGTAGCTGGGGGCAGTGGCTCATGCCTGTAATTCCAGCACTTTGGGAGGCTGAAGCGGGTGGATCACTTGAGGTCAGGAGTTCGAGATCAGCCTGGCCGACATGGGGAAACCATGTCTCTACCAAAAACACAAAAATTAGCCAGGCTTGGTGGTGCACACCTGTAATCCCAGTTACTCAGGAGGCCAAGGTGGAAGAATCGCTTGAACCCAGGAGGTGGAGGTTGCAGTGAGCCTAGATTGCACCACTGCATTCCAGCCTGGGTGACACAGTGTGACTCCTTCTCAAAATAATAAATAAATAAATAAAAATAAAGCATCTAGAGTTCTGTGATAGAAATGTGTCCCTGTGGGTGGCTTGGATAGAGGAGGGTGTTATCAGTTGCAAGAGAGGAGGGAACAGCTTTTTCAAGGCCATACAAGGGTGCTATAACCTGGGGCCAGTTAGGCAGGGGAAAGTTGGGGTGGGGAGGCATAGCAGGAGGCGACTCAGAGAAGCAGTTCCCTCTCAGATCCCACCAGGCAGGTGAGAAGAGGCAGGCGGTGGGGTCCAGGATTGGGCTCTGCATAAAGAGATCAGGGTTTGGCATAAATCTATACCTGCAGTGTCAATTCCAGCCACCAAAAGCAGAGGCTGCACAGTCAGCCAGGCAATAGGACTTGAGTAAGCTTGTGGGGACCCCCAAAATGACGGTTGGTTCAGTCATAGGAGCTCCAGTGCTTCCTATGCAGGTTCATTCTTTGAATGCTCATACTGAATGGCTACCGTGTGCCAGGTGCAGTCCCTATTCCACTGTCCATCGGGCAGTGGGGGCAACAGACACACAGACAGATTATTTAGATTCCACGCCCTTTGTTAGTCCACTGAAAAACCTTGTTCCCTCCACATAATAAAACTCACTCCATGTATTGAGTAGGTACTGGATGCCAGGCACTTTATACATTTGAACACATTTGATTTCATTCAATCATCATAATAATCCCTTTTAGTGATGAGTAAATGGAGTTCCGGAGAGGTTAGCGGTAAGTAGCAGAGCCAGGATTTGAAACCAGGCCTGCTGGAACTGAAGTAAATCCCATGCTTTATGTACTCTGTCCCAAAGCTCCCTCTCTAGACACTTCACACTTTGCTCATCAGGCCCCAAGGCCTTCCTTCCTCCAGACCTGGGCCCATTCCACCAGACCATTCTGCCATGTCCCTCTGAGAACCTTGCAGCATTCCCTTTACATGTTCCTCTGACAACCTTGTAGGATATGTTGCATGAGGTTGTCGTTTTCCATTTGTTACTGTATATTATTCCATAGTGTGACTATTCCGTATTATTTAATTTTTAAAAAGTTCAACTTACCAATTTTTTTGTGTGTCAGCCAGTTACGGTGGCTCACACCTGTATTCCCAGCACTTTGGGAGGCTGAGGCGGGAGGATCACTTAAGCCCAGGAGTTTGAGACCAGCCTGGGCAACAAAGTAAGACCCTGTCTCTACAAAAATACACACACACTCACACACACACACACACACACACACACACACACACACACACATTTCTTTTGTGGATCATGCCTTTGGTGTGTATCTAAAAAGTTATCACCATAGCCAAGGTCATCTAGGTGTTCTCCTATGTTATCTTCTAGAAGCTTTATAGTTTTGCATTTTACTTTTAGGTCTATGATCCATTTTGAGTTAGTTTTTGCGAAAGGGGGAAGGCCTGTGCATAGAGTCATTTTTTTTTTTTTTTTTTTTTTGCTTGTGGATGTCCAGTTGTTCTAGCACCATTTGTTGAAGACTATCTTTTCTTCAATGTGTGGCTTTTGCCCCTTTGTCAAAGATCACTTAGCTGTATTTATGTGGATCTATTTTCTGGGCTCTCTCTTCTGTTCCATTGATCTATTTGGCTATTCTTTCATCAATACTACACTGTCTTATTGGAGCTTGATAGTAAGTCTTGATATCAGGTACTGTCAGTCCTCCGACTTTGTACTTGAAGATATCGTGTTCACTATTCTAGATCTTTTGCCTCTGCATATAAACTTCAGAATTAATTTACCAATATCCACAAAATAGCTTGATAAAATTTTGATTGGGACTGCATTAAATTAGATCAAGCTGAGGAAGAGCTAACATCTTGAAAATATTGAGTCTTCCTCCATGAACATGTAATATACCTCCATTTATTTAGTTCTTTGATTTCATTCATCAGAATTTTGTACTTTTCCTCATAAAAATTTTGGATATAGTTTGTTAGATTTATAATTAAGGATTTCATATTGGGGGATGTTAATGGAAATGGTACTGTGTTTTTAATTTCAAATTCCACTTGGTATATAGGAAAGTAATTGGCTTTTGTATATTAACCTTGTATCCTGGAATCCTGCTATAATTGCTTATTAGTTCCAGAAGTTTTTCATTGACTATGATCATATCATCTGCAAACAAAAATAGTTTTATTTCTTCCTTTCTAATTTGTATTTTTTATTTGTATTTATTGTATTCTTTAAGTTTGTATTCTTTTATTTCCTTTCCTCATCTCATTGCATTAGCTAGAACTTCCAGGATAATGTTGAAAAGGAGTGGGGAGAGAGGACATCCTTGCTTTATTCCTTGTTTCCTTAGTGGGAAAGCTTTGAGTCTCTCACTATTAAGTAAGATGTTAGCTATAGATATTTTGTAGATATCCTTCACCCAGTTGAGGAAGTTCCCCTCTATTCCTAGTTTACTGAAGTTTTCTTTTTTTAATCATAAATGCATGCTGAATTTTGTCAAATGCTTTTTCTGCATCTATTAATAAGATCATGTGATTTTTCTCTTTTAACATGTTGATGTGATGAGTAACATTAATTGATTTTGAATATTAAATCAGCCTTGCATTCCTGGGAGAAATATCACTTGGTTGTGTGTATAATTCTTTTGAAACCGCCTCTGCAAAAATTAGAACAGAAAATTATGACAGTGAAAGAGATCTGACCTAACTGATTCCATATTTCTTCTAACCTCCAAACTGTCCTTGTTCATTCCTGGGTGCAGGCCAAACTAATTTTGGAAGGAACTTAGTTTATGGCTTAACTTTGAAACAAAGATGATAACGGCCCTCTTCCAAAACAAATCCGCTTCCTGCCTGGGGACTAGACTGCCTTTGCAGGACTAACAGATTAGCCACAAGATTAGAAATTATGGTTTAGGGGTCACGCTGCTAGAGGCTGCAAGATTCTAAACCTCCCAAATTATCCTGGGGATAATATTACTATTGCAAAACCTAAGATCAGACCCTGCACTCAATGGATCAGCTGGCACCACCCAGATCGAGAAACTGGCTCATCTGGTCTTGTGGCCCCCATCCAGGAACTGACTCAGCACAAGAGCACAGCTCCCTATGATTTCATCTCCAACTCAACCTGTCAGTGCTCCCATGTTCTGACCCCCTGCCCACCAAATTATCCTTAAAAACCCTGATCCCCTAGCTTTCTGGGAGACTGATTCGAATAATAATAAAACTGCAGTCACCCATACAGCTGGCTCTGTGAGAATTAAACTATTGCAATTCCCCTGTCTTGATAAATCAGCTCTCTCTAGGCAGTGGGCAAGGAGAACCTGTTGGGTGATTACACTTTTCTTTCTTTTGTTTTTTTTTGTTTTGTTTTGTTTGAGACAGTGTCTCGCTCTGTTGCCCAGGCTGGAGTGCAGTGGCATGATCTCGGTTCACCGCAGCCTCAACCTCCCCAGGCTCAAGCAATCCATCCACCTAAGCCTCCCCAGTAGCTGAGATTAGAGGAGTGCACCGCTATACCCAGCTAATTTTTGTATTTTTAGTAGAGGTGGGGTTTTGCCATGTTGCCCAGACTGGTCTCAAACTCCTGAGCTCAAGTGATCTGCCTGCCTCAGCCTCCCAAAGTCAGTTACACTTTTCTATCAAACTGTTGGATTCAATTTGCTAATATTTTGTTGAGGATTTTGCATCTATGCTCATAAAAGATACTGGTCTGCAGTTTTCTTTTCTTGTAATGTCTTTGTTTGGTTTTGGTGTTAGGGCAGTGCTGGCTCCATAGAATGAGATAGGAAACCTTTGCCCCCTTAATGGTGTTTCTTACTGTCACTTAAAATTCGATTTAGGAAAAAAGGTTTTCTCTGTTCCTAAACAAAAAACAGGATCCTGGCAGGCCCTATAGTTTGCCAGTTTCCTCCTACATAGTAAAGTGTCCTTAGATGGAGTAAAAGAAGTCTCACACACAAAAATACAAATATATAATTTCATCTATAGGAAGTTGTAGAACAGGCAAAACTAATCTGCGGTAGAAAAAGCCAGAGCAGAATTTGCCTCTAGGACCATGATGACAGATATTGACTGGGAAGGGGCATGAAGGAAATTTCTGGATGTAATGTTCTATATTTCGATAGGGATCTGGGTTGTACAAGTATATGCATTTGTTAAAACATCACACAGTACACGTTTTTGCATGCAATCTGTGGTATATAAATCTTTCCCTAAGGAAATAATGGACTGTAAATAAATACTGAACTTTGATTAATAATATACATGATTCAGTTTTTTGGGGAAGCATACTGACATCGGCAACTTATTTTGATATTCACAGAAAAAATAATTTAGATTGCTTGAGAGATAGAGGGATGATGGATAGGTGGATTAATATATGATAATGCAGCCCGGTGCAGTGACTCATGCTTGTAATCCCAGCACTTTGGGAGGCCGAGGCAGGAGGATTGCCTGAGGCCCAGGATTTGAGACCAACCTGGGCAAAATAGCAAAACCCCATCTCTACAAAATGTTAAAAAAAAAAAAAAAAAAGCAATTCGTGTAAAATGCTGTGAGAAAATCTATGTAGTGGACACATGGGTGTTTGCTGGAAAATTCTTTCAACTTATTTTCATAATAAAATGGAGAGAAATAACAAATGGAAAGTCCTTTAAAGTTTGGTGTGGCTAAAAGAATGGTCTGCGTCCTGGCCCAGGCCAGGTGGTCTTATCACTCCATCATGTGGCTTCTGCAGATCCCAGGTCCCAGTTCTGTCCTGCAGTCTGTCCCGTGACTGTCTCCACTGGAAATGGTGTCATCTGCTCACAGCCCCAAACACCATTTCTAGATGACTCATGGCCTCTGCCCACGCAAGATCTACAGGTTCTCTTTTAAGCTTTTGAGTCTTGATCACATGTATCGTTAAGGAGATTGCTTCCTCAGTAGCTATTGGCAGCAATGCCAGCACTGGCTTGGTTCCCTCTGAGCGCTGCATCAGGCCTGCTCTGCCAAGCGGAAAATGCTGCTCTGCCCAATGGGCAGAAATGAGGATAAGGGGGCATTTCCTGGCAGGCACAGCTCCACTCAACACCTCTGCTGACTCCAGAGGGTTCTGGGTTAACCATTTAACATATACTACCTTAGTTAATGGAAAACATCTGACCTGCTGCACCCTGGCAGAAGTAGACTTTGAAGTGGAGAGCTGGGACTGAAAAAGAAAAAGTCTGTGGGAAGAACTCCAAAATACAACAGGAAGGAGGAAACCAGAAATTATGCAAGATGGCCCCAAGGGAGAGAGAGAGAGCGATAGAGAGAGAAAGACTGCCTCTGAAGCAGCAGAGGCCGCTAAAGAGAATCCTGGAGAAGGCAGCCATCAAACCTTTTTCACTTTCAAGGGAGCCTGAAACTGCAAGCTACAACTTACCGGCTGAATTATAAAAACAACAATGTTTAAAATAATAATATTCAGTGCTAGCAAGAAGTTGGTGAGAGGGCACTTTTATACATTACTAGTAACAGGTTTTTACAAAAATAATTTAACAATATGTATAAAAGATCATACATTTTTACTCAATAAGTTATATCCAAGAGTATATCTATTCTAGGGGCAAAAAAAATGTTTTCAAAGATCCATGTATAAAGATATTTAACAGGCTGGGCGAGGAATCCCAGCACTTTGGGAGGCCGAGGCGGGCAGATCACAAAGTCAGGAGATCGAGACCATCCTGGCTAACACGGTGAAACCCTGTCTCTACTAAAAATACAAAAAGAAATTAGCCGGGCGTGGTGACGGGCACCTGTAGTCCCAGCTACTTGGGAGGCTGAGGCAGGAGAATGGTGTGAACCCGGGAGGCGGAGCTTGCAGTGAGCCAGTGAGCCGAGATCGCTCCACTGCACTCCAGCCTGGGCGACAGGGCGAGACTCCGTCTCAAAAAAAAAAAAAAAAAAAAGTTTAACAAATTATTATAATAACAGGAAAAATAGGGTATTGCTTATAGTGTACTAATTAAATTATAGTTTAACAATGCGATGCAAATATTATGCAGACATTTTTCATGATATACTTTAGGGGAGAAAAATCAGGTTTAGAACTTTATACACAGTATGATTCCCATTATGTGCTAAATGATTATGAGAGATTATTTGTTCTCTTTTTATAGTTTTCAATATTTTCTAAGTTTTCTGCAATGCATGCATATTGTTTTTCATATTTGGAAAAATATTTCTTAAAATGCAGCAGTTTGGAGATGGGATGTGAAGATTTCTCTCTGGGGATTGAGAAGGCAATATTGCCAAGGCTTGTTTAATATCTCTTAAAAATCAATTTGCTTAAGGATAAGCTTGCTATATTAAAATTAAAAAGAAAGAAAGAGATGAAAAATCAATTTGCAAATCTTTTTTCTTTTCTTTCTTTTCTTTTTTTTTTTTTGAGATGGAGTTTTGCTTTTTGCCCAGGCTGTAGTGCAATGGTGCCATCTCGGCTCACTGCAACCTCCGCCTCTGGGGTTCAAGTGATTCTCCTGCCTCAGCCTCCCGAGTAGCTGGGATTACAGGCATGCTTGTATTTTTGGTAGAGACGAGCTCGTCTCTACTAAAGTTTCTCGAACTCCCGACCTCAGGTGATCTGCCTGCCTCAGCCTCCCAAAGTGCTGGGATTATAGGCGTGAGCCACTGCTCCTTGCCTTCTTTTCTTTTTTTAAAAATCTTTTTTACAGTCTGTCCAAGAATATGGCAAAATTTGCAAATTTTTTGCTTATACTGTAAAGACAGTGCAGGTTCCAGTTTAGATTCGTACTGATGGAAATGTTGAGTCTGTGGGTAGGCGGAACAAAGCCTACTGCTGAAGAGCAGGGCTCTGCCTGCATTCGGCTGGGGCAGATGCATTATAAAACTTCCCGAAAGTGTAGTTGTAAGGCAGGGCTATGAACTGTGTAGACAAAACAGAAAAACCCCATTCCTACAAAATGTTTTTTTTTAAAAGAAAAAAAAGATAATGCAACTAAAGTAAAGAAAATCTGTGTAGTGAATACACAGGAGTTTGCTGTAAAATTATTTCAACTTTTATGTATGTTGAAAAAGTTTCATAACCGTCCATAGTGGCAAAGGTTGCTGCTATGCTCTCTTGCAACACAGACAGCTTTAGTGACAAATTTCCACCATCCACAGGGAAAGTGAAGGGCCACTGGAAAAGAAGGAACAGGGGAAAGGGAACTACCACTTATGGAGTCTTGTGGGACGTGTGTATAATGTTGTTGTAGCCAGAAAATGACAGAAACCTCTCTCGTACCAGCATACACAAAAAAGAGTTACATTGGAAAGGACAGTTTGATTGAAGCTTCATGTGATAATATGGAATCTCTTGCAGCTTATATTTTCCAAAAATGGCTGCAACAATCTCCCATCCCATGGGCCTTTCCTACAATATGACTTTGACTTTCCTCCCATGAAGAGATGGGGTTTATGTTCCTTCTCCTTGAATTTGGGTGGGCTTATGACTATGGCAGAAGGGATGCTGTGTGATTTATGAGGCTAGGTTATACCAGGTGACACAAATTCTGCCCACTCTCTGGGGACACCGACTTTGGGAACTCGGCCACCATGCTCTGAGGAAGCCCAAGCCACATGGGGAGCCAGGTGTAGGCGTCTGGCCAATCGCCAGCATCAATCATCTACCAGACACATGAGTGAGGAAGCTCTGTGGGACTCCAGCCTCCACCATCAGGTGCAGCCTTGGGAGCCATCCTGAACAAGACCCACCCAGGTGAGCCCAACTAACCCCAGAGCCATGAAAACAATAATAATAAAGTGATTGTTGTTATTTTAAGCCACTAATTTAATTTCTGAGGTGACTTGTTACACAAAAATAGAGAACTAGAACAATGTCCATCTCTTAGCTCTTCCTCTCTTTTTTGTTGAACTCATTCTCTCCTGGTGGGTGGCAGGGTGGAGGGAGTGGCTAGAGTAAGCTCCAGGCTTAGCATCTCCATGAGAAAGAGATTTTTCTTCTAACGTCCAAATACGATCTCAGAGGACAGCTAGTGTGTTGTTGACTCCTATGCCCATCTTTGGAACGTCACTGTGGCCAGAGGAATGGGATTCTGTGACTGAGGCTGCCATTTGTTCACTCCAACATACATTTCCTCCTTCCCCTGGTAATGACATAAATTCTCCTGATTTTATTCATGTTGGCAATGTGCCCATCTCTCTTGTAGCTAGGGATGGCTAGGTGGTTAAATTCTGGCCAATGACAGGTGTGTGGTCCTTTACAGAAAGATCCTGTATCAGCTCCTATTATTGTAACAGATCACCACAAATGCAGTAGCTTAAAACAACATAAATTTATTGACTTACAGTTCTGGAGGTCAGAAGTTTGATATGGGTCTCACCAGGCTACAATCAAGGTGTCTGGGGGGCTGTTCCTTCTGGAGGCTGTAGGGGAGAATCTGTTTCCTCACCTTTTCTAGATTCTAGAGGCTGCCACGTGCCTTGGTTAGTGTCTTCTTCCATCTTCAAAGTCAGTGATGGCTGACTGAGTTGTTCTTACATCGCACCATCCTGACATTGCCTGTTCTGCCTATCTCTTCCACACTTAAGGACCCTTGTGATTACACCGGGTCCATCTGGATAATCCAGGCATCTCCCCACCTTAAAATCAGCAGATTAGCAACCCTACTTCTCCTTTCCATGCAACCTAATCTATTCACAGGTTCTGGGGGATTCAGACACGAACCTCTCTGGGTAGATCATTATTCTGCTAACCACAAATCTTTAAAAAGGAAGGGTACCCTTTTATCCTTTCTTCTCCCTTCCTGCTGTCTTGAATGGACTCCTGATACATCCACTTCTGGGATGAGGTACTGTGGCTGGCAGCCTGCCAGAAGCACCTTTTGGCAGTTGCTGCAAAGAGAGAGGAACTGTTCTTAGTAGGCTGAGAGAAGGATGCCAGACAGACAAAAACATCAGATGTTCATTATAAACATCTGCTGCAATAATGCTGCATGATCAACAACCCCTAAGACTCAGTGGCTTACAAGATTTATTTGTTAATTTCTAGCTCACAGGCCTTCAGTTGATGGTGGCTCTGCCAGGCTTATCTGGGATCAGTTGGACTTGCTCAAGGCTGTGGTTAGCTTCAGGTAGGCCTTGCTTATCTCTCATGTACCTGGCAACAGTGGCTCCTTGGCATCTTCTTCCCATGGCAGATGGCAGAAGTTCAAGAGGGCCGGCTAAGCCACACAAGCTCATATAAAGCTCTTTCCTGGATCATGTCTGATCACATGCCGTTGTGCAAAGCAAGTCCTATGACCAAGCTCGAGTGAATGGGTGGGGACGAGCAGTTCACTTCTGGTGGGCACACTTCAGGTTGGAACAGTGAAGGGCACAGACAGATAATCCTTTACGGAGGGTGCCAGGGGTTGGGAACAATCATCCAATTTACCACAGTGAGCTAAGCCAATCCACTTCCCTCATCAGTGAGGAAGTTTTGTAGGGATGTCTCTTCATGCCCACTTGACCTGGAGGAGTGCTACAGTGATTTTCTTCCCACTACATCCCATGCCCACTATTTTTAAAAATACTGAAAAGTGCAGAGACTAATGTAACAAATACGGAATACAGGCTCACAACCCAAATGTAAGAAACTTTTAGGCCAGGCACGGTAGCTCATGCCTGTAATCCCAGCACTTTGGGAGGCTGAGGAGGGTGGATCACGAGGTCAGGATTACAAGACTAGCGTGACCAACATGATGAAACCCCGTCTCTACTAAATATAAAAATTAGCCAGGTGTGGAGGTACGCGCCTGTAATCCCAGCTACTCAGGAGGCTGAGGCAGGAGAATTGCTTGAACCCGGGAGGCGGAGGTTGCAGTGTGCCCAGATCTCACCACTGCACTCCAGCCTGGGCGACAGAGCGACACTCCATCTCAAAGAGCCCCTTAAATTTGTGTCCTTTTCATTTTCTACTTCTGGAGCACCAAATTTTTGAGACTGTCACATAACTATAAATGCAATAGTTTCTGTTCCAGAATCCTGGGTCCCATACCCTAGGACTTTACCATACTTACCTAATATGGGCACAGCCCTGACTAACTACAGTAACTTTATTACCTAGGAATTGCATTTGTCTGCGTGTAGCGGTCTCCTGAAAAAAGTGGTTTAAACACACAAGGATCTATTATCTTACGGAATAAATTTTGAGGTAAGTAGCCTAGGGATAATTCAACACTTCTTCAGAGCCACCCGGAATTGAGATCCTTTTATCTTTCTGTTTCCATCCTCCCTGCTTTTAGGATAGGAGAGAGCAGTCTTCAGCATGAGACCCATCCCTAAGTAAGTAGCTGATTTGGGATTTTGTCTTGGCTAAAGTTAACAACCAGCTGGTCTTAGTTTCTCCTTACCATTAGAGTGCTCAGTAATCACCTAAGTTGTACAATTGTTTGTTTTGCTTAACTTTTTGTTGTTGTTGTTTGTTTCTGTTTTTGTTGTTGTTTCAGTCTTTTTCCCATTGGGTTTGACCAACTCTATATCTGACTTGATCATATCCAAAGGAAGGTTCCAAATTATGGGGAACAAGTGACTTCAAAAGTGACTTCAAAAATGACATAATTTGGCTTATTTGGAACAAAAATTACACAGGAAGTATTGTCAAATATAAAATGGTGTCTGGTTTTCTTTGGACTGTATTTGTATAAATGTTATTGGTATGTGCTCCAAAATTATGGGAAACTTCTGTAATTCTTATGTGACTTAGTGTACATTATCAGTAATAATCATAATTGTAACGTTAAAATTATTGTGTGAGACAGAGGTAACAAATTTCCTTGTCAATTGTGTCTTTGACTATGGCTGCCCTAAAACTTTTTCTCACCCATGGACAATTGTTGTCTTGTTTTGGTCCTCTTTAGAAGATGATTTTATAATCAGCTATAAAACTCTAACAGGTGCTCTTGAATGCAGGTTTCGATAACTTTGGAGATTGTGGCATCAGAATAGAGGAAAAACTTTCAGGACTCATGGAGAGCTAAAATGTTCATGAATATCAAACAGAACAGGAGTTAACTGCCTGGACTGAACTAATCTTTTTGACTTTTTGCTTAAAACGTTGCTGATCCTTTGTTTTGTGTTTCAGTCTTGAAAATTTCTTTTGAGCTATTGACAGCTTTTAACAATTTAGTACACTCCTATGAACAAAATTTAGAGCATATGTTTCTCTCTACCTGATCTCTCCAGAATTTGAAAACTATTTGTGAGTATTCTTTTTGTTGTTGTTGTTGAGACAGAGTCTCGCTCTGTCACCCAGGCTGGAGTGCAGTGGTGTGATCTCGGCTCACTGCAAGCTCCGCTTCCCAGGTTCACGCTGTTCTCCTGCCTCAGCCTCCTGAGTAGCTGGGACTACAGGCACCTGCCACCATGCCTGGCTAATTTTTTGTATTTTTAGTAGAGACGGTGTTTCACCGTGTGTTAGGTAGGATGGTCTCGATCTCGTGACCTCGTGATCCACCTGCCTCGGCCTCCCAAAGTGCTGGGATTACAGGCTTGAGTATTCTTAACTTACAGCAATACAGTTATTTGCACAAGTGCAGTAAGAATCTGTTTTCATTTGTAACAGGACACAATTGGAGAAACTGGTTATTTTACCAAGGCTTTGACTGGAATGGTATGCTTTCTTTTAAGGAATCAACTTTGACTTATGGAGCCAATAAAAGCCCTTGGGGAAACTGGCCTCATACCTTGTCTACACAGTCCCTCTAAAGGGTTTCTGACCTGTGGTTAGTAATGAATGTCACTTTCTGATAGGCCCAGGAGCCCCAGGTTTATCCAGGGACCTCAAGAGGAGAGGAGATTCACCCAACTCATAGGTATTTGATGATACAAATCCATGGCTGGGTTTGGCTTTTAAAAAGTCTTATCTGAGAGAAAGTTCCATCAAAGCCAATTTTAAAAAGCCTAAGTGAAAAATAATTATTCTTGATGTACTTTATACAAATAATCTGGCCAAGTATAATAAAGCAAATTGGTCCTACCATGATTTGTCTTTAGTAAAAATGGGAAACTGGAGAGAGAAAAATTATGTTTCAAAAACTATAGTACACCTGTTGTTAGATTCTAATCTTGCCTAATTTTCAGTTTTTATTATTTTCTACAGTTTGGGCTGAATTCTAATTTTTCCTGGCTATAAGTCTCCAACATAATATTTTTAATTTTTTCTTCTTTCTTTTCCTTTCTTTCCCAGTTTTTTTTCTAATTTGAAATCACTGAAAACTAAGCTGTGCTTTCTTAAAGCCCTGTGAACTGAAGCTAGACAATTTAAACTTCAGAAGAAAATAACAGCAACCTATTTACATACATAAGCCACTTTCCAGGATCCTTCTTTTGTTTGTTGTTGTTTTTCTCCCCTTCCTCCTTCTATTTTCTCTTCATAGGACAAAGCCACTAATGAGCTTTTGGAACCCAACCATATAGGAATAAACTGTCCTAGCCATGAGAGATCAGATGCAACCTGAGACCGGAAACTCATTTTCTTTTCAAATGCTTTCTCCAAAAGATGTTAAAAAAGAAAAAGGGGAAAATGTGAAATGAAAATCTTGGGGCCCCAAAATTACTAAGCTAAAGGGAAAAGTCAAGCTGGGAACTGCTCAAGGCAAATCTGCTTCCCATTCTATTCAAAGTCATCCCTCTGTTCACTGAGATAGATGCATATCTGATTGCCTCCTTTGGAAAGGCTTATCAGAAACTCGAAAGAATGCAATGATTTGTCTCCCACCTACCTGTGACCTGGAAGCCCCGTCCTTGCTTCGAGTTGTACCCACCTGTCTGGATGGAACCAATGTACTTCTTACATATATTGATTGATGTCTCATGTCTCCCTAAAATATATAAAACCAAGCTGTGCCCCGACCACCTTGGACACATCTTGTCAGGACTTCCTGAGGCTGTGTCATGGGTGCGCATCCTCAACCTTGGCAAAATAAACTTTCTAAATTAACTGAGATCTGTCTCAGATTTTTGGGGTTCATACCCACTAGGCTTGATCTGTTTTTCATTACTAATGCCTGCTGCTAAAACTGTTCAAGCACCCTCCCTCTAGGCCCAGGGACGATCATAAAGCAGGTGGATATGCGAAACTGTAAGGGTCGGTTTTGAGGAATAGAATTGGTTTAGACTCTCCAAATCAAGGATGGGCACATAGATGCTCAAACAGCTGGCCAGCTTAGGGCCTTTGCCTCCTGGGCCATTGTGTGGCTCCTTTTCACCATCCCAACCATAAAGAAATTTTTGCTTCTCATAGACTTAAAAGAGAATTGCTAAGGACATCAAGACACTTGTGATGAAGGCTTCTGGGTATAATTGTTCCCAGTTATGGGGTTTATGAAACTAGAGATATGACATAATTTATTGACTACCTTAGGACAAATTTCTAAGGAGACCGCAAAAAAACATTTTGGCACAACAAAAGTCTCTAAGTTCCTTAGCTCAAATAGTTTTACATTGCTACATATTTAACTAAGAACAAGACTACAGTAGCTCAATTCATAGAACTTATAGAGAAGCCAATTTTATAATCTTGCTTTTTGGCTCTTAAAATGTTCTAAGGTTGATGAGTGCCTGCCCACCTCCATTCTCATCTGGCCTAGAACATTTAATTGGCTGTAAGTCTTTTGGCTCTAAGTCCCATGGGAATAGGAGTTCCAAGGGACAGAATGGACATGGGGCAGGCAGCCACACCATCCTGGCAATAATATGTGACAAAATAAAAGTTTGGTCATCTATGCTGCCTCTGGCAAATCCTGGCCAAAGGAGAGAAATGAGAAATCACTGTTAGGCACTGCTTAGTGTTTTAATAAAAAATTACCTGAGACTGGGTAATTTACAAATAAAATAAGTTTAATTGGCTCATGGTTCTGTAGGCTATACAAGAAGCATGGTACTGGCATCTGCACCTGGTGAGGCCTCAGGAAGCTTCCAATGATGGAAGGCAGCAAACGTGTCACATATGAGAGCAGGAGCAAGAGAGTGAGGAGGAGGAGGGCCCAGACTTTTAAAGCCATCCATGGGGGATCAACGAGCACCCCCGGCCCCCCCGCCCCGATCCAATACCTCCCACCAGGCCCCACCTTCCACATTGGGACTCACAGTTCAACATGAGATTTGCAGGGAACACACATCCAAGCCATATCAATAATGAAATCCAAGCTCCCCAGCAGAATGAACGTACCCCCTTTTGGCCAAGAGGACCCCAGAGAAACCTTGGAAGCTGAGTTCCTGAGCATGATAGGATGGGAGTTCAGACATACCTCATTACGCCCTCTCCCTGGCTAACCATCCTAAGGGCTAACAGAAACCAGTCCTTTCCAAGGACTCCACACTGATAATGTAGATTATCAGCTTATCTTCCCAGGTACAGAACAAAGATGAGATTAATTGTTCCTTCACCCCTCCCTGAGACATCTGCTTCCTCTATTCCCTTTTCCTTCAAATCTTATTTTAGTAAAACGTAGACTTAGTAGGCACTGACTGAGGTCTCACAAGTATGTAACCATTCCTGTCACTGCCACCCCGCCCCCATCCCCTTTAGGGAAACTGTATAAATACCAAACCTCCCCAGAGCTTCTTTGGAAAAAGAAAAACAGCCACAGATCTGTCTGTGTGGCTCGTGTGTTTTTCCCAGGCACGCCCTCAAAGCTGGCTCAATAAAGCTCCATTGATGGGGACACCTGCCTCGGTCACTCATTTTGGTTGTCAACAGCTACATTAAAAAGAAAATATTTACAGTTTAGACTTATGTTCATTCATTACTTAGCAAGGATACTTACCAAAAACCATAAAATAAGAAAAACTGTAGACCAATGATTCCTACTCTTCCAAGGGTTGAGCTGTACCTGACGCAGCGGGTTGTTACCAAGAAGGGGATGGGTTCTCTGCTTGGAGTGGGAGGAGAGGCCCCCCCATGGCACATCTGTTGTGCTGCGGTTTACAGCTTTCAGGCAAGAATGAGTCTTCATTATCTTTAAACCCTAGGGTCCAGCACAGGACTTCCCTTATTTTGGGGTTTATTCTTAGCTGTCCCAAGTCCTTTTGAAAGAGAGATAGACTGTGACCACAAAATAAACAGGAGAAAACACATTCTGAACTTCTCTTCCATGGGAGCTGCAAAGGGCACAGGCCTTGTCTTGCCCTGACCCAGACCCCAAAGGCACAACTGTGCAAAAGCCGCCCTCGCTGATGATGTCTCTTGGCTCATCCTCAACTTCAAATACCTATAATTTAATTTTAAGCACCCTTAATCATGTGGGTACTTCAACTACCCCCTCACCACTTCCCAGCCCAAGCCTGGTTCTGATCAAGCCAGCCAGCCCCGGGGGTTTTCTCTTTCTCCTTCTCTGGCTTTCAATGGACACATGACCTTCTGCTCAGCCCCGGCTTACTGATGAAGAATATGAGGCTTACAGAGGTGACATACCTTGTCCCATGTCTATTTAATTTGGGTGGTGACTGAGTGAAAGCCCCTGCCACTTGAAATTCAGTGGCCTTTCCATGTTCCCTTCTGGCTGGCTCCTGGTCCTCAGCCCCGATTTCCAGACTTGTGAATCTTGCAACTATTTGTTTGGGGAGGACATCCTCAGATAACCCCCACTTACTTGCGTGGTTGACCCCTAAATTGCTGAAGCCCTGCTAAGGTGAGGAGCAGCACTGTGCAACCAGGCCAGGCCAGCCTGCCAGGGAGACCTTTGGGCCACAAACCAGCTGCTGTTGGGTAGGCACTGCGCTAAACACTGATCCATTTTGTCAGCACTGTGAGGTGCAGATTCTACCCATTTTCCAGATGAGGGAACTGTGGCTCCGAGATGATACATGATTTAGCACTGAGAGACTGAAGTAGGATTCACAAGTCAGTGTGTCACTAAAGCCAGATTCCAGCTAAGATGGACCAGAGGTGCTGTGGGCTCCTCACAGACGAGGTGACGCTTGGTGATGCCCCCACTGACAATCTCATTTGTGTTGCGGGAAGTCAGGGACCCCGAACGGAGGGGTCCTCCACTTATTCGACCTCTCACCTGGATGGATGCTTCTGCAGAAATCTATATTAACGATAGTGTGTGGATGCCTGGGGCTACAGATGACCGTTGCCCTGCTCAACCAGGAGGAGAAGGCACTGCATTTAATGTTACTATGGGTTATAAATACCCTCCTCTGTGCCTCAGACATGCACCTGGTTGTATCCATCTATTAACTCAAGTCTGGGCTGCTTATCTTCCGGAGAGATTAGCCACAGGGGAATGGGGACATTTGGTCTCTGGCCTCTCCCTTTCTCCTTTAAGACAAATGAAAAGGGGAGTAATAGGAGATACCCCATACTTTCAATGTAAACCTGTAGGAAAACCATGTCCTAAAAATTTTGAGAGCCCATCTAAAACTTTAATTTGGGAAGATTGTGTTAATTCACATGCAGTAGTATTACTCATATAGTTTAGTAATAGACTGGGCACCAAAGGGCTATTTAAAAAACAATTGCTCCTCTGGCAGAAGGGAAGGCCTGGAGGCTACTTATTTTATTTTTTTATTGGGAGGACGAGGATCTTCATCTTACTTTGCATAGGAGGTCAGCTCCTTCTTTCCCTTAAAATGGGAAGATAAGGGCATTACCCCCCTGAGGCCTCATATGATATTCCCCATTCTGAGTTCAGAACACCCAGAACTTTGGAAATTGGCTCTTGCCATGTCCGGACTGCGAGTATGGGAAGGGGAAACTTTTCTGTCTGTTATCCCCACTACCGCCCCTCGCATCCGTGATTCTGAACCCCATGATAAATCCCCTTTGAACCCTTTTCCTCTTTTTGATGCCGATCCTCCTTTATGAGACTCCAATTGGCATTATGATAATTCTTCTTGACCCAGGTATGCCCCTCTACCTCTTCGGCATCCCCAGGCACCTTGGATTGCTTCTTTATGGTGGAGAACATCGTGCGTTACCCCCGCTGCCCCTCTCCCTCAGTATCAACGTAGATTCAAACATTCTGCTTTGTTTACCTCCAGCCTGACAATTCCTATACAGAGTTGTGAGTTGTGTTAAGCCTCCTTACATGCTGTTAGTGGAAAATATCAAAATTTGGATGAACAATCAAACTGTCCAATGCATTAACTGTCATTTATACACTTGTGTTAACTCCCGTTTTGACTTCAGGAAAAGTGTAATGTTGGTTTGAGCTTGAGAAGGAATCTGGATACCGGTAACTTTACCCAGAACTTGGGAATCTTCCCCCTCAGTACATTTAATTAATGAAGTGTTACAACGAATTCTCAAAAGATCTAAGAGATTTGCTTTCACTTTAATTGCTGTGATCATGGGCCTAATTACAGTCACTGCACTGGCCACCACTGCCGGAGTGGCATTACACCAATCTATTCAAATCGCTCATTTTGTTAATGATTGGCAAGCCAATTCCACCAAAATGTGGAATTCTCAACAGGGCATTGATCAAAAATTAGCTAATCAAATTAATGATTTAAGACAGTCTGTTATTTGGCTTGGAGATTGGCTAATGAGTCTCAAACATCGCATGCAAATGCTATTTGATTGGAATACTTCTGATCTTTGTATCACACCATATTCCTACAACAAGACTGATCATTCATGGGAAATGGTCAAAGGACACCTGCTGGGTAGGGAAGATAATTTATCCTTGGACATAACTAAATTAAATAAACAAATTTTTGAAGCCTCTCAAGCTCGTTTATCCATTGTGCCTGGAGCTGAGGTGTTAGATCAGGTGGCAGGAAGTCTTTCTGGATTAAACCCCACGACTTGGATTAAGTCTATTGGGGGCTCCACTGTAGTAAATTTTGCAATCATGTTTCTCTGTTTAATTGGCTTGTTTTTAGTGTGCTGGACCAGTCAAAGAATCGTGCGTCAAAACCGAGAAAACGAACAAGACTTCATCGCCATGGCACATTTATATAAAAAGAAAGGGAGAGATGTTGTGGGAAGTCAGGGACCCCGAAAGGAGGGACCGGCTAGAGCCGCAGCAGAGGAACATAAATGGTGAAGATTTCATGGATATTTATCAGTTCCCAAATAATACTGTTGTGATTTCTTATGCCTGTCTTTACTTTAATCTCTTAATCCTGTTATCTTCGTAAGCTGAGGATGTACGTCACCTCAGGACCACTGTGATAATTGTGTTAACTGTACAAATTGATTGTAAAACATGTGTTTGAACAATATGAAATCAGTGCACCTTGAAAAAGAATAGAATAACAGCGATTTTTGGGGAACAAGGGAAGACAACCATAAGGTCTGACTGCCTGTGGGGTCAGGCGAACAGAGCCATATTTTTCTTCTTGCAGAGAGCCTATAAACGGATGTGCAAGTAAGAGAGATATCACTAAATTCTTTTCCTAGCAAGGAATATTAATATTAATACCCTGGGAAAGGAATGCATTCCTGGGGGGAGGTCTATAAACAACTGCTCTGGGAATGTCTGTCTTATGCAGTTGAGATAAGGACTGAGATACACCCTGGTCTCCTGCAGTACCCTCAGGCTTACTAGGGTGGGGAAAAACTCTGCCCTGGTAAATTTGTGGTCAGACTGGTTGTCTGCTCTTGAACCCTGTTTTCTGTTGTTTAAGATGTTTATCAAGACAATATGTGCACCAGTGAACATAGACCCTTATCATTAGTTCTGCTTTTGCCCTTTGCCTTGTGATCTTTGTTGGACCCTTATCAGTAGTTCTGCTTTTTCCCTTTGTCCTGTTCCCTCAGAAGCATGTCATCTTTGTTAGACCCTTATTAGTAGTTCTGCTTTTTGCCTTTTGAAGCATGTGATCTTTGTACCTACTCCCTGTTTTACACCCCCTCCCCTTTTGAAACCCTTAATAAAAACTTGCTGGTTTGAGGCTCAGGTGGGCATCACGGTCCTACTGATATGTCACGTCACCCCTGGCGGCCCAGCTGTAAAATTCCTCTCTTTGTACTCTTTCTCTTTATTTCTCAGCCGGCTGAAACTTATGGAAAATAGAAACAGCCTATGTTGAAATATTGGGGGTGGGTTTCCCTGATAATTTGTCCCCAAGTGACACCCTGTGAGCCAGCCCTGGGTGGTACAAGGACTCCTGTGGGAGCCACAGGAGCAGGTGCAGCCCCAGGCTGCTGGTGCTCTCAGAACTGCACAAACACTGCTTTCTGAGAAACCAGTACAAGTACTTTCTAGTGAGCGGGGAGGGCATCTCCCAAACCGGCTATGACCTAGTCACCTGAGGTGCCTAAAAGTCTCTCTCATCTGTGCCTCACTCCAGCTTTGGAAGTGGGACCTCCTTGTCTAAGCCACTCTTCCGGAGTGAGCTGCACAGCCCAAGGGACAGATTTCACACCAGCACCTTATGCTAGCCCAGAGAGACAGATGTCACTCACTGCAACACAGCAGAGGTGCAGACTAAGTGGCAGCCAGGGGCCATGAGAGGGAACATGGTGGAGGGGGACAAACAGGGCCCTCCTGGCCAGTGAGCCCTGGGCTTGGATCCAGTTAAATCACCTCTGAGCCTTAATTTCCTCACTCACATAATGGGCACAGTAATCCCCGTTACACAATATTGAGGTATGATCCCCACTGCAAAGGGCAGCGGGATTGTAAACCCAAGAGCTGGAAGGGAACATCTGGCAAGAAGGGTCTAGAGAGCTATCTCCTTTTCTTCATTATTACTTTTCAACAATCTACCTCCTACGTCCTCCAGAGTCAAGCTCCAGCCTTTCTTCTCTGCAAGCTCCCAGGGTTCTGCTCCTTGCAGAGGACACACCCCTTGCCCACTGACTGTTGCCCACACAGCTGTCTGTGGCTTCCCCTGGGACTTGGGGAACGCCTCCTGTCAGGTTCACACTCCATTCTTGATGGGGGCTTCCACTCTGGTTCATGCACTCTGGAATCAGGGACCAGCTGGGCCTCAGACAAACCTCAAGCACTGTAAACCCTGCCTCACACAGGTCCTGGGGCAGGAACGTCCCCGTCAGAAGTACTTGCAGACTGTGGTCTCAGCCAGCCTGCCTCATCTTCCTCGGCGTGGCTGAACTGGGAAGGAAGAGAGAAAGGTCACTTCTACCATCCTCCTCCTCCCCACAAAGGGCCAGCACACCTTAGGCCAGGGTGCAGGGCAGGACTGCCCACCTTATACTCTACCAGGTATGCAGCTGAAGCACTACCAGAGGTCTTTAGAAAAAGGAAGCAAGGCTGAGGTCAGACAGAGTAAATGATCTCAAGAACTCAGATCACTAAAGTTATTTAAAGTAACAAATACACTTTTAATTGATTTCAGATAAAAACTACTCAAGGAAAGTCAGTAATCGTTTTAGCCCCTAATCTGTTAGAGCCGTATGGTGAGCAGCCTTGAGTAGCTGGTTTAACTGGTTATTTTCCCGAATTCCCACCATCCACGGTATTAGAAAAAAACAAGGCATTGTCTCAGTTTAGGATAAACACATGGCACAGTAACCAAATCCAGTCTCTCATATCCCGTATTTTTTCTTTAGCTCTTCTACTTTGTTGATGTAAGCTTTCATGGCATCTTCCTTGGAAGTCCCTGTAAGGAATCGACAGGATTATGTGTCAGGGAGGTAGCATGGTAGGAAACAAGCAGCCTCCAGAGCCCCAGGCAGCTCTGCTGTAACTCTCCTAGGCTCAGTTTCTCACTTAATAAAGTTGAGATTCTACTAATTACAGGAGACAGTATCCACAGAACCTGGCCCGAAGTGAATGCTCCATAAGCAACTGTGCTCAGAAAGCCTGGTGGGGCTGGCCAAGATCTGTCGCCCATCTGCTGGACACCTGCGTCCCCCACCTGTCCTGGGGGAATGGCCATTGTGAGCCTTGGGAGAGAGGTGCCACCCTCCAGACAGGTAGGAAACTGTCATCGTGGTGACTTTACTGGTCCTGCTAACTCTCGTGGCTGATATTGGCTTTGGCCTTTTCAGTGTCTCTGTTTTGGGCTCCTATCTTCCAGAGCTGTTAAGCTGGCAGTGAAAAAGCAAAGCCAGGCACCCTCTTCTCCCCAGAGAGAGGCTATGAGAAAAGTTTCAGGAACTCTGACCAAAAGTGGCTGCTTCTTGGAGGGGAATGAGACAAATCTTTGTCTTCTTGCTGCAGTAGAAAGGACACTGAATGTATCCCTCAGAGACAGTGACACCCAGTTTCCTGGATTCTATGGTGAAGGATAGAGACCCTTTGGAACTCAGAGCTTGTTCTGAAGCACTGGAGAGTACATGGGGCCTGAGGATGGTATGGAAATGTCCCATGAAAATGGGCAGGCAGATGGGCATTCCCTTCCCAGTTACTTGCAGATCCTAGGAGTGTGTTTATTGTATTGTGGCCCTTTCTGAATTCAAGGGTTTCTCATTCGCAGAAGGACAGAGGGCTTATTCAGAAACTAGCCAGCAGGAACACTAATGCTGCCAGGAGCTTTGGTGCCAACTCTTGGGTCTTGCTGCTGCAGGTGGCACGTGATTAAGTACGAGCTTGGATACTTCTTGGCTGCTGGTGCTTAGCATATAATGGCTCCATTCACTGAGCCTACGATGCCAGCGGCAGGCCATGCATTAGCTCATTCCCTTCTTTTATGTATCCTTCTGGCTAGGAAGGAACTGGGGAGGGCCACTGGGGTTAGGGGGTCACCGCCTGGCCTTGTAGGGGAGAGGGAGTTGCAGACAGGAAACCACCCCTTATTCTGAACACATCCAAAGCCTACGCCAACTACATCATTTCCCAAACTATTTTTCAGTGGCCTGGTTCCCAGCCCCTCCTCTCTAGATGATGCTCCTGCTCAGAGATGGTGCTTTTAGAAAAGGCATAAATGGTGTTAGGAGAAAAAGTAGGTGGCCCGGTTTTTTCCCATTCTGGCACAGGTCAGGCTGGTTTCCCACACGTGCCCCATTGACTTTGTTTTCTCTCCTCTTCCCTTACACTTCATAATGAAGACTCTTTCACTACTGGGTTTCACAAATGAGAGAAATTGATTAGAACAATTACCTTTCAGCTCATTCCAGGCATCCCACTTGGCCTTGCCCGTGAAGTCCAACATCCCGGGCCGTTCTTAAACAAGGGAAGAAAAGGCATTAGATCTGGTTCAAATTCTAATGGAGAACTTGATCAACCTTCTTGCCATAAATGCCATCTTCTATTACACCTGTTCCTTCTAGGCTCTGTCATGGGGTTAAATAGGTCTAGTAGAGTGGGTTCTGCCCTAAGAAAACCAATGTATGCCAATCCAAACTTAAAATCTAGAGCAAATAGGAAGAACAGTATTCTTATTACAAGATAGCCTTTGTCTTACAAGTTAAATGACTCCAAAATTTCTCTTTTAAAAAAATTATACTTTAATTACAATTAAAAAAAAAATCCATTCATATGTCTTAAAATTCAAAAGCTACAGAGGAAAATACTATAAAGTTTCTCTCTCACCCCTGCTGTTAGCTACCCAATTTCTCTCCCTAATCATTAATGATATCAGGTGTCCTTTCCTATGAACTGTTTATATCCTAGCCCCATTTTTCTACCGAATTGTTAGTCTATTTCTTGCTGATCTGTGGGAGATTTCACCGAGGGTAAGGTTTCTTTAAGTTATATGATGACTTTATGCTTATAGACCTGTTGTCATCTGCAGTTGGGAAACACACTCACCATCTCCCTGTTGTCCTATTTCACTACGATGCCCAGCCCCAAAGCCACAGGGAACAATCAGAGTCCGTAGCCTGGAGCACTGTGCCTGAGAAAATGTCCCTGAGCGCTTTCAGGGAAGTGTTCCCAGGGACAGCTGAAACAAACTGCCCTTGTGGTCATCATCAGGATCCTAGAATAGCACTCCTCGACAGCTCTCTCCAAGCGGTGGAAATGGAAATGTACATGTATATTTGCAATGTCCAATTCAGGAGCCACTTGCCACACCAAGTACCTGAAATGACTACTGGGCATCTGAAATGTGGTTCCTGTGAATGAAGACTAAACTTGATTTTATTTAACTATTTTCAGTTAAAATTTTTTTTTTTAGAGACAGAGTCTCGTTCTGTTGCCCAGGCTGGAGTGCAGTGGTGCGACCTCGGCTCACCACAACCTCTACCTCCCAGGTTCAAGCGATTCTCCTGCCTCAGCCTCCCAAGTAGCTGGGACTACAGGCATATGCCACCATGCCCAGCTAATTTTTGTATTTTTAGTAGAGATGGGGTTTCACTACGTTAGCCAGGTTGGTCTCAAACTCCTGACCTCATGATTCGCTTGCTTCGGCCTCCCAAAGTGCTGGGATTACAGGCATGAGCCATAGCGCCCAGCCTCAGTTAAAATTTATATAGTCATATGTGGCTACTGGCTATTATACTAAACTATCGTGTTTGGACTATCATGTTTTATAATCGTGTAATAGGGCTGTATAGTACAGCCCTAGAGAGAGCCGATGACACCTCTTTGATCAGTAAGTGATAGATTCCTATGCCAGTCTATCTAGACTCATGTGAAAATCGGTAACTCTAGTACGGGCACAGGCCAGTCTCTGTGAAAATACTGTTTGTCAGAAAAGCATCTTGGCACCTCTGGCCTCCCCCACTTCACCTTTCCTTCCCCTCCCTGGAAGGACAGAGTTTACGAACTCACTGTAAAACTCACCTTCGCCATAAGACCTTCTTCAACTAAGTGCTCCATGTGAACCCCAGGGTTTGATATGGTACTGCCTGTGATCTGTCATTCTGGGTACTATTTCCTGCTTCCAGCTGGTTGGCAGCCAGCCCACCTGCTCCATCTTCCACCCCAGCTACTGCGGAAATAGGGACCATGCTCGCCTTCTTCCTCAGCAGGGGCAGGGGAGACCTCCCTTCTGTGCTGCCATGATAACCCTGAGTCCTTGCACAGAATGCACTGCGCTGTTGCCTCAGTATCCACCCATGTTTCAGGGACTTAGGGACAGAATGAAACCTGCCCAAGGCAGGAAAGATGTTATTACAGAACATGACAGTCCAAAGCACAGCCTCAAAATCTGCACCAAGATTTCTGGGCAGGGAAAAAGTTATCATCAGGAAGGCACAGACTTGTTAGCGAAATGCTCTGACCTAGCCCAAGAAACCAGGTGCTTCTCTGCTCCTGACATCAGGCTTGGCCAGGCTGTCAAGTGCTCCAAAAAGTGCTCCAACTTTGATCCTGCCCATCTAGGGCAGAAGCTGAACGGCTCAACAATGATACTACTGAGCTGAGAGCCTTCAGCAAGTCTTTTCCAAGCTGCAGCCTTTGCTTCTTCCCTAGTAGAGAGTAGCTGCTGGTGATAACCAGTAAAGACCTTCTAAAACCAGGATTTGAATTCTGTTACTACTGGAGACACTGAGAATCCGGAACATGGTCTTTTCCACCTCAGGAACCATCACCATACCCCACCTGAAGAGTAGGGCCTCAGGCAGTTTGAGAGTGAAGTTCCCAGGGACTTCCAGTCTGAGCTGCTGAGCCTGCTTTGATGAGCAGATGCCCTTCCAACCCCCGCTCTGCATACCTGTATTTATGTCGCCCACAGTTGCTTGTTTGTAGTGGCCATAGATGAACAGCATCTCCTCATCCGATGGCTTGGTCTTAAGGTGCCTAACCTCCTCTGCAGCTTTCTCAAACTCAGCCTAAATGGAAGGGAGAGGAGAGGATTGAGGGCCTCCTCTGGGTGGGAGAGGGTAAGAATCCTACTGTGGCCTGATGACAGCCCAGTTACGGGGATGGAGAGGTGGGAAAGGTGGCACCCTTCGGGCAATGCAGCCCCTGAAGTGTGTCTGCCCCTCCCTGCCCCAACAGGGCAGCTAGAAAGATTCAGCAACACAAGAAGGGGAAGCCCCTCCAGTTCACTCATTCAATCGAAAACCATATATCCAGAGCTCTCACAAACGCAGGCATCAGGTCTGGAAATACAGCAGTGAAGAGGGCAGGCCAAGCCTTCGCCCCCAGTGGGGGTCCCCTCTGCGGGAGAAGCAGCGCGGCCAACTGCCTGGCCACCACCGGGCCAGGCACTAGGGAGTGGCCGGGGCTGCAGCGAAGCCCTGGCCTGAGGACAGACGGGGCACAGTATGCTGGAAACAGCTGAAAGGGGACAGGGCATGAGTGCCGCGGTGTCAGCGCCGGAGCCCGTTGGTCCCCTCCCTCCCCCTGGGGCCCGCGCGTTCAACACCGACCTCTGTCCCAGTGCCCGGATTGGCAGAGGCAGGCGGGAGGAGCCAGAGGTCGCCCCACATAGCTCGGTCTCAGACAAGGGTCTACACTGGAGAGAAGGGAGGGGCCCCTGGGTCACCTCTCCCCGGGCCGCGATTCTCCTCGTCCCGCACTCTGAGCAGCCGGCCCCGTACTTCCCCTGACCTCCAAGCTCTCGGCCACGGACTCCTCGCTTCCCCACTCCGCCGCGACGTCCTGCCCTGTGCTTCGGGATGGGGACTGAGTCTCCTCGCTCCTCCAATCCGTGCAACCCCTTCCCCCATCTCTCCATCAAGCACCCTCGACTCCCACCCCTCTCCCGCTACACAGCGAAGTCCACCCCATGGGCAACTTTCCGGCAGTTGCGGGGTGGGCAGCAGATTTAGAAATCCCCAAACGGAAAATCCCGCTCACAAGGCTCTGTCCAACGAATCAGGGCTAGGCATGGGCCCATGAGCAAGTGAGGGGCACGGAAGGAAAGAGCCCGAGAGCTTCTGGCAGCCGGCTGAGCCCCCAACGGGCCTCCCGCCCGCTGCACCTTCGCAGCCTGGCTGTGCACGCGCTGTACCTGAGACATCCTGGCCGACTTGCAAGAACTCCAGGGAGACAGCGGAGGAGGCGAGGACCAGGAAGCGATCGCCCAGATTGCACTGGCAAGCGCCTTTAGAGGCGCGGTCCACTCGCCCCAACCCTGCTCGGGCGAGCACCGGAAAGCCAATCAGAAGCCAGCTATGCGCTAGGGGCGTGCCCAGCCCCCGCCGCGGCGCTAGCCCCGCCCGAGCCCACGTGGGACCGCTTGCGCAAACGCCGGGAGTAGCCGAAGGGGACGCCGGGAACAGGTGGGGACAACGGAAGTAGGGTGCTTAGTTTTGCTGCCGGGAGTTGGTCGAGAGTTGGGTTCAGTCCTGGCCCGTTGTGGGGACGGCACGCGGGGGAAGGGGAGGGGACGGAGACCGAAGAACGGAGGTCCTTATGTTTCTTTTCTTTCCTTAAATCTTGCCCGGCCTGAAGAGGCCGGAAGTTGCATCTCTGGACAAGTAAACTCTGAGACCTGGGAATGGCGGGCGGGACCCGCTCCTCCCTTGGGGTCTAGAGGAGACCCCCGGAGATGGTCCCTGATGAGCAGCGTGATGGTGGAAAGCTGGACTGGTCTCCCGAAAGGCGAAGCCGAGGCTTCTTCCTCTGAACTTTTGGCACGTTCTTTGACTTGCTTGTGGCCGTAGTGTCAGGCCTGTATTGCACATTTATGTCTGTGGTGCATTTCTCCATCTGGTGCGTTAAAGGCAGGGACGGTGTCTTATTTGTCTTGATTTAACAAACTTGGACGGGACGAAGTGCTCAGCAAATATTTGTTAAATGAATGGCTGTTTATTGAACTCCTGTTGGGTAACTTGCACTGTTCTAGACCTTGGCAGACAGCAGTGAACAAAGCGGGTGAATCCCTGCAATCTTGGAACTTACAAGTAGGGACAGTAGTTTATACAATAAGTTAAATATAGAGTACTTTAGGGGCTTAGAGAGTTGGAAGTTTATAGTTTTAAATGGAGGAGGGGGAGTATTGAGGGAAGGTGACATTTGAGAAAGTTCCTCAAGGAGGGGAGGGAAGATTCCAAGCAGAGAACAAGTGTAAAGGCGTGGGCAAGGAACCAGGGGAAGAGTAGAAAGATGAGGCTGGAGAGTTTTGGCGGTGGCAGACTGGCTAGGTGATGCAGAAGTTGGCCATCACAGGGACTTTGACTGTCATGCTGAGTGAGATGGGAAATCGTAAAAGGGTTTGAAAAGAGGATGAGGAGACGGAGGGGAACGTCTTTGCGAGATTGTTACACAGCCTAATCTCCATGGGAACTGAAAGGAGCAGCACAGGTGTCTGGAAGTGTTTTAGGATCGATGTTTAAGAAGCTAAAGGAAGACTTCTCTGGCAGTGGTTGCAAAGGAGCTGGGTGAAGAGAGGGAAATGATGGAAAATTCTCTGGAGATCATTAAAAAAGCAAAGTCATTCCTCTCTAATTCATAATTTGTGGCAAGAGGGCTGGACTACAAATCTCTGCCCTGCCTACACCTTCCCCCTCCCCAGGGAAGGTAGACGCTTTCAGACTTAACTTGCTAACTTAATGTAGGTCACGTTTTATGGAATGTTTGGGAAGAAATGAAGATGCAATAGGGAACAAATCTAGGGTTTTCAGTCTGAGCATAATTTTGTTTGAGAAAGGAAAACCAAACAAATTAACAAAAATCTTGGAGTTAAATATGGGGAAAGTACACTGAAGTGTAAGAAATGCAGGTTTCTTCGAAAATCACAATTCAGAGCTGCTTTTTCCATTTGAGGCCTGGATTTGTTTTTGCTCTACTTGGTGCTTACAGCTTCCTTGATGGAAACTCAGATTATTGCTTGTGTGGGCCAGATTTGCAGTCAAATACATCTCCTAGTCAGCAGGTTTTAAGTTAGGGTATTGTTGAGATTAGGTACTTTGAGAATGCAGTTATCACTTCTCAAAGATCAGTTGCTTTTAGTTTTTTAGTTTTTGTTTTTTAATTATTTTCGCGTGTGATGTGGTCTCACTCTTTTACCTAGGCTGTAGTTCAGTGGCACAATCTCAGCTCTCTGCAGCCTTGAACTCCAGGCCTCAAGCGATCCTCCCACCTTAGCCTCCCGAGTAGCTGGAAATGTGGGCACAACCACCATGCCTGGCTAATTTTTTTATTTTTATTTTTATTTTTTGTAGAGATGGGGTCTTGCTATGTTGTTGGTCTTGATCTCCTGGGCTCAAGGGATTCTCCCACTTTGGCCTCCTAACGTGGTGGGAGTACAGGTGTGAGCCACTGCGCCTGGCCTTGATTGAATATTGCTTTTCATAATTCTGAGAATGCAAGATCCTCAGCTCTGTTTATGTCCTTGTTAGCCACCGTAACATGTTGTAATTATTTTATTTACAATTATTTTAATTTTAATTTACTTTTCTACTGTCTAACCCTCTGCCTCTGCCTCCCACCAAACACACATAAGCCAGGA